>NC_000004.12:63921381-65171381 GCF_000001405.40 Homo sapiens | reverse complement strand
TGCTGTCAAAACCATAAAAGCTTTGTGGTGAGGCCGGGCGCAGTGGCTCAGGCCTGTAATGCCAGCACTTTGGGAGGCTGAGGCAGATGGATTAGCGGAGGTCAGGAGTTCGAGACCAGCCTGACCAACATGGTGAAACCCCAGTCTCTAATAAAAATACAAAAATTAGCCAGGAGTGGTAGCAGCTGTCTGTAATCCCAGCTACTGGCTAGGTTTAGGTGGGAGAATTGCTTTAACCCGGGAAATGGAGGTTGCAGTGAGCTGAGATCTTGCCACTGCACTCCACCCTGGGTGACAAGAGCAAGACTCCATCTCAAAAACAACAATAACAACAAAAAGCTTTGTGGTGAGTGAGCAGAATCACAATATAGAAGCAGGAGGATATCTGAGTCACTGACCGAAGGAAGTTAGCTGCCCTGAAGAGGCACCAGACCAGTGCAACTCTGTGTAGGAGTCAAAGAAATGATTATCAGTTAAGTCACTGAGAATCTGAGTACTGGATAAATTATAGCAGAGTAGTAAGCAATGGCAATGTTAGTAAAACTACTTCTGTGTATATATGTGATTAAAGTATGTCAATAATACATACAAAATTTCTGTTATTTGTTCATATGTTAAATAATAAGTGCAACATCTGTTAAAAATTTTCATACTTCCCTTTATCTAAGTAAATCAAGTAAATAGATTCCATTACTGAGATCATGTATTTAAAGTTTAATTTCCTGACAAAAACTGTCCAAAATGGAGTTACTATTAATTTTTTGCAAATTGAATTTACTTATAAAATGAAAGCATACAATGAGAAAAAAAAATTGATAGTACCCACTTTGAAAACAGTTGAACTTATAAGAATAAATAATTTATGGCTAAGCCTATGTAAACAAAATGTTATGGCCTTCAGGAAAGCGCGTGCATGTGCACAAAACTGCCTTTGATTAATAAAAGTCATCAAATGATTTTAGATGTATAGACATAGTCAACATCTATGGTAATGTTGGTGGTTAAATTTTCATACTGATAAGCATAACAATCCTCCATATTGATGGCTTTGGTTAACTTACGAGTCAGTTTTAAGAGTATTTTCTTAAGCTACAAAGACATTCGTAACAAAGACAAATGTACAAAGATAGTTACTGCTTGTACCCCTCCCTGAACCTACTGTTACTATTGACCACCATCTTTGAGAGACCCATATTCATGGTCTTTCAATCCTTGTAAGCTTCCATGATTGGTGGCAGTATCCTTTATGGAAACTATAACATCTATTCCTATTGCTATTTGATGCATTATGTCAAGTTTGTTGGTGAATGCAATGCTAGACAACTAAAACTAATTATTTATACCCATATTTAACTTTTTATCTCCTTCTATATTTTGGAGAGTCCTTCCAATGCATCACATGTACTTCAGCAAAAAAGTTAAAAATAGAATTTAAACACACGTACATTCTTACCTACAGTTAATGATAATAATATTAGGCTTTAACACACTGGGTGAATTATTTGAAAAAAAATCTCAGAGCAGTGACTTCTTTCTACAGATGCTTTTAGTTCTAGAAGATTTACAGATTTCTTAGACTAGGATTAAACTTATTTATTATGGAGTGAATTAATTTTTTTCTTTAAAAGTATAAGGAGTAATTATCTGTTCTTTGGTTTAACTGCAGCCCTTCTGGCAGGATTGTGCTGAGTGCTCTGTCTTATAAGACTGAGACAGCAAACCAAGTAAAAGATTTCTCATTACGTTGTCAAAACATGAGTGATGGGTGACATTATCTCTTCCAAATGAAATTACTCTTTTGTTTAGTACAAAATAATTAAAATTTACATAAGAACACATAAGAAAACAACTTAGAAATTCAAGTAAATGAGAAAGAGTAAAGGAGAATTTATTTACTAGTGTTATGGAATGCAAAATAGAAGGCTAAAGGGAACGTACTTAAGAAAAAATAAAAATTTAAGCCAGAATTATCCAAAATTTGTATCTCTAGCTTTGCCCAGTCCACTGAAATAGTCTTTTATATTAAACTGGCTATTCTCAGTAAATAGTTCAACCATTCACAACAAACTTGGTAATCCTCTTGTTTTTTGCTTGCTGGTCTATAGCTAATAAATCTATAAATCTTGTTCATTCTACTGTCAAATTATTTTCCAAATCTGATGACCTCTCACCTTTTACTTGATTTTTTTTTTTTTACCACCTGTGGTAGGCATAACAAGGGACCACCCAAAATGTTCATATCCTAATTCCTGTAACCTATAAATGTATTAGGTTATATGATGTCAAAAGACAAAATTAATGCAAATTTAGTGATACATCTGTCTGGCTTTTATTTGGATTTATAATTGAGGCAGCTTCCATTCTACAAAGTAGTATGAAAGTTCCCACTGAGAAATAGCACAGTGATGGATGTTATAAGATAGGAACAAAGAAACAAAACAATATAGAAATAACTGGTTTACATCAGGTTGTTTTGGGTTACTTTTTTATAGGGGTTAAGCAGAGGGAACTTTCTTTCTATACTGACTTATGTAGACTGGAATCTCCAGTTTTCAGGAAAAACTTATGTTTCTGGATGAACCTACTTTCCTAGTTTTATTTTGATTATGTTGTATTTAGTATGAGGGGCTCCATTTTGGTTTGGTCTGGTCTGCTAAGGCACAGTGCAGGAGCTCAGTTGTCAACAATGGCCTCCCACACTTGGTTTAAAAATGGCAAAGAGGAGTTAAGGTTGTGGACAGAATTAAGATTGCTAGTGAGGAGACATTGAGAGGAAAAGATTATCCTGGGTTATTATCTAGTATAATCACAAAGCTTCTTATAAGTGAAAGAGGGAGGTAGGAGAGGAAGAACCAGAAACATGGCAATGTGAGAAACACTCCACCTGACATTGTGAGCTTTGAAGATGAAGTAAAAGAACAATGAACCAAGAAATGTAGGGTGGTCTCTAGAAGCTGGAAAGGCTTGGTGACAGATTCTTCCCCAGGGCCTTCAGAAGAAATATGGTTCTGCTGACACCTTGATTTTTAGCTCAGTGATGCTTATTTCAGAATTCTGACCTCAAGAACTATGTGAAAAATAAAGAAGAACTATGTGAAAATAAACTTCCACTCTTTATGCCACTAAGTTTGTGTAATTTCCTGGGGCAGCCATGGGACATGAATACATCATCTTATTTAAACCATTGTCTCTACTACTGAGATAGCCTACTAACTATTTTTCTTAATTCTATTCCTATTTCCCTAAGAGTCTGTTTTCTACAAAGAAAAAAAGGTGATTATTTTAAAATGTAGATTATTTACTTCTTTACTCAAACTATCCGATAACCTCACATCACAATTAGAAAATAAATAAATTCAATGATCTCATCTAGACCTACAAGCCCATTCATTATCTGGGGCCTGTCACCCACTCTGACCTCATTACCTGTCTCTCTATGCCGTTCTCACTTTGTTCCATCTATTGTGGTATTCTGTCAGAATGTAAAACACTCCACACTTATTTCTGACTCACAGTCTTTGCTTTTGTGAATCTCTATCTGGAACACTCGGCCCTAAAACTCAACATGGCAGGATCCCTCTTAAAATTCCTTTATCTGATCAAACATCAGCTTCTCAGTAAAACCTCTAGCCACCCAACCAAAGTTAAACTTGTTCTCTCCAGTCATCTTGTTTCATTTTATTTAAAAGATTTAACACTATTTAATCACATAGTCCATGTTGTGATTATATGTTAACTTGTTTATTCTGCACCCATCAAAATAATGTAACCATTATTAGAGGAAAAACTTTGTGTGCTTTATCATCATAACTTTGGTGCTTAGAATGGCATCTGACACATTATAAATACGGCATTTATATTTGTTGAGAGAATGAATGAAAATATTTAGCAAAGTCTATTAAGACCTTAAATATTAAAATTATACATGATTAAACACTAGTGCGTCACATCTTAGTTTATTAATTTTTCTACTGCAAAGATGCATATTGTCACTTTGCTGATCAGTGTGGAAACTGTGTGTGTCTAATAAGGGGGTCATACTTTATATAGTAGACTTTTCTACTCATCATGATATTTAACTTTCTTTTACCGTGAAAGTTTCCAAATAGGATATTAGCTTGTGAACTCCAATCATTTCTTTTGTATTGAGAGTGATTATCATTTAGTTATGCATGCAATTTATTTCATTCTGTGATGACAGTTGTCTTTCATAGGTGCATGTAAACATAGAATCTAAAATTTGTACTCTAAATCAGTAATGATGACAATAATGTCACCATAGGCCTCCATGTATGGTCTCCATAACCACATGCCTGAATTTATTTCTTTTTCAGTGAACTACTTGTTTGACCTTGGACGAGTTACTAAACTCTGTGGCTCAGTTTCACAATCTATAAAGTTAGCTTAATATTATAGCTACTTTGCAGGTTTGTGATAAGAATTAAATTAATTGAAATATGGAAATAATTTAGAGACACATAGCATGTATTAAGTAAATATATACTTATCAGGAAAATTAAAAGTCATCTTGATTTCATTGGCACACATCCTTTAACTGTTCGACATTTCAGTATCAAGTAGTTTTATCAACAAAACTAAATTTTAGTCTGGGAGCGGTGGCTCATGTCTGTAATCCCAGCACTTTGGGAGGCTGAGGCGGCAGATCACTTGAGGTCACGAGTTCAAGACCAGTCTGGCAAACATGGTGAAACCCTGTCTCTACTAAAAATACAAAAATTAACCAGACGTGGTGGCATGCACTTGCAGTCCCAGCTACTCGGGAGTCTGAGGCACAAGAATCGCTTGAATGTTGGAGGTGGAGGTTGCAGTGAACTGAGATTGCATCACTGCACTCAAGCCTGGGAGACAGAGCAAGACTT
The DNA here is from genome assembly GCF_000001405.40 of Homo sapiens. NCBI lineage: Eukaryota > Metazoa > Chordata > Mammalia > Primates > Hominidae > Homo > Homo sapiens. The sequence continues at coordinate 65,166,501 of NC_000004.12, read as the reverse complement.
CATCTCAAAAAGAAAAAAATAAACACACTAAATTATAATTAATTATACTGAATAAAATATAATTTATATATATATATACACATGTGTATATTTGAAATTGACAAATTTACCCAAACTGTAATATTTGTGTGCAATTTCAAAACTTCACGTAATTTTCACTGTGTATCTTGTTGTGTGGCTTAAAGATCACATTTAATAAATTTAGCCTCAAGATTTTTCAGTTACTCCCATATATTATTCTGTAATTTGGCAGCACAGTCAGGGGATAGGGTATCATGTGTAAGATATGACACTAAGAAAGTTGACATTTTAAATGTAGAAATACTGAAAATATTCTTCAGAAATTGCCTTTGAACTCAAGACCCACAATATGTAAAACTCCGAAGAATAGCCACTTAACATCTGTTTTCATTAAAGATATATAACAAAATATTATTCATACATTTAGGCTATTCAATCATTATTAAATGGATATGGGTTACATTAAAATAATTAAAATCTTCAAAAGAGAAAAAAACTCATGTAGAGCTTATAATTTTTTTTTAAATGCACAGTATACTGATTAAGTAAAATTTTTGTTTAGTGTAAAATAGGATGTGATTTGGCTTGTTTCATCATAACATCTTCTCTTTGATTTAAAATTGCATTTCCATGATTTGGATGTATGCCTCTCATTCCCCTGAATAAAATTACAATTGTTGGTCACTAACTGATTTATGGTTTTAGACAGAAATTATTAAAGTAGATATTTTATGATATGTAAATGCTTGTAGAGATTAATAATTAGATCAATTATTCTAGAACTAAAATTTGTTTTTGGCATGAGTAGTCCCAAATTAAATTGACTTATTCTAAAAATTCTGCATAGTGGTTCAAAGCATGTAGTTAGTAACAGGTTCATTTTAGAGCTAATTTATTCTAATTAGTTTCCTTGGAAGAACCACTTGTCAAAATTAATGGTGTCATGGGTGCATATTTATGATTCATTCTGTTTCTATATTTCGTTATGTATTTTATGGCTGATGTGAATTATTTTGACTCTGAGCTAAACTATTCAGGGAATTCATATTCTAAAAAATGTGAGCTTGATATTTATATGATTAATCCTCCTCCTCTTATTTTTCTCTTCTTCATTCTCTTCCTCCTCCATTTTTGGTTTCAGGGAAGAGAGCAGCAGAAACCCAGGGGTTACCTGAGGATAATTTAGGTCTTTATTATGTACATTCTCAGCTCACCACTGTGCAGAATTGGTATGGAAATCAATTCAGGTTAGTCTTTATTAAGCTCCCTTACTTTAATAAGCAGTTGTCAACACTATATTTCATTCTTTTTCTCTGATGCATGCAAACAAATTTTATTACATTGCTGTCTCCACACGAATAATCTTGTTCAGTATTTAATTTTTACTTAGACTTCTAAAAAATCATAGAATCATAAAATAAGTGAATATGTACATATATGCAGTAAAAAAGTTAAAATAGAAATTTAAAATTATGTAGAAGTAAGAACTTTCATTATCCACTTATGAAAAGAATAAAATCTTTACCAGAAGAAAAATGTTAAAACAAAATTTTTTCTTATTATTTAAAAGGAAATACTGACAATAAATTGCAATAAATTGAAAAATAACAACATAAAACTGTACAAAAGGGCAATCATAATACTTTTATTATGTAGCGATATCCATACATTGACTTAGACATACAGTGTACACGCATGTCAGGACATTTGGTGTGGAACAAAATTTTAATGAGAATTCCAACTGGGCTTTTTTGAGGGTGAAACTGAACAATAGGTTAATATGGTAGAACAATGATTACAAGTTTCCCAATATAATTTTAAAACTAATAATTGGGGAGGATAAAATACTGCTCAAAATATTATATAAGATTAGCACTCAAAGAGAAAAATCATTATAAAAGGGTTAGAAACTACCAATAAAACATGCGTATATGTGTCTTAAGATATGGTTATATTAAACTATAATTTACAGAAAATATATTTTATTGCATAAATGCTGCTGAAAATTTTGATTATACTTTTGAAAGAAAGCAACTGAACAATGTCTCTCAAACATACAAAATTAGCACTAGAAAAACTATAAGCCCATTGTAAAAATTTAAGTATAAAAATGACACAGTAGAACACTATAAACAATAAAAAAATATAGAAAGCAAAGGGGTATTTGGTCATAGAAGTGTGGAAAGTAGTAAATAGACAAAAATCCATTTTCCAGATTGTTTATCCCTAGGTTTTTATTGAGAAATTTTATAAAAAGCAAATTTAAGAGAGGAATTTTTTAGATAAATGTTAGTAAGAAATATATTGGTGAATATCTGATCTCTTTATGAGGACCCATAAGTAGACTTTCTCTTGTACTACCAAAACATCTACCTATGATGACAAAGTAACAAGCTTTATATTGTAGAATCTGGGAGTTTCACAATTTGTATTTATTAGATTTACATGATAAGAAGATTGAGTCAAATTGTAAATAAAGTTTGTACTTGTGTAAAATGTTTTGGTTTTTAGGGTCTAAAATCTGTCTCGTTTTGATATTGAACTGTTATTCTTATCACTGCTTTTACATTTCTAATTTTTTGTATTACTTAATGGTGTTATATGCATTAGAGCAAGTGGACTCAAGGTCTGTTTGTAATGATAGGAACTATGCATATGTAGAAATAAATAAAATACAATATTTCTCTGGCCTGAGATTATATTAACACATAAAATATGTGATTTTGTCCAAATGATACAGTGCAATTTTTGAAAATACAAATAAAGAAACCATTGGTCTCAGAGAAAAATAAAGTATTTTGTCTCTATAAAGTTATTAATGTTTAAGAGTAAAATATTTGTTTAATTTTATAATCATTTACTATATTTTTTTAAGTACAGACACTTCAAAATGTTCAAAACATAAAAAGCTGTTTACCATGGGTATTATCATCACACTTTTAAACCATTATATGAAACCACAGGCTTGTTGAAAGTCATAATTTGTCCAAGTAGCTTAATATATGTTAGGTGTTAAGGAATAAAATAAATTAGATAGGGCCTTAAATAATTTGGTGATAGTTCTAATAGATAAATAATTAGGTATATGTGGATATAGATATAGATATTTATAATATTTGAGGCCTTTTCCATCTTTCCTTTTCATTAATATATTTTTGGAAATGCTATTGGTTGAAGAACTGTTGTCTGTGTATTGAGAAGCCTGCTTAGTTTCTGATTCACTCTTGTGAGGGGCAGTAAGAAGTAGAGATATAGTTGGGAGAGCAAGAGCCTGCCAGTTGAGCAGGGAGGGAGACAGAGGAAAATGTGGTAGAATAATTATTTTTTCATCACCAGGGATTCTTATCCTTTGTGAAAGAATGAAATATTTTTAAATTTGTGTTTGGCATACTCTTGACCATACTAATACCTGAATATTAATAATAATATTCAAAATAAGACTGACATATTTAAGGAGATAGAACACAACAAATCAGGTGTTGTATAAAACCAACACTGTTAGTGTTTGGATTGACCTTAATTTGTCAGTAGGAATTAAATGATTTTTGTACATTGATTTTGTATCCTGAGACTTTGCTGAAGTTGCTTATCAGCTTAAGGAGATTTTGGGCTGAGACAATGGGGTTTTCTAGATACACAATCATGTCGTCTGCAAACAGGGACAATTTGACTTCCTCTTTTCCTAATTGAATACCTTTTATTTCCTTCTCCTGCCTAATTGCCCTGGCCAGAACTTCCAACACTATGTTGAATAGAAGTGGTAAGAGAGGGCATCCCTGTCTTGTGCCAGTTTTCAAAGGGAATGCTTCCAGTTTTTGCCCATTCAGTATGATATTGGCTGTGGGTTTGTCATAGATAGCTCTTATTATTTTGAAATACGTCCCATCAATACATAAATTATTGAGAGTTTTTAGTATGAAGGGTTGTTGAATTTTGTCAAAGGACTTTTCTGCATCTATTGAGATAATCATGTGGTTTTTGTCTTTGGCTCTGTTTATATGTTGGATTACATTTATTGATTTGCGTATATTGAACCAGCCTTGCATCCCAGGGATGAAGCCCACTTGGTCGTGGTGGATAAGCTTTTTGATGTGCTGCTGGATTCGTTTTGCCAGTATTTTATTGAGGATTTTTGCATCAATGTTCATCAAGGATATTGGTCTAAAATTCTCTTTTTTTGTTGTGTCTCTGCCCGGCTTTGGTATCAGAATGATGCTGGCCTCATAAAATGAGTTAGGGAGGATTCCCTCTTTTTCTATTGATTGGAATAGTTTCAGAAGGAATGGTACCAGTTCCTCCTTGTACCTCTGGTAGAATTCGGCTGTGAATCCATCTGATCCTGGACTCTTTTTGCTTGGTAAGCTATTGATCATTGTCACAATTTCAGATCCTGTTATTGGTCTATTCAGAGATTTAACTTCTTCCCGGTTTAGTCTTGGGAGATTGTATGTGTCGAGGAATTTATTCATTTCTTCTAGATTTTCTAGTTTATTTGCGTAGAGGTATTTGTAGTATTCTCTGATGGTAGTTTGTATTTCTGTGGGATCGGTGGTGATATCCCCTTTATCATTTTTTATTGCGTCTATTTGATTTTTCTCTCTTTTTTTCTTTATTAGTCTTGCTAGCGGTCTATCTATTTTGTTGATCCTTTCAAAAAAACCAGCTCCTGGATTCATTAATTTTTTGAAGGGTTTTTTGTGTCTCTATTTCCTTCAGTTCTGCTCTGATTTTAGTTATTTCTTGGCTTCTGCTAGCTTTTGAATGTGTTTGCTCTTGCTTTTCTAGTTCTTTTAATTGTGATGTTAGGGTGTCAATTTTGGATCTTTCCTGCTTTCTCTTGTGGACATTTAGTGCTATAAATTTCCCTCTACACACTGCTCTGAATGTGTCCCAGAGATTCTGGTATGTTGTGTCTTTGTTCTCGTTGGTTTCAAAGAACATCTTTATTTCTGCCTTCATTTCATTACGTACCCAGTAGTCATTCAGGAGCAGGTTGTTCAGTTTCCATGTAGTTGAGCGGCTTTGAGTGAGATTCTTAATCCTGAGTTCTAGTTTGATTGCACTGTGGTCTGAGAGATAGTTTGTTATAATTTCTGTTCTTTTACTTTTGCCGAGGAGAGCTTTACTTCCCAGTATGTGGTCAATTTTGGAATAGGTGTGGTGTGGTGCTGAAAAAAATGTATATTCTGTTGATTTGGGGTGGAGAGTTCTGTAGATGTCTATTAGGTCCGCTTGGTGCAGAGCTGAGTTCAATTCCTGGGTATCCTTGTTGACTTTCTGTCTCGTTGATCTGTCTAATGTTGACAGTGGGGTGTTAAAGTCTCCCATTATTAATGTGTGGGAGTCTAAGTCTCTTTGTAGGTCACTCAGGACTTGCTTTATGAATCTGGGTGCTTCTGTATTGGGTGCATATATATTTAGGATAGTTAGCTCTTCTTGTTGAATTGATCCCTTTACCATTATGTAATGGCCTTCTTTGTCTCTTTTGATCCCTGTTGGTTTAAAGTCTGTTTTATCAGAGACTAGGATTACAACCCCTGCCTTTTTTGTTTTACATTTGCTTGGTAGATCTTCCTCCATCCTTTTATTTTGAGCCTATGTGTGTCTCTGCACGTGGGATGGGTTTCCTGAATACAGCACACTGATGGGTCTTGACTCTTTATCCAATTTGCCAGTCTGTGTCTTTTAATTGGGGTATTTAGCCCATTTACATTTAAGGTTAATATTGTTATGTGTGAATTTGATCCTGTCATTATGATGTTAGCTGGTTATTTTGCTCATTAGTTAATGCAGTTTCTTCCTAGCCTTGGTGGTCTTTACAATTTGGCATGATTTTGCAAAGTCTCAGGATACAAAATCAATGTACAAAAATCACAAGCATTCTTATAAACCAACAACAGACAAACAGAGAGCTAAATCATGAGTGAACTCCCATTCACAATTGCTTCAAAGAGAATAAAATACCTAGAAATCCAACTTACAAGGGATGTGAAGGACCTCTTCAAGGAGAACTACAAACCACTGCTCAAGGAAATAAAAGAGGATACAAACAAATGGAAGAACATTCCATGCTCATGGGTAGCAAGAATCAATATCATGAAAATGGCCATACTGCCCAAGGTAATTTACAGATTCAATGCCATCCCCATCAAGCTACCAATGACTTTCTTCACAGAATTGGAAAAAACTACTTTAAAGTTCATATGGCACCAAAAAAGAGCCCACATCGCCAAGTCAATCCTAAGCCAAAGAACAAAGCTGGAGACATCACTCTACCTGACTTCAAACTATACTACAAGGCTACAGTAACCAAAACAGCATGGTACTGGTACCAAAACAGAGATATAGATCAATGGAACAGAACAGAGCCCTCAGAAATAATGCCACATATCTACAACTATCTGGTCTTTGACAAACCTGAGAAAAACAAGCAATGGGGAAAGGATTCCCTATTTAATAAATGGTGCTGGGAAAACTTGCTAGCCTTATGTAGAAAACTGAAACTGGATCCCTTCCTTACACCTTATACAAAATCAATTCAAGATGGATTAAAGACTTAAACTTTAGACCTAAAATCATAAGAACCCTAGAAGAAAACCTAGGCATTACCATTCAGGACATAGGCATGGGCAAGGACTTCATGTCTAAAACACCAAAAGCAATGGCAACAAAAGCCAAAATTGACAAATAGGATCTAATTAAACTAAAGAGCTTCTGCACAGCAAAAGAAACTACCATCAGAGTGAACAGGCAACCTACAAAATGGGAGAAAATTTTCGCAACCTACTCATCTGACAAAGGGCTAATATCCAGAATCTACAATGAACTCAAACAAATTTACAAGAAAAAACAAACAACCCCATCAAAAAGTGGGCGAAGGACATGAACAGACACTTCTCAAAAGAAGACATTTATGCAGCCAAAAAACACATGAAAAAATGCTTATCATCACTGGCCATCAGAGAAATGCAAATCAAAACCACAATGAGATACCATCTCACGCCAGTTGGAATGGCAATCATTAAAAAGTCAGGAAACAACAGGTGCTGGAGAGGATGTGGAGAAACAGGAACACTTTTACACTGTTGGTGGGACTGTAAACTAGTTCAACCATTGTGGAAGTCAGTGTGGCGATTCCTCAGGGATGTAGAACTAGAAATACCATTTGACCCAGCCATCCCATTACTGAGTATACACCCAAAGGACTATAAATCATGCTGCTATAAAGACACATGCACACGTATGTTTATTGCGGCATTATTCACAATAGCAAAGACTTGGAACCAACCCAAATGTCCAACAATGATAGACTGGATTAAGAAAATGTGGCACATATACACCATGGAATACTATGCAGCCATAAAAAGTGATGAGTTCATGTCCTTTGTAGGGACATGGATGAAATTGGAAATCATCATTCTCAGTAAACTATCGCAAGAACAAAAGACCAAACACTGCATATTCTCACTCATAGGCGGGAATTGAACAATGAGATCACATGGACACAGGAAGGGGAACATCACACTCTGAGGACTGTTGTGGGGTGGGGGGAGGGGGGAGGGATAGCATTGGGAGATATACCTAATGCTAGATGACGAGTTAGTGAGTGCAGCACACCAGCATGGCACATGTATACATATGTAACTAACCTGCAGAATGTGCACATGTACCCTAGAACTTAAAGTATAATAATAAAAGAAAAAAAAAAGAAAAGCAGAAAAAAAAGGAATTAAATGAAGGTGAAAAAAGTGGCTTGGAGCTAATTAAAGTTCCATGTAAGATGAAAATAATATAAGGAGTTGACAGGGAAAAAGGTACTTTATTTTCAGTAACATCCACTTCATAATAAAGTCATAACACACACTAGAAAAAAAAGGCTGAGTATATTCCTTTAATAAGTGTATTTAAACGAGTAGAAATATGACTCAGTCATGTATACATGAACAATTTCAATTTGGTTAGTGTAACATGTCTGGTAAAATAAACAATGGGTAACAGGTCTTAATTCAATAAAAAGCCTTGCAGAATCAATACTTTTTTTAAAATAATATCAAATAATGAACCAAATACAATGGATTGGATATTCGAAGGAAAGAAAAGAGTATATATTGAAAAAAATTATAGTATGCTTTTCACAACATTATATTTGAAAAGATAATTTATTAAATTTCTTAGTACACTGGGGTATTGTATATATTTATAAGTAATTATAGAAGACTGAAAAGCATAAACATAAGATAGTTTATGAACTCTAAAATATTCATTGTCTTGCTAATTTTAACATTTTTAAATGTATAGATTTGTTAAATTAATCTCTAAAATTGTACAATTTTTCATGGCGATATATTTGTATGTAGTATTTCATAGCATGTTTTCACAACCTTTATAAAACAAGTAGTTTGTGCATTTTTTTTATTGTATGGAGGTGGCATTGGATCTGGCATAAGATGTCACTTGGAAAATTTATGTTTGCAAGCAATTGGCAAGATTCTTATTAACCTGAATGGACTGTTCAGAAGAGCCCACCTTTTGAGTCATATATCATGACGGTGCCTTTGCACCAAAGATCTATTACTTCAACACTACAACAATGTGACAGTTCTAATGATGTATGAGATAATCTGTCATGAATGTTAAGTTTTGTTATGTGCCTCAAACAGTCGTATACTTGCTGAAGAAGTATGAGACAGAAAACAAAGTGGGTTCGGCTCCATTGGAAGGTTTGTCAGTCATTAAGTAGTTTATAGTGCATTTATGTCTCTGACTAGAAAGCTAAAGCAGAAATTATGAAAACTGTGTTATGTGAAGCAAATGAGTCAGGGACACTTTTTCCCCAAAGTACTATACAAACAACTTGAGGATTGAAGTGTATCTATTAAATACAAGACATTTTGGTAGACGGATAACATTTTTAGCACCCACTATAAAACAGATTATTCTAAATGTTAGTGTTTGAAGAATAAAAAAGATACAAAAAACATAGTTTCTATTTATGAGGAATGTTCAGCTGAATTAAGAAAGCTACCTTTATGTAACATAGGATTAAAACAAATGTGAAAAGTTGTTTTAAGGAATGATCCATAAATCACCCTTTCTCATATTTTGAAATCAAAATTGGAACAAATGCTTAATGGGACCAGGAAGACAACGATGATTTTGCTCAATTTATAGCTTTATAGAGAAAAGAATGTTTGAGTATGCAAATTCTTGAAATGACTTTACGCCAGGGAGATGAATGGCCTTAAGTGAATAATCTATTGGCTACTAGAAATTCCAGCTAATGTGCTGGAAAACCCCCAGTTGAAGTAATAAGCAAACCTTATATTTCCGTTGGTCTTCTACTTTTGTATATGATTTTACAAAGTTATATTATATATGCAAGATTATATGAAATTTAGATATATACATGAAATTAGGCAGAAGGAAAACAGTATTAAACCATCTAATTGAGGATACAATCATCTCTAAGTATCTGTTAAAGACTGGTTCCAAGACCCCCACAGATACCAAAAAATGCATGAATGCTTAAGTGCCTTATAGAAAATGATGTCATATTTGCATAGTTTATATATGCAAATATATATATATGCAAATATAAACTATGCAAATGCAAAATCATTTTCTATAAGGTATGCTGAGCTTAGAGAGTTTTATTCTCAGAGATTTGTAGATATTTTGAAGAAATTTAGATGGAAAAGTTATATGATCACATTTTTCTTAGTAAGACAACATATAGTCAGTTCTCCAGAGTTGTAGGTTCTACATTTGTGAATTCAACCAATGACAGATTTACATAGCATTAAAGTATACAGGAGGATGTGTAACTCCTACATACGTTAAATTATTTCTAGATCATTCCTACTGTATACTTGAAACTATCTCTAGGTCACTTATAGTACCTAATGCAATGTAAATGATACATAAATAGTTGTTACACTGCATTGTGTTTATGTTTGTATTATTTTATTGGTATGTTGTTATGTTTTTCTAATTTTTAAATATTTTTTATTCCACAGATAAGGAACATACAACTCTGGAGAACTGACTAAATGTTGTTTTACTAAGAAAAATGTGATCACATCACTTTTCTACCTAAATTTCTTCAAAATTTCTACAAAGCTCTGAGAATAAAACTCTCTCAGCATAGCTAGCAAGACGATGCATGATCTTCCTAGCTACCTACTAGGCCGTCCTTATCTCAAACCTCTGCCCCTTAAGCTCCATCTGAGAATACCAGTCTTCTTTTAGTCTCTCTTGTATGTTATTTGTCTTATCTTTTGCTGCTTTCAGAACTTTTTCTTTGTCCTAATTTTTTTATAGTTTGATTACTTTGTGCTGTGGCTAATTCCAAAAAAGGTTAAATTTGATTGGAGAACTCTGGCCTTCCTATATCTGGATATTGGCATCTTTTCCCAGATTTGGGAAGTTTTCAACCATTATTTATTTAAATTTGCCTTTTCCTTCTGAAATTCTTATACAAAAATTAAGTCTCCTAATAGTGTCCCATATTATCAAAAGCTTTCTTTGTTCTTTTTATTTTTTTTCCTTTTGATTCTTCTGACTGGATAATTTCATATGTTCTGTCTTCCAGCTGATACTTCTGCTCGATTGAGCTTGTCAATGAAGCTTTCTCTTGCATGTTTTTAGTTCAATCATTTCAATCTTCATCTCTAGAATTTCTATTTGTGTTTTTTTAATTGTTTCTATTTCTTTGTTGAATTTCTCATTTGTGCATGTATTGTATTCCAAAGCGCACTTAATTTTTTTTCCATATGTTTTTGTAGTTCACTAAACTTCAGGAGGATTATTCTGAATTCTTTGTTATTTTGGAGAGTTTCATTACTTCAGGGTCAGTCACTGGACTTTTGCTATATTCTTTTGGAGGTGTCGTGATTTCTTCAGTTTTTATACTCCTGTTTCCTTGTGTTGGTGTCTGCATATTTGAGGAAACAACCATCTCTTCAGGCTTTTTCAGATGTTCCTTGGCAGGAATAGCCTTCTCTATTTAGCCTACAATTCTAGTTGGGCCAGTTGGTAATAACCCTGGGCAGGCAGGGCTTTCTTTTTGGTTCCCTAGATAGTTGTGCCACTGCCTTTGCTCTCATTGGATGCAGCTGCTGGCTGAGTTTTGCTCTCAGCCAAAACTGCTAGCTGAGCTCTGCAATCATGTGGAGCTCATAGCTGGTCACTGCAATCACCTCTGACTGAGTGAGGCTACAGGGTGTATTCTCTGGCCAGGTGGTACTGCTATTTGAGATCTGCAGTTTGATAGAGTTCTAAGGCCTTACAGTTAGGGAATGTCACTACTTGGATGGATGAGATGAGCTGCTGTGCTCAGTAGAAATGCACAGTTGAGGTTTACAAACCTGCCTAGGTAGGACTTACTGCTGGGCTATAAGGCTGAGCTAAGCACATTTAAACTCCAGGATGTGACCAAACTAACCCATGCTCTTTGCTGAAATGTACAATGGTGGTCATCTCCTTTCCTGAGTGAGGTCTTGAGGTCTATTTAAACTCCAAGATATCAGAACTCGCCCCTGCTTTTGACAAATTGCTTTGCAGCAAACAATTATTTCCTGCAAAGGGCCTTGAGTAAAGTTTGAAGATGGGCCTTGAGGCTGGCAGTCTAGGAATTCAAGCCAGTTAGAACTTCCCACTACTTCTGGGAGTGATCATCTCAGCTTTGTAGATGTGCTAGGCTGCTGGTTGTCATCTTAGATTAGGTACCACCATAGGCAGTTACACTGAGCTACCTACCACTGGGGCCTGTGAGCTGGCTGATGTGAACTCCACCTCTTTGCTTTGTTTTTACCTGATTTCAGGTGGTCTAGCCCTGTCATTAACTCCTCGGTTCCTCATAAAGTGAGATAGGAGTGAGCTCCCTGGGAAACATCTGGAAACACTACGGAAGCTGGATGTCTGCTTCCAGTTCTCTTTCCCACTGAAAAAGCCTTGAGCCCTTGGAAATCCTCTCTGGGACTGTGCCAACTTTGGTGAGAGAGAAGGGTGGTGTGGTTAAAAAGACCATTTATTCTCTTACCCTTTCTTGCAGAGTTTATTCAGTTCCATGGTCCACACAGGTATCTCAGGCTTATTCCTGAGTTTTTGGGTTTCCACAGGTATGTTCTTGATTGTGGGTAATTGCTCGTTGAAATTTCTGTGGGAGGTAATGAAACTTGAGATGTCTTATTTTGCCAACCTGTTCCAAACATTTATTCATTTTTGTAAAAATTACATTTAGGATTTTAACTTTCTTCTTTTCTCTCTCCTTCCCTGCATTCCTGCCGTCCAACCTTTTCTTGGGTGTTAAAAAAATACTGATATGAACAATGTAGTATATTTCTCTTTGCCTACATATGTATGTCTGGATAATATAAGATGTATGACCATCTTTAATTTTTTAAAGAATTATTTATATTACTGTCTAAAGTCACTGGACCAGTTCATAATTTCCTTAGCAGAATAAAAGGGGTGATTTTTTCTCAGCATCTTTGTTAACACTTAGTATGAAATGTTATTACTAGGTTTTTAGTGACATTCTCCTGATTCTAGAAAATTCTATCTCATTTCAAATGATTATTAGGCTTTTCTATGAATTGCCCAATTTAATATTTTGCTTGTTTACTGTGTTAACTTGTGTTAATGTTTAGCTTTCAATGCATACTGAATACAAATTCTTGCAAATATCTCTAAGTCTGAGATTATATTTTAGCTTTCTGGTACATTTTTAGGAAGAGAAATTGTTCATTATTATGAAATCAAATGTGTCAATATTTTTCTTTAATGTTTGTGTTTTTTATGCTTCATTCAAGAAATATCTCATCTTATAAAAATATTATTATTTTATAAGTTCATTTTAAATTTAAATTGGTCTTGAAAATTGAGGCTTTTAATATTTAATTAAATTAAATTCTCCATTTAAAAATATTTCATTACCTCTCCCCAGATTTCATTCCCCTTTATTATATTCTCTCACTGAAACACACCTCTGTTTTATTGTATTTCTATATTTGTCTCTGGGATTATTTGTTCATGTCTTTACTTCTATTAACTATAAATGCAATAATAATAATAAAATAACAACACAACATAAGCACTAATATTTAGTCAACACCCACAAACACACAAACTAAGGCAAATTCTGAATTAAAGCAGTATCCTGTAAGGATTTAAGTCATTGTCTTAACAGACACATTACTCAGGGCCGGTTTATGCCCTCCAAATCCGGGAACCACAGATGTTAAGTCGTATAACTGACTTTTTCCTATACTTTTACTTAGGTATATATCTATGTACCAATTGAATAACATAAGTCAAGTAAAAAAGCCATCATGTCCTGTTATATCCTTTTACTGATTTCATCCTTAAAACATGGATCTCTACTATTTATTTATATGTCTAATATGTACATCTCGAATATGAACGCACATATTAATTTAATAAATTACGTGATCATGTTCTAAAGAAAGTTTTTGTCCAAGCAATGGAAACTGTGGTTTGAGTATTCCTTTACTCCATTGATCAGCTGTTACTTTGTTTACTGTAGTTAGCTGCTAAGGAAACGTAAATTATAGGTGAAAAGATGATAGGATCTTCCACAGTTAAATGTCCAGAAGAGGGTTTTCCACATTTCCTTTCCCAAGGAAAATGTTATTTTCCCACTAGTTATTTTTCATAAGTGTCCTCAAAAGGATCTTTAAAGTGTCACCAACTTTCATGGCTGCAAATATTGTGCTCACTAGTGATTCCTTTTTGGACAATTTTGATTTAAATGGCAAAATGAATATTAAAGAAACTTTAAAAGCAACACTAATATACAATGAAATGCAATAGACATGGAGATTTTCTAAGATGCAAAAGCTCATATAGAGCTGCCAAACCTACTTATACTAAAAACAAGTGAGAAAAATGTGGACTGCCTCCTGAGTTTTCAGAAACCATCAGACACTCAATATGTAGTAATGACTGAACATATTCACTGTACTTAAAGCCTATATAAAAAGAAGCATCTAGAGAAATTTGAATTAAAGAAGATTCTGTGAAATTTGCCTAAGTACAGAATGCACATCTATTTTGAATTTTCTTTTATTTAAGACAAGTGGCAGATAATTTCACAGCTGTCAGTTAATGCACATAATGAATGCCTTATCAAAGGATGAAAGCATGAAGTTGTATTCATGTTCCCCAAGTATGTAAAATAAATTCAAAAGGATGTCAAGATCTTGTATGAAATAAAAAATGCAGGAACACTTTGGTTTAGCAATGTGTTGGGGAGAGGTGGGATTGAACATTCACCCTTGTCTCTCTATAAATTAAATCAATAGGAGAGTAGGCAATGCAGTAACTGCTTTATCACTCAGATTTTTGCATCAGTTTCTCAGGACTTTTTTATATGGCATGTCTGTTTGACATGGTGGGGGGCAACTTTAATAAATTGCTTTGGAACACTTTATCTTTTAAATTTACTACTAAATTCTATCAATCTTTAGCTTTTGTAATCTATTGGAGTGTCTTTAAAAATATAGAAACAATGTATAAGGATATTCTCCAACTGGAAAAAAAGAAAATAATAGTAACAAAAAAGAACTCCATAATGTTAGCATTGTGTACGTTTAAAAAGTCTGTCTTATCTATCTAATCTCTTATCATGGCATTCCATGAAATTGTACCAGAATTACTTTTAGATTTCTGAAAATGAAATACTTAGACCCTATCATTAATAGTATTATGATAATAATTGTCTCAATTTTAATAAGTCAGTCAATAAATAGAGCATATGAGAAATTAGACTTGCTTCAACTTACTGAAAACAACAAAAAATTTAAATATTTTGGGCAAAGCATGTAATGACATACTTAAAACATGGGATTATATTCTATGTGAAGACAGAGTGATATCTGCCTTTCTTATTCATTTTGGTTTCCTTTTATGCACATCTCTGAAAATCAGTATAGCTTTGCAGTCTTAAATTTTACTTTTGGCCTAATGTTATAATCCAGCCTAATAAAAGAAGGACACTAACATCAACTTATTAAATAGTTTTAGAGTTTTATTTGATTTTTACCAAACATTTGAAGAAGAAATCATTCTAAGATTAATTTTTCA
Source organism: Homo sapiens (assembly GCF_000001405.40). Lineage (NCBI taxonomy): Eukaryota > Metazoa > Chordata > Mammalia > Primates > Hominidae > Homo > Homo sapiens. The sequence goes on along the minus strand of NC_000004.12, from coordinate 65,151,375 downwards.
GACAATAGGATAATAGAATGTACTTCTTATTGCATTTTAGAAGGCCAGCATCAGCTGGTTATGGTGACTCACGCCTGTAACCCAGCACTTTAGGAAGCTGAGGCAGGTGGATCATGAGGTCAGGAGTTCAAGACCAGCCTGGCCAGCATAATGAAACTCTGTCTCTACTAAAAATAAAAATTAGCCAGGTATGGTGGCAGGTGCCTATAGTCCCAGCTGCTTGGGAGGCTGAGGCAGGAGAATCATTTGAACCCACAGGAGTCAGAGGTTTCAGTGAGCCAGGATCATGCCACTGCACTCCAGCCTGGGTGACACAGTGAAACTGTCTCAAAAAAAAAAAAAAAAGAAAGGAAGGAAGGGAGAAAGAAAAGAAAGAAAGAAAGAAAGAAAGAAAGAAAGAAAGAAAGAAAGAAAGAAAGAAAGAGAAAGAAAGAAAGAAGAAAGAAAGAAAGAAAGAAAGAAAGAAAGAAAGAAAGAAAGAAAGAAAGAAAGAAAGAAAGAAAGAAAGAAAGGGAGAGAGAAAGAAAGACTCTCATGACGAAACAAAACCACTAAAGACCTGGGTCAGGACTTTATTATTTATAACAATAAAAGTAGCCACAGCACTGGCATATTTATGTCAGTCTCCTAAGTCCCAATTCCACAGGTGATGAGCAGAGGGCCAGATGACACCAGCACATACAGTAGGTTGCATTACAGGAGATGAATTCTAAGTTTACAGAACCTGAATCTTTTATAACAGACAGTGAGCATTCTTGCTCCTTGTTCCAGAGGTAGTAGCTATCTTCACCTTCCAAGAGTATAAGCTAAGTAGTTTCACTTTACTCTGATGACAGATACTATCTCTTATTTTCTAAGACTGTTTCCTTTACAAACACCTTGAAAAGTTAACGTGGAGCAATATTAGTCCATTTCTCTGCTTGCAAAACATGCAGAAATGTGAGAGACACGTGGAAAATTATATATATACATTATATATATGTATATAAGTTAACATGGAGCAATATTAGTCCATTTCTCTGCTTGCAAAACATGCAGAAATGTGAGAGACACATGGAGAATTTTATATATATATATATATATATATATATATACACACACACACATATATATATGTATGGTTTTTTTTTTTTTTTTTGAGACGGAGTCTCGCTCTGTCACCCAGGCTGGAGTGCAGTGGCGCGATCTCAGCTCACTGGAAGCTCCGCCTCCCAGGTTCACGCCATTCTCCTGCCTCAGCCTCCCGAGTAGCTGGGACTGCAGGTGCCTGCCACCATGCCCCACTAATTTTTTGTATTTTCAGTAGAGATGGGGTTTCACCATATTGGCCAGGATGGTCTCGATCTCCTGACCTCGTGATTAGCCCACCTCGTCCTCCCAAAGTGCTGGGATTACAGGCCTTAGCCTCTGCTCCCGGCCGAGAATTATATCTCAACAATATCAAGAGTGTGATGGTTAATGTTGAGTGTCAGCTTGATTGGATTGAAGGATGCAAAGTATTGGTCCTGGGTGTGTCTGTGAAGGTGTTGCCAAAGAAGATTAACATTTGAGTCAGTGAACTGATAAAGTAGACCCACCTTCAATCTGGGTGGGCACTATCTAATTAGCTGCCAGCATGGCCAGCATAAAAAAAGGCAGAAGAACATGGAAAGACTAGACTGGTTTAGTCTTCTGGCCTACATCTTTCTGCCATGCTGGATGCTTCCTGCCCTCAAACATCAGACTCCAAGTTCTTCAGCTCTGGGACTCAAACTGACTTCCTTGCCCTTCAGCTTGCAGATGGCTTAATACTCCTTAATAAACTCCACTTTATATATATATATATATATCATATTAGTTATGTTTCTCTAGAGAACCCTGACTAATACAAAGAGATATAAAATACAGTGAATATGATTGTATGATATTGGCTGAAGAATGGACAAATAAACCAAAGAACAAAGTCAAGCAACAAATCTACATATATAGATTTTTTTTGTAAATGTACCACTGCAGTAGCAGTGTACTCAGGAAAGATAGCATTGTCAGTAACTGTTTTGTGTTAATTGAATATTCATATGAAAATTATGTATGAATGTGTACCTATGAGGGTATACACACATACATACATATGTTATATACAGACACAAATATATATATGCATGTTATTATATATGTGTGTATATGTGTACACACACAAGGACCTCTCCTTTACAGACATAAATATACTCACATCCCTATTTATATATGTGTGTATATATATATACATATACACATATATACACACATATTGACTTCCTCATACTCTACACACACAATCAAGATGAATTATAAATTTAAATATAAAAGATAAAATATACTTCTAAGGCATAAGATACTTTTATGAGTAGGTTTTTAACCATCCCTGAAGAGAGACTGATTTGGGTAGTGATGGAAGCTCATTGCCCTCCTCTTTTGGTAGCAAGTGAGATACCTGCCTCAGCAGATCTGAGTTAGCTCAATGTTGGGAGAGTTTGAGACTAATGATTGTGTTTCAGAATATCCCCTTTCCTACAAAGTCACTTTCTAGCCAAGAAGCTTAAACTCTTGGGAGTCTCATATATTTTTACATAATCTCATGTATTTTTACATAGTCTCAATATATTGCTCCTGCTTCCCAGTCCCAATAACTAAGTAAGGTATATTATTAAGGCAATATTCCTTTCTGCTCAAGTGTTTGCCAATATGCATGTAATCCACTAATGCCCAGGGGAAGCTATTTCATATTATAACACAAGGTTCTGTTCACTCTTTTCCTTTTCTGCTTGTAAGATCTTCCCAATATAGTTTTCTATAGCAATATTGTTTTGTATCTGCAAATCCTTTTTGAAGACACTTGTTGGACATGAAGAAACATATTCCACTCTATCAGATGCTATGAGTTTTCAGATGACAGTTTAACTGGTCCAGCCAAGGGTGGGTATAATTTCCTCATAATTTTGGTAACATGTCATCTTCTTTTAGCCTTGTAGTGAGTTAGCTGGCTGTGGAGTCACTAGCCCTCCTTTAAAGATGCACTGAAATGTCTACCCTAAGCCTTAAATGAGTCAGTTTGTCAAGGAAAGTATCTAGTAGCCAGTTAGTCTGTTAGCTCAATACCTAGCCAGGTGTCAAACATGTCTGCTTTGTCTCTTGAGGCTCTTGAAGAAACACATTGGCAGTAGAAATGCCTGTCAATCACAAAGTCCCCAAACAAATAGTTTTCTTACAGGACATGTAGATTTTTGATATAGTTTGGCTGTGTCCCCACCCAAATCTCATCTTGAATTCTCACATGTTGTGGGAGAAACCCAGAAGGAGGTAATTGAATTATGGGGGCAGGTCTTTCCCATGCTGTTCTCATGATAGTGAATAAGTCTCACAAATCTGACGGTTAAAAATGGGAGTCTCACTGCACAAGTTTTCTTTTTTACCTACTGCCATCCATTTAAGACGTGACTTGCTTCTCTTTGCCTTCCACCATGATTATGAGGCATCTGCAGCCATGTGGAACTGTTAAGTCCATTAAACCTTTCTTTTGTAAATTGCCCGATCTAGGGTATGTCTTTATCAGCAGCATGAAAATGGACTAATACCCTAAATTAGTACCAGTAGAGTGGAAATTTGCTGAAAAGATACTTGGAAATGTGGAAGCAACTTTAGAATTGTGTCACAGGCAGAGGTTGGAATAGTTTGGAGGACTCAGAAGAAGACAGAAGGAAAATGTGTGAAAGTTTGGAACTTCCTAGAAACTTGTTGAATGGCTTTGACCAAAATACTGATAATTGTACAGACAATGAAATCCAGTCTGAGGTAGTCTCAGATGGAGGAAATTGTTGGGAACTGAGCAGAGGTGACTGGTGGCATTTTCCCCCTGCTGTAGAGATTTGTGGAAATTTCACGTTGAGAGAGATGATTTAGGGTACCTGTTGGAGGAATGTCTAAGCAGCAAAGCATTCAAGAGGTGACTTGGGTGCTGTTAAAGACATTCAATTTTAAAAGGGAAACAGAGCATAAAAGTTTGGAAAATTCACAGCCTGGAAATGAACTAGAAAAAAAAATCAAATTTTTCTGAAGAGAAATTCAAGCTGGCTGCAGAAATTTGCATAATTAACCAGGAGCCTAATGTTAATTATCAAGACAATGAGGAAAATATCTCCAGGGTATGCCATAGACCTTTGTGACAGCCCCACCCATCACAGGCCTGGAGGTTTAGGAGTGAAAAATGGTACCATGGGCTGGGCCCAGGGTCCCGTACTGTATGCAGCCTAGGGACCTGATGTCCTGCATCCCAGCTGCTCTAGCTGGGACTGAAAGGAGCCAACATGGAGCTTGGGCCATGGCTTCAGAGGGTGCAACCCAGAAGCCCTGGCAGCTTCCACATGGTGTTGAGCCTGTGAATGTAGAGAAGTCAAGGACTGGATTTTGGGAACCTCCACCTAGATTTCAGAGGATGTATGAAAATGTCTGGATGGCCAGGCAGAAGTTTGCTGCAGAGGCAGGGCTCTCATGGAGAACCTCTGCTACTGCAGTAGGGAAGGGAAATGTGGGTGTGGAGCCCCCACACAGAGTCCCTACTGGGATACCACCTAGTGGAGCTGTGATAAGAGGGCCACCATCCTCCAGACCCCGGAAAGGTAGATCCACTGACAGCTTGCACTGTTTGCCTGGAAAAGCTGCAGAAAATGCCAGCCCATGAAAGGCAGAAGGGGGGCTATACCCTGCAAAGCCACAGGAGCAGAGATGCCCAAGGCCATGAGAGCTCACTTCCTGCATCAGCAAGACCTGGATATGAGACATGAAGTCAAAGGAGATTATTTTGGAGCTTTAAGATTTGACTGCCCTTCTGGATTTTGGACTTAATGGGACATGCATCTCCATTGTTTTGGCCAATTTTTCTCACTTGAAATGGCTGTATTTACCCAATGCCTGTACCTCCATTGTATCTCGGATGTAACTAACTTACTTTTGATTTTACAGGCTCATAGGTGGAAGACACTTGCCTTGTCTCAGATGAGACTTTGGACTGTGGACTTTTGATTTAATGCTGAAATGAGTTAAGACTTTGGGGGACTGTTGAAAAGGCATGATTGGTTTTGAAATGTGAGGACATGAGATTTGGGAGGGACCAGGGGTGGAATGTTATGGTTTGGCTGTGTGCCTACCAGAATCTCATCTTGAATTCCCACATGTTGTGGAAAGAACCTACTGGGAAGTAATTGAATCATGGGGGCAGGTTTTTCTTGTGCTGTTCTTGTGATAGTGATTAAGCCTCATGAGATCTGATGGTTTTAAAAATGTTAGTCTTCCTCCACAAGCTCTCTCTCTTTTCCTGCTGCCATCCGTATAAGACGTGACTTGCCTCTCCTTGCCTTTCACCATGACTGTGAGGATTCCCCAGCCACATGGAACTGTAAGTCCATTAAACCTCTTTCTTTTGTTAATTACCCAGTCTTGGGTATGCCTTTATTAGAGTGAAAGCAGACTAATATAATTTTCTATGAAAAAAAAAATTCTGGAGGTCTCCATGCCTCGTTTGAGCATTGGGTGCTGGATACCAAGGGCTGGAGCTGATTTGTTGTGGGGACAAAACTGTCACAGGAAATAAAATGACCATGGTGTTAAATAATTTGAACACCATGAATAAGATGGTTAATTCCACAAGAACACTGCCAACATCAGAAAAATCTGCCTTTTGGCCCAGGCTGACCATGGAAAAGGTATCCTAAATGACTTTCTTATACCTAGTAATGAAATCATCCCAAGTTGCCTGGCAAGCAAGAATTTGATACACTAATTGTAAAATCTTATAGAAACACAAAGGGCCAATAATAGCCAAGACACATCTGAATGACAGTAAATTAAGGTACGTGGATATAAGATTCAAGGGATCACTATGAAATGTACTTGTTTCACTACATTATGCAGAAAAGTCAGGCTATCCATATTTAGAGCAGGCAGAGACCCCTGACTGGGTTGCGGGTAGAAAGACTGGTAGTCTTCACCTGCCCCTCATATAGCCTAAGTCACTTGATAAACCCTCTAGAACATGTAGATTTTGTCTTGGAAGTATAAACTGATGTTTGCATTTTTGATAGATGTATCATTTTGGTAGATGTGATGGAATAAGTCTATCCACAGATACAAGCATTGCTGTGAGAAGTCTGGGTCAAAAACATCCACCTACTTTTAATGATAGTAAGAGAAAGTGATAGTTTCACTTTAATAATGAAACTTAAATTTACTCCACAAGATGCCTGTTCTCTCCTCAAGCATATTTTAGAACATATTAAGATACACATGCAGACTGATTTTACTCATAAATTCCTAGAATAAAGAGCAGAGAGGGAGACTAAGTTACAGGTGGATTCTAATTCTAAAGGAGAGCAACTGTCGGACTGGAGCAATGGCTTTTAGGACATCAATGATTCTTATTTTTACTTCTCTACAGATAGAAAATGTGTTTGCCAGTTCAATAGGTGGGTATAACATTAGAATTGACCACTTTCACAAAATCTATAGTCAAAAAAAAAAAAAGTCAAAAAGGGAGTTCTTTTGAAAACCTGTGAGGAGATTGTATATAAAGAATCTTCAAAATGTTTATGGAAAAATGGATACTGTGAAAAACTCTGCATGGAATTTATTTTTTTGCACAAAATAAACTTAAACTTACTCATTATTGAACGTCTGAACAGGATCTAATTTGAGGAACTAAGAAGGTTAAGACATCAGTTTGAAAGAATCTCTATCAGAGCCACATGGATTCTGCTAAAATTTAAGCAAGAACAAACATCAACTTTATTGTAAAGCTTGGGTGGAAGAATAGTGAAATAATTCCTGCTTTTTGAAAAGTTTATGAGAACAATGCCCCCAAGGAAATCAACAGTTTACAAATATATAACTTGCTTTAGAAAGGGACAAGATAATGTTGAAAATTAAGCCTTCGGAGGCAGACCATCTACATCAATTTGCTAGGAAAAATTAATCTCATTTATGCTTTAGTTGAAGAGGACCAACAAATAACAGCAGAAACAGTAACCAACACCACAGAAACCTCAATTGGTTCAACGTACACAATTCTGACTGAAAAATTAAACTTGAGCAAAATTTCCACCTAATGGGTGTGCAATCTGTTTTATCCAGGACATTTGAACACAAGAGCTGAGCTTTCAATGAAAATCTGAAACAAATGGGATCAAGAACCTGAAGCATTTCTTCAAATAATTGTTATAAGAGATGAAATATGGCTTTACCAGTACTATTCTAAAGACAAAGCACAATCAAAGCAGTGGCTACCAAGATGTGGAAGTGGTCCAGTCAAAGCAAAAGCAGACCAGTCAAGAGCAAAGGTCATGGCAAATTTTGGGGGAAATGCTCAAGGTAATTTGCTTGTTGACTTTTTGGATGGCCAAAGGATTATAATATTTGCTTATTATGAGAGTGTTTTGAGAAAGCCAGAGCTTTAACAGTAAAATGCCTAGGAAAGCTTCATCAGAGAGTACTTCTCCACAATGAAAAAGCTCCTGCTCATTCCTATTAGCAAGCAAGGGCAATTTTATGAGAGTTTTGATGAAAAATCACTAGGCATCCACTTTACTGTCCTGAATTGACTCTTTCCAACTTATTTTTGTTTCTTAAAAATCTTTAAAAGATACTCTTTTTTTCAGACAATAATGTAAAAAAGACTGCATTTGCATGGTTAATTCACAGAATCCTCAGTTCTTTATGAATGGGACAAATGATTAGTATCATCATTTACAAAATTGTCTTTATCTTGGTGAAGTTTATATTGAGAATTAAAGTTTATATGTTTTTAATTTATATCTTTTTGTTATATTTTTCCATGAACTTTTTGAAGTTCTATCCTATGAAGTTTAAGAAAATTATGAAGCTTTATTAGGCAAAAGGAAAGAAACCTGTGTTTGTTGAGTTGATTCTGAAAAATATATAAAGTTTACATGATGCTATCTTGAAAAAGAATAAAGGATAAAATCTATAAATTAGTTTTTTAGAATTAAAAATAGGAGCTTTGAAGACATGTCATTCAGATTCTAAAGTTCAGATGAGTGCAATTTGCAGTTAGTAGTCACCCACATCCCAAGCTCTTCTTGCTATAATGTGTTAGAAACTTCATAGCTCTATCGATATTACAGCTGATACAGTAGAAAAAATGGTGTAAATATTGCAAACCTTTGTTCCTCTTAGACACTGAAAGCCACTTTTATAAAATTTAATAGTGGAGACACTCCTCCAGTTATAATATTCATTTCTAAAATATTTGCTGTGATATTGAGGCTAGTGTTCTCTTATTCTTATGGTTCCAGAATAAGCCATAATATTTCACTCAAGAACAAATTTCTCAGAAACATGAGGATGTGAGACAAAGGCAAACACAGAAGCTGGCAGAAGCTCAGAGGTAGATATATTTGGAGCTCCCCTCAAATGGTACTGCCCTTAAAACAAATCCAAAGGGAGACGAATCAAGATATGATTCACAACAGATGAAGATTATGATCCCTAAACCTGTACCTTAGGCAGAAAATGAGCATATGTTTATTGCATGTGTCTTGAAAAGGAATACATATATATATATATATATATCTTATACTTCAAGGAATATATGTATATTCCAAGCACATTCCTGCTGAGTTTTTGCAATACATACCATCACAATTTTATTATAGACATGTTATCAGTTGATTTGAAAAACCCAGAATGATATGACCTCTTGACAAAATGTGATGGCCAATTTTAGGTGTCAGTTTGACTGAGTTAAGGAATACTTAGAAAACTAAACAGATAATTATTTTGGAGTGAGTCTGTGAGGGTATTTCCAGAGGAGATTGGCATGTGAGTCTGAATGGATCAAGTGGGGAAAATGCACCCTCAATATGGATGAGCACCATCCAATTAGCTGGGGGCTCTCGGATAGAACAAAAACAGAAGAAAAGGCCAATGAGTCCCTCTCTTTCCTGGAACCCTTCTTCTCCTGCCCTTGAATATCAGAACTCCAGGATTTCTGACCTTTGGACTCCTTATTGGAACCAAAACGTACTCCAGTTATGGATTTGCCTCCCCTGTATGCAATGCTTTGACAAACCAATGTTGGTGGACTCACCGACTACCTTATTTGCTGTCAAGGTATTCCCAGACATTTTGTTCTTATTATTTTTGTCCATGGAACTCACTTTACGGCAAAAGAATTGCAGCAATGGGCTCGTGTTCATTGAATTCACTGATCTTACTGTGTTCCTGTCATCCTGAAGCAGCTAGCTTGATAAAACATGGAATGGACTTTTGAAGGCTAGGGCAAGTTTCTCTATAAGGCTGTATATACTCTGAATCAGCATCCACTATACACTACTGCTTCTCCCATAGCCAGTATTCACAGGACCAGCAATCTAGGAATGGAAATGGAAGTAATACCACTCCCTGTTACTCCTCATAATCGAACAGCACAATTTTTGCTTCCTCTTCCCAAGACTTTATGCTCTGCTAACCTAGGAGTCTTAGTTGCAGAGGGAGTAATGCTTCCACCAGGAGACACAAAAAAGATTCCATTGAACTAGAAGTTAAGACTAACACCTGACACTTTAGGGTCTTCATGTCTCTGAGTAAACAGGCTAAGAAAAGAGATACGGTGTTAGCTGGGATGATTGATCTGGACTACTGAAGGGAATTTGGACTACCACTCCACAGTGGAGGTAAAGAAGAGTATGTCTGGAATACAAGAGATTGCTTAGGTTGTCCCTCAGCATTGTAATGTACTATAATTAAGGTCAATGGGAAATTATGACAACTCAATCCAGTTAAGACTAAGAATGGTCCATATACTTCAGAAATGAGGTTTTGGATTACCCTGCTAGGTGAAGAACTATGACCAGCTGAGTTTCTTTCTGAAGATAAAGGGAATACAGAATCGGTAGTAGAAGAAGGTAGCTAAAAATACCAGATATAACTACATGACCAGTTACAGAAATGAGGGCTGTAATTGTCAAGAGCATTTCTGTTCTATTTTGTTTAAAAATATGTTTGTGTGTATAAATACATATGTCAAACAAATGTCTTTGTTCTAATTCCTATCTCATTTCATTATGCAACATAAGATTTTTTGAATTTATATTAGTTTTTAAGTATTATTACTTTTGCATCATAGTATTTAAGTTATGAGATATCAAGAGAAGAGTAAACATTACCCAAGGGCATTATCTCCTCTTCTGGGGAAGCTATTAGTGCATTTTTCATTGTGTGCAACGCAGTTAGATGTGAACTATTATCGTGTTACTGTCTTTGGAGAGTAAATGTGGTTTAAGGAGACGCATATGGGTGCCAACTTGATAAGGGGTAGACTTATGATGGTTAATGTTAGATGTCAACTTGACTGGAGAAAGGACTACCTAGATAACTGGTAAAGGTTTTTTAGGAGTGTGTTTGTAAAGATGTTTCCAGAGGAGATTGGCATGGAAGTCTGAGTGGACTAAGTGGCGAAATGTGTCCTCAATGTGGATGGTCATCATCCAATCAACTTGGGGGCTCAAATAAAACAAAAACAGAGGAAAAGACCAGTTCCTCTCACTTTTTCCATCTGGAACTTGGATACCCTCTTTTTGTTCTGCCCTGGAATACCAAAAATCAAGAACCTCTGGCCTTTGGACTCCAGAACTTACACTAACAGGCCCCATGGGCTGTCAGGGCTTTGGGCTTGAACTGAGCCACAGCACCAGGATTTGGCTAGATATATCCTGGTGTATCTAGTTTGCAGAAGGCCTGCCATGAGATTTCTTAGCCTGTTGAATTATGTGAGCTAATTCCCCTAATGAATTTGTTCTCATATATCTATACAGCCATGTGTCAATTAATGACGGGTATATGTTGTAAGAACTGTATTATTAGGCAATTTTGTTCTTGTGCAAATATCATAGAGTGTACTTATACAAATCTAAGTAGCATAGCCTACTACACACCTAAGTTATGTGGCATAGCGTGTTGCTCCTAGGCTAGAAACCTGTAAAGCATGTTACTCTACTGAATGCTGAAGGCAATTGAAACACAATGGTATTTCTGTATCTACACATATCTAAACATAGAAAATGTACAATAGAAATGTGGTATCAAAGATGAAACATGATATACTGTTTAGGGCACTTACCATGAATGGAGCTTGCAAGACTGGAAGCTGGCCTGGGTGAGTATATGAGTCAGTGGTGAATGAATGTGAACACCTATGACATTGTTATACACTACTGTGGACTTTACAAGCAGTGAATGTTTAGGCTACACAAAATTAGTTAAAAAGACATTTTCTTTCATAATAAATTAACCTAAGCTTAGTTTAAATTTAAACATTATATTTTATTTTTAAAAAAACACTTTTTTATCATTTTGTAATAACACTTAGCTTAAAACAAATATATTTTACAACTTTATAAAATATATTTTATTTATATCCTTATTCTATAAACTTCTTCTGTTTTTTTATTTATTTATTTACTTTTTAACCTTTTTGTTAAAAATGAAGACACAAACACACACATTAGCCTGGGCCTACACAGGTTGAGGATCTTCAATATCACTGTCTTCCATCTCCACATCTTGTCCCACGAGTAGGTCTTCAGGGGCAATAACATGCATGGAACTGTCAGCTCCTATGATAACAATGCTTTCTTCTGGAATACACCTAAGGAACTGCCTGAGGCTTTTTACAGTTAACTTATATTTCATAAGTAGAAAAAGTACACTCTAAGATAAGGATAAGAAGTATAGTAATTATATAAACCAGTAAATGGTTATTATCAGGTAGGTACTGGAAATAATTATATATGCTCTATTTTTATAAGACTGGTTGTGCAATTGGTTTGTTTACATCAGCATCACCACAAACACATGACTAATACATTGAGCTTTGGAGATACAATGGCTGTAATGTCACTAGGCAATAGAAATTTTTCAGCCTCATTAAAATCTTTTGTTTTCTTTTCCTACCATTGACTTTTTTTTATTAATACGTAAAAGATGTGTGTATTTTCAGGGTGCATGTGAAAATTTGATATATTCATATAACATGAAAAAAATCAAATCAAGATAATAAAGATATCTATCACTTCAAATATTTATCTTTTCTTTATGTTGGAAAAATTTGAATTATTCTCTTCTAGATATTTTGAAATTTACAATATATTAGTGTTAACTATAGTCACTCTACTGATCTATAAAATACTAGATCTTATTTATTCTATCTAACTGTATATTTGTAGCTATTAATTATCCTCTCTTTGATCCTCTTTCCCTTCTACCCTTCCAAGACTGTGGTAACCAACGATCTCTCTGTATTCATGAGAGTTCCTAGGTATTCTCTGTTCTTTAATTTTTTGAAATAGTTGGTGTTGGTCCTTTAAATGTTTGATACAATTCAGCAGTATATTCATCAGGTTCTAGGCTTTTATTTAATTAATTTATTAAGGTGTGGATCTCATTGTTATTGACTTATTGTGCTTCTCTAGTTCTTTAAGCTTCAATCTCAGTAGGTTGTATGTGTCCAAAAATTTACCCATTTCCTTCAGTTTTTCCAATTTGTTGTGCATAGTTGTTCATAATAGTCTCTAATAATTTTTTGTACCTGATGTTTCAGTTGTTATGTGTTTTTTTCATTTCTAATTTAATTTATTTAGGTCTTTATTTTTTTCTTAGTCTACTCTTTCTTATCTTTCAAGAAACCAACTTTTTGTTTGATTGATCTTTTGTTTCACTCTCAATTTCATTTACGTCTACTCTGATCTTCATTCTTTCTTTCCTCTTACTAATTTGGGATTTGATTTGTCCTTGTTTTTCTAGTTGCTTAGGGTGCATCATTAAGTTGTTTATTAAAGTTTTTCTAATTTTTTGATGTAGGTGTTTATTGCTATAAACTTTTTAATATGGTTTGGCTCTGTGTCCACACCCAAATCTCACCATGAATTGTAACAATCCCCACTTGTCAAGCATAGGACCAGGTGGAGATAATTGAAGCATGGGGGTGGTTTCCTCCATGCCGTTCTCATGATAGTGAGAAAGTTCTCATAAGATCTCATGGTTTTATGATGGGCTTCCCCTTCACTTAGCACTCATTCTGTCTCCTGCCACCCTTTAAAGAGGTGAAGAGGTGCCTTCTACCATGACTGTAAGTTTCCTGAGGCCTCCCCAGCCAGGCAGGATTGTGAGTCAATTAAACCTCTTTTCTTTATTAAAGACCCAGTCTGAAGTATTTCTTCATAGCAGCATGCAAATAGAATAATGTAGTAAATTGGTATCCGAAGTGGGGCATTACTATAAAGATACCTGAAAATGTGGAAGTGACTTTGGAAGTAGGTAACAGGCAGAGGTTGGAACAATTTGGAAGTTGCAGAAGACAGGAAGATGTAGGAACGTTCAGAACTTCCTACAGACTTCTTCAATGGCTTTGAACAAAACGCTGATAGTGATATGGACAATGAAGTCCAGGTGAGGTGGTCTTGGATGGAGATGAGGAATTTATTGGGAAATGGGGCAATGGCCACTCTTGCTATGCTTTAGCAAAGAGACTGGCAGCATGTTGCCCCTACTGTAGAGATCTGAGGAACTTTGAATTTGAGAGAGATTATCTGAAATTGGAATTTATGTTTAAGAGGGAAGCAGAACATAAAAGTTTGGGAAATTTGCAGCCTGATAATGCAATAGAAAACAAACACCTATTTTGTGAGGAGAAATTCAAGCTGGCTGCAGAAAATTCCATAAGTAATGAGGAGCAAAATATTAATCATCAAGACAATGGGGAAAATGTCTCCAGCGCATGATAGAGGTCTTCATGGCAGGCCCTCCCATCACAGGCCCAGAGGCCTAACAGAAAAAAAAATAGTTTCATAGGCTGAGCCCAAGGCCTTGTTGCTTTGTGCAGTCTCAGGACATGGTGCCCTGCATTCCAACTGTGGCTAAAAGGGGACAACATACAGCTCAGGCCATTGCTTTGGAGGGTGCAAACCCTAATCCTTGGTGGCTTATAGTTGGTGTTGGTCCTGCAGGTGCACAGAAGTTAAGAATTGATGTTGGGGAACCTTCACCTAGATATCAGAGAATGTATGGTAGTGCCTGGATGTCCAGGCAGAAGTTTACTACAGGGGTGGAGCCCTCATGGGGGAAACTATGCTAGGGCAGTGCAGAAGGGAAATGTGAAGTTGGAGCCCCCACACAGATTTCCCACTGGGGCACTGCCTAGTGGAGCTATGAGAAGAGGGCCACCATCCTTCAGACCCCAGAATGGTAGAGCCATTTACAGCTTGAACCATGTGCAAGGAAAAGCTGGAGGCACTCAATGCCAGCCCATGAAAGCAGCTGGGAGGGGTCTGTACCCTGCAAAGCCATAGGAGTGGAGCTGCTCAAATCCATGGGAGCCTACTTCTTGCATCAGCAAGAATGGATGTGAGATATGGAGACAAAAGAGATCACTTTGAAACTTCAAGATTTAATGACTGCTCTACTAGATTTTTGGACTTTCATGGGGCTGTAGCCCCTTTGTTTTGGCCAATTTCTCCCATTTGGAAAAGGTGTATTTATCCATTGCCTATACCCCCCATTGTATGTAGGACATAACTAACTTGCTTATGGTTTTACAGGCTCATAGGCTGAAGGGACTTGCACTGTCTCAGATGAGACTTTGGACTTGGACTTTTGGGTTAATGCTGGAATAAGTTAAGACTTTGGGGGGACTTTTGGAAAGGTATGACTGTGTTTTGAAATGTGAGGACATGGGATTTGGGAGGAGACAGTGGCAGAATGATATGGTTTGGCTCTATGTCCCCACCCAAATCTTACCTTGAATTTTAATAATCCCCTTGTGTCAAGGACAGGACCAGGTGGAGATAATTGAATAATGGGAGTAGTTTACCCTATGTTGTTCTTATGACAGTGAGTGAGTTCTCACGAGATCTGATGGTTTAATAAGGGGCTTCCCCCTTAGCTCGGCACTCATTCTCTCTCCTGCCATGCTGTGAAGAGGTGCCTTCTGCCATGATTGTAAGTTTCCTGAGGCCTCCACAGCCATGTGGAATTGTGAATCAATTAAACATCTTTTCTTTATAAATGACCCAGTCTCAGATATTTCATCATAATAGCATGAGAACAAATGAACACACTTCCTTCTTAGTACTGCTTTTCCTGTATGTCATAGATTTTGGTATGTTTTACTATCATTTTCATTTGTTTTCAGAAATTTTAAAAATTGTCTTCTTAATTTGTTTATTGAACTATTGTTTGTTCAGGAAAATGTGTCATTTTCATGTGTTTCCATAGATTCTGAGGTGCCTCTTGATGTTGATTTTTATTTTTATTCTATTGTGATTCAAAAAAGAGAACTTGGATATTTGTTTTACTTTTTGTAAATTTGTTGAGACTTTTTTGTGGCCTAATCTATGGCTTATTTTGGAGAACGTCCCATGTCCTGATTTAAAAAAAAAAAAAAGCATATTCTGTAACAGTTGGGTGAAGTGTTCTGTAAATGTCGTTTAGGCTTATTTTGTCTAGTGTGTAGCTTAACTCCAAAGTTTCTTTGTTGATTTTCTGTCTGGATGATCTGGCCATTACTGAGTGTGGGGTCTTGAAGTCCACTACTATTCTTGTATTGCACTCTGTTTCCATTTAGATATATTAATGCTTGCTTTATATACTTGGGTGCTCTGATGCTGAATGCATAGATTTTTATAATTGTTATGCCCTCCTGCTAAATTGAACCTTTTATCATTACATAGTGAAATTATTTGTTTCTTTACAATTTTAGATTTGTTGTCTATTTTATCTAAGTATAACTACTCCTGTTCCTTTTATGTTTCCATATGCATGGAGTATCTTTTTTCATCTCTCCACTTGCAGTCTATTTGTGTCTCTGGAGGTGAGGTGGGTTCCTTGTAGGCAGTGTATTGTTGGGTCTTGTTTATTTATTCAGACACTCTATGAATTTTTAAAGTTTTACATTATTTTTCTTTCTCAGACTGTTTTTTATAAAAATACTCTGTGACTTTTAATAGGAGAATTTAGTCCATTTACATTCAACATTGTTATTGATCAGTAAGGACTTTCTACTGATATTTTGTTGCTTATTTCCTGATTGTTTCATAACTCTTCTCTTTCTTTCTTTTTTTTTTACTGTCTTTCTTTTTGATTATTTTCTCTGGTAGCATGTATCAATTAGATTCTTTTTATTTTTAGCATATCAATTATACAGTTTTGCATTGTGATTACAATGTAGCTTACAAATACATCTTATACACATAAGTTATTTTAAAGAGATAACAATTTATCTTAAATATTTAAAAAAGAAACACACAAAGAAAAAAACAAAAACTAAAAGAAAAGTATGCTAACCTCTTTCAGTTTGACTTCTTATTCTATCAATGTACATATTTTTATATTGCTGATCTCTCAATTGCTATAGCTATTACTGTTTTTGACAGGTTTGTCTTAAAACTTCATATCAGAGTTATGTGAAAACTGCACATCACACTATTGGAATATTCTGGTGTTATCTTTGTATTTAATTTCTCAGTGGGTTTTATACCTTGAAATGTTTGGGGTTTTCTTTGCATTTCAGTGTGTTTTTTGTTGGTTTGTTTCAGAATTAAAATCATTTTAGTATCTCTTTTAATGTGGATCAGATGATAATGAATTATCTCAGATTGCATTCTACTAGAAAAGGCTATATCTCTCCTTCCTAGGTGAATGATAACTTTGCTAAATACAATATTCTTGGATGGTAGTTTTTTTTCTTTCTTTCTACTCCCTCCTGTCCTATGTGGTTTCCTTTGAGATGTCAGTTGCCAAACAAATTTAAGTTCCTTTATAGGTTATTATCTTCCTTTTTTCTTGATGCTTTAGGATTCTTTTTGTCTTGAACTTACATCATTTGAGTATTACATGCCTTTGTGTAGTCTTATTTGGACTGAACTTGTTTGGTGTTCTCTGACCTTTCTGTACCTAGATATGTAAATCTTTCTTAAGTTCTGGGAAGTTTTCTGTTATTATTTATTTGAATAAGTAAGCTTTTAACCCCTTGCCTTTACTTAACTTTATCTTGAACACCAATAATTCTTAATTTGTTGTTTTGAGGTAATTTTCTAAATCTTATACGTGATTTTCATTTCTTTCCATTCTTTTTTTCCTCTTTTCGCCTCTGTGTATTTTCAAATAGCTTGTCTTCAAGGTCGCTGGTTCTTTCCTCTGCATAATCTGTTTGACTGTAGAGAACCTCTAATGAATTTTTCAGTTCAGCAAATGCAATTCATTCAGATGCTAAGGTTAGTACCCATTAGTTTTCTTGATCCTTTTTCTCCTCCTGCCCTCCATCCTCAAGTAGGTCTCAGTTTCTGTTGTTCCCCTGTATTTGTCCATGTGTTCTTATCATTTAGCTCCCACTTATAAGTGAGAACATGCAGTATTTGGTTTTCTGTTTCTTCATTCGCTTTTTAAGGAAAATGGCCTCCAGCTCCATCCATGTTCCTGCAAAGGACATGATCTCATTCTTTTTTATGGTTGTATAGTGTTCCATGGTGTATATATATCACATTTTTTTATCCAGTCTGCCATTAATGGGCATTTAGGTTAATTATATTTCTTTGAGAAAAGCTAAAATTTACAAAAAAAAAAAGAGACTGATCACACCAAATGTAGAATAAGACATTAAATGACCACAATTTGGAAATACAGAGAATGGGAGTTAAATGGGTGCAAACTCTAGGAAAACTGACACAATCTACTAAAACTGAATTTACGTAGGCCCTGTTTTCTGGCAGTTTTACTGCTAGTCATTCTCTTAAAAGAAATGGTACATATATACACCAAAAGACATGTGAAATAATGTTTATATTCTTAGTAGCCAAATACTAGAATGAACCCTAAAATCCACCAACAGTATAATTGGTAACCAAATCATGATATATTTATACAATGAATACTATATGGCAATAAAAAGATTTAACTACTGCCACATGAAACAATAACACCTGAATTTTACAACAATGCTGAGTGAAAGAAAATAAACACTGAAAATAAATATTCAACAAGTCTCTAGAAAGTTCCAAACTTTCTTACATTTTCCTTTCTTCTTCTGAGCCTTGTTTCAACCTCTGCCTGTTATCCAGTTCCAAAGTCATTTGCACATTTTCAGGTATCTTTTCAGCAGTGCTGCACTCTACTAGTGCCAATGAACTGTATTAGTCCATTTTCACACTGCTGATAAAGTCACACCTGAGACTGGGAAGAAAAAGAGGTTTAATGGACTTACAGTTCCACGTGGCTAGGAGGCATTACGATCATGGTGGAAAATAAGGAAGAGCACGTCATCATGTCTTACATGGATGGCAGAAGGCAAAGAGAGAGAGTTTGTGCAGGAAACTCCTGTTTTTAAAACCATAAGATCTCTTCACTCTCACATGAACATCATGGGAAAGACCTGCTCCCATAATTCAATTAACTCTCACTGGGTCCCTCCCACAACATGTGGGAATTATGGGAGCTACAATTTGAGGTTTGGTTGGGGTCACAGAGCCAAACCGTATCTGTTAGAAATAAATTATTTAATTTCATAGTTTTTCTTCCAAATTATGCCAAATCACAAGATTTCTTACAATTTGTTTCTTTTTTCTGAAAATATTTTTTTCTATTACCCATGAAAAATAATATGGGTTGAAAATATTTGGAAAAATTACATGGAAAAGTATGATATATTATCAAGGTTATTGGAAGTTATTGCATTTAAGTTTGCTTCCACGTATTGTGGGGTCAAAGTAACCCTGATTATTCTTCCAGGGCAAATGAATATAAAATTTTCTCCAAATGCAAAGCCTTTGAAAATGCTGTAAACTTGAAAGTTATAATTTGAAACATTCACTTTGCTTTTTGAAGGATGTGTGGATCAAATAACATTTTAAAAACAGATGAAGAAGACATAAAAATATTATGAAGGGTGTTTTTGTTTTAATAAAAATATCTATAGAAAAGTTGGATGATGTTCAAAGAATGGATGAATTGAATTTTATTTACTGTTCCCCTATATGTTTGTATTAAATTCAAATATATTTAAAATAATAAAGGAAGATGTTTTGAGTACAGTACTACTCTTTATTTTGGGCTTTACTCTAATTCAACCTACTTCAGCTTCCATGTTAAGGTAGAATGCTATTGACTGCAAATCTCCAATGAAAGATTGAACATTTATTTAGCAATCTTGTATTGGCCTAAACACATTTGTCAGTTTAGTTATTATTTACATCAGTTTTGAAATGTGAGCTTTTCTTTACGAAAGATATTTACATCTGAAACACGATCTACCTGTTATCTGAATAAATGTTGTTCCCCACTACCTCCACCATGGCTGCCAACTTTGAGTATCAGTCTCTGCATGGTACTTCAACTCCCAAAGTGTTGAAAAATAATGTATTTCTTATTACCATCGTTTCCCTCTGAAGGAAAGAGTATTCATATTTTGTATAACCCAGAATCTTCTAAAATACTTTAGTCCTATTTCACTCTCCTTAATGCTTCCTAGCCTTGCCTTATATTGCACCTTCAATCCCTTCTTTTATTACTGATCTGTGTTTTTGTATACACTGAAACCCTGTATTCTAGTTCAATCCCAATTCCACCCCACTCTCAATCCCCTTGTAATTCTAGCAGAAATATTCTGTAGCAAGTAAACTTTAACATCTGTAAAAAGATATTAAAATCAGTTTTAATTAATTGTTCATGTTTTGTGACAAAATGAATTTTAAATTGTCAAGTATAACACAAATTTTTATTTAGAAAAGTCAAGATAGGTAAAACTTTTGTTTATGTAACTCTATTATTGATGGCCTTTTATATCGAATACAAACTTCAAACATTCAACTTTCCAGAGCATAGTACAAGTTTTCCCTTTTATTTGTTTAATGTTATTTTTGAATATTACCCATTGTAAACCCCTGTCCTTGTTGGAATTTTATTTTCCTACATTCAACATGATGCTAGACTTTGTGCTTTGTCACATCTCATGCTCAGATTGAGAGAAACTCCTCTTTTTTTAATTATACAAATTTACCCATATTCTAAGTTCAGTTCAGCTTTTATATTGCCCACAAATTCTAAATGTATAATTTCAGTTTATATTAATTTTCAAACATGTTGAGGTAGTAGCTGTTGCAACACCACTAACAAAATCAATTGTCTAATATTTGACATCATGAGTTTTGTATCTCTAACAAAAACATAGAACTTCTAAGTTCTAGAAACATATTTTATGCCACTCTTTACTTTCTTTTAAATAACTTAGTACTGCAGTAATATATAGTAAAATGGACACAATAATCCTATTTGGTCAGGTTATATGGTACATTAGCATAAAATACTAAGCAAAATTTCTGGCAAGTAAGTATGTGCTAAATATTAGCTAACGGCAGTTAAGCAGTTTGTCTTCTTTGCTTGATATTGCTAAAACTACTCAGATTGTTTTTCCAAATTTGATCATTTTGAAGATTCAATTTTATATTTATAACTAACTAAGAGGGGATTTTTACAAAAATGAATGTAATATATTCCTGCAATGTAGACAAAGTAGTTTGACTGAGTTGCTGTTAAAGAAGGCAAAATGTGAAAGAAATCTTCATTATTTACATGTATTTATATACCAGTTCTTGGATTACTTGATTTTTGAATGCTTCTAGTAATATCATTTTAACTGGAAGTATGTGATATAAATGTAAAAATGTTTTAAGATGAAATGTGGAAAAGCATTATAAATCCTAAGCATGACCCTTAAAAATGCTAACCGAATGATCTCCCTTATGATTATTTGGTTATTCTAACTCTGGAGTCCAACATGACTTAAACTGTAGTGTTGGTGTTGTCAGTAGTGTGTGGGTGTATGTGTATGAGTGGTTGTGATATACGCTGAACTTGTCTTTCCTTTCTCACATGACCTAAGTAAAAACTAATAATCCTATATTCATTGATATTTTCCCACACTGATTTGTTGCCAGTTGAACCTCTGTATTATGGGTCACAGTATCTTGCTAAAAAGTTGCAAGCTCATGAATTTCATTTACAAATTCTATATGTCTTGCGATATAAGAAATATAATAATTCTACATAGTCTCATCTTTTTCAAGCAACCAGTATAAACTTGTTGGTCTATAACAAATCACATTGTCAAGATGAAGAGAATCTTGTTACTTCTAGGTGGCCCTGGTCTGTTTCCGTGATTTGGGTCTGATTTGAATATTTAACTTCCTTTTGGAAAAATCATTATTAAATTACCAGAAGCCTTTTTAATTGTGCTAAGACTAACAAAATAATCATGTTTATTTAGAGAAAGCACTGGATGAATGAATGAAACATAAATAATCTGGTCAAAATAACATTGTCGGCCTGTACCATGTTACCTTCTTATAAAGCATCTGGTACTATTTCATGTGTAACAAACAGTTCACCAGATGAGCTGGGCCTGTTTCATTTATAAGATTGTTATGTTCTCACGGAACCCTTTTTTATGGAAAATGACATCATTGATTTAATAATAAGGACACTGTTGAAGAAGATGTAACAATATGCTATTTCCCCTCTAACAAACAACAAACAGTATTTGTAAGGCAAATGCTAGAGTTGATGCTTTCCATCTGGTGGGAGGTAAAGGAAAATGGCACCAACCTAATGTTACCAAATAGTTAAAATTTGCGAGATACATCCAGCTTTAGATGAGAAAGCTTTCTCTAAATGTCTTGCTACAGGGGTTGGCAACAGGCCTAGATTTTAAAATTATTTTAAAGCCTTCTTTAAATTTATTCAAGGAAATTCTAAGAAGGAGCATTGTGTTTATCACTCTAGACTTTAAGGAACCAAATAAGTTTATTTTTTAATTATACAATGCTATACTTTTGGTCCCCACTTTTCCTTGTGGGGATAATCAATAGCATTATGTTTTAAGCATATTGTGTCTGTTTTGTCCTTTACATTTGACAAGTGTATTTTTAGTTATTCCACTGAAGTACTTTAAAAATCTGTTAAATATAAAGATTCTATAACCACACTGAATGAGGTCAAATCCTGCCAACAAAATATACAACATAAAATATAAAATGCATAGAAATTTATTTATATAAAAGGTGAAATAGCTGTACACTGAAAACTATAAAACATTGATGAAAGAAATTGAAGAAGACCCAAATAAATGAAAAGATATCTTTATTTTGTGTTCATGGACCAGAAGAATTAATATTTTTTAAGTGTCCATACTACCCAAACTCATCTACAGATTCAATACAAACTCTATTAAAATTCCAGTTACTTACTTCACATAAATAAAAAAAATCAAAAATTTATATGGAACCACAGAAGACCCAAAATATACAAAGCAATCTTAAGAAAGAAAAGCAAAGCTGAAGGTATTACAAAATATGGTTTCAAAATATACTGCAAAACTATAGTAATAAAAACAGAATGATGCTGGCATAAAAAGACATACAGACTAGTGAAACAGAATTGAGAGCCCAACAATAAACTCACACATATACAGTCAACTAATATTTGACAAAGGCACCAAGAAGAAATAATGATAAAAAGATAGTCATTTCAATAAATAATGCTAGCAAAAGAAAAAAAGCTGAACGCTTAATAGCACTCACAAAAATCAAATCTATGATAATTTATGATTTAAATGTAAAACCTAAAATCATAAACGTCTAGAAGAAAAGACTGGTCTTGTTAATGACTTTTTGGATTTTACACACAAAGCACAAGGAACAGAAGGAAAAACAGACAAGTAGGACTACAGCAAACTAAAAAAGGCTTTTGCACAGCAAATAAACAAACAAATAAATACATCAGCAAAATAACAAGGCATTCGCAAGAACTCATACATCTCAACAGTACAGAAGGCAAAATATGAAAGACATCTTCATTAAAAGATGTACATTTATTTGTATAACAGTGCTTTGATTACTTGATCTTTGAATGCTTCTAGTAATATCATTTTAGCTAGAAGTATGTGATATAAATGTAAAAATGTTTTAAGATGAAATGTAGAAAAGTGTTATAAATCCTAAACAGGACCCTTAAAAATGCTAACCAAATGATCTCCGTTATGATTACTTGGCTATTGTAACTCTGGAGTCCAACATGACTTTTAAACTGTAGTGTTGGTGGTGTTAGCAGTGTATGGGTATATGTGTATGTGTGGTTGTGATATACGCTGAACTTGTCATCATGTTTACACTTGAATATATACAATCCTAAACCTAAATATTTTTAAAAGATGCATTCAAAATTGTTTTCTAAGATGATGGCTAAAATCTATAATACATGAAAAAATATTTAAAATATAGATTAATTATAAAAAAGATTCCACAATAATATTTTAACATAATTGCCTTCTTGTAAAACATATTACATGTATATTGTTTATATATATATTTATATATGTTTGTATATAAACTTATTGCATATATGTTATATATATAACACATTATATACTATATATATATTTTTATATATATATATAGTGTACTGCATAAGGATAGAGGGTTTTCATTAGCTCTATAAGTTGTGATAAAGTATTTTCATTGGTTCTAACAGAAGCAGGAAAATATTGTGGTAGGCTCTTTCAAGCAGGCTGCCCCAGTATTTTGATATGTCACAACTTAAAGATATTTTATTGAGATTTTTTGATTCCAATGCCAAAGTTTCTTAAGGATCTTGATTTTAAAGGATCAGCTTCTCAATACAATATCCTTGATACTGATTTAAATCAAAGAACCAACTTTCTTAAGAATATATTATTGATGCTCTCAGTATTTGCAGTTATATAGTTTAACAAGTCCTATTGGTTTATTTTAGCTGATTTCCTTTTTTTCTTTTTCATTAGTATAATTTATGATTTTATCATATTACTTTTAATAGTTTCCTGTCTCCTTAAGATTGATTTTCCTAGAGTTTATATCCAAGCCTTTGTTGTCCTAGTCTTAATGAATCTGTTCTCAATAGCCTTCTACATTTCCAAATCTATTGTGATAGTAATAGCTGGGATGTTGCTATCCAGATTCCTGTTAGCCTGATCTAAACTATTTGGTCATTTTTTTCCCCAGCCAGTTCCATTTCCAGAGATTTAATCCTTTGGAGGGAACTCTATTTATTTGACTTTATGTTATTGTTTAGAGGAAATTATTTGAGAACAGCCTCATCTCCTGCTACTCACTCTTCCTTAAAGATGGAGTGATTATTTGTTAGATGAATTAGGGACAAGGACTTCAACATGCTGGCACAGACTTGTTTGTGCTTCTCTTTTTCTATCTGCCTGCCTGCAGAGAGAGTGTGGTTTAATTTGCTCTTTGCCTTGAGATCATGTTGAAGTGATTGACTGAGACTCTAGAGTAGGGTCTGTGCTGTCCCTTCTGTACCAGTGAAAGAGGAAGGGTGAGAGAAGGATGTTGGCAATAGGTAAGCCCTTTTTCCAAAGTTCAAAAGCCATGACCTCCACTCAGCTATTGCAATAGTAAAGCTGACAGTTTGATCAAAATATTTTTGTGTCCAGTTAAGAACTTGAAAGCAATAGACAGGTAAGTATCAGACCCTTGTACAATCCTAAAAACAGTCTATTCTTATTTTCTCTTATGTTGTTTTAGAAAAACAGGACCTGATTCAGATGCTCTAATTAAGCCTCCTATTGAAACTCTATTACATTTAGAATTGCATTTGCTATAATCTTTCTGGATTTGAGAAATTATTTGTAGGCAATTTTATTTCTGCATGAAATTTCCTTCTTGTCATTCTAATTTTTATAATCTTTCTACAGGTTTCTCATTTAAAATTGTGGTTTAGCACATGGTATTATACAGCAAGCTTGCTAGGCTTTGAATCTCTCTTCTGTTGCATACTGGCTATGTAAACTTGGGCAGGTTTCATCACCTGTAAAACGGAGGCAAAAATAACACCTTACTACTGTTGTTTTGCTGATTAACTAAAATAATATGTAGGAGGTGTCTGACACAATATGCACATGTTGTTAGTAAAAATAGTATTATGCCTTTTATTTTGACTCACTTTCATTCTCAGAAACCCTCAAAACTAGTATCCATGTATTCATGAACCATCGCTTAATATCAATGACTTAAAAGAAACTTGAAGAGGTAGAGAGACATAATTATATCTTATCCTCAAGTTGCTTACGGATGGATAACACAGAACTAAAAATATAATACCATGTAAAAAATTGCGTTAGTGGAGGAACACAGCTAAATTACTGTTCGTTCTTGAGATAAATGTGAAACTAGCTCTAGCTGTAAAGATCAAAACAGAAGTGGGCATGAAAGTTAATGCAGTTGTTTTAGGTATTCTTGAGTTGATAAGATTTACACACCTGTAAATAAAGTTTGAATTTATCATTATGGCCTGAATTAGATTTTAAATTTAATGGCATTTTAAAAGTAACTCAGGTTATAATCTAACTAAATATTAGGAAATTTAAGCAAGCTAATTTGAAATTTAGCAATTATTTTTGTCATAATATGAGTTGTCTTCTTGAAATGTCCAGTCATTTTAGGTCAAACTACAACCAAAACAAAAATATAATTTTGTAAGAAGACTGGCATAAGAAGTCAAAAATATAAAAGTGTTTTGGGGGAATAAAAACTATATTTTATCCTCTTGGTGTTGAAAATAAAACATGTTTTGGCTTTAGGTAACATTTACCTACTTATCAACTGTTCTTATTTTAAATTTTGAATTATTTTAATTATTAATTTATCTATAATGTTTTCTAATTTTTAAAAGTTTGTTGCTATATCTGGGGAACATTTTTTTTGTTGTTGTTGACAAAAATAAGCAATAGTAGTTTGCAAGCGATACTACAAAAGAAAGACATTTCTGAAGTGCTCAACTCCCAGAAAAAAATCCTTTGATATACTTGTATTTTCTTTGCCATTTATTAGCAGTAAAATTGGTTGAGACACAAACTTTATTAGCTCTTTAGGAAAATTACTTGTTTACAGAGAGCATGTAATTGGATCCTAAATGTAACAGTGTCTAAAAGTCTTTGAAAGCAATTTTCATGATGCAAAAAGATAGTCAAGTGATTTGAAACTCCAATTTCTTTGAGGATTTCAGATGTACCAAATATCATACAAACCATAGATATTGTTGCATTATAGCCAATTTGCTGGTAATATCAAATGATATTTTTCTTTTAAGTAGAAATAGTAGGAGAGAGTACCATTTGTCCTCAACCAAGGCATTTTAAATAAGCACACACTGTCATCTAGCATGCAAAGCCTTCTTCCTTAGATGGGAAACTGAAATGAACACATTATCTGGAATGTATTGAAAAGGAGATCTGAAACATAGTTGTTTATTAAAGTTTTAATTGTGAGGTTCTTTGAAGTCTTTAGGACAGCAATTTGTTTCTAGTGAGTTTGGGACGAGGAGGGTGGGAAATAGCTCAGTATTTCCTTTCTCTCAGTGGAACCATTATGTAAAAGATTACAAACAGATTTCTCTCCAAGAATCAAAGTCAAAACTGAAGTAAAACAGATGCTTCCTATTGATAAGTTGAAAATCAGAAACTTTTAAGAAAAGTAAAATTTGTTTTACAAGTTCAAGATAGAGCAAAATATGTCTATATGCAGGCTTGTATAAAAAGCTGTAATTTTTATTAAAAATTATTTTATAACAATATAAAAGACAGTTTCTGCTTCTGTTCTACCCAATAGCCATTCTCCTTGTCCCATTGATGGAAGCCTTCTTTCTAAAATTATAGAACCTGAGAATGCCATAGACTTTCCCAGATTCCCTTCCTCCTAGTGCTTGCTGTGTAAACAGTCCTGACCAATGGGATCAGAGAATTCTTGGGAAATTTTTCTCCTTGTTTAAAGTGAATTAAACACATCATATCTCTTCACTGCTTTATGTCTGTACATGAAGCCTGTAACTGATTGAGTTGCATTTGTGACCATGACAGGAAAGACAGCCTGTGTGTTGAGGATGGCATAAGGAACCGATGACAACCACCACCATCATCAGCTACTTCATTAAGATGAAACATCAGTGTTGGAATTTCTCTACCATTATTCTTCTCACCCTATGAGATAATAAACCCTCTTAATTTTTATTTATTTTTATAAAGGTATGCTGTTCCTTGTAGCTACACATTTCCTAAGGCATAGAGTGATTCTATTTCCACTGTGAGAAAAATTCATTTTGGTATTTTTGAAGAGTAGTTTTAATATATATACCCTAGTGGGACCCGTAAAGAATTATGTGCTTGTATCATTCCCTCCCGTTAAGTGTGGGCAAAATGTGTAAGTCGCTTCCAGGCAGTAGAATATAAAAAAGTGGTAGGATAGTCACTCTCTAGATTAGGTTACTTATGTAAGACCCTCTTTCAGCAAACAAGAATAAGATTCTTCTACTGGCCTTGAGAAAGTAAGCTGCATGCTGTGAGAAGGCCACAGTCAAGAAACTAAAGGTGGGCACCAGGAGCTGAGGGCAACACCTGCCTGATAGTTAGCAAGAAAATGAGGGCCTCAATCCTTCAACCACAAGAAATTGAATTCTACCAACAATCATGTGAGCTTGAACGTTGAGCTCCAGAAAGAATGTGGTCCAGCTCATAGCTTGTTAGCAGTCTTTTAAGACCCTGAGCCCAAGATCCACCCAAGCCTTGCTTAGATTCCTGACCTATAGATGTTGTCAGATAATAAATGTATGTGATTTTAGGTTTTTGGTGATTGGTTATATGGAAATTAATATCTAATATATCAAGTCACAAATACTTGCTCTGATAGGTAATTTTTATTTCACAATCAGTTCATATTCACCAAATCTATAATTGAGGCTTCTGTGTTTTGTGACCCAAAGAACAAACATTACAACTCATGACTTGCAATGTCTATTATTTCACCATTTATAGCCAGTTATGCCATCTTCAGATAAAATTTATACCATCAACTAAGCTTTCTAAAGCAATCTTCTACTATGTTTCTTTCATGAAATGTGTCATTTTTGTTTTACTCCATAAAATTGACAAACCTCTTTATAAATATCAAATATTACCACCTGGCAATGGTGTGGAAAAATAGGCACTCTCATATTATGACAGTGGATATGATAAATTGTAAAAACATTTTAAAGAGTAATTTGGTAATACATTTTAAAACTTTAAAATATTTTTTCTTCATTACCTCAATACATCAAATAATTCAAATCAAGTACTTAATCTTATACCCAACATACCTCATCAAACTGCACTTTGTGCAAAACAAAATGCATCTGTTTCTCCTCTCAACTCTAACTAACCCCCTTTCCACTTTTCAATGTTCACTATTTTAGTGAATGTTACTTCTATGACCCCAATTGTCCAAGCCTGGATATTTCCCTCCCCCAGCTCTCTTTATCATTCAAAACAAAAAGTTGCCAGTTCTGTATCTGCCATTGCTACTCTCCGATCATACTGATCTTTTAATAACATTATGCTATTAAGAACTCACTATGTTATTACTTAAAGAAAGTCCTTCAATTACTCTCCATTACATGAATTACAAGGGCCACCTAACCCAGCCCTTGT
This sequence comes from Homo sapiens, assembly GCF_000001405.40. Lineage (NCBI taxonomy): Eukaryota > Metazoa > Chordata > Mammalia > Primates > Hominidae > Homo > Homo sapiens. The sequence goes on along the minus strand of NC_000004.12, from coordinate 65,122,796 downwards.
TTTTTTGATGGCTCCTTCTTTGACAATGTAGAGGGGGAAAAAAAAAGAATCTTAGATCTGGAAGGGCCTTAGATAATCAGTTAGCTTAATGCTCATTTAATAGAATGTAAGACAAAGTCCTGACTATTTCAACATGATGCTCTCTCAAGTTTTGTATAGATTTAGAATGCATATTTAATATTCTTTGTTCAGACTCAAGGTCATTTTATCTTCTGCATTATATAAACTGGTAAATTGAATTTAATCTGTTGTGTAGTTTTAGTTTTATTATAAAACATCATTTTTAAATAGAACACTTTTGGACCAGTTTTAGGTTCAGATAAAAATTGAGTGGAAGGTACAGAGATTTTCAATATATTTCTGCATGTGCACGTGCATAACCTTTGCTATTATTAGCCTCCCCCACCAAACTAGTACATTTGTGAAAATTGATAAATGACACTGATGCATTATTATTACCCAAAGCCCATAGTTTACATTAGGGTTAGATCTTGGCGTTTTACTTTCTATTGATTTGGACAAATATATAGTGACATGTATCCACCATTATGGTATCATGCAGAGTCATTTCACTGACCTAAAACTCCTCTATTCTCCACTTATTTATCCCTAACCACTGGCAACCACTGATCTTTGACTGAGAACTGGCCTTTCACAGAAGTTATTAATCTTAATAAAGTTCAGCTCATCAGCTTTCTTCTTTTGTGGGTTGTGCCTCGGTGTTGCATGCAAAAAGTCATTGCCATACCCTAGATCTTCTAGATTTTCTCTTACATCATCTTCTAGGAGTTTTATAGTATTCCATTTTATATTTAAGCATAGAATCCATTTGAGTTAACATTCAAAAAAGGTGTGTGTAAAGTCTAAGTTTTGATTTTTTTTCATGTGAGTGTCCAGTTGTTCCAGCACCATTTGTAGAAAAGATTTTTTTCCTACTGTATTGCCTTACTTTTTTGTCAAAGATCAGTTGACTATATCTATGTGGGTCTATTTTTGGATTCGCCCTTCTATTCCATTAATCTATTTGTCTATTATTTTGCCAACATTACACTGTCTTTATTACTGGCTTTATAGTAAGTCATGAAGTCAAATAGTGACAGTCCTCCACCTTTTTTTCTCCTGCAATATTGTGTTGGTTTTTCAGTGCCTTTTGCCTCTCCATAGCCTCTCCTAACTAATTACAGGCCCATTCAGATTTAATATTTCTTTATTATTTAGTCCTGATTTTTTTTTTCCTAGAAACTTGTCCATTTCATGTAGGTTACTCAATTTGTTGGCATACAATTGGTCACAGTACTCTCTTATATGTCTTTTTATTTCTATAAATTAAATAGTGATGTTCTCATTTTCATTTCTGGTTTTAGTAATTCAAGTGTTTTTTCTTTATTTTCTTTATCTATAGTTAAAAATTTGTCATTTTTTCTTTTTAAGTAACAAACTTTGGGTCTCATTGATTGCTATATTTTCTTTTCATTCCCTATTTTGTCTATCTTTCCTCTAATATTTATTATTTTCTTTCTTCTATTAACTTTAGTTTTAGATTTTTATTTTTATTTAGTTCCTTTAGTGGAAAAGTTAGGTTGTTGATTTAAGATGTTTCTTGTTTTTTAATATGTTTATAGCCATAAATCTTACCTTATCACTGCTTTTGCTTTGTTCCATAAGTTTTCATATGTGTGTGTTTTCATTTTTATTTATTTTGATCTATTTTGTAATTTACTTTTCTTCTTTGATCCATTGGTTGTTTAAAAGTGTGCTGTTTAATTTTTACAATTTCATAAATTTTCTATTTTTAATTTTGTTATTGATTATGTTTTGTGATTGATTGTTAACTTTATCCCATTTAGGTAGAACAAGATACGTTGTTTTATTTATCATTTTAAATCTATTCAGACAATTTGTAGCCTAACATTGTTTATTCTGGAAAATGTCTCACTTGCCCTTGTGAAGAATGTACATAGGTGTGGTCATCTCAATTGATGTAGAAAACACATTTGAAAAAAATAACAATCTTCTATAATAAAACTCAACAAATGAGGAAGAAGAGAAACTGCTGCAACATATTAAGAGCCATATTTGAAAAACCCACAGCAAATATCATACTTATTGATTAAAAATTAAAAGTTTTTTCTCTAAGATGAAGACAAAAACGTTTACTCTCACCACTTCTATTTTATGTAATATTAAAAATTCTAGCCAGAGAAACTAGGTAAGAAATGAGGTAGAAAAAGAAACATGTGAGGTACTTAGAGGTACCTCTACTTATGTGAGGTACTTAGAGTATTTATAATCATAGAGACAGAAAGTAGAATGGTGGTTGCCAGGTGCTGAAAGGAGGGGAAATGAGAAAGTATTGTTTCCTTTTTGTTTTTCTTACATAGTTTATTACCTAGAGAAATACAAACAAAAAACATTCAAATTAGAGAAATAGAAATAGAATTATCTTTATTCACAGAAGAAATATTCTTATTTGTACAAAATCCTAAAGATTCTGCAAAAGACCTGTTAGAACTAACAAATAATTCACCCGAAGTTGTAGGCAACAGGTAAAATCATTATATTTCTAGACACTAAAAATAAACAATTTGAGTAGAAATTTATAAAAATAATTTCATTTATCATAGCATACAAATAATAATATACTTGAGAAGTAACTTAACCAAGAAGGTGAAAGACTTGTAGAATGAAAATTATGAAACATTGGTGAAAGAAATTAAAGAAGACATAAATAAATAGAAATATATTTCATATTTATGGATTGGAAAACTTAATATTTTTAAGAATATTGCCAATCCTACCTCAAGTTATCTGCAGATTTAATGCAATTCCTGTCAAAATTATGATGATGTTTACCACAGAAATAGAAAAGCTCATCCTAAAGTTCACATGGAATTTCAAGGGAACCCAAATAGATAAAATAATCATTATAAAGAAAAACAAAGCTAAAAGACTCACACTTTCTGATGTCAAGACTTACTATAAAGCTACATTAATCAAAATTGTGTGATACTGGCATTAAGACAAACATACAGACAATGAAATAGAATAGAGAGCCCAGAAATAAATCCTACACGTATCTTCAAATTATTTTGACAAAAGCGCCACAACCATTCAATGGGCACAAGGCAGTCTTTGCAACACATGGTGAAGGCAAACCTGAATATCCACATGCACAAGAAAGAGGTAGATACCATATGCAAATAATTTTTAAAAAACTCAAAATGGATCAAAGGCATTAATGTAATATCTAAAACTATTAGAAGCAAACATAGGGCATAAACTTCACGACATTTGATTTAGCAGTGACTTCTTCAATATGACACCAAAGGCTTAAGCACAAAGGAAAGTATTGACAAACTGGATTTAATAACAATTTAAATATTTAGGGCCTCAAAAGATCCTATAAACAGTGTAAAGACATTGCGCAAAATGAGAGAAATTATTTGTAAATCATGTATCTGACAAAATGGTAAAATCCAGAATGTAAAAGAACACCTAAAGCTCAACAACAACAACAAAAACAAACACACACAAAAAAGATGAAAAAAATGGGTAAAGGATTTGAACAGACATTTAACCTGAGAAGTATGCACAAATGGCTGATAAGCATATAAAAGAAAATCAGCATCACTAATCATCAGGGAAATGCAAATCAAAAATACAAGAGATAAAAAAATAAAAAAAAAAAAACAAGTGTCGGCAAGGATGTAGAGAAATTGGAATCCTTTTGCACTGTTAGTGCAAATGTAAAGTGGTACAGCTTCTCTGGGAAAGAGTGTGGTAGTTCCTCAAAAAAATAAAAATAGACTTCCACATGATCCAACAATTCCACTTCTGAGTATAAACTCAAAGGAATTGTAAGCAGGATCTCAGTAGCATTATTGACACTAGCTAAAATGCAGAAGCAAACTAAGCCTCCATTGACAGATGAATGGAAAAGCAAAATATGGTAGAGACATACAATGGAATATTATTCAGCTTTAAAAAGAAATGAAATTTTGGCATCTGCTATAACATGAATGAACCTTGAGGACATTATGCTAAGTGAAGTAAACTAGTCACAAAAGGGCAAATACTGTAGGATTCCACTTACATGAGGTACTTACAGTAATTATAATCATAGAGACAGAAAGTAGAATGGTAGTTGCCAGGTACTGGAAGGAGGGAGAAGTGAGAAAGTGTTGTCTAATGGGTGTAAAGATTTAAAAGAAGAAAATACATTTCAAGATGGATGGTGGTGATGGTTGCACAACATTAAGAATGTATTTAATACCACTGAACTGTACACTTAAAGTGATTAATGTAGTAAACTTTGTTGTATATATTTTACAACAATAAAAACATTGAAAAAAATAAACAAAGCCCTGATACATATTACAATATAGATTAATCTTGAAAATACTATACTAAATGAAAGAAGCTAATCATAAAAGGCTACATATGTTATGATTCCATTCATATGAAATGTTCAGAATAGGCAAATGTGACAGAAAGTAGATTAATGGTTGTCTAGACCATCAGTATTCAAAGTGATTATGGATATACTTTTATGAATATCTACCATATTTATTACTGTTTTCTATTTCTTGGCCATGTTCTTTGCTCCTATTTTTGTTTTGCCCTCTTTTTCTGCCTTTTCTAATTGTAATCGAGCTTTTTATATGTATATATTTTCTTTGTATATGATTTATATTTCTTTCTGTATATTTTTGTGGTTTCCCTAGAATTTGCAAATACATTTCCAACTATTTCAAGTCTATTTTATTATTTTTAATTTTTATGGATACATAGTAGATGTATATATTTATGGAGCACATGACATATTTTGATACAGGAATACAATGCATAATAATCATATCAGGGTATATGGGCATTTATCCTCAAGCATTTATCATTTGTTTGTGTTATAAACATTCCAATTATATTCTCTTAGTTATTTTTAGAGGTACAGTTATTTTTAGAGATACAGTAAATTATTGTTTACTGCAATCACCTGTTTGTGCTGTCATATACTCATTTTATTCATTTTCTCTAAGTATATTTTTGTAGCCATTAACCATCCCCAACTCTCCTGCTCCCCGTTACCTTTATTATCCTCTGCCACAAGTCAGTGAAGACATTCACAGTTTGTCTTTCTGTGCCTGGTTTATTTCACTTAACATAATGTCCTCCAGTTCTATCGATGTTGTTGCAAATGACAGGATTTCATTTTTTTTATGGTTGCATAGGACTCCATTTTGTGTATATTTACCATATTTTTTAATCTGTTTTTTTTGTCAATGGACATGTAGATTGGTTCCAAATCTTGGCTGTTGTGAATAGTGCTACAATAAACATGGGAGCACAGATATCACTTTGATATGCTGATTTCCTTTCTTTTGGGCATATACCCAGCACTGGGATTACTCGATCATATGGTGGTTCTATTTTTATATAGTTTCTTGAGGAACCTCCAAACTCTCCATAGTAGCTATACTCATTTATATTCCCACCAACAGTGTATGAGGATTTCCTTTTCTCCACTTCCTCACTAGCATTGTTGCTCTTATGGATAAAAGCCATTTTAATGCTGATAAGATAGCACCTCATTGTAGTTTTAATTTACATTTCTCTGATGATTTTTTCAAATTCCTGTTCGCCATTTGTATGTCTTCTTTTGAGAAATGTCTTTTCAGATATTTTGCCCATTTTTAATTGAATTATTAGATGTTTTCTAATTGAGTTGTTTGAGCTCCTTATATATTGTGGTTATTAATCCCTTGTCAGGTAGATAATTTGCAAATTTTTTTCCCATTCTGACTGCTGTCTCTTCGTTTTGTTGATTGTTTTCTTTGTTATGCAGAATATTTTTAACTTGTCGTGATCCCATTTGTCTATTTTTGCTTTGGCGCCTGTGCTTTAGGGATATTACTCAAGAAATTTTTGCCCAGACCAGTGTCCTGAAGGGTTTCCCGAATGTTTTATTTTAGTAGTTTCATAGGTTGAGGTCTTAGATTTAAGTCTTAAATCCATTTAGATTTGATTTTTGTGTATGGTGAGAGGCAGGATCTCATTTCATTCTTCTGCATATAGCTATCCAATTTTCACAGCATCATTTGTTGAAGAGACTGTCTTTAGCCCAATGTGTGATCTTGACATCTTTGTCAAAAATGAGCTTACTGTAGATGTATGGATTTATTTATGGGTTCTCTGTTCTGTTCCATTGGTCAATGTGTCTGTTTTCATGCCACTACCATTACATATGCTATGCCATTTAATCCTGGTAATAGCCTTGTGTGATACACATATTTATTTCTATTTTACAAATAGAAAAGAATAGAACTCTTGCAGGTTATTTAATTTGCCCAAGGTCAAATGACAAAGGCTGTTTGAGTTACTACAGCTCTGTAGTGAGTTACTACAGCGCTGTAGTATAATTGAAGCCAAGTAATGGGATTCCTCCATTTTTGTTCTTTTGGCTCAGGACAGCTTGTACTATTCTGGGTCTTTTGTGGTTCTGTATAAATTTTAGGATTTTTTTTTTCTGTGAAGAATGTCATTGATATTTATTGAATTTTGTTATGTGTTCTACTGGTTTTTTGGTGAAGTTTTTAGGTTTTTCCAAATACAGACTCATATTACCCTGAAAACAAGGCTAATTTGATGTCTTTCTTTCTTATGTGGATGTGCTTTCTTTCTTTCTCTTCTCTGATTGCTCTGGCTAGGATTTCCAGTACCATGTTGAATCACAATGGTAAAAGTGAACATCCTTGTGGTGTTCCAGTTTTTAGAGGAAAGGCTTTCAGTTTTCCCTTATTCAGTATGATACTAGCTGTGGGTCTGTCATATGTGCCTTTTATTGTTTTGAAGTATGTTCTTTCTGTAATCAATTATTTTGAGAGTTTTTATCCTGAAGGGATGTTGAATTTTATCAAATGCTTTTTCAGCATCAATTGAAATGATCATATGAATTTTGTTCATTATTATGTTGATATAATTATCACATTGATTTGAGTGTGTTAAACCATCTTTGCATCCCTGGGATAAATCCCTTGTGGTCATGATGAATGATCTTTTGAATGTGTTGTTGAATGTTATTTACTAGTATTTTGTTGAAGATTTTTGCATGAATGTTGATCGGGAACACTGGCTTATAGTGGGGTGTGTGTGTGTGTGTGTGTGTGTGTATCTGCTTTTGGTGTCAGGGTAATACTGGCATTGTAGAGTAAGTTTAGAAGAATCTTCCCTTCTTTTATTTTCTGGTTTAGTTTGAGTAGGACTGGTATTAGCCCTTTCAAATGTTTGACAAAGATCAGTAGAGAAGCCATTGGGTCCTAGGCTGCTTTTTTTTTTCTGAGAGACTTTTTACTACAGCTTTGATCTCATTACTTATTATTGGTCTATTCAGTTTTAGGTTTACTAATGGTTCAATAATGGTATGTTGTATGTATCTAGGAATTTATCTACTTCTTTTAAGATTTCCAATTGTTGGCACATAGTTGCTCACGGTAGCCTTTAAAGGTCCATAAGATTTGTGTGGTTATCAGTAGTAATGTCTCCTTTTTAATGTCTGATTTTCTTTATTTGGGTCTTTTCTCACTTTTTTTTTTCTTAGGCTGGCTAAAGTTTTGTTGATTTTATTTTTTTAAAAAACAATTTTAAATTTCATTGATGTTTTTCATTTCAATTTTATATATTTCTCCTCTGATCTTTATTATTTCTTTCTTCTACTAATTTTGGGTCAGTTTGCTATTGCTTTTCTGGTTCTTTAAGATGGATCATTAATTTTTTTATATTAAGTATTTCTACTTTTGAGATGTAGGCACTTATTGCTATAAACTTTCCTCTTACTACTGCTTTTGTTATATTCCATAGGTTTTGGTATGTTGCATTTCCATTTTAGTTTGGTTCAAAAAATATATTCATCTTTCTTAATTTCTTCATTGATCCATTGGTCATTCAGAAGCATGCTGTGTCATTTCCATGTGTTTGTATAGTTTCCAAAGTTCTTGTTATTGATTTCTAGTTTTATTCCATTGTGGTCAGAGAAGATACTTGATACATTTTTTTTTAAATTTAGTTAAGACTTGTTTTGTGCCTAACATATGGCCTGTCCTTGAGAATGATCTGTGTGCTAAGAAGAATGTATATTCTGTAGCCATTGAATGAAATGTTCTGTACATATCTGTAAGGACTATCTAATCTATAGGACAGATTAAGTCCAATGTTTCTTTGCTGATTTTCTGTCTGGGTTTTCTGTCCAATGCTGAAAGTGAGATGTTAATGTCTCCAACTATTATTGTACTGGGGTCCATTTGTCTCTGTAGCTCTAATATTTGCTATTTGTATCTGGGTACTCCAGTGTTGAGTGCATATATATTTACAATTATTTTGTACTCTTATTGAATTGAATCCTTTGTCATTATATAATGACCTTCTTTGCATCTTTGTATAGTTTTTGTTTTGAAGTTAATTTTGTCTAAGTATACCAACTCTTTCTCTTGTTTTGGTTTTCAGTTGCATAAAATATTTTTCCATCCCTTAATTTTCAAACTATATGTGTCTTTATAGGTTAAGTGTCTTTCTTGTAGGCAAGAGATTGTTCTTGTTTTTTAACCCATTCAGTCACTCTATGTCTTTTGAGTGGGGGACTTTGTCCATACACTTTCAATATTACTATTAAGCAAGGACTTACTACTTCCATTTTATTTGTTTTCTGATTTAGTGTTTGGGTGTTCCCTTCCTCCCTTTCTCCTGTCTTCCCTTCCTTCTTTCCTTCCTGTCTTCCTTTTTTTTGATGATGATTTTCTCTGGTGCTATGTTTTAATTTTTTGCTTTTTAATTTTTGTGTATCTGTTGTAAGTTTTTTGATTTGAGGTTACCATGAGGCTTGGAAGTAACATTTTATAATCAATTATTTTAAACTGATGACAGCTTAACAGTGATTGCACAAACTAATACGTGAATATAAAGCTAATAAAAACGACACCTTTACTTCATCCTCCACTCACTGCTTTTTAACTTGTGTTCCTGTTCATATTTTATTATACTATGTCTTGAAAAATTGTTGTAGTTGTTACTTTTGATAGGTTATTCTTTTAGTCTTTCTACTAAAGGTATGAGTAGTTTATATACCACAACTACAGTGTTACAATATTCTGTGTTTTACCGTGTACCATTTATCTTCAAGTAATATTCTACCTTTTCATGAGTAGTGTGAGTACTTCATAATAAAAATTATCCTAATTCTTTTTTCTTTCCTGCATATTATTGCTGTCATTCATTTCCCTATATATAACCATATATATGTACATATATACACAAACACACACACACATAATCAAATACACAATTGCTATTACTATTTTGAACAAACTATCATGTTAGGTTAATTAAGAATAAGAAAAGTTAAAGCTTTTATGTTACCCTAACTTATATCTTCTTCGTCACTCTTACTTTATTTTATTAGATCTGAGTTTCTGACCTTTATAATTTCCCTTCTCTCTGAAGAATTTCTTTTAATATTTCTTGCAAGGTATGCCTGGTGGCAACAGATTCCCTCAATTTTTGTCTTTATTTCTCCTTCACTCTTGAAGGACAATTTTTCAGTGTATAGACTTCTAGCTCATGGGTTTTTTTCTCTCAACACTTTAAATAGTTTGCTACACTCTTCTTTTGCTTATATGCCTTCTGAGGAGAAATTTAATGTAATTCTTGTCTTTTCTCCTTTATAAGTAATGTGTTTTCTCCCTCTGTTTTCTTTTGAGATTTTGTCTTTGTCTTTGGTTTTCTATAGTTTAAAAGTTACATAGCTAGGTGTGGGTTTTGAGGAATGTAACTTGCCTGGTACTTTTTTGAGTTTCCTGTGTAGTGGTTTGGTGTCTAATATTAATTGGGGGGAAATTCTGAGTCATTAGCTCACATTTTTCTCTTCTTTTCTATCTTCTTCCTCTGGAACTTTCATTACATATATGTTATACCTTTTGGAGTTGTTCTATCATTCCTGAATATTCTGTTATGTTTCTTCAGTCTTTTTTATCTCTGTTTTTAAGTTTTGGCAGTTTCTATTAAGACATCCTCAAGCTCAGGAATTCTTTCTTCAGCTATGTCCAGCTTACCATGAAGTCCATCAAAGGCATTTCTTCATTTCTGTTACAGTATTTTTTTTATATATCTAGCATTTCTCTTTTGTTCTTTGTTCTAATACATCTCTCTGCTTCCATCAGCCATCTGTTTTTACATGTGTTTTACTTTATTCATTAGTTCGTTTAGCATTTTACTCATAGTTCTTTTAAATTCCCATTCTGAGGATTTTAATATTCTTGAAATATCTGAGTCTGGTTGATGTGCTTGCTTGACCTGACTCTTCAAACTGTGTTTTTGCTTTTTAGTGTGGCTAGTATATTTTTCTTCATAGCCAGGCATGACACACTGGGTAAAATTAACTGTTATAAATAATCCTTTACTGATGCAGTGGTAAGATGTGTGGAGGGGGAAAGTGTTGTATAGTTCTGTGAGAAGGTCTTACTTGTTTTATTAACTTTTAACTCTGGAGTGTAAACTTCAAATGTACTTCTCAGTTTTTCTCCCCTCCTGTTGGACAGAATAGCTAGGGCAAGCTGAAGTTGGGTATTTCCCTTCTTCCACATGTTAGTCTAGAACCATCTGCTGTTGGATATTTTCCTTTCCCCTGATCAGTTAGTCTTTAATTAAATGGTTTCCCTGGAGGACAGGCCTTGTTAAGAGCAGAATGCTCTGGCCATTTCAAAATAGTTCCTTTTTTCTCTCTTGCTGCCAAAATACAAGGGGATTTTCCTCCAATACTCGCTGTAAGAACCTTGTTGAGCTCCTAAAATAAAGCTCAAGTGACTGAGTTACCCTTGAGATTTTATCTCTCAGCCTTGTCTACAATAAGCATCCAGCAATTTGTCAGTTATACTTCAGGTGTCTCTATTTCAGCACTGTTTTCCATGAAGATTTGTGCTTATTGGCCTCTGGAAAGTCACAGTTCTCTACATTTACCTATTGGTCTCTCCAACTTTTAGGGCAGGGGGCTGCACTGTGACCTCCCCTTGATGATGAATCTAAGAAGAGATGCTGACTTTCAGTTGGTTAAGCTTCTTACTTGTTGTTAGAATAAAGTGGCAACTTCTAGCTTCTTCCATGGTGAACTGGAAACCAGAAGTCAGGCCAAAGGTTTCGAAGTCAACATATTGCCTTCATGTGTTCAGGCTTCTATAACAAAATGCCATAGACTGGGTGGTTTGTAAGCAACAGAAATGTATTTCTCACAGTTCTGGATGCCGGAAAGTCCAAGATCAAGACAACTGCATATTTGTTAACTGGTAAGGGCCTGCTTCCTTGTTCGTCAACAATCTCACATGGCAGATGGGATAAGGGGGCCCTCTGGGACCTAATTTATAAGGGCGTTAATTCCATTCATGAGGCTTAGTTCTCATGGCCTAATTATCTAACAAAGACTCCACCTCCTAATGCTATCACATTGGGAGTTAAAATTTTAACATATGAATTTTGAAGGAGATACAAGCATTCTGACATTTGAATTTCGGGTATGGTGGACACAAGCATGTCATTATAATGAATGAAAATATCAAGGCATAGCACACTGGAGACTTTCTATATTGTTATTTTCTAGTGAACTAAACCCAGTTATCTTTATTCAATTCAGATTCAGGTTTGAATTCTGATTGTAATCAGGAGTATACTACTCCAAACCTTATTTTTCTTATTCACTAAACAAATGTCATAGTTATACCTACTTCAAGATGATTGTGACCATTAAGTAAAACTTGATCTTTTATAATGCTTTATATAAAACTTCACAGGATGTACATGCTCAAAACAAGTTAGCTATCATGTTGCTCTTGCTGTTGTTGTTGTTCATGTAATGGAAAATGGGCCTCTGAGATGTTTTCACTGTAAAATTAATGTTAACACTACAACAAAAGTGTATTGTAATTCCATTTAGTAGACTAGTATACATAGTTTTCTATATAAAATACATTTCTTTAAAAGTGCAATAAAAAGCAATCATTGGAAACAATTTTCTACAAATGCAGACTAGGAAATTTCACTAGAGTTTGTGGAAATAATAGGAAATAATCCAATCTGTCCCTGAGAACAAGTTTTCCTGTAATATCTGGTCTTGCCTTTATAAAAATAGTAGCCATAATGAGAAAAATAAACAGATTGAGACAAGATTTTTATTTTATTCAGATTTATTTTTTTAGACTGGTTAATATTTTTATTATTATATTTTAAGTTCTGGGGTACATGTGCACAACGTGCAGGTTTGTTACATAGGTATACACGTGCCATGGTGGTTTGCGGCACCCATCAACTCAACATCTACATTAGATATTTCTCCTAATGCTATGCCTCCCCTAGCCCCTGACCCCCCAGCAGGCCCCGGTGTGTGATGTTCCCTTCCCTGTGTCCATGTGTTCTCATTGTTCAACTCCCACTTATGAGTGAGAACATGTGGTGTTTGGTTTTCTGTTCTTGTGTTAGTTTGCTGAGGATGACGGTTTCCAGCTTCATCCGTGTCCCTGCAAAGGACATAAACTCATCCTTTTTTATGTCTGCATAATATTCCATGGTGTATATGTGCCATATTTGCTTTATCCAGTCTATCATTGATGGGCATTTGGGCTCGTTCCAAGTCTCTACTATTGTGAATAGTGCCACAATAAACATACGTGTGCATGTGTCTCATAGTAGAATGATTCATAATCCTTTGGGTATATACTCAGTAATGGGATTGCTGGGTCAAATGGTATTTCTACTTCTAGATCCTTCAGGAATCGCCACACTGTCTTCCATAATGGTTGAACTAATTTACACTCCCACCAACAGTGTAAAAGTGTTCTTATTCCTCCACATCCTCCCCAGCATCTGTTGTTTCTTGACTTTTTAATGATCGCCATTCTAACTGGCATGAGATGGTATCTCATTGTGGTTTTGATTTGCATTTCTCTAATAACCAATGATGATGAGCTTTTTTTCATATGTTTGTTGGCTGCATAAATGTCTTCTTTTGAGAAGTGTCTGTTCATATCCTTCACCCACTGTTTGATGGGGTTGTTTGTTTGTTTTCTTGTACATTTGTTTAAGTTCCTTGTAGATTCTGGATATTAGCCTTTTGTCAGATGGATAGAGTGCAAAAATTTTCTCCCATTCTGTGTTGCTGATTGATTGCCTTAACCACTTAGTTAATATACTACATTTATTAAGGTAGCAAATTAAACCATACCATTAGGATATCTATCAACTTTGGCCATCTATATTTGGTATCATTCTTTTTCTATCAAAGTTCTTTGCTTCTACTTCTATGAGTAGCATATAACAACTTATTACACATAATATTTTCTAAGTGTTAAGAATGGTACTTTGACATAGAAACAAATTAGTTAGTAAGAAGAATGCAACAACTGCTGTGCCACAAAGAAAATGATCTAAGAATAACTTAATTTTTACTCAATGATCAGTTGCTCTTTTTAAGAGTATAAATAGTTGGCAGAGTTTTAATTGCAACTATATTATGTTGAATTATATTCATATACTTAATTCTTATTACATATCTGGAATATATGAAGTTCTAGAAATATTGAAAGCTATAGTAATCATAATTTTTTCCTAATTTTTCATATTTTTCTCTTATAAAAATTGAATCTAGATAATTGCATTGAAATTTGTTTAATATTTTATAAAGAAATTAATTGAAGTTAACAAGCTATTTTTCTGCCTTCTGTTCTAATTTTTTTCCTATATTTGATCAAAATTTATTTACAGTTTGTATTTGTTGGATTGCAAGAATGTTAAACCTAGATTTTAACTTTTGTTTTTACTATTTGTGTTTTTCTATGTCTTATATAAATATGCTGTTAATAAATAATAATACTGCCATTTTATAAGTTGATTACTTTATAAAAGCTATGTTTAATGAATATTAATGAGCTGGTAAATGAGAAAACAAAAAGAAGTATGTTGCATATAGCTAATCCAAGTGTGGACTAAATTCCTAGGAAAATTATACTACATTGTCCACATCTTCATTAAAACATTTGTTGAGGTTAAATAAAAACAAATAAGTACCATGATAATATGAGCTTATTACTATGTTTAAAAACACTTTACAGCATTATCCTTAATTCTTACAACTATATATGATAATAACATTCTCCTTTTGCAGATGAAGAAATTGAAGCTAAGAGTTTTAATTAAATTTGACCGAAGTTACACAATTAATTAGTTCCTGAGATATGATATGTGACCCATATCTGCCTGACTCCAGAGCAGGTGCTATTTTTACGGTAACATGATTTTTCTTTCAAATACAAGCATTGAATAAAGAGAAGCAGAAGCACTATGGGGCCTGGAAGTTTCTAGGGACTGAACATTTTCTTCAGGAGGGAGAAATCACACTGATTTTGCCACATTGATTGCAAAAAAGCATCTGAGACAATTTGAGAAAAATAAGTTATAGGATTTTGTTAGTATTTCTTTTAAACATCATCAAGTCAAGTACACATGCATGTATGTGTGTCCATGCTCACACCTACACACCTTATTCTCTTTATTGATAATAAGCTTTCATAATTTTTATAGCTTCATATATTTTGCAAAACTCTTCAGAATTATAGGCATGAGGCTTAAAACATAGTATGGACAGCTCTCTTGTATGGATGAAAATAAAATATTTGTATTATTTAGACACTATTTTATGTTTTTCTTCTTTATTTAATATTTAAATTTTTTCTCAAAGCAACATAAGACAATAGCATTGCCTGATCTTTTTCAAATGAAGATATATTTGTGTTAATAATTTTTAAATTTATAATTGACACATAATAACTCTACATATTTATGGGTTGTAGTATGAAGGTTAAATGCATGGATGCATTGTATAATGATCAAATCGGGGTAATTAGCATATTATTCACTTTAAATATTTATCATTTCTTGTAATGACAACATTCAAAATTGTATCTTCTATCTTAAAATACAGACTACATTCTTATTTACTAAAGTCATTCTACTACGTAATAAAATACCAGAATTTATTCTTCCTGCTTACTGGAATTTTTGCATGTCGACCGACCACTTCCAACCTCCTACTCCCTCCTATCCTGTCCATTTTATGTTACCCCATTCTACTCTTTACTTCCATGAAATCAACTTTTTAAGTTTCCACATATGGGTGAAATAATGTGTTTGTCTTTCTATGCCTGGCTATTTGACTTAACACAATGCTCTCTAGTTTTATCCATGTTGCCACAAATACAAATTTCATTCTGCTTTACGGCCAAATAGTATTCTATTGTGTATATAATCCACACTTTATCCGTGCATCCCTTGATGGATTCTTAAGTTGATTCACTATCTTAACTATTGTGAATAATGCTGCAATAAGCATGCAAGAGCAGATGTCTCTTTGACATACTGATTTTATTTCCTTTGGATATATACTCAGTAATGGGATTTTAATATTTTGAGGAACTTCGATGCTGCTTTTTTATTGGCTGTACTAATTTACATTCCAACCAATAGAGTATGAGTTCCCTTTACTCTGCTTCTTTGCCAATATTTCTTAGGTTTTATCTTTTTTGATAATAGCCATTCGGAGTGGGGTGAGGTGATATCCCATTATGTTTTCCATTTGAATTTCCCTGATGATTAGTGATGCTGAACATTTTTTCAAATATTAAATATATGTCTTCTTTTGAGAAACATCTATTCAAATCTTTTGCCATTTTCAAGTCAGATCATTTGTGTGTTTGTTTTATTGTGCTGTTCTGGTTACTTTTATATCCTGGATATTTACTCATTGTCAGATGAATAGTTTGCAAATAACTTCTCCCATTCTGCAGGTTGTCTTTTTATTTTATTGATGGTTTCCTTAGTTGTGAAGACGCTTTTTATTTAGTTGTAATTTCATTGGTCTATTTTTGCTTTTGTTGCTTGTGCTTTGAGGTCTTATTCTAAAAATATTTGCCAAGTTAAAATTTATGAGGCAGTTACCCTACATTTTCTCCTAGTAGTTTCAACATTTCATGTCTTACATTTAAGTCTTTAAATTATTGAGAGTTTATTATTGTATATTGTAAGAGAAAAGGATCTAGTTTCATTCTTCTGCATGTGGCTAGCCAGGTTCCCCAGAACTATTAGTTGAAGATACAGTTCTTTCCCTAATGTATATTCTTGGTGTCTTAGTTGCAAGTTAGTTGGCTGTAAATGCATGGATTTATACCTGAGTTCAATATTCTTGTTCATTATTCTGGTCTATGTGTTTATGTTTATGCCAATTGCATGCTGTTTTGAATACTATAGCTTTGTAGTATATTTTGAAGTCAGTTCGTGTAATGTCTCCAGCTTTGTTATTTTTGTTCAAGATCATTTTGTCTATCCCAGGGTCTTTGGCATTTCCATGTGAATTTTAACATTGTTTTACTATTTTTGTGAAGAATGCCATTAGTATTTTAATATAGATTACATTGAGTACAGATAGTCAATATGGACATTTGTACCTACTAATTCTTCTAGTTCATGGACAGGGGATGTATTTTCATTTATTTGTGTCCTCTCTAATTTTTTTCATCAATTTATTTTTTGATTTTTATGGTAAAAATTTGTCACATACTTAGTTAAGTGTATTCCTAGATATTTTATTGTATTTTTAGAGCTATTATAAGTGGGATAACTTCTTTGATTTTTCAGAGAATTCACTATTGTTGAATAGAAACACTACTAGTTTTCATAAGTTCATTTTCTATTCTGCAAATTTGCTAAATTCATTTGTTAATTGGAACAGTTTTTTGGTGGAGTCATTAAGATTATATATATATATATATATATATATATATATATAATAATTTGTATGCAAAGAGGGACAATTTAATTCCCTCCATCCCAATTTGGATGTCCATTATTTCTTTTGCTGCCTAACTGCTCTGGCTAAAACTTCCAATATTATGTTGAATAAGATTGAGGAAAGTGGGCATACTTATCTTGCTACAGATCTTACAGAAAACACTTTTAACTTTTTCTTGTTCAGTATAATGTTAGCTGTGGGTTTGCCATGTATGTCCTTTACTGTTTTGAGGTATGTTTTTTTCTATACCCAGTTTGTTAAGGTCTTTGATTCTAAAAGCATTTTAAAAATTTATCAAATTTCTTTCAGCATCTATTGAAACAGTCTTATGGGTTTTGTTCTTGATTCTGTTCATGTAATGTATCATGTTTATTGATTTGTATATGTTGAACCATCCTTATATCTCTTGAATGAATCCAACTTGATTGTGATAAATGATCTTTTAGATATGCTGTTGAATTATGCTTACTAGTATTTTGTTGAGGATTTTTGCATCTATGTTCATCAGGCATATTGGCCAGTAGTTGTTGTTGCTTTCGTTGTTGTTGTTGCTGTGTCCTGGTCTAGTTTTGGCATCACAGTAATGCTGGCCTCATGGAATGAGTTTGGAAGTATTCCATCCTCTTCAATTTTTTGGATTGTTTGAGTAGAATTGGTATTAGTTATTCTTTAAATGACTGGTAGAATCCAGCAATGAAGCCATTAGATCCTGGGCTTTGCTTTGATGGGAGACATTTTATTACTGCTTTGATCTCATTACTCATTTTTGGTCTGTTCAGGTTTTCTATTACTTCATGATTCAATCTTGGTAAGCTGTGTGCATCCAGGAATTTATTCATTTCTTCTGTTTTCTAATTTGTTGGTATATGGTTGTTCATAATACTCGCTTATAATTCTTTGTATTTTTCTGTTGTCAGTTTTAATGTCTCTTTTTCATCTCTGATTTTATTTGCTAGCTAAAAACTGTCTTTGACCCCTTGCACATGCTGTATTTTTTTTTTTTTTTGAGATGAGCGTGGCTCTGTAGCCCAGGCTAAGTGCAGCAGCACGATCTCAGCTCACTGCAACCTCTGCCCTCCAGGTTCAAGCGATTCTCCAGCCTCAGCCTCATGAGTAGCTGGAATTATAGGCACCCGCCACCACACCCAGCTAATTTTTGTATTTTTAGTAGACGCAGGGTTTCACCATGTTGGTCAGGCTGGTCTCAAACTCCTAACCTCAGGTGATCCACCCGCTTCGGCCTCCCAAAGTGCTAGGATTACAGGTATGAGCCACCGCATTCAGCCAATGTTGTTTTATCTAATGCAGTTTCACCCTCCTCAATCATGGACCTTCAGCTAACAAACTCCTACCACACTTTGCCATGTATCTGAGTAAGTTAGAAAAAGATTTGTTTGATTATCTGTAGTCACTAATAAATTTTAAATTTCTTAAGAGTGGAGATTTTTATCCCCAGAGCTTAACCTAATCCCTAGTTTAGAGTTTCATGCATATTAGCTGGATAAAAACTACTGAATAAATAATATTATCTAATTAAGCTTTTGACTAAACTAACATCCATATATTTGCTGCCACTGATTTGTCAAGTAGTCATAAATATATTGATTGGAGGAAACAGCAGGAAAAAGAAATGAGAAAATTTACAATTTTGTGAGTAGGAATAACAAAAAAAATTCACTGATTCTCAGATAAATAGATTTCTCATCATTAGCTACCCTACAGAAGTCCAACAAGTCAAGAATGGGCCTATCATATGATATTGAGAAATGTCTGTGTAGCCTTTGGAACTAATTAAAAAATAAATATAATAAAATCAATATTTAACATGAAAAATAACCACTTTAAATTATTCTGTTTTTAAAAAGTCAATTTAGTTGACAGTCCAATAACATTCTGTTAGTGTCTATAAATATTTTCTGAGATTTTTGGAGCCCATATCTATGAAAGATATGTTATTGTTTTGTTTTGTTTTGTTTTGTTTTGTTTGTTCATTTGAGACAGAGTCTCGCTCTGTCGCCCAGGCTGGAGTGCAGTGGCTTGAATTCGGCTCACTGCAACCTCTGCATCCTGGGTTCAAGCAATTCTCCTGCCTCAGCCTCCCATGTAGCTGGGACTACAGGCACGTGCTACCACACCCAGCTAATTGTTGTATTTTAAGTAGAGATGGGGTTTCACCATATTGGCCTCACTGGTCTCAAACTCCTGACCTCAGGTGACTCACCCACCTACCAAAGTGCTGGGATTACAGGCGTGAGCCATTGTGACTGGTCGAAATGTATGTTTTAATTTATATTTTGGTTTAGTATTATATTACTTGTCTCTTCAGATTTAGTTCCTGAAGAGAATTATTCTTAGCATTTTTATTTATGTTGACCTGACCCATTTCCAACATCTGCAAAACTATAAAAACATAATGACAGAGCTTAATTACATATATATAAGATATTTTTTATAAAATGCTTTCTGATCTCAGAGAACCTCTTGGTAATGCTAATTGTGTTAATGATTCGATAGTTTTTTTACAAAATAGGCTAAGGTCCTGTTTTCCCCCATTCTCTTTATGCTTTTGTGCTTTTAAGTAAACTACATATATTATTTTTTTCTTAACATTTCTAGGTTATTACTCAACTGAATTTATCATCTTTTATCTAACAATTTGTACTAATGCAACATGAGACTGCCTAAAGTTAAGGATGCAAGGAATAGGTCAGTAGATACTGCTATGAAAGAAAGCAAGAGTACAAGTCAGACTCTCATTTCTATGGAAATGAAGTGTTAGAGAAGTTTCCTTCCTGCCGCTTCAGGATGGATGTTGGATCTATGGCAGTAATGCAGCAAAGGACTGTTAAGAGTCTCCGGGATTTTGGCTGGTGCCTTCTTTATGTTTAGTCGTACAGCTGGTGCAGGTGCATTTTGAGCCATAATAAGTAATAACATTCCCAATGGAAACATTCAACTGTGGTAAAACAGACAGAAATCTATTATAAATGTGAGTGCAATGTCAACGTTTACAGAAAGAGGTCAAATAACAGAATTCTATTTGGTAAATGTCAGTACTGTATGAGTAGAAAGAATTCACAATATTTGCATTCTTATTAGAAAGATACATGCAAAACCCATAAATATTTCATGGATTTTTTTAACTTCTATTTTTTCTCCCTCACCAGAAATAGCTTTTCTTTCCATTTCTCTGACTCTCAAAGTTTAGTCTGTTGCTTACGTGCTTTCCAGCATTTGAGGTTATGTGGTGAATCACTGGACTCGTATAATGTTCAGATCAACTTGAATTTACTGTGACACAGTGCACACTTATATTCAGATGTACATCCTAGAACTGAAAGCCTCTTCCTATGTGAATCACACAAAAGCATAAGCAAATCTTTACTAGGTCACCTTAAATCAGACATTTATGTCTTACATTGATTCATTCATTCTCTTCAGTCTTTAGCATAGTGAAATTTATGAGATCAACCACATGTGATGGCAACTGCTTTTTTTAACACAGGAAAAAAACCAACACCATTAGATTTATAGTGAAAAATATATAAAAACTTAGAAATGTATATTTAAATATATATGAGTGATACTTGATTGAGTACCAATGTTAATAACGTATGATTATTTAAAAACAGAAATTGAAAGAGAATGTAAAATATTATGCTATTTAGTATCTTTGGTAATATTTTAACATTGCTTTCTGTAAAAACAAGTCAACATTTTTCTCTTATTTGAGCTAATCTTTCTCTGAAGTCTTCCTCCTATTATTACTCCTTATGTAAGCATTTAACAGTATTCAGTTAGGGGTAAAGGGAGGAATCGGAGTGTTTATTGATCCCTAGCGGTTTGTTTATAAAGAAAAAGAAAAGTAGCATCATTTTGGAAACAAGTTGTCTGAAAGACTAGAAAACTAAAATAGATGCTGACAGGCAGAGTGGCCCTTGCCTGTAATCCCAGCACTTTGCAAGGCCAAGGTGGGAGGATCACTTGAGTCCAGGAGTTTGAGACCAGTTTGGACAACATATATAGTGGGACCTCAATTCTACAAAAGAAAAAAAAAAAGATAGCCCAAGCATGGTGACATGGGCCTGTGGTTCCCCCTGCTTGGGAGGCTGAGGCCAGAGGAGTGCTTGAACCCAAGAGAGCAATGCTGCAGTGAGCTATGATTGTACCACTGCACTTCAGCCTGGGTGACAGTGTGAAATCCTGTCTCAATTGAAAAAAAATAATAAAAAATGCTGATACCAGATATGCTATACTGTTCTAATATGCTTCCATGTGAGAAATGTATTGTGGTTTTCACTAAAGAATACTCTTATGCAAATATTTTGCAAGCCCAGTTTCCCATTCTGTGTCTTTAAGGGGACTCTACTGGTCCACCAACATGATTTTATGGAGATTATCTTATGAAGCTTATTTAAAATTATTAACCCTATTACCTCTATTTCAAGACATTCCTCTCAGTTACAGAAATAATCTCAGAGCAGTGATATGTTGGCCTGGAGAATTCCAAAGATCCTGGTTATGTTTAGTAATTGAAATGGATCAAAAATGACTTAAAAAGTACAGTGAGAAGATAAATGAAGACAGAAGGCTACAGAAAATGTGTGGATGGCAATACTTTGAAGACATACATTCAAACATGAAAAATAAACAGTGATCCCAGGTCAGCTTGACAGAATTTGATTCAACATGATTAAAATCATCATGATCAATTCCCTGGGCTATACAGAAAGATCACAAATCAAAGCCCTACCAAAAATCTATCTATGGATACATAGAAAGAATGTTAGTCAAATACTTAATCTGCTTTCAGAATCAGAAAGAGACTTATAAAACCAGATATATTTCTGTGTGTGTGAAGCATAACATAAAATTACACCACTTGATATGTACTATATATTTTTTCCTTCACACAGGCATTGGGATTGCTTATAAAGTGTAATACTGGTTCAGGTGTTTTTTTTCTGAAAAAGAAATCAAATTAATGGTACACATTCATTATGACATATTCTGATTTTAGAAACATTAAGATATAAAAAAATCACAGTTCTGAGGAAATGCCATATTTATTAAAGGTTTAAAAGTTAAATTTCAAATGTTTTCATAAAATCATATATGAGATTAAAGCCACTTACAACTAGAGTGCATGCCGTGATGAGACACTCTGATCTTCTCTTCAGGATTAAGACACCCATTACTATAATCATTAAGAGAATTACCTCTCAAGTTAGTCCCTGATGGTCACCCTGACTTCGGAATCACTATGGGATCAGCTGAGACTTTTATTGCCACTGCATACAGTTCAGCTTCTCCTTCTGCCAAATTCTGCTCCATTCGCAGGTATTCTTGAGATAACCCCTCAATCTCTGAATGTCAGAATCAGTAGCTCAATGTCAACAGCCCATGAAAAATATAATTAGTAAAAATCTGTATGCTATATGTTTAAATGTCTCACACTAACGAAAGAGCTGAACACATGAAAAGATGTAAAAACTTTAAAAGTTTCAAGCATGATGAATGTTGAAATAGTGACAGGGTCAAATATATGATGCTTATGTACTTTGAACAAGTGACTTTGTTAATCAATAGTGTCTTAATATTTAAGAACAATTGTTTCTTTAAAGTGAAGAAGTCAAAATATTTTTTACATATGGCAGTGACCTGATAGGAAGGTATCCAACATATAGGTAACCATAATGAATAAAAACATGAGACATTTATAGATGCATGAACAAACAAAAATTTTACAAATGGCCTTTACTTATTCTAACTCAGTGGTTTTGTCCTTGTGAATAATGAAGTCTTTTAAATTCAGAGCTTTGTGTCTTCACTAATGATTAAAATTAACCAAAGACTTTATCAGTATCTGAGTTGATTGCCTATACTAAAATAGGACCTGCAAATATGCTATTTATGGACAAATTATTTCTAGCCAAAATCCTAATGTGACAGCAGGAAAAAAATCAATGTAAATCCAGCAACTAAGACATACAAAGGGCAGTGGAAATCATTGTGCTCTTTCTTTAAAACAAGAAACTTGCAGAATGTTTGTATTATTAGGGATTTCTTTCCTTATTTTTCATTGATACAATGCAATTATTGGCAGTGTACACACATTACTAAAATGTAGAAATAAGATAAAGTGCCTCATACACCCAACTATGTTGGCAGTTGATACTATGTGGAAGTATTTTTGTGGGATTTTAAAAACATGACTTGGCAAGATACTTCATTTTAATAGACCCTTTGCTAATGAAATATAAGTAAGTATTAAATAGAAAATATATAGCCATTTCTGTGTTGAAATTATTCAAAACTATAGAAACTATGAGGATGTTAGGATTCCATTGAATATAATTCCACTCCTAAAGCTAAGTGAACTTGACAAACCATTTTTACATCCCACTCCTAAACATTGAGTGGTTTATATTCATTTAAATTCTGCTTTCATATATATTGTAGGCATATTAGTCATCAGAGAAGCAGATATATTCTATGTCTCACTTTAAAAATGAAATACAATTTCTTAATGAACAGCACTCAAAAATTAAAATATGATAAAAATGCGATACATACAAATGGTGATATTTATATTGGAATTGTTTGTTTAGCATAACTTTTTGTGTTCCTTAAAAGAATAAAATTTAAAAGACATAATACATTTTTAAAAATTTTGCCTAACCAAGAATAAAAGAAAATGTAGAATACCTGAATGTAAAATTTTTAAGTTATAAGAAAACAGGTGTCATATATTTGTAAGGATAATAAAAGTTAATAAATAATGGGTATGAAAAACCATAGCATATCATTCTATCTTGAAACTTATAAAATGCTGGCAACTTCTTTCCATGTATAAAATAAATTAGACTGATTCCCTAAGAATTTTCTTCCTCTTCTGGTAGAAAATTTTACAAGGTTCTTTTATTATATAAACATCCTTGTATACAAATGATAGTTAAACAATCATTGGCAATATGGTTTACAATACATAAAGGGAGTACATTTTATCTTCTTTAAAACATATAATTAATACCACTCAAATTGTATAAATATTAAATGATGGAATCCTCTAGGTATCTGTTTAAGAGTAAACATTACTACAAACCTATTAAAATGGCTAATGTTAAAAAGATTGGCTTCATCAAGTATTGATAAGTATGTGGAAAAATTAGGAATCTCATACACTGCAGATGAAGATGTAAAATGTTACAATCACACTGGAAAACAATTTGACATTTTCTTAAAAAGTTAAACATATACTTACCATTTGACCACCCATTCTGCTTTTAGGCATTTACTCAAAAGAGATGAAAGCATATGTCCATAGAAGAAGCTTTACAAAAATATTTACAGCAACTTTGTGTGTAGTAGTCAAAACCTGGAAACAATTCAAATAGCCAACAAGAGGTGAATGAATTAAAAAACTGTGATGTATCAATATAATGAAACACTGCTCAGCAATAAAAATGAATAAACTTTCAATATACCCCAAAGCAGAGATGAACCACAAAATAATCTTAATGAGTGAAAAAACTCAGACATAAGTAGTATATGCTCTAGTCTATGGTTTTATTTATATCATGTATTGAGTTTAATTGTTGCAATTCTATCTCAATAAAACTTTTTTTAAAGCCTTCTTAACAGAGAAACTCTGACAGTTGATTTTATATTACTAGAATGAGCAACTTTCCCAGCACCTCTTGAATTTTGAAATTTGTTCTCTACTAAGTAATACTAAAAAAAGAAAGAGAATTAGATTAGCTAGGAGTCCAGATCATACTCCCCTTTCTCCATAAAAATTTTAAAAATATTCCTTTTATTCAAATTTCAAAATAATTTACTGTATCACTCTTAAGTACTTAAAATATCTATGTTGAATATATATTTAATGTATCTATCAATGATGCTTATTTTTTGTTTTATCTCTCTAATATCCTTATAAGTAAAAAAAAAAAACAGGAACCATATATTATTTTTTTTTTTTGAGATGGAGTCTCACACTCTGTCACCAGGCTGGAGTGCAGTGGCGCAATCTTGGCTCACTACAACCTCTGCCTCCCAGGTTCAAGCGATACTCCTGCTTCAGCCTCCCAAGTAGCTGGGACTACATGTGTGCACATCACACCCAGCTAATTTTTGTATTTTTAGTAGAGACGGGGTTTGACTGTGTCGACGGTCTCAATCTCTTCACTTTGTGATCTGCCTGCTTCGGCCTCCCAAAGTGCTGGGATTACAGGCATGAGCCACTGCACCTGGCCCCATATATTAAATCTTTTTAAACTTCCTACAAACTGAAAATACTTTGGACTAAATGTTTACCGCTTTCTGACTGACAAGATTTATATTTTTTCATATAATTAATGCATATTGTATTGTTACACTCAACATATTATGATTAAATGAACATGAATTTTAAAATTGTATATCAGTTCAATTTCTCACAGTGATATTTGTTAGTGATATGAACTTGAGATTTAATTTTGTCTCTGTTATACTCCTTAAATCATTAAATATGAAATAATATATTTAAAATATCTGAAATACTACCAGACAAATAAATTACTCATAAAATATTAATTGACTTTCTTTTTCAACCTCCAATGTTATTATGAATATTTTATTAAATAATTGCCTAGTATAAATACTATAGACCATCCATAAAAGGCAATTTCTGTGATTTTCTTTATTGTTGTAACTATTGATATTATTATATCAGAAGATTCTATTTTAGTTGAATGCCATTATACTAAAAAGAATAATCTTAAAAGACTAGTTAACTAGTTAAGAATAATCTTAAAATACTAGTTGAATGTTATTATACTAAAAAGAATAATCTTAAAAGACTAGTTAACTATTTAATCAGTGGATATTATATTGTTAAATTTGGTCAATTTCAGCCAATTGGCTATACCTTAAAGGGGCCAGCTTACTAAATGATTTTATCTAAACAATCAATCACAAGTATTTGTTGCTTGTATACTATGTGTGTAGTTCTTGGGACAAGAATTTTTTATATCCATATTATTTGTCTTTTGTGAAAGGTCGTGTAATAGAGATTTGTTGGTGCTCAATTTCTAAGAATTAAAGAAAGAGGAAAGAAACACAAAAGGTGGCTCACCAGTCAAGACAGGTTTATTTTAGAGAAAACAAACCTGAGAGGGGCTTCTGGCCATGTTAGGTCAGAGGCACACTCTCTTACAGACTAAGAGTTTAAGGATTTAGGGTGAGAGAGTTTATTAGAGGTTTGTACTGCTTCTGTGTCTCTTTGTTATGCTTATCTGGGAGGGAGAGTTGTGTGTCTCTTCACATACATCTTTCTGCAGCTGCAGGCATACCCTGCCTGAGTCTGCTTTCAGCTTCCCTATCTTAGTGCACCTGAAGGGAAAGAAATGTGCTTATTAAGGCCCACTGTTTTACTTGGACCCATTGTGTGTGGGTGAAGTTTGGCAGTTACCCAAGAGACTTCCCCCTACCTCCCTCCTTGCCCAAGCTGTCTTATCTGTGTTTTACTGCCTGCTTTTGCTGGCTGCTTGTAGTTAGAAGAAAAGTGACTTCCTTGAAATGCATGAGACTAGAAAGGGAGCTGGAACTTAAAGTGATGGTGTTTGTTGGAGATGATGGTGCTCCTGCCTTGTCACAAGTTAAAAAGTCTTAAAAATGATTTCTTAAAAGTCACCCTTGCGATGCTGAATGTGTCCTCATTTAAAAATCTTTGAAGATAGCTTTAGGATATTCCTGATCAAAACTAAGAATAAACACGATAAGAATGAGGTTTTCTAGGCGTCAGATGGTATTAGTTTTCAGCTGTCAAAATATTTTAAGTAACATTTTTAAAACTTGGCCAGAAAGCTCCAATTTTTATTTTTTACCTGAAAAGCTTCTTCTAAGCCAGTCTCATAGTTGAATGAGGTTGGAGATTCAGGAATTGCCTGTTGAATGTAAATTTTATTAAAAATTAATATCAGCCACTTTATATCATTTTGCTGTAGTAATCCTTGGCCAATATGAATAATGTTCAAAGTACTTTTTTAAAAGAAATCTATGGAAAACATGTATCATTTCTAAGGGAGTTTGTTCATTTTTGTAAAGTTGCTTCTTTCTAAAATTTTGAAATAGCTTCAAATATAGATAAAAGTGGAAAAATGTCAAGGACAGGACAAAGAATTTCAACATTTCCTTTACTCAGATTCCTTAGTTATTAAAATTTTACCTCATTTGCATGCACTCTCTCTCTAGTATGTACATTGTTTGCTTACATGTATGTAAATTTATCTATACAAAAATTGTCTATGCTTATACTAATATAATATATACACACACATGCACATACATTTATGCATACATATATACACAGACACATCCACACCTATATGTATATCCACATATATATACTATACATATACCTATTTGTATACCTATGTCTACATCTGTATGTAGCCCTACTCATTTCTATTTTGTAAATCTTTTTGCAGACCATGAGAAATCTGCCTCTTATTATCCTCAATATTATTTCCTTAATTAACTTCATTGCCTAAATCTCCCAACCATTCTTTTTTTTTTTTTTGAGACAGTCTCGCTCTGTTGCCCAGGCTGGAGTGCACTGGTGCAGTCTTGGCTCATTGCAAGCTCTGTCTCCCAGGTTCACACCGTTCTCCTGCCTCAGCCTCCTGAAGTAGCTGGGACTACGGGCACCCACTACCATGCCCAGCTAATTTTTTGTATTTTTAGTAGAGACGGGGTTTCACCGTGTTAGCCAGAATGGTCTCGATATTCTGACCTTGTGATCTGCCCGCCTCAGCTTCCCAAAGTTCTGGGATTACGGGAGTGAGCCACCACACCCGGCCTCCCAACCATTCTTAGAACTTCCTCTTCTCACTACTTCTTTGCTCCACCTCCACAAACTGGCTACCTCCTTTGCCCACTAGTTCTTTGCTCCACCTCCACTAACTGGCTTCCTCCTTCGCAGGAACTGTCATGATGTTTCCAAGTGTCACCTCTTTCTCCTTGCTGCTCCATTTCCTTGGATTCCAACATTTGCATGCTAGAAGATAAGGAAAGGAAGCAAGGATGGGAATGGTAGAAATGATAGGAATAGGAGATCTTATGAATGTTTTCGTGCTTCTTACCCACAGATGGTTGAATAACCCACAGATGGTTGAATAACCACACACAGTCAAGTGGCTTGTATTACAGACATGATTACATACATGGTGTCTAAAAATTTGGCTGGAAATATCTACCATTGTATATATTTAACAAACTAGTTTATTTATTTATCTGCTTGTTTTTGAATAATGTGTGTTATTTCATAGCACTTTGCATAAGGTCCCTTCTTTTTAAAAGTAATTCCATAGGTACATGATCTTAGGCAGATTTGGATGGCGTTTTAACATCTCAAATCTTTTATTTATTTTGTTGCAAAATGCAGTTATTTTCTCTCAAATATCTTTCTAACTCAACAAGGTAAATGTAGGTTCATTTACCTGAAAATCTATTGAAATTCTAAAAAGATGCAGTATATTTCAATTATAAAGTACGAATCACTTGCAAATGACTAAAAATAAATCAATTTTATTCCATAAATATGTGATTAATATGTGCTTTAATATGCCAGGTTTTGACACTAATAGCAAAAGCTTCAGGTTCTGTAATTTAGATGTAACTATTATAATACCATCACAGAAGAAAAGTAAGAAAAATTGAGGAAGTGAGAAATGTGATAAATGTTCATCCCCAAAAGCCCAGAATCACATTATACATAAAATAAAAATACCTGTATTGGAAATTTTGCTCCTTTTACAAGTGAAATGAATGAAATGGTCTCAGGAATTTAAAATCCTGTAGAGTTTAAGAATGCATTCATTGACTTTCCTCTTATTACCACTGCTGTGTGTCTTACACTTGATTCAAGCATGCATATAGCATTAGATGCTTCTACCGGAATATGAATGACTTAATTAAATAATTTAAATAGCTGTATCATCTTATTAGTAACACAGTTATTACATTTTTAGTATTTTGTATTTCATTTAAAATCTTGGAATAACAAACTTTGGCAAGTCAAATAATTAAAACTGTGAAACGACTTCTTTGAACTGGATTTCCAGTTCCTTCTGCCTTCTCTTTCTCAATTTCTTGTTGACATATAATGGAAAACTAGTTTTATAATAGCTTAACCAAATAATTTTATTTTTCTCACAGGCACTATGTTGGTATAATACAGTAAGGGCTAATACAGTAAGCCCATATTTGCCAACCAGGGCTTAGTCATTTTCTGTCTCTCAATGAAGCCATCCTTGAAACATGATATTTGTTTTCATTATTTTCAACTTATGGTTTCAAGACTGTTACTTTACCTCCAGCCAGTGTGCTAGGCTTCCATCAGGAAAAAAAAGGTAAGAACGAAACACAAAACATACAGACCACCTAGAATGTATTCTTTTGAAAACTTACTTATTAGCCCCACTTAGTGAATTCTTGTGTCTCTCGCCTGCAGATAATTCTAAGAGACACTGAGAACTGTAATACTTATTTTCTAATAAACATTTGCCGTATCTCCTCTATTTGAATAAAATGGGAAGATTCTTCTTTGAAAGAACAGTAGAATAAGCAACTAGGAATTACTGCCATTGCAGGATTTGATAGTATCCTATAAAATAAGGTTACATTTATTTTTAACTTTAATCAGGACTTATGTTTTACTATAGCTTTAGGAGTTAGAAAGCCAAAGTACAGGAGGCTGAGGCAGGAAAATTGCTTGAACCCAGGAGGCAGAGGTTGCGGTGAGCCTGAGATGGCGCCATTGCACTCCAGCCTGGGCAACAAGAGCGAAACTCCATCCAAAAAAAAAAAAAAAGAAAGAAAAAAGAAAGCCAAAGAAGATTATTCTAACAATTGTGAATATATGTGTATAAATTAGGCTATGTGAAAAATTGCATAGGTAATAATGAAAAGGCATATTACTTTTTATGTAAGTACAATGTTCCAGGCACTGTCATAAGTGCTTTTCACAATTTTTGTTGAACCCTCTAATGTAAAAATCTAAAAATGATAAAAATATTATTCCTATTAACCAGGTGAAGATTCAGAGGCATAGAAATATCAACTAATTTATTTCCTCATAATCACATAACTAAGAAAAGGTAGAAAAGTGATTAAAACTCAGTCTGGCTCCAGAACCTAAACTCTCAACCACTTTCTATTTATCTATCAATTTGGATAGACATGCTAAGGCCACCATTTTAATAAAAATCTTTAAAAGAATATTAAGTATTAGATTCATGTTTTAATTTATGCAGTTGATACTTACATAAAGAATCACACAAAACCACTAATTCGACACGGACAAAAGTAATAATAAAGCCAAAATTTCTGGAATAATTGAACACAAAATAAAGAGCTCAAGGTCCTAAAGTCTGGATAAGGTAAACAGCAATTGGTCAAGCAATTATTAAAATATACAGATGTGGGGAAAAGGGTGATATGAAGAGAATGTATTCTTTCAAATTCAAGATTTCCATTATTTGCCTCTTTTCAGGATCACTTTAACTGTACCCTGTGGGTTTACCGTTTCCTAAATCACCTCGGAATCTTTAACGTTAAAAGATAGCAAGATAAAAATCACCCATTGTGAATAACAAAAAGCTAAAAAAAAAAGTCAATTAAAAAAGATGAGTAGATAACATAAGGCAATTTTCTTATCCCCTGATAATAAATGAATAAATGATGTAATTTTAGAAACGTTATCTGTAAAATGTAAATTAGTTTTGGCTCCTGCTTTTGAGTACACTATACTAATTCATAGCGAACCCATACTCACTACAGCTACTGGAAAAAAGATGAATTACAAAAATTATAAAAATCATATTTTAAAGTCATCAACATTGTCTAGAAGAAGTATTAGATGAACCAAATTCCAGAAATGAAAAAACCCTATTTTATGCAAACTAATTATATCCATCGAATAGTTTTCCTGGGCATGTTTGCTGATTTTAATGCTATGCAGATGGTGGTTAAGTTAGGTTTAAAACTAGAGCTTAATGTTTATTTTTTAAAGAAAATGAAATAACATCTTCCCATGTCTCACTATGGTTATGAAACAAAGAACAGTTATGATAAAGATATGCCTTTAACTCACTGTAGGTCCCGACCTCCAGATTTTGCCAGGTTTGAAGTTATCTGGGATATTTGCCTGGGCTGTGAGGCTGAAGAGATGGGCTGCAAACTGAACGTGCAGATATTATGATCACAGCTGGATATTCCACAGTCTTTAATTTTTGTGAATACAGAGATCTGACAGGTTTTCAATCAGAAGCCTGGGCTGGCCATACACCAAGAACAGAAGTGCACCTCAAAAAGGCTTAGTTTTACTAAAATACAACCCAGTTTCAATCTAGAGTAATTTCTAAAAGGATTAAAGTAGTCATTCCCTCAACTAAATGTGAAAAAGACAAACCTTCTCCAATAGGAAGTTTTATCATATGAAGCCCCTGCAATCTGTAGGTTTGTTTTCTCTGCTTTGCTTCTTTTTGCATACTGCTAGAATATTAACCCAAATTACAAAATATAAAAATAAAGCAGCAGAATGTGACCTATCATCAATAGAAAAGGCAGACAGTAGTAGAACCTCATTTGATGTAGATATTAGACTTAGCAGACAAAGACTTTAAAATAACTATCATTAATATGTTTAAGAAGGCCAAACATGGTGGCAAGCAACCTGTAATTCCAGCAATTTTGGAGGCTTAGGTGGAAGGGTCACTTGAAGCCAGGAGTTTGAGGCCAGCCTGGGCAATAAGTGAGATACCATCTCTAGAAACAAAAATTTGTAAGTATTTTTTTTAAATTTTTTATATTTTTATTTTTTTAATATAAAAAATGTTGGGAAGCCGAGGCAGGTGTCAAGAGATGGAGACCATCCTGGCCAACATGGTGAAACCCCATCTCTACTAAAAATACAAAAAAAATTAGCTGGGCATTGTGGCACGCGCCTCTAGTCCCAGCTACTCAGGAGGCTGAGGCAGGAGAATCACTTGAACCCAGAAGGCTAAGGTTGCAGTGAGCCAAGATCATGCCACTGCACTCCAGCCTGGCGACAGAGCAAGACTCCATCTAAATATATGTATGTGTATATATATAAACTTTAGAAAAATAGGGAAGATCAATGAGGAAAATTAACAAAAATAATGGATAATCTTTTTTAATAATTGAAATAGGTAGTGTAGCAGGGCTTTTTTCTCTTCATGCTCAGCCATAGCTCCAGGTATTCAGAACACCTGCTCATCTGCATCAGCAGCCAGAGCCACCCCATTCTTCTTGTGCAAAGACAACGGTGTAACAGGACCCTCTCTACTCCTTGCTCAGGAAAGCTTTCAGGCAGTCAGAGAACCCACTTCCCCAGATCAGAATTCTGAGCCATCTCACCATTCCTGTGCAGAGACAATGGTGAAGCGGGGCCCTTTCTACTCCATGTTCTGGCAGATCTCCAGGCAGTTAGAGCACTTGTCACCTGAATCAGCAGTCTGAATTGCCCATCTTTCCTATTCAGAGACCATTGTGGAGCAGGGCCCTCTATGCTCCATGCCTAGGCACATCTCCAGGTGTGCAGAGTACCTGCTTGCCTGGATCATCAGCCTGAGCTACCTCACTGTTCCTCCACAGAGACCATGGTGCACAGGGGCCCTCTCCATTCCATGCCCAAGTATATCTATCTCCAGGCATCCTGAACACCTATTTACCTGGATTAGCAGGCTGAGTAATCGTACCCTTCCTGTGTAGAGACCGTGGTGCAGTGATACTGTCTACACTTTATTACCAGGCAGCTCTCCAGGCATCTTGAACTTGAAGCCAAGGAAAAGTTGAAGCTCCATGCTTACACATACCACTGGGTATTTTGTGGCCACCCACTGGATTCTCTTTCAGTACTGGTGCTTGTGCCTACCATCTGGGGACCTATAGGCAGGCTTGACTCATTCAGCCCCTCCCATCTTGGTTCCCATCTAGGGACTGAATAGGGAGCTCAGACCACTGTGCACTCCACAGATCAGCCCATTGCCTGAGGCAACAGAAATTCTCCCAGTAAACAAGGATGAAGTATATATCTCTTTTGGCCACAGCTGACTCTTACCCATAATGCCATCTACTGGCCTGTAGGTTGAATACACAGCCCAATATAAAACTTGCCAACAAAAGTTTATAGGGCTATAGAAACAAAGCCAAAAGACTTTACCCAACATCCTCTACAGTCACATACCCTAGGGAGGGGGGAAATGGAAAACAGTAATATAACCAATAATATTATATGAAAAGAAAGAAAGAAAATAAATCCTATCCACACAAAAATAATGACAATATTAGAAGTGCCAAAATCTCAATAAAAGAAGAAACCAGTGCAAGAATTCTGACACCACGAGAAATCCGAACATTTTGACAGCACCAAAGGGTCACTAGCTCGCCATCAATGCTACCTAACCAAACTGAAAACTCAGAAATGATGAAATGACCGATAAGGAATTCAAAGCACAGATTGCAAGGAAGCTGAATGAGATCCAAGAAAAGTTTGAAAATAAAAACAAGGAAACTTCTAAAGCAATCTGAGAAATGAAATAAGATATAAATGTTTTACAAAGAAATCAATCAGAGCTTTTGGAATTAAAAAACTCAAGAAATTTTAAAATACACTTGAAAGCTTTTTCAATAGACTAGATCAAGCAGGGGAAATAATTTCAAAGCTCAAATTCTGGTTTTTTGAGCTAACTCAGTCAGTCAGAAATAAGAAAAAAAATTCCAAAAAAATAAAGAAGTCTTCAAGAAATATTGAATTATGTAATGTGATCAAGCCTATGAATTACTGACATTCCTAAGAGAGAAGGAGAAAACGTAAACAACCTGAAAAACACATTTGATTAAACAATTCAATAAAATTTTCCTAATCTTGCTAGAGAAGTAGACATTCAGATATAAGAAATCCAGAAAACACCTGTAAGATAATATAGAAAATGGACATCAACAAGGCATATAGTCACCAGACTATTCAAAGTCAATACTAAAGAAAATTTCTTACAGACAGCTAGAGAGAAAGGTCAGATCACACAAAAAGGGAACCCAGTAAGATTAACGGTGGTCTTCTTAATAAAAATTTTACAAGCCAGAGCAGAATAATGGCCAATTCTCAGCATTCTTATAGAAAAGAAATTCTAACCAAGGATTTGATATCCAATCAAACTAAGCTTCATAAGCAAAGGAGAAATAAAATCTTTTTAAGAAAAGCAAGAATTAAGGGAAGTTATTACCAATGGAACAGCCTTACAAGAGATGTTTGGGGAAGCTCTAACCATGGAAATAAAAGAATGATACCTGCTACCACAAAACACACTTAAGTACACAGCCCACAGACCCCATAGAGCAACCACACAATAGAAACTAAAAATCAACCAGCTAACAACTTCACAATAGAATCAAAAACCTCACATGTCAATATTAACCTTGAATGAAATGGTCTAAATACCCCACTTAAAAGGCACAGAGTAGCAAGCTGTATGTGTGTGTATATATATATATATATATATATATATATATATATATATACACATACATACATATATATATACACATACATATATATATAAAATGAACGTCAACTAAGCATATAGTCACCAGACTATTCAAAGTCAATACTAAAGAAAATATATATATACATATATATAAAAATTATATATATATAAAATTTTGTATATATGTATATGATCTGCTGTCTTCAAGAAACACACCTCACATGTAACCACATCTATAGCCTCAAAGTAAAAGGATGGAGAAATATCCATAACACAAACAGAAAACAAAAAGAGCAGTGGTTACTATTCTTAAATCAAATAAAACATAACTTAATCCAAACACCACAAAAAGATAGCAAACTAAGCCTAAAGCTAGCATAAGAAAATAAACAACTAAAATCATAGCAGAACTGAGTGAAATTGAGATCCAAAAATCCATACAAAGAATCAATAAAACCAAAAATTGGTCTTTGAAGAAATGAACAGTAGACCACAAGCTAGATTAACAAATAAAAAAGAAAGAAAATCCAAATAAACACAATTAGAAATTACACAGGTGATATTACAACTGATCTCACAGAAATATAAAAGATTCTCAAAGACAATTATGAAAAATTTCCATGTACACAAACTAGAAAATCTAGAGAAAATGGATAAATTCCTGAAACATAACCTCTCAAGAACTCTCAAGATTGAATCAGGGAGAAATTGAAATCTTGAACAGAATAATATCAAGTTCTGAAATTGAATCCATAATAAAAAACCTACAAATCAAAATTCCCTGAACCAGATGAATTCACAGACAAGTTATATCAAAAATACGAAGAAGAGCTGCTATCAATTATATTGAAACTATTCAAAAAAATTAAAGAGTGCCTCCTCCCTAACTTATTCTATAAAGCCAGCATCACCTTGATATCAAAATCTGGCAAAGAACAACAAAAGAACTACAAACCAAGTTCCTTGATTAACGTAGATGGAATTATCCTCAACAAAAGACTAGTAAACTGAGTTCAGCAGTACATCAGTGTAAATTTACCACGATCAAGAAAGCTTTATTCCTGGGATGCCAATTCAGTTCAACATACACAAATCAATAAATGTGATTCACCACATAAACAGAATTAAAAACAAAAACCATAGAATCATCTGAATTAATGGAAAAGGGCTTTCAATAAAATCCAACATCCTCCAAAAATGCTCAGACATATCAGGCATTGAAAGAACATACTTCAAAATGGTGCAAACCATCTATAACAAACCCACAGCCAACATCATACTGAATGCACAAATGTTGATATCATGTCCTCTAAGAACTAGAACAAGAAAAGGATGCCCACTCTCACCACTCCTATTCAATACAGTACTAGAAATCCCAGCCAGAGCTATCAGGCAAGAGAAAAAATAAAAGGCATCTAAATAGGAAAAGAAGTCAATTTATCTCTCTTGCAGATTATATGATTCTATACATAGGAAACCCTAAAGACTTCACCAAAAGGCTTGCAGAACTGATTAGTGACTTTACTAAAGTTTCAGGATACAAAATCAATGTAAACACATCAGTAGTATTATTATACACCAATAGCATTCAACCTGAAAGCCAAATAAAGAATGCAATCTCATTTACAATAGCCACACACATGAATGTAAAATACCTAGGAATACATGTTACCAAGGTGAAAGATCTCCACAAAGAGAGCTACAAGACACTAGTGAAAGAAATCATAGAGGACACAGACAAATGAAAAAAAAATTCCATGCTCATGGATTGGAAGAATCAATATCATTATGATGGTAATACTGCCCAAATTAATGTACAGATTAAATGCTATTTCTATTAAACTACCAATGTCACGTTTCACAAAATAAAAAAAAAAAAACTATTGTAAAATTCATGCATAACTAACAAAGAGCCAGAATAGCCAGAGCAATCCTAAGAAAAAGAACAAAGCTGGAGGCATCACATTACCTGATTTCAAACTATATAATAAGGCTACAGTAATGGATATTGTTTGTCTGTGTCCCCACCCATATCTTATCTTGAATTCCCACATGTTGTGGAAGGGACACGGTGGGAAGTAATTGAATCATGGGGGCAGGTCTTTCCCATAGTGTTCTCATGATATTCAATAAGCCTCACGAGATCTGATGATTCTGTAAAGGGGAGTTTCCCTGCACAAGTTCTCTCTCTGTTTGCCTGCTGCCATCTGTGTAAGACGTGACTTGCTTCTCCTTGCCTTCCACCATGATTGTGAGGGCTCACCAGCCATGTGGAAATGTAATGCCATTAAACCTCTTTCTTTTGTAAATTGCTGTCTCAAGAATGTCTTTATCAGCAGCAGGAAGACAGACTAATATAGTAACCAAAACAGCATGATCTTGGTACGAAAACAGACACACAGACCAATAGAACAGAACAGAGAACCCACAAATAAAGCCAACTAATCTTCAACACAGTCAACAAAAATAAGCAATGAGGAAAGGCCTCTTTCTCAATAAATAATGCTGGGATAACTGGCTAGCCACATACAGAAGAATGAAACTGTTCTCCCAACATTCGCCATATATAAAAATTAAATGAAGATGAAATAAACTTTTAAATGTAAGATCTCAAACTAGAAATGTCCTATAAGAAAACCTAGGAAATGCCTCTCTAGACATCAGTCTTGGCAAAAAGAAAATGACTAAGCCCTCAAAAACAATTGCAACAGTAACAAAAATTGACAAGTGGGACCTAATTAAACTAAAGAAATTTCTGCACAGCGAAAGAAACAAAGTAAACAGACGATCCACAGAATGAGAGACTATCTTCTCAAACTATGTATCTGACAAGGTCTAATATGCAGAATCTATAAGAAACTTAAACAATTTAAGAAGCAAAAACCAGATAACCTCATTATAAAATGGGCAAAGGACATAAACAGACACTTTTTAAAAGAAGACATACAAGTGGCCAACAAACATGGAAAAAATGCTCCACTTTACTAATGATCAGAGAAACAAAAATCAAAACAAAAATGAGATACCACCACACCAGTCCGAATGGCTATTATTAAAATGTCAAAAATAATAGATGCTGACAAGGCTGTGGAAAAACAGGAAGGCTTATACTGTTGGTGGAAATGTAAATTGGTTCAGTCACTATGGAAAGAAGTTTGGAGATTTCTAAAGTTAAATGAAACTAGCGTTTAATCCAGCAATCCCATTGCTGGGTGTATATCCAAAGAAGAATAAATTGTTCTACCAAAAAAAATATGCAGTAGTACATTTATCATAGCACTATTCTCAATAGCAAAGATTAGGAATCAACCTAGGTACCTATTAATGGTGGATTGGATAAAGAAAATATGGCACACATATGCCATGGAATACTATGCAGCCATAAAACAGAACAAAATCATGTCCTTTGCAGTAATCAAATATACTATGCAGCCATAAAATAGAACATATTTATATCAAATATACTATGCAGCCATAAAATAGAACAAAATCATGTCCTTTGCAGTAATGTAGGTGCCACTGAAGGCCATTATTCTAGGTGAATTAATTTAAGAACAGAAAACCAAATACCGCATGTTCTCACTTAAAAGTGGGAGCTAAACATTGGGCACACATGCACATAAAGATGGGAATAATAATAATAATAGGCTACTAGTGGATAGAGAGTGAGAGGGAGACAAAGGCTGAAAAACTACCCAGTGGGTGCTATGCTCACATCCTGGGTGATGGGGGTCATTCTTACCCCAAACCTGAGTGTCATGCAATATCCATACACATGACGAACCTGCACAAGTGCCCACTCAATCTAAAATAAATGTTGCAATCATTAAAAAAAAAGATTTTAATCAAGAAAAAGAACACACGGACACATAGGGGGAGTTACACACACTGGGGCCTTTCAGAGGGTGAGAGGAGGGAGAGGATTAGAAAAAAATAACTGATAAGTACTGTGCTTAATACCTCGGTGATGAAATAATCTGTACAACAAACCCCATGACAGAAATTTACCTATGTAACAAACCTGTATTTGTACCTATGAACTTAAAATAGAAGTTAATAAATAAATAAAATGGAAAAAGCAAAAAATTCAAAAAAGAGTAATTGAAATAAAATAAATGAGAACTAATAGATCTAAAAAATGACAACTGTAATAATAAATGTTTTTTAACAGTAGATTGGAAATAGTATAATACAAGACTGCTGTATTACATATATCCAAATTAAATCATAGAGAGTAAAAAAATAGAAACAGATAAAATAACAGATAAGATAAAAAATAGAA
Organism: Homo sapiens; assembly: GCF_000001405.40. Lineage (NCBI taxonomy): Eukaryota > Metazoa > Chordata > Mammalia > Primates > Hominidae > Homo > Homo sapiens. The sequence goes on along the minus strand of NC_000004.12, from coordinate 65,084,092 downwards.
AACAGAAACAGATAAGATAAAAAATAGAAACAGAACAGAACAGAATATAAAGGATATTCAATAAAAGGTAAAAAGTAGTCAGACAAAAAGAAATATTACATTTTAAAGAATAATTATGACGGACAGCTGGCTTTGCAAGTAAAGCAATAAAAGCTAGAAGGTTATAGAATAACATCTTTAAGTTGCTAATGGAAAATAACTTGCATTCTAGAATTCTATACAACAACAACAAAAAGAATCTCAAAAGTGGAAAATACATTTTTTAAATGTAAATAAAGATTGAATTTGTTGATAACCACAGATGAACTAGAAACAAAATAAATTTGGAAATAAACAATAAAATGTAATTCTAGAAGCAAATAATACAACCAAGAAATTTGGAAATACACAAAGAGGTGAAGAAAACCAAAAAGGGTAAATATATGCAGGTAAATACAATTGACTATGGAGTATACAGCACAACATTTGATAGACTGTGAAATGGAGTAGACCACAGGAGGCCTTCAAAAGTCCTCACTTTCTAGTATTCTCTTGTGTAATCCCTTCCCTTTGACTGTGGGTAGTATCTATAACTTGCTCAAAAATAAGATAATATAGCAAAGAGATTGGATTCAACCCCATGATTGTGTTATGTTACATAATACTCCATATTTTTAGTATATTTGCTCTCCAGACTCCCCTCACTAAGTAGCCATGATGGAGGAAGACATGAGGCCAGGAATAGCAGTAATCTTCTAGGAAGAATAGTCAGCTTCTGAGAACTTAAAAGAGCCCCAGGGAGCTGAAGATTTCCTCCAGCCTCCAGTCAGCAAGAAGCCAGGGCTCCCAGTTCTTCGGCCAAAAGGAAATGAATACTACAACAACTTAAGTGCTCTTGAAAGCGAATTCTTTCCCAATTGAGCCTCCAGATAAGAGTACAGCTGTCTGACAAGTTGCTAACATTCTTTTGAGACTCTGAGCAGAGAACTCAGCTAACTCCTGACTCCTGAATCTTTAAGATAATACTCTTGTACGTGAACTCCTGACTTTCAGAATCTTTAAGATAATAAATGGCTTAAAACTATTAGATGAATGGCATTTTGATACACAGCATGAAAGTTCAAATTATATGTAAATTTATTATACATAAAAATAGGATTTAATGTGAGAAATGAATTGAGTCTAAAGATATAAAATTTTAGTGGCATTAAGTGCTAAAAGTAATGTATGTTTGATTCTAATAAAACCAGAATGTGTTTTGTAATTTCTATGTTAACAACTGAGAAATATATAGCTTTGTCTATTAAAGCATAATGTATTACATACTATAAGGAAATATTTTTTTCTAACTATATATCTAGCAATATGAATATAGATACCAAAAGTCATCTACAAAATTATTTATAGCAGCATTATTCTTTATTGCTCCAAACTAGAAAATTCTTAAATATCCACGAATAGTTAGATATACTTTGTCATATATTAACACATGGGTAATTTATAATGATAAGCAACATATGAATAAATCTCGAAAAAGTTGAGTAAAAGATGTCAGATACAAAAGAGTAAAAACAATATATTTTGCTTTTTGTAAGTTACAGAAATATTGAAACTAATCTGTGCTGTTAAAATCAATGGTAACCCTTGAAGAGGTGAATTTATGATTAAAAAGAAGAACAATGGAGTTGACAATGTTTTTTCACACACTTTAGGTTCTGGTTACAAAAATGTATTACATTTGTTAAAATCCGGCCTCTGTAAACATAGATAATATGGATGTAAAAAAATAGAATGACTTTTTATAAGATTCTTTGCTTTCCAAATATTTGCTTGGTGTTCACCTTGTAGGAAGCAGTGAGATAAGCGTTGGTTGCAGGTGATATTAATAAAAGTGTGAGTATTCTTACTCTTAAGAATTTTCAGATCTTGTGGTGGAGATATGAAAATAGAAAAATGCTAAGTCAGAAAGTTATGAGAGCTAAGATAGGTACATGGAAGTATTAACTCTTACTTGAAAAGAAATAATAAGAGCTAAGGAAATAAGGAAGTGGTAACAGAATGTGTACTTGCCATTCCATCTCCACCTACGGGTATTGGCAGAGAAGGAAGAAGAGACATATGGTAGAAATGAGAGGGTAAATAGAGGATCAAACACAAGATTGTGTTTTCTTTTTTAATGGGAGAGTATGTTCACACACTTTGAGAAAATAATATGTTTTAAAAAGAGATGTAGGACTTCTTTAAATGTAAACAATTGTTAAAATTACTGAAGTAAGGTACCAGTGGAAATAAGAAAAAAAAAAAAAAGATATAAACACAGATGGGAGAATTGCTATTGAAAAAAAGCCAAACATTTTCCCCTGTATCTGAAGCATTTTTCTGAAATGTATTCGAAGAACAACATGGGGCTGGGCCAAGGGCACCTACTCCTTGGCAGTGTTTGGTCACCTGGTTCCTTCTCAATCTTCACAGGTAAGGACTACTCTATGTAGTAGTATTGAACAAGAAGACTGAGACACAGAATGCTAGAGCTTCCATAATATGAATATGCCTCAGAGACTCCCTAATTTAAATTAGGCCTATAGAAGTATGTGCCTGCGGGATTTGATGATTAACCTAAATCAATTTAACTGATGAGAATAATCAGAACTCTAATTTATACTATAGAACAAATTAGTTCTATAAAACTTACAGATTAGAAATCCAGAACCAGGAAAAACATTTTTCTTTTCTCATTAGAATATTGTCATATTAGGTAGAAATTTGAAATTAAGGTTTACACGCATTTTCAGTAGCTTTAATCTACCTAGATTTTCTGGTAGAATCATTCTCCTTTAATGCATTCCTCCCTTTATTTTACATTGAATGTTTTTAAAGTTTTATTTATTTTGTGTTTAAATATAAGCCCTCATACCTCAATTAGCACTTACATACAGTTATATATATTCATCTTCTGAGTAGACATAGCTAAACCAAAATAGTTTTTATTTTGTACTTTGAATTTGCTGTATGGTTAAAATCCTTGCTACTCCAAGTGTGGCCCATGGACCAGCAGCATCACCATCAGCATCACCTGGGAGCCTAATGTCCCCCTTCAGATATGCCAAGTCATAATCTTCATTTCATCATGACATGACTTTTAGGTGATTTGTATGCACATTAAAATTTTAAACATACAATTCTACTTTTCTTTTCTTCCCCTTTCCTTTCACATTATATTTCTATTGCTACATAACAAAGCACCATAAACTTAGTGGTTTAAAACAACATACATTTATTATTAATATTTCACTGTTTCCATGCCCCAGGAATCTAGAACAGTTAACCTGAGTCCTCCGCTTATGGTCTCCTAAAACTGCTGCCTAGCTGTCAGCCATGTTGTTTCTTTCTGGACCTCTAGGTTCTTCTAAATCTTATGTGGTTGTTGCCACAATGTATTTTCTTGGAGCTGCAGAACTCATGGAAGCTACTTTTTCAAAGCCAACTGGAGAATTTCTCTGATTTTAGGAAAAGAATAACACCATTGTTGAAAGTCTCACCTGATTAGATCAGGTCTACCCTCACACCTCTTTTGATTAACTCAAAGTCAAAGTGACTAAAAAACCTTAATTGGATCTGCAAATATATTTCCCATAAAATGTAACCTATCAAGGAGACACATGGATCATATCCAAAGGTCTCACCTATACACAAGAAGAGATTATAAAGGGTACTTTGCTCATGGGGTGAAGATCTTGGGGGCCATGTTAGTATTGCAGGACTTTTCCTTAGTTCAGCTAAAGTCGTGGTTCTTTGTCCCACGGCCACAAAAATTCAGGCTCGCAAACAGTTTTAATGATGAGTAAGGCAGAGTTTTATTGGGTGAAAAGGAGGAAACAGGGACTCTCCCAAGGCCAGAGTGCCTGCTAGAGCGCTTCCTTCCCTCAGCTTGAATCCCAGGTTCCACATAGAAAGAGGAGGGGCCAGGCTCCTCTCTGCTGAAAATGTCATGAACTTCCAGAGGCTCCACCTCAGTGGGCAAGCTGGTCAGAGTTTCTCCAGGGACTCCCTGCCACCTGGCTGTCTCATTTCCTCCCTCTAAAAAAGTACATATAACTGCCGTTAGGATAAGGACAACTGGGCCAGTGGCTCATGCCTGTAATCCCAGCACTTTGGGAGGCCAAGACGGGTGGATCACGAGGTCAGGAGACCTAGACCATCCTGGCTAACAAGGTGAAACCCCGTCTGTACTAAAAATACAAAAAAAAAAAAAAAAAAATTAGCCGGGTGTGGTGGCGGGCCCTTGTAGTCCCAGCTACTCCGGTGGCTAAGGCAGGAGAATGGTGTGAACCCGGGAGGCGGAGCTTGCAGAGAGAGGAGATCATGCCACTGCGCTCCAGCCCGGGCCACAGAGTGAGACTCTGTCACAAAAAGTAAATAAATAAATAAAAAGAAAAAAAGAATAAGGATAAGGACAAAGACTGATCCTAACTGCTTCCTGCTGATAGGGAGCGTTGTTTGGGGAAACAGCAGTCAGAGCTCCCTCAGCGGCCAATCTAAGGGTTCCCAGCAGGAGGGGCCATCCTCAGAGGCTCTGGTTGCATGACCATTTAGAGTTTGATGGCCTCCAGGAAAGAGCACACAAACCAGGTTATTAAAAATCAGGTATCAAAATAAAACAAGGGGAGGGGTAAGGACAGCTCAATAATCCTGAGGCCTTTTACCAGTTTGAACATGGAGAGGGAGGCCAAAAGCCCAACTGGCTAAAAAACTTTACCCTTTTGATGGCATGTTGGACTTACGGGTTCCCTTTCCCTGACCCCAATCCTAAGCCAACCAGTTTAAGGTTTGGAAAATAACTCTTTCCAGTTAGGAGGATGCATCTGAGGAGAGTGTCCCATAGTATGGAGACACAATTACCTATCAGTGAAGAGAGGACTGAGGAGGAGAAAGGAATAAAAATAAGGCATTTTTTCAAAGGAGTCCCAGAGGTTCAGGATGCATTCTAAAGGGGTACAGACTGAAGACGAATGGCTACCTATTTAGAAAGAGGGGAGCAGGCATCCCTGATTCTCTTCTCTTCCTAGCAGATACCCAGGGTATGTGAGGGAGACAGGGAAGAGTTTCCTCTTCCCTCTTCCGTCCTTGCATCCCCAAGTTCCAGCGACCTTGGCAGGTACAACCATGAGTGCTGAAGCAGCTTGAACCCATGAAATCAAGAAGGGACTACAGAATAGAAATTATCCACTCTCACCTTTGTCTCTTTCCTACCTACTGTCAGTAGCCTTGGAGTTCCCTAAACCTCATTTCTGCCATGGATATTAGTGTGAGTATCCTTTATCCATGAAACAGGAAGCTTGGGGTTTGCTTAAGCAGCAGGAATCAGCCACGCTTACCTGTGCTGTGCCTTTTAACCTCTGGATCTCTTAGATCCAGTTTTCTTTCTAGGGCTTTGACCCAAAGCTTAGAATTGAGTCTGGCACAAAAATGTGTCTCAGGAGGTTGCAGGGACTCCTTAACATAAGCCCGATGCTAAGGCGAAACTGTGGAACTGAGTCCTCCTCCAACAAGGAAGAGGAAAGGATGTCTTGTGACACACCCAGATAACTGGTGGCTATAGTCATGCTTGCTAGGATTTGGGTGAAGGGTGCTTGACTTTAGTTAGCTCCCTTGGTCTTACATTCCCAAAAGTAATCTCCTATTTATTCCCTATTTATTCCATCACCTGGCAGGATTTGCAGGATAATTGCTCAGAACTAAAATATTGATCCAGATTTCTACATTATCTAGCCCTTTTGTTCTTTCTGAGCTGCAGCCAGAGATTGCTAGTATGTTCACAGGAAAAAGCAGGATTAGTCTAAAATGTAGGCAAAAACTTAAAAACCACTAATGAGTTTAGAAGTTAATGAGAAATATAAGTTTTAAAACATTATTTCTCTCTCCAGTCCTCATGTTTGTTAAAAAAACAGAACACATAGGACTGAGTGGTTAGCAAAATAGACTTTAGTCTTATACTTGGCATGATTATTTGCGCAAAGTGCAGCAAGAATAATTATTTACATATAGGCCTTTTAGGTTTGCTTTCATTGAAGTTTGTTTCACAAGGAATCTCAGATAAGATCTTTTAAAGCTGAGCCCAACCATGGATTTGTATCCTCAAACACCTGTGAGTTGGGTGATCCTCTACTCTTAAGATAAACTTGGAGCTTTTAGACCTGTTAGAAAGTGACATTCTTTACCGACCGTAGGTCAAGAATCCTGTATAGGGGACTGTGTAGATGAGCGTATGAGTCCAGTTTCCCCACTGGGCTTGTATTGCCTCTGCAAGTCGAGATTGACTCCTTAAAAGGAAGCATGCCCTTCCAGTCAAATCTTTGGTAAAATTACCAGTTTTTCCAACTGTGTTCTGTTGCAAAAGAAAAATGGATTCTTACTGCAGTGATGCAAACAATTATATTGGCATAAGTTAAGAATACTCACAGAGAGTTTCCAAATTCTGGAGGAACCAGGGAGAGAGAAACAAACATGCTCTAAATGTTGATCACAGGAATGTATACCTTACTTAATTATTAAAGGCCATAAATTGTTCAAAATAAGCTTTCTTGACTCTGAAAAACAAGGATCAGCAATATTCCAAGCAAAAGTTAAAAGAATTGCTTCAGTTTCCTGAGTTCAATCCATTTAGTAAACTCATTTTGCTTGATATTTGTGAACATTTTAGCTCTTCATGATTCCTGTACATTTTCCTTTATTCCAATGTTACAATCTCTAAAGTTATCAGAAGCCTGTATTTGAGAGTACCTGTTACAGCTCTATAGCTCATTACAAACTATCTTTGAAAAGGATTAAAATAAGACAAAAATTTTCTGTGAATAGCAAAATGTGCAGGGCATTTATAGTTAGAAAAACGATTAACAAAGAAGTTTGGTTATCTCCATAGTTTACAGTAGTGTAACATAAAAGCCTTAATTAAGATTGATAGCAAATACCCAAACATTAGAATTTTTTAAATCCCATACAATGTTGGAGCATATTTTAGCATTATTCACCACGCTATAACCTAAAGAAGATTGAGCATCATTTTGGCAATCCCATGTGCCTAAACACGTCAAATAATTCTGTTTACCTCTCTTTTCTGGACGCTTCAGGGTCCTGCTGAAAAAAATTTCACAAAGATTAAAGTAGCGTGAAATCAAAGGTATCACAGCTTTTTACCTTCCCTTAAAAAAAAAAAAAGTTTTTTGATCCAAGCGCTTGTCTTTCCTTAGGCCAAATTAATTAGAGCTCTTTTTACAGACATCATACACAGTACACACACAGAAAGACAGAAGAAAACCCAGTCGCTGGGTGGGGCCTGGCCTAGCAAAACATCTTCTAAAAAAAACTTTAAAAGTTAACTGCCTATGGGGTGGAGAAGGGGAAAGAAAAAAGAACAGTTTAAAAATGCCTGGGGAAGAACCTCTTATTCTTAGGCAAGTGGCTCCTCCACCCAGAGAAAAGCTTAATTACGTTCTGATGGAGTTCAACCCCTCCACCTGGTAGGGGAAGACTGCAGTGGTGCCTGGGTGGGAACCAGCCAGCTGGGTGTGTGGGAACCTTGGGCCATGTGTCCCAGCCCCAGCGGGGAGGGGATGGGGGAGCAGCAGGGAGCTGCTGCTCACTGGTGGGTCCCTAAAAAGTAAGGAAAATGCCATGAAAAGGCCTGGGAGTGATGGGTGATGGGAGCACGGTCTCCCCCACCCTCAGAAGTCCCAAGATGAAAAGGCTTAGAAGCAATGGTAAGAGGTTTTGAGTTCCCATTTCACTCCCTGCTTTTGGAGCCCTCACACTGTGGGCCAAAAATGTTGCACGACTTTTCCTTAGTTCAGCTAAAGATGGGGTTCTTTGTCCCACAGCCACGAAAATTCAGGCTCACAGACAATTTGAATGGCAAGTAAGACAGAGATTTATTGGATGAAAAGGAAGAAAAGGGGGAAACAGGGACTCTCCCAAGGCCAAAGTCCCTGCTAGAGCACTTTCCACCTAGGCTTGAATCCCAGGTTCCACACAGGAAGAGGAGGGGCCAGGCTCCTCCCTACTGCAAAGGCAGTGAACTTCCCAAGCTTCCACCTCAGTGGGAGGGCTGGTGGGAGTTTCTCCAGGGAACACCTCCCACCAGGCTCTCTCATTAGGATTGGCCTACCCATGGATATAGGCATAAAACAATAAGCATACAAACAAAAAAGTAGAATGTATTTCCTAAGACATGTGTTTTTAAACTTGTGTATATCCTATGCTACATAAATATTCAGAGAAATACTGCAATTATGAATACATATGTAATTTTATAAATACACTGTACACATATATACTGATTTTCATTCACAATACTACTTGTCAACCAAACCCACATATTCTACATGTCCTACTGTCTAATGTTTTGTTATCAGAACCAAAATTATTTATTTTGCCTTATTTTTAACACTCCATCTGTACAGATATATTGTTCTTTCCTATATAACCAACTATATAAAAATTCATAATTCTTTTTTATTTTTAAAATTACGAATCATTAATTTGAATGTTATTTCTATATGTGTGTATGCCTGTTCTGTTATTACACAAAATAAAAAAACAGGATTAGAATTTTCTAGTTCAGAGAAGGCTGAACCAAGGGTGAAATCTTATGGCTCTCTGACAGAAAAAAAAATGTTTCACTTTCAGGATACTCTGATTTTGGATTGTTCCATTTTGAAATGGTAATTAGCAGTTGATGCTACTAAAGGAGAAGTATTGGGATTTCTGCTAGCCTTCATATCTTGCCCTGATGTTGAGATATAATCCTTTATTATTATAATCCTCAATTATAATGTTTTATTGAATACGTATTACAATATAAATGTAAATTCTATAAATACACCAAGATTTACATATCATAGACAACAATTTATTTTGTACAGTGATTTTGTTTACATTTTAGATGCATGCTCTTGAGTCTCAGAGAAATTTAAAAGACAAGGTTTAGCATATGTTGGGATAGGAATCTTCTTTAGATTGCAAATATTCTTTCTTGAAGATGTCTCCCAGGAGTCTTTACATATTAGTGTGCATTCAGAATTTCTTCATTTAACAAATATATAGTTTTCACTACATTATGTAGTATTCACAACACATTATGTACATGTGTTGTCTCAATTTTTTAAAACTTGAGGTTCAAGTTGGGATTAGAGGACTAACAAATGACACACTTAGGTTTTAAACTAATTTCAAATGGGATAAGCAAAATGAGTAGATAGAGAACAAAATGTCAGCTTTTCTAACAATACAGATTTTGGACTTCCTAATATTCACCCAGAGAATCAAACAGATTTTCTCACCCACTTTAGGCAGTTTAGCAAAATCTACTTCTTACATTGTTGGGGTATTTAAGTTTAATATCTGTGGCAGACAGTCTTTGATTATGGCTAAAATTATGGTTGATTCTGCAGCAGTTGATAATTGATACACAGCTTGGTACTTGGACTGCTTGAAGTGTTGTGTTGCTATACCAAAATCCAAAAACATTGAACACAAGTTTGGAGATTGCCCAGAGGTGGAAATTTGAAGGGCAGTAAGGAAACTGCTACTGGAGACTAGAAATTGTAATCTGAAGAATAATTAGCAAGTACATTGCTTGTTGTCTTGAAAAATAGAAAAATTATCTATTTAAATTGTCTACCTAAGAAGATTTTCAGGCAGAATGTTGGTAATGTCAATTGGTTTTATTTATCACCTAGGAAAAAACTGATAAACTCAAATAAGAAAATATTCAAATTTCAAGTCTTAGAAAAAATATTTTTAACTCAGAGTTTGCTAGGTTGCAAAATAAAAGCTGTAAACCAAAAATAAAATTTTAAACCCCCCACCAACTGAACGGACCTCTCCTCTTGGTCAAGGGCATTCTAAAATCAACCTGAAACACTAATTCATGTTACGATGGAAATGGATGGCCAGACATGCCTCATCATACCCTCCTCTTTTTGAAATTCAAGCATAGCTGTCTAGAGTTAACATGAAAACCAAGACTCTCTGTAGCAATAAGACAATAACATGACAGATAGCAAGCCTGAAAGAAATGGAAGTATTTTGTCCCAAAATCTATTCTTTTTTATATTTTGAAATGGCCCTGCAAAACTGTCTTTTGTGGGGAAAAATTTACATTCTGTAGAGAATTTCTTTTGCTCCTAGGTCTTTTTCCTGATCCAGGAGAGAACTAACTAAGAGTTTGGCACCTTTTAAAGTCCCGTAAGAAACATTTACAATCTATTCTCTCTGAAGCCTGCTACCTGGAGGCTACCTCTGCATAACAAGAACTTCGGTCTCCACAACCCAGTATCTTAAGCCAAACACTCCCTTTTATTGATTTAGGTTCTAAATAAACTCTTTCAACTAATTGCCAATCAAGAACATCTTTGCATTTCCCTATGACCTGAAAGCCCCCTCCTCCAGTTGTCCCACATTTCCCAATCAAACCAATGTACCTCTTGTAATAGTTAAAGAAAGAGGAAAGAAACATGAAATGCAGCTGGCAGTTAAAGACAGGTTTACTTTGGATAAAACCTGAGAGGCGCTCCTGGCCAATTTTGGTCAGGAGCCCTTTCTCTTACAGGCTAAGAGTATATATTGGTTTTACGGTGAGGGGGCTTATCAGAAGCTTGGAATGTTCCTGTTTGAGGGAGAAATTATACGGCAGGGTTGGAATGTCTCTGGGAGGAGGGGAGGTTATCTTGGGGCAGGCATCTTCCTGGCTGGAGGGGGGTTATCTCGGGGATAGCATGTCTCTGGTTGAGGAGTTTGGAGTTTGGAATGATTTTGGTTGGAGATGTTATCTGTGGTTTATGGTCATGCTGACTAGCCATTAGGCTGATGCCCTTTGGATTTAGGTGTTTTTTTATTAATGTGAATTTTACAAATGAGGGGCTTGTCCAAGATGGTGATGCTCCTACTCTGTCACAACTTACATGTAATAATTGATGTCCCGTGTTTCCTGAAAATGTATAAAATGAAGCTGTAGCTGGACCACCTCAGGCTCATGTTCTTAGGATCTCTTGGAGCTATGTCACCAGCCATGGTCACTGATATTTGGCTCAGCATAAATCTCTTGAAATATTTTAGATATTAATTCTTTTTATCAAGAAAGTTGTTTTTCTTTTCAGCCTCTCTGTATGGCAAATTATTCTTAACATAAGAAGTAGCTTTGGGCAATGTTTACATCCAGACTGTTGCCAGTAAAAATGCCCTCTCAGGTTAAAGATTATATGAAGGCTGTGCCTGTAAGATACCTAGTTAAGGAAGGGCCTCTAGACTCTCTTAGCCAAACAAAACTAAATGAAAAATTCTTGTTAAGAGTCATAGGATGTATTCCAACAACATCTGACTTTCAGCCCTAAGTAAAGAAAGGCTTATCTCCAGGAGATCTGTGTGGTGGTTTTATCCTAAAGGAGTGGAAAATAATTTGTTTTGTGAAAATAAACCAAATAATTCAAAAAACTTGCCAGTTTAAACTAAAGGGCCAGAAGAGAACAACATGAATATAAGCCTCTGAGCCCAAATTTCCACTTGTAAGAAACCAACTGAAAAAGCTCTTCTACTATAAATGTTACCAGAAGCAAATCTGTATGGGTCTGCAGCAACCTCACTTTTGCCTTCTCACAAGAAATAATTCAACTGAGAGGCATAAGGCAGAGTGAGAGACCCAGGCAAGTTTTAGAACAGGAGTGAAAGTTTATTAAAAAGTTTAGAGCAGGAATGAAAGGAAGTAAATTATACTCGGAAGAGGGCCATGTGGGGAACTTGAGAGAGTCAAGTGTGCAGTTTGACCTTTGATTTGGGGTCTTATACATTGGCATGCTTCTGGGATTGTGTTACTACTGCCTTGATTTTCCACTGGTGTGGGCTGTCCACATGTGCAGTGGCCTGCCAGCACTTGGGAGGGACCACATGTGCAGTGTGTTTACTGAAATTATACACATGCTCAATTGAGGCGTTTTTCCCTTACCAATTGTGTGACCTAGAGGAAAGTCATACACCACTTAAACTTTGCCATTTTGCCTCTTAGTATGCATGCTGAAGCCCACTTGCCCAACTCCTGAGATCTTATCAGGAAGCTGTTGATCACATTTCACGTGTTTCTGTCTATTGAGATACTCCCTCTCCATGGCTGCAACTAATTATTATTTTAGAGAGACAGTTAACAACCACTTGACTATCACCTGATGGTCGCCTGACTTTCTTTGTTGCAGGGGGTGAGGACTGTCTCCTGCCCTGCTCATGTCTGCCTGACTACCTGCTGTAACATAAACATTAGCCATTCCTTTTTTTCCTGCTTTCTGTGAAAAGAAACATGAATCATTTCTTAATAATAAAGGAGACTGACTCATTAAAAAAAAAAAAATAGCCAATGGCATGGAGCATGGATCTCAGAGCCTCACAGAAGCACTTCCAGGAAGCAGAACTAGGGTTTAATCAAGGGACTCTGTTAACATGTGTTCAGCTATAAACCAGTGCCTCTCATGTCTTCCCTTTTGAATGGGAGTATTCATTGTATTATTCCCATCCCCTTCTCACCAATGAATGTTGGATGTTTGGAGGCAGATAACTGTTCTGTTCAGTTTAGAAGTCTTCACTTGGAGAAGAGCCACACCTGAGAAAGCTCATTTACATTCCATTTTTATGCAGATTATGAAATTCTGAACTTTACATTGGTGAGATAATAGGATGAGACATTTGTGGAAGAGATTAATATATTTGCATATGGGATGGGAATGAATTGTGGCCACAGGGAAGACTGTATGGGATGGTTTACAGATTTGGTTACCAACAATTTCTCTCATTTCTGTATGTGCATTATCACTTCACACATTTAAAGATGGAGTCTATTACTTCTCCCTTTGAATCTGGGATAGCCTGTGAATGAATAGTTTTGCCTCTCAGAAATCCAAGACACTGGGGCCAGGTGCAGTGGGGCTTGTCTGTAATCCCAGCTACTAGGTAGGCTAAGGCCAGAGGATTGCTTGAGTGCAGGAGATTGAGATCAGCTTGAGCAACATAGCAGGAACCCCATCACAAAGAAAAACAAAATAAAAAAAGAAAAAGAAATTGTAACTGTGACATTCTGATACTTAAGAGAACTGGCAGCTTGAGACTACATAGCGGGAAGAGATTGTTAAGGACCTGTAAGCAAGCAACCTACATTAAAGACTCTCCTCCTTCAGGCTAAAAGTAGTTCAAAACATGCAAAAAACAAACAAACAAACAAAGAAAAACAATGGGGTTTGGGTAGCTTTTATAGCATTACATACTTAGACATGCACTAACAATTTAAGTATTAAATCTTGCTAATACTCTACAGCAATTATTGAGCTAAGCTCACATTGCAGCCTAAAGTCCTGGCCTGTGGACCTGCCTGAAAAACACACTAGAGTTACAAAATTATTCTGCAGACCAAAGACTACTAAGAGCTGATTTTTATTTTAGTTTCCGGAAACACCATGTGCTGCCCCAGGCCTCCATATTTCCAGGTCAAGCAGTAGTAACCCACACATGACCAGTCATCTACTAAGGCCAGTGAGGCCCAAGCTCATTTTTACAATGTCAGTGCTTGTGACCCTGCCATTTTAAAAAGCTCTGCTATATAAAATATCTGTCACCTGTGTGGACAAAGTTGCAATTAGCTTTTTGAAACTGCCAAGGTCAAAAGTCCCTGCTTATTAAAAACCTAAGTCCTAAAGCTATTTTCCCAGGCTTTATTGTTAAAATCTAACACACCCTTTCTTCCCCAACTAAAGAAAAAGAAAATTTACCAAGTTCAAATATCCCACTACGAACTGCCAAGAAAATGTGACACATGGGCCTTATTTGCTAAACCCCGCTGCCTAAACATAAATATCTTGGATATACTGGTTATATTATTTCTGATTACATTCAATACGTTTTGTTTTCAAGCACAATTACAACAGAATTTAAATGGTCAGTTGCTAACATTGCTTTTGTGAATTAAGCAAGCTTGCCTATGGGGGCCATAGACAGTACTGAAAACCTTCATTGCAATTTAGGATGCTTAAGAATGACAAAATACAAACCGGACCATGTTCTTTATTCATGCAGGCAGGTCTCAAATAAAAATAGTAAGAAGCTGCACAACACCTGCTCAGTTCTACTGTCAAACTCACATGTCAGTTATTTCTCATTCACCAAAGGATAAGAGAGTAAAAGTCAGAAAAGGCTTCAGAATTATTGTAATTTAAGTAGACTGTATCAAACATTAAGTGATAAAAATCATTCAATTTATCAATTTGCTAGAATGTATGTTTTGGAACTATGTGACAAGATGGATAAATATCATTGAGAAAACTATATAGGGATTAGGTAAGGACACAGGGCACCACGTTGGAGAATGCCTGGAGTGAGGGTGGGGCTTCTTCAGGTACATTGGCCTCTGATGACCTCTTTGAAAAGGTGACAGCTGAGCTGAGTTCTAAATGATAATAAAAGGCATCCTTGCACAGACCTGGTGTCACAAGATTTTTAGGGTGTCAATTCACTAGCCAGAAACCTCTGTGGCCAGCAGCACCTTCTGCCTGAGTATTGCTTGTGCCCGCTGGGCTTGTTCTGCCCACTTGGCTTGGCAGCTGTGCTTGGCTCGTGCAGCCAGCCCAGATCCCGTACCTGCCAAATGCAAGCAGGGCACAGAACGGCAAGGGGTGTGTGGGTAAGTGAGCACAGGGCCCAGCCACTGTGCACAGCCAGCTAGGCAAACTGGCTGCTGTGGCATGGCAGGTAGCTCCAGGCACTGGCATAGGTGCTGGCTCCATGAGAGGCTGTGGCTGGACCAGATGTACTGCACGTGGCTTCTGCTGACGCCACCTGCCTCTGGACTAGAGGAATATAGTGGTACCTGCAAGCTTGGAGAGGCCAGGAACCTCAGCACCCCAAAGAGGGTGTCACAGCCCTGGCTTAGGGAGCCCCTGTGGCTGGGCTTCCCAAAGGGCCACAGCTCTTCTCTCTTTCTCATCCCCTGTAAAGTGGTACGTGTTTCAGCCCTGTTTGTGTTACAGTTTTTTTAGTCCTGAAATTCAGTGGGTCATGAGTTCTTTTCCCGTATCCAGGAAAAATGAGGTATGTGGACAACTGGAGGGTGAGGGAAAACTGGATAGTGAGCAAGTGGAGTGCAGCTTCATTGAGTGGCACAACAGTTCTCAGGAGACCCAAAGTGCGGTCTAAGAATATCTAAGAATGAAACGAACTTGGCAATACAATGAAGTTGGGAACAGAGACAGATCCATGCAGCTGGAACTTTGTGAGAGAGCGGGGAATGTTGTACAAAATGAGGTTGGATGATGGACAAGACTAGGTCAGAAAAGATTATATAATATGTGCTAAGGATCTTACTTTTTATGGCAGTATGAGACAAGAAGGTTTTAGGCTGGGCTTTTTATGACAGGTTTATATTTTTCAAGACCACTCTGGATTCTGTATGCAGAATGGGTTGATGGAGAAAGTAAATAGAAACTATTACAGAAGTCAAAAAAAGAGATGGTTTCCATTGCGATGATAGGGAAGATAAGGTGAATAATTCTTGATTTAAAATATATTCGGTAGTGACAACAAAATTTGATTATGTATTAAATATCAGAGATAAGGAAAATGAAGAAATAAAGACATTCTTAATTTCTGGGCCATAAGCAACAATGAATGATGTCATTTATAAAAGTGGAAATACTGAGGATAAAAAACACATGAGTGAAAAAATTGATGGTAATGTTTACAGTATATTAAGTTTGAGATGCTTAATAAGCCTGCAAGCATCCATGAAAATCAGTGTAGAGGAAGTCATGAACATAAAAATACTATTTTTATATGATAGCTCAGGCAGAGCATGCGGAAAAGAAAGAATGAAAGGAAGAATGTCTGAAAACTGAGCCTTCAAGTGTTCTGCCAATAATAGATTAGTAGGAAAGGAGAAGCCAGCAGATAAATCTCGAAGGATAGGTCCTTAAATAGGAGAATAAAATAGGAAGAGAGGTTAACAAAAATTAAGTGAAGAAATTGTTTCATGGTGGAAAGATGAGCTGTCAGACGTGGAAGACTTCAAGAAGTGAGAAAAGATAACTATATATGAATGACTATAGCCTTTTCTCTTCTCTTTCTTCTCCCTCTTCAAATCAGAGTTTCAGAATCAACCCTCAGACATTTCAGTTCCAAATGTCTGCAGCAGGGCACCCAAACCATAAATGATTCTTATTCAAGTGAATTTTAGAAACGCTGCCACAGAATGATTAGAGAATAAATTGTTCCTTGCAAGGAGCCACAAATTTGTTTTTGTGTATTTGTGTGATTTAAAAGCAATTAGTTAAAAAACACTATTATATTTTAAAAAATTCTTCCCTGTGTGCTTTCTCCTAAGGATAACAGCAGACGAAGTATTAAAATATGAAAAGAAAGTAATATAATCCATGAGATTACAAGGCTGGGTCATAAAAGTAGCCTGATTCAGTTCCCACAATAAACTATGGGAAATTTAGACACTGTAATAAAACCAATTAAATCTGGTCAGATTTTTACTATCAACATGTGCTGGCAATTCTGAACTATGTCAGTGATAAATGCTCCTTTAAGCAACTGCTGCAGTTACTGTTAAGGCCTAAATTCATATTTATATTTGCATGTTTATATATATGTGCAATTTTCACCTCAGTACTTTAAAAAATATTTATTTTTATGAAACCTATTTTATGTAGATATTAAATTGAAGGACTGAAAGTTTTACAGAATGCCACTTCATCTAAAGTTACCACTTTTCCAAGAAAGTTTGCATCCAATGAATATTCAGCATGAACATTTAGGACATCATGAGCTCCATAGTTTGCATTTTTTTGAAACTAAATTCAGTAAGATTTGGGATTATATGAACTCACTTTGGTAGTAAAGCATGTCTCCCACCCTTGTGGTACTACATATTTCAGATATTGTACTGTAAATTCAAAATAAACAATGATAGCACAATTATTGTAAAGGCAAAGGAAAATAAAATACACGAGTTAGTTTTGTTCTGTCATTATAGGTGACAACTTGGAGTTTTAATTTGTGAGTTTTTTCTTTTTCTATTCTACTCTTTTTATCACTCATATACATGCATATACACATGCAGACAAACATATTCCTGCAGAGACATTTGAAAGCTACTAAAATTGATCCTGAAAAAAATGAGACTTAGAATTCTTATATTACAGAATTATCATTCCTAAAACGCATTGTGAAATGTCATACTTACAAACCTCGGTCAAACTTATCTTTATGATTAAGCCTTTTCAAACTAGTTACATATGTTTTTTATATGTGAGAGAAACTTTTTGATATAAAAATTAGTAAAAAGTATTTTTCAATCAAGTATGAGCAAACCTAGATTGACAAACCTGGGTGCACTATCTATTAAACATGATTATGTGACAATCAGTTTTGATGATGTAATTGAAAAAATTCCAGAAATTACAGCTCACAAAACAGAAACTAGACATTATTCATTTGTATGGCAAACCAATATGTAATTTTAAGTTTATTTTTCTCTATTTAAAAACATATACTCTTATAATTGAAAGTAATGCTTTATTATTTTTCACTTTTGTGAACAATATTTATTTTTATTTCAGTTGTTTATTATTTGTACTTTCACTTTAATGATTACATATAAAGTTCAATAACAATGAATTATCCCTGTCAGCATTTCTTTTCTGGCTATTATTATTCATTTCATGCATTTCATGTCATGGTTATTCCTGACAATGATTTTGTCATATAGAGAAGTGTGCTGTCAAAAAATCTTCCACTCTAGCTGTCAAATAAGCTAAGTACACCACTGATGGTAATTCCTGTGGGGTCAAAGAGAAGATTCAGATTTGTGATCAAAGACAAAAGTAGTTCATGCACATGAAAATAAAATCAATGCCTTCATTTTTATTGTTAGGGACTGTGAGAGTAAGGATTATTAGAAAAAAAAATGTTGATTGTATATATGTACTTTTTAGCATCCACTTGGAAAAAAGGAAATTAATTCTGTCACTAATGGCTGTTTCAAACTAACTAAAATTAAGTAGATAAAGGTATATATATATTTGTGTGTGTATATATATATTTGCACATATATATTTGCATATATATATATTAGATGGAGTTTCGCTTTTGTTGCCCAGGCTGGAGTGCAATGGCGCGATCTCGGCTCACTGCAACCTCTGCCTCCCAGGTTCAAGTGGTTCTCCTGCCTCAGTCTCCCAAGTAGCTGGGATTACAGGCATCTACCACCACACCTGGCTAATTTTTTGTATTTTTAGTAGAGATGGGGTTTCACCATGTTGGTCAGGCTGGTCTCGATCTCCTGACCTGAGGTGATCCACCCACCTCGGACTCCCAAACTGTTGTGATTACAGGCGTGAGCCACTTCGCCGAGCCAAAGGTATACTTTTTATTAGGTTAAACATTGAATATTTTTTAAGGGAAATTCAAGAAGAGCAAAGAATATGAACAAATATGTTTGGGGGTAAATACCAACAATATGTCTGTATACAAGTTTTTCAAAATGTCAGTGTGATTTTTAACACACAAGTTTAATAATTTCAGAAAAATGATTCAGTCTGTGCTCACTTGGGTCACACCTAGATCCTGTGGAGGGAACAGATCAGGATAGACGTTTTAGAGAGAAACCGTATTTAGTGGTTGACAAGTGAATAGATTTTCATGAAGTTAAAAAAAATAAAGAAGGTAACTTGATTAAACTCTGATGATTTCAACATCTGATTAATCCCAATTAAAGGGTAAGTGGCATTGAGAATGTGAACTGTAGATTTGCATTGAGATGTGATGGTGAATTCTTTTTTTAGGACTCAAGGACCTATTACACCAGTTGCTGAGAGGGAAACTTTACACTCAAATATTCTGGGGATTTTTTGACATATGACCTGTGTTGATGTTTATACCTCAGGACTCAAGGCATCATACTGGGTCCCCTCTCAAAGTGGAAGTTCATGGGGGCCAGATGATAAATGGATTTCTAATCCCAGGTTTAGTTCACAGTGGTCCTAGGGCCTACTCACTGTTCATTCTTCTGTTCTCCAAATGTAGAATTGGAGCAGATCTCTTTGGGAGTTGGCACAAGTCTTACACTGGTATCTCACCCTTTGAAGGGAATTCAGTTGTGGTAGGGAAGGCCATGTGGAAGTCTCTGAAATAGCCTCCACTCAAATCTAAATAGTAAATCACAATACTGTATCCCAATGGGATAGAAGAATTTAATACCACCCTTGAAAATGTGAAAGACGTGGGAGCATTGGTTCCCATCATTTGATTCAGCAGCATAGCACTTGTTAAAACAAGATCTATTTGGAAAATGACTGGACTGCAGCAAACTCATCTGATTGTACCATCTGTGACAGATATGGGGCCTTCGCCAGAGTAGATTAACTTGGTCTCAGATACAGAATGAGGGCATTTTTTTTTTTTTTTACTGTGTGCATTTTTGTCTGTTTTTCTTTCAGAAAAAAAAATCAGAGACTGTTTATACTCACTCGGATGTTTGGGGTTAATCTCTGCCCCACCTCTTGTCATAACATAGTCTAAAGAGTTCTAGACAGCCTGAACATCCTGCAGAACATCACATTGGTCAACTCCATCAATGACATCATGCTAATTAGACAAGGTGAACAAGAAATGGCTAGTGCATTTGAGGCCTCAGTAAGAAATGTGTACTTCTGAAAGGGAGTGACAAATTGTATAAGTACTCATGGGCCTACAGTACCTATAAAATTATTACGAGTCCAGTGGATGGTTGCTAGGATATCCCCACCAAAGTACCCAAAGTACACAAAAAAGAAGGTCACCACAGAGTATGTCTCTTCATCCTTGGAGAAAGCCATATTCCACACCTGGGAATACTGAGCAAACTATAACCTGGGTGACATAAAAGGCTTCCAGCTCTGAGGTGGACAAGAACAAGAAAGTTTTTGGCAGAAGAACTGGGCTGTAATGCCTACAGTTCTTGCACTGTGGTATTGAAAGTAGCAATGCTAGGAAAAACACCATGTGGAGTTTGAGGCAAGTCCACCAGCATTCTGGAGGGAGACCATGCCACTTTTAGTGGACAATTGTATTCCTTTTAAAAAAACAACACTATTGGGTTCTAATAGAGATGGAGATATGGATCATGTGATAACATATGACTGAGATTTGGGACTGGAATTGACCATCTAATGCTGGTTTCTGGTAACTTGGTGACTGTAAAGTCACCAAGTCATAAATCATAGAGTTCCACAGTCATGTGTCTTAAAATAGAAGCGGTACATGCAGGATTAAGTATGGACAGAGATAGAGGAAACAAACAGGTTGTTTGAGCAGGTAGCCTGGATCATGTTATTTACCACTTTTGCAAGAGTACTTTTTTTCTCAGTTCCCATCTCTGGATATTTAAGAAATAAAGACAGAACTCAAGTTTCATTCCCAAATGGGTCAGCTCAATATGTGAGTGCAAACCACAAGGGAATGCTGGCTGAATTACAGCTTCAGTCAAGTGTGACCCTCAAAAGACAGCAGTAGGACACAAATCTCCTGAAGTGCTGAGTCCTGGGCAGTACACTTGGCCATCTATTTTGTGAAGAAAGAAAATTGGACAAAATTAGAACACACATGGACTCACAAGCACTAGAAAAAATGGCTTGACTAGCTGGTCATAAAGCGTAGAGGAAGAATTCTGAAAAATCAGCAGTCTGGGCTAGAAGCATGTGGCTATACATAGGGAAGTGGGCACATTGTGTGTGAAGATTTTTTCTATTGCACAGCCATCAAAGATCATCCACCATGAAAATGGGACTATAAAACCAAGTCATCAAAATTACTGATATTTGACTTTACCCAGTTTCTGTCATCAGGAATTCTTCCTGTCCTGGAACACTGGGTCTGAGAATACAGAAGTAGTAGCAGGAATGGCCCCTGCTAATCTGAGACCTAAAGGAATGACCAATCATAAGTGAACATTAGGCCTAGGTCAAAAGCATGGGCTTCTGTTACCATGACTGATATAGCTACTGCTGTTGCCAGACGTCCAACCTACCAAGAATAGACTACAACCAAGATTCTGATATCCCTTGATAACACCAACAGCTATTTGATGACAGATTGACTACATTGGATCCCTTATTCCCTGGAAATAGTTGCAAAATTTTTGACAGAAATACACACATATTCTGAGTATGTGTTTGCCTTTTTGGTCACAAAAACACAACCGATACTGTTATGCAAGGACTTACATTGTTTTGACCCACTTGCAAAGGATCACACACACCGTCATGTTAAATGCAGGAAATTACAGCAACAGCTGTGCAGGAGTCAGTACAAGATCATGGGATCTACTGGCCAGATTTATATACTGTATATACTATAAGATGCAGAAGTTGTTGGCTTGATGGAATGATAGAGAAGACTGTTGAAGACACAATGCAGCAGCCACTCACAGGCAGTATCTTGTGAGGCTGGAGCACTATTCTCCAGAAATCACTATACACTTTATGCAGACATTAAATAAATAAATAAATAAGGTTTCCTAAGAAATACAATAACTGGATCTAAGAATCCAGTGTTGAAAGTAGGAGTGAACCCCGAAAATCTATATTATATGAGGGTAGAGGCCATGTTTTCCCAAAAAGGGCACGAAAGCAGTTCCATGGATTATAGACTTTGGGTTTCTAATGGCAAAAACCAGCAGACAAGAAAAAAAAGCCATCCTCTCATCTGAGATAATTAGCCCTATTTATCAGGAGGAACTGGTGCTGCCATTACATAATGTGTTCTATTTTAGTTACTGTCTTGACCAGTTTTGATATGAAATAGAAAAATGTACCAGCAAAAGCTTGAAAAAGGCATAATGACCAGAGGCTCAGATATCTCACTGGTGAAAACCCATTTTCTGCCACAAGAGGAAACTTTACAACCATCAGAATGGCTAACTGAGGGTAAGGGGCATCTAGAATGAAAAGATGAAGTAAACACTGAATATCAGTTGTAGTCCCAAGAGGAATTGCAGCAGCAGGGCTGTAGTTCAGTTTCCCTAAGGGAAAGAGGCCCACAACAGTCTGCTGGGAGGAGCTCTCCAAGGACTCACAGAAACACGTGTGCCCAGGCAGTCAAGAGGTGGGCTTCAGTGGATGCTGGGATGTTCCTCTCTGATCCCCCTGTTTATGATGAAGTCTTACATTCTCCTCTGTTCAGAGTGCTGCCAGTAAATAGCACTCAGTTGTCAAGCTCCCTTGACATTGCCCTGGTACAAGACAGTTACAATGCCGAAGTCATTCCCCCTCTTCAGAGCAGTTCACATTTGATGTCTGTTTGACCCAGGATAAAAAGATTCCACACCTTAACTCAGTTAGAAATAACTCTGATGGGCCACCTTAACTTCATATCCATTGGATTGCCTGAAATCTTCTTTGAGATTGCATTGCAGCATGATTTCTTCCTTTACCTTGTCCTGATGCTTTTTGCTTCTTCCACAGCAATTGATCCTAAGAGCACTTCCCAATAAAACTTTTGTACATTAATCTTTGTCTCAGACTGGTTTTTGAAAAAATAAACTATGAAAAGTGGTAAAATGCCCAAATTTATTTCAAAGTCTTTTGTGGTAGATGTGAACTATTTTAGTTTTATTGAATGAAGTAAATAGTTTTATTAAATTAGATAAAATTACTTTGAGAAGTTTTATCATCCTTAATCTGCATAATTTTAAAATGCCATTATAAAAGTACTTTTGTTATGTATTATTCTTGTCAGTTCTAGCTCAGATGAGTATTTTAATCCTCGTCATTTTATAATTATCATCATTATTAAGGTTTCAATTATAAGAAGAAGAAGGCACCTGATTTTTTTCTCCTTAGCCCAAAGTCTCAACTTTTTGTCTGTTCTATTAATGCATTCTAAGAATTTAAAACAGTGATTCTCTGTGAAAACTGCAGTTAAAGCTCTCATAATCATGTCAAGAGATCAACTGGGAACATTTTTGAGGTTGACATTGCAGGTTACTAGATGAAGAAAAAAACGGCAATAAACACAAGTCCAGAAAGAGATGGGGTTTTCAATTTTATAAAGATTAAAATGTTGTAAGATTCTGAAGTTTTAATTATTGTCATTACATTTTTGTTTTTCAACCAAAAAAAGTTTTTTTCCACATTTAAATTATATATTGTAAACTTGAAAAGCAAATATGGGAATAAATTACAAAAAGAGAGAGAAAAGCACAAGTAATCATTTGATATTGCCTAATTTAATTTGGATAAACCTTGTACTTGCTTATGACATGATGTGTATTTTGATAATCATATTGGAATGCTTGATTGATTATACAATATGCTTTGTTTGATCATAGTTTGAATTGTAATTTTATAGCCTGTGGTGTTCATTGTCGAAGAACCTTGGGCTGTTGATTTTACTCTGTGATGTATTAAATTGATTTGATATATTCAATTGTACCCTGACTATCTTTGATGCCTTGCTGCTACTTCTCATAATAGCAATAAAAAAAAACTACCTAGAAATCTTCAAATTCTTGTAATTAAAGCTTATCGGTTTTGCCCACAGAATCTGTGACAAAATATAACAGGCAGCATGGAAAATGCAGAAAATGGATCTGATGTTGCCATGATCATGGGAAATGTAGTAATTTGATAAAGAGAAACTTAAAAAGGATCATAATGAGGAAAACACAGATTAGTATGGCTCCCTCTATACAAACTTCAGCCTAAATTATATCTTTGATTAAGACCCTCGGTATTTATTGGAATATCATTTTTCAAGCTTAACCTTCTCTTGCTTTAGAATCTATTTAATATTTCCTTTGAAGGTTTCTGTCCTCTTAACTTGAATTTTCCAAAACAACTAAATCTTCTCACTCTTTCAGAACTTGAAATGTCTTCACCCTAGTCTCACCTGCTTTCTCAGGCACTCATGTACCAAATTGACATTGTCTAATAATATTTTCATCAACTTTTACATATAAATCAGTATTTTAATATTATATTTTTTCTTTCTATCTTTCACAAAAATCATCCTACCTAATAACACCATAGCTATTCATCATCCAACATGAGGATTGCTTTATTTATTCATTTATTTATTTATTTTTGAGACAGAGTCTTGCTCTGTCGCCCAGGCTGAAGTGCAGTGGCATGATCTCGTCTCACTGCAAGCTCCATTTCCTGGGTTCAAGTGATTATCCTGCCTCAGCCTTCCAAGTGGCTGTAACTACAGGCATGCACCATCAGGTCTGGCTAATTTTTGTATTTTTAGTACAGATGGGGTTTCACCATGTTGGCCAGGCCGGTCTCAAACTCCTGTCTTCAAGTGATGTGCCTGACTTAGCCTCCAAAAGTGCTGACTTCCAAAGTGGGATTACAGGCATGAGACACTGTGTCCGGCCTAACATGAGGATTGCTACAGTGGTTATTTCATTGTTTTTTGTTAATCCAAATATTTTACATAATTTGATTCTCTTGAATTTTCTGCTAGATTAATTATTCCTAAATAATAACAAAACTACCTTAGTCATACCTTCATTTAAAAAAATTATTAACTTTCTAAAGTATTCACAGTCTTAACTGATTAAATATAGTCCAAATCTATCTGATCATTTAATTTCATAATTCTATATAGTTACTTATGTGGAAAATTTACTTTGTGCTAACATTAAAATTGTTTTCAGCTTCACAACCCATACTTTCTTTTGCATTGAATTTTATTCATTCTGTGTATGAGATGTATAAATTAGAGATTATCAGCCACTTCTGTTAAACCTCATCTGCTGAACATCTGAGGTCAAACCACTTACTTAAATGGATCCAATTTACAGAATAAGTATAAAACCCAGTTTTCTGACATCATCATTTTCTAAAAACCATGACTTCTCCACTCCATCTACTTAAATTCTTAATGGACTTCATTATTTTCTACATTCCTATTTGAGTCACACTTTTTCCCTTACTATAATTTGTTTTTAACTAGTATAAATCCTGGCCTCTATGGTGTAGATCAAATTGAATGTCTAACGTAAACTTTTTCTGACAATCACAGGAGAAATGATCTTTCCTTCCTTGGACTGCATACAAAGAAGGAAATATTTTGTAAATAGGAAGGAAGAAAGTGTTTTTGCATCCAAGAAAGAAAGAAAGTATTTATAGTTGCAAAATGTATTGCAGTGTTTTTTAGTTATTTAATTCGCTTAAAGGGTAAATTGTGTTAGGCATCATGCTAGTAATGCAGGATTTTTCTTGGCCCCTTTGTCAGACTTGCAACAGAGGTGCCCCATTTACTTGGCCTACCATACTCAACCCCTTGCTGGAGGGAGCATGTAAGCAGGCAAGTGTGGGACCTGGTCAGCCACTCTGGGTGCCAACATAAGAGCAAGCTTCATGCAGGGTCCATGGCAGTGCCCAGATAAGGTTTCCCACCACCCAGAAGCCCCAGAGGGGGTGTTACAGTGCTCCTTTAGTTATGCCATCCATGGACAGCTTTGAGTTAGCAACTCAGCTGGCCTCTTGCCTCATCATGTGGGTGACTGCCCTCCACCAGGGAGGGCAAAGGGATGGTGTGACAGACTTTCTGGATACCCACACTCAGTGGGTCCCAAGCTCTTGTCTGGTGTCCAAGAAGAATGAGGTCATGCAGACAAATTGAAGGATGGTGAAGGTGGAGAATTGTATTGAACAATTAAAACTTCTCTCAGTGAAGACAGGAGGTGGAAAGGGGACAGAAAAGGCAGGTTGCCTTCCCCGAGGTCAGGTTGTCTCTTCCCCAAAGTCAAGCTATCTCTCTGAAGTCAGTCCATCTCTTGAAAAGGCTACATTCAGGAAGAACCAATCTGGAGAGAGTGGGCAAACAGGAATAGAAGTTCTCGAAGATGGCCGAATACGAACAGCTCCGGTCTACAGCTCCCAGCCTGAGTGACGCAGAAGATGGGTGATTTCTGCATTTCCATCTGAGGTACCGGGTTCATCTCACTAGGGAGTGCCAGACAGTGGGCGCAGGTCAGTGGGTGCTCACGCCATGCGCGAGCCAAAGCAGGGCGAGGCATTGCCTCACTCGGGAAGCGCAAGGGGTCAGGGAGTTCCCTTTCCTGATCAAAGAAAGGGGTGACGGACGGCACCTGGAAAATCGGGAAAATCGGGTCACTCCCACCCGAATACTGTGCTTTTCCGACGGGCTTAAAAAACGGCGCACCATGAGATTATATCCCCAACCTGGCTCGGAGGGTCCTACCCCACGGAGTCTCGCTGATTGCTAGCACAGCAGTCTGAGATCAAACTGCAAGGCGGCAGTGAGGCTGGGGGAGGGGCACCCGCCATTGCCCAGGCTTGCTTAGGTAAACAGAGCAGCCAGGAAGCTCGAACTGGGTGGAGCCCACCACAGCTCAAGGAGGCCTGCCTGCCTCTGTAGGCTCCACCTCTGGGGGCAGGGCACAGACAAACAAAAAGACAGCAGTAACCTCTGCAGACTTAAATGTCCCTGTCTGACAGCTTTGAAGAGAGCAGTGGTTCTCCCAGCACGCAGCTGGAGATCTGAGAACGGGCAGACTGCCTCCTCAAGTGGGTCCCTGACCCCTGACCCCTGAGCAGCCTAACTGGGAGGCACCCTCCAGCAGGGGCACACTGACACCTCACACTGCAGGGTACTCCAACAGACCTGCAGCTGAGGGTCCTGTCTGTTAGAAGGAAAATTAACAAACAGAAAGGACATCCACACCAAAAACCCATCTGTATATCACCATCATCAAAGACCAAAAGTAGATAAAACCACAAAGATGGGGAAAAAACAGAACAGAAAAACTGGAAACTCTAAAAATCAGAGTGCCTCTCCTCCTCCAAAGGAACGCATCTCCTCACCAGCAACGGAACAAAGCTGGACGGAGAATGACTTTGACGAGCTGAGAGAAGAAGGCTTCAGACGATCAAATTACTCTGAGCTACGGGAGGACATTCAAACCAAAGGCAAAGAAGTTGAAAACTTTGCAAAAAATTCAGAAGAATGTATAACTAGAATAACCAATACAGAGAAGTGCTTAAAGGAGCTGATGGAGCTGAAAACCAAGGCTGGAGAACTACATGAAGAATGCAGAAGCCTC
Organism: Homo sapiens; assembly: GCF_000001405.40. Taxonomy (NCBI): domain Eukaryota; kingdom Metazoa; phylum Chordata; class Mammalia; order Primates; family Hominidae; genus Homo; species Homo sapiens. The sequence continues at coordinate 65,056,974 of NC_000004.12, read as the reverse complement.
AGGAGCCGATGTGATCAACTGGAAGAAAGGATATCAGCGATGGAAGATGAAATGAATGAAATGAATGAAATGAAGTGAGAAGGGAAGTTTAGAGAAAAAAGAATAAAAAGAAATGAGCAAAACCTCCAAGAAATATGGGACTATGTGAAAAGACTAAATCTACGTCTGACTGGTGTACCTGAAAGTGATGGGGAGAATGGAACCAAGTTGCAAAACACTCTGCAGTATATTATCCAGCAGAATTTCCCCAATCTAGCAAGGCAGGCCAACGTTCAGATTCAGGAAATACAGAGAACGCCACAAAGATACTCCTCGAGAAGAGCAACTCCAGGACACATAATTGTCAGATTCACCAAAGTTGAAATGAAGGAAAAAATGTTAAGGGCAGCCAGAGAGAAAGGTCGGGTTACCCTCAAAGGGAAGCCCATCAGACTAACAGCAGGTCTCTAGGCAGAAACCCTACAAGCCAGAAGAGAGTGGGGGCCAATATTCAACATTCTTAAAGAAAAGAATTTTCAACCCAGAATTTCATATCCAGCCAAACTAAGCTTCATAAGTGAAGGAGAAATAAAATACTTTACAGACAAGCAAATGCTGAGAGATTTTGTCACCGCCAGGCCTGCCCTAAAAGACATCCTGAAGGAAGCGCTAAATATGGAAAGGAACAACCGGTACCAGCCGCTGCAAAATCATGCCAAAATGTAAAGACCATCGAGAATAGGAAGAAACTGCATCAATTAACAAGCAAAATAACCAGCTAACATCATAATGACAGGACCAAATTCACACATAACACTATTAACTTTAAATGTAAATGGACTAAATGCTCCATTTAAAAGACACGGACTGGCAAATTGGATAAAGAGTCAAGACCCATCAGTGTGCTGTATTCAGGAAACCCATCTCATGTGCAGAGACACACATAGGCTCAAAATAAAAGGATGGAGGAAGATCTACCAAGCAAATGTAAAACAAAAAAAGGCAGGGGTTGCAATCCTAGTCTCTGATAAAACAGACTTTAAACCAACGAAGATCAAAAGAGACAAAGAAGGCCATTACATAATGGTAAAGGGATCAATTCAACAAGAAGAGCTAACTATCCTAAATATATATGCACCCAATACAGGAGCACCCAGATTCATCAAGCAAGTCCTGAGTGACCTACAAAGAGACTTAGACTCCCACACATTAATAATGGGAGACTTTAACACCCCACTGTCAACATTAGACAGATCAACGAGACAGAAAGTCAACAAGGATACCCAGGAATTGAACTCAGCTCTGCACCAAGTGGACCTAATAGACATCTACAGAACTCTCCACCCCAAATCAACAGAATATACATTTTTTTCAGCACCACACCACACCTATTCCAAAACTGACCACATACTTGGAAGTAAAGCTCTCCTCAACAAAAGTAAAAGAACAGAAATTATAACAAACTATCTCTCAGACCACAGTGCAATCAAACTAGAACTCAGGATTAAGAATCTCACTCAAAACCGCTCAACTACATGGAAACTGAACAACCTGCTCCTGAATGACTACTGGGTACGTAACGAAATGAAGGCAGAAATAAAGATGTTCTTTGAAACCAACGAGAACAAAGACACAACATACCAGAATCTCTGGGACACATTCAAAGCAGTGTGTAGAGGGAAATTTATAGCACTAAATGCCCACAAGAGAAATCAGGAAAGATCCAAAACTGACACCCTGACATCACAATTAAAAGAACTAGAAAAGCAAGAGCAAACACTTTCAAAAGCTAGCAGAAGGCAAGAAATAACTAAAATCAGAGCAGAACTGAAGTATATAGAGACACAAAAAACCCTTCAAAAAATTAATGAATCCAGGAGCTGGTTTTTTGAAAGGATCAACAAAATTGATAGACCGCTAGCAAGATTAATAAAGAAAAAAAGAGAGAAGAATCAAATAGATGCAATAAAAAATGATAAAGGGGATATCACCCCCAATCCCACAGAAATACAAACTACCATCAGAGAATACTACAAACACTTCTACGCAAATAAACTAGAAAATCTAGAAGAAATGGATATATTCCTTGACACATACACTCTCCCAAGACTAAACCAGGAAGAAGTTGAATCTCTGAATAGACCAATAACAGGATCTGAAATTGTGGCAATAATCAATAGCTTACCCACCAAAAAGAGTCCAGGACCAGATGGATTCACAGCTGAATTCTACCAGAGGTACAAGGAGGAACTGGTACCATTCCTTCTGAAACTATTCCAATCAATAGAAAAAGAGGGAATCCTCCCTAACTCATTTTATGAGGCCAGCATCATTCTGATACCAAAGCCGGGCAGAGACACAACCAAAAAAGAGAATTTTAGACCAATATCCTTGATGAATATTGATGCAAAAATCCTCAATAAAATACTGGCAAAAGGAATCCAGCAGCACATCAAAAAGCTTATCCACCACGACCAAGTGGGCTTCATCCCTGGGATGCAAGGCTGGTTCAATATATGCAAATCAATAAATGTAATCCAACATATAAACAGAGCCAAAGACAAAAACCACATGATTATCTCAATAGATGCAGAAAAAGCCTTTGACAAAATTCAACAACCCTTCATACTAAAAACTCTCAATAATTTATGTATTGATGGGACGTATTTCAAAATAATAAGAGCTATCTATGACAAACCCACAGCCAATATCATACTGAATGGGCAAAAACTGGAAGCATTCCCTTTGAAAACTGGCACAAGACAGGGATGCCCTCTCTCACCACTCCTATTCAACATAGTGTTGGAAGTTCTGGCCAGGGCATTTAGGCAGGAGAAGGAAATAAAGGGTATTCAATTAGGAAAAGAGGAAGTCAAATTGTCCCTGTTTGCAGATGACATGATTGTATATCTAGAAAACCCCATTGTCTCAGCCCAAAATCTCCTTAATCTGATAAGCAACTTCAGCAAAGTCTCAGGATACAAAATCAATGTACAAAAATCACAAGCATTCCTATACACCAACAACAGACAAACAGAGAGCCAAATCATGAGTGAACTCCCATTCTCAATTGCTTCAAAGAGAATAAAATACCTAGGAATCCAGCTTACAAGGGATGTGAAGGACCTCTTCAAGGAGAACTACAAACCACTGCTCAAGGAAATAAAAGAGGATACAAACAAATGGAAGAACATTCCATGCTCATGGGTAGGAAGAATCAATAGCGTGAAAATGGCCATACTGTCCAAGGTAATTTACAGATTCAGTGCCATCCCCATCAAGCTACCAATGACTTTCTTCACAGAATTGGAAAAAACTACTTTAAAGTTCATATGGAACCAAAAAAGAGCCCACATTGCCAAGTCAATCCTAAGCCAAAAGAACAAAGCTGGAGGCATCACACTACCTGACTTCAAACTATACTACAAGGCTACAGTAACCAAAACAGCATGGTACTGGTACCAAAACAGAGATATAGATCAATGGAACAGAACAGAGCCCTCAGAAATAACGCCGCATATCTACAACTATCTGATCTTTGACAAACCTGAGAAAAACAAGCAATGGGGAAATGATTCCCTATTTAATAAATGGTGCTGGGAATACTGGCTAGCTATATGTAGAAAGCTGAAACTGGATCCCTTCCTTACACCTTACACAAAAATCAATTCAAGATGGATTAAAGACTTAAACGTTAGACCTAAAACCATAAAAACCCTAGAAGAAAACCTAGGCATTACCATTCAGGACATAGGCACGGGCAAGGACTTCATGTCTAAAACACCAAAAGCAATGGCAACAAAAGACAAAATTGACAAATGGGATCTCATTAAACTAAAGAGCTTCTGCACAGCAAAAGAAACTACCATCAAAGTGAACAGGCAACCTACAACATGGGAGAAAATTTTCGCAACCTACTCATCTGACAAAGGGCTAATATCCAGAATCTACAATGAACTCAAACAAATTTACAAGAAAAAAACAAACAACCCCATCAAAAAGTGGGCAAAGGACATGAACAGACACTTCTCAAAAGAAGACATTTATGCAGCCAAAAAACACATGAAAAAATGCTCACCATCACTGGCCATCAGAGAAATGCAAGTCAAAACCACAATGAGATACCATCTCACACCAGTTAGAATGGCAATCATTAAAAAGTCAGGAAACAACAGGTGCTGGAGAGGATGTGGAGAAATAGGAACACTTTTACACCGTTGGTGGGACTGTAAAGTAGTTCAACCATTGTGGAAGTCAGTGTGGCGATTCCTCAGGGATCTAGAACTAGAAATACCATTTGACCCAGCCATCCCATTACTGGGTATATACCCAAAAGACTGTAAATCATGCTGCTATAAAGACACATGCACACGTATGTTTATTGTGGCATTATTCACAATAGCAAAGACTTGGAACCCACCCAAAGGTCCAACAATGATAGACTGGATTAAGAAAATGTGGCACATATACACCATGGAATACTATGCAGCCATAAAAAATGATGAGTTCATGTCCTTTGTAGGGACATGAATGAAATTGGAAACCATCATTCTCAGTAAACTATCGCAAGAACAAAAAACCAAACACCGCATATTCTCACTCATAGTTGGGAATTGAATAATGAGATCACATGGACACAGGAAGGGGAACATCACACTCTGGGTACTGTTGTGGGGTGGGGGGAGGGGGGAGGGATAGCATTGGGAGATATACCTAATGCTAGATGACGAGTTAATGGGTGTAGCACACCAGCATGGCACATGTATATGTATGTAACTAACCTGCACAATGTGCACATGTACCCTAAAACTTAAAGTATAATAATAATAAAAAAAAAAAAGAAGTTCTCACTTTGGGCTGCAGGTTTGCAGGTTTCAGGCTTTTCAGCTTGAAGGTGGGGTTTCACCAGGGACCCAACCCTGTGTGCCTAGAATTTCTCTGCCTCCTGCCTCTATCAATAGTATTCAATGAATAAAACCTGTTTCTGTCTTAGACATGCATAAAGCTATACCTCAAGTGGTACTATTTATACTCTGCATTTTTGTTATTTTACATGCATATGTCTCTCCTACCCAATTAGATTGTAGATTGCTTGAGGTCAGGAACTACTGTGTCCTCACATCTTGTACTCAACAAAGCTTTTCACACTCAATGTTACATTTGATAAAAGTACCTAGTTACTGGGAATAGAATATCTGGGCTTCGAAGCAGTCATTTTTATTCTTTATAAGAAAGAATATGCATTTCTATTAAGGTAGAATTGATGAATGATTTACTAACAAGGCATATCAACCACTTTGGAAAGTAAGCACAGAAGACAGTGCTATTTTCACTTTTGAATGTAAAAAATGAGGCTCACAAAATTTAAGAAATCAGCCTGTGGTCACTAAGATATAAAACTATTTAATCTAAGGTATAATACAAATCTAAAACTTGAGCATGATCCCTCCAAGCAGTCAAAATGGTTGGCAGTTACAGACCTATACTTAATACTCACCTGACTGCCAGACATTACTCTAAGTTATTTATATGTACTAACTCACCCGCTTCAATGACTTTATGAGGTAAGTATTTTATATTCTTCTATTTTCTGATGAAGAAACTGAGGTAAAGCGAGTAAAAGTTGTGAGTCTAAGCTTTCAACAACTGTTAAACAGCAGATCAAGAAGCCAAACCCAGAGAGTCTTATCAGCAGCCGTGTTCTTTACTACTACGCAAGTGCAGCTCTTCTTTCTCACGCTAAACATGAAAAGTAAAAAATGAGAGATGATAAATAGTACAGCTTACAAAGCCACTCATTTGTAGTGTGTTAGAGAAAACACACTGTAAAATTGTAAAATTAAAAAAAAATTAAGTAAGTTAGTCTAAACTTAATGCATTTTTTTCTTAGATATATGCACTCAAAAAGAACAAACAAGGTAGAAAGAGCCTTGTGGATTTTGCAGAAATCGTTGAGAATTCTAGGAAGAAGAACTAGCAAATGCTGGGGCCCTGCAAAGGGAGGAGCTCAGTAGTTTGAAGGAGCAGAAGGAAGTCAGCACAGCTGAAGCAGTGAATGAAGGTGAGAGTTCAAGGTATGAGATAAAATAGCATGCAAGGACTAAATCTCATGAGGCCTTGTAGATCATTAATAAGATTTTGGCTTTAACACTTTAGGTAATAAAAAGCTATTCCTTTCTTCAAAAAAAGGATTCTGAAGAAAGGAATTACAAAAATATGACTTACTTTTTAAGAGGAACATTGGATACTGTATTAAATATAGACTGAAAGGGAAGAGCAGAAGCGGTATGACCAGTAAAGAGTATATTCAATAATCCAAACAAGAAGAGATTGTAACCTAGATTGGGAGAAGAGCAGTACAGGTGATGAGATATATCCAACAGTATTGAGTAAAGCATTAGATGTGTTGTGAAATAAAAAGAAGAGGATCAGGAATGACTCCAGGTTCTTTTGGCTTAGGCAATTTTGAAGAAAAACTTGCCATTAACTGAAATAAGAAAGACTGAAGCAGGAGAAGGACTGCGGAGCAGAGATCAAGAGCTCAAATTGCCTGTGTGTGTGTGTGTGTGTGTGTGTAGATTAAAATGTTTATTACACATGCACATGGGGCTTTCCTCAAATTCAGGAGAAACATATCATATTAGGATCCTTGATCTATAGACACTATAGTATACAATTCAGTAAATGAAACTAGAAAACCCCAACACTTACAGAGGGTGAAGAGGAAGAATTATCAAAAGACGAGAAGGAGCAGCCATTGAAGTATTATGAAAACAAGATTGTACTGCATTTTAAAAAAGAAATACATAAAAACTTTCCAAGGATGAGGTAGAAATTGGCCATATAAAGTACTGCTGATAGATAAAATCAAGATCTGAAAATTGGCCATTAGATTTAGGAAGGTGGCAATTATTAATGACTATGATAATAAGATCTGTTTCAGATGGGTGATGGGTTTGAAGCCTCAACAGAAATGGATTCAACACAAAATGGGAAAGGAATTATTGAAAATAGTCAATAATGAAAATTCACTTCAGTAGTTTTGGTAAAAAGGGAAAATATATAACAGTAGCTCAACAAAAACCGGAGTATCTGTTGGGTATTCACAAGGCTTCTGAGAGTTTTAGTCTGTAGCTACTTTATAGTTTCTTGCACAGATTTTATCACTCTTATGACAAAAAAGATAAGAATAAATCTAACGTGGATAACTAACCAGACTTGGAAGAGGATGCTATAGGTAAAAAAGACAAGAAGTGTAGAACAAGAATTGGTTTTTTTCTGCTAACAAATTCTCTATCTTCTGCAGTACCACTAAATGTGCTATGTAAATATCTGGTACAAAGAAGTCCTGTTAATATGGAAAGTTGTATTCTGTAGAGAAAATAAACATAATGTACTAGAAATACTTTCCCTTAGAACCCTGGTTTTTTCAGCAGAGATGGCTGATACCCAGTAATAAAAGCAGTCTCATTGGGCTAAGGCAGACAATTAGGGAGAGGTCAGTAACAAAAAGCACACAGAAATTTTAGCAAATATCTGAGGAGAATGTTACCTTGTAGAACAATTGCTTTCCTCATTTGCTTCATCTACATTTCCTTGTTTTGTCTCTCTCTCTTGTTCCTGAATGGCAGATCAGTGGCTGTGTGTTACTCATGTTGGCATCTTTTTAAATTGTGAACAAGTTTTAAACAGAGCAAGCTCTAAATAATTTTTTGAATTGAATATAATCCTTCCTCACAAATATACATAATGCATACATCTAATGAACACTGTGTCACTACATCTAGTTTCATAAAGCTATAAGTAGATGGTTAAACTCAGCATCAAAAATACGAAGAGCCATATCAGCCAGGCACGGTGGCTCATGCCTGTAATCCCAGCACTCTGGGAGGCCGAGGTGGGTGGATCACAAGGTCAGGAGATCGAGACCATGCTGGCCAACATGGTGAAACCCCGTTTCTACTAAAAATACAAAAATTAGCTGGGCATGGTGGCGTGCACCTGTAGTCCCAGGTACTCAGGAGGCTAGGACAGGAGAATGGCTTGAACCCGGGAAGTGGAGGTGGCAGTGAACTGAGATTGCACCACTGCACTCAGCCTGGTGACAGAGTGAGACTCCTCTAAGGAATTGAGCAATGAGAACACTTGGACACAAGAAGGAGAACATCACACACCAGGGCCTGTCATGGGGGGTGGGGGGGGATAGCATTAGGAGATATACCTAATGTAAATGATGAGTTAATGGGTGCAGCACACCAACATGGCACATGTTTACATATGTAACAAACCTGCACATTGTGCACATGTACCCTAGAACTTAAAGCATAATAAAAAATAAATAAATAAAAATAAAAGAGACCAGAAAAAAAAGCCATATCATAAAAGATCCTGATGAAGTCAGAAACTTTGACTGTTTTTTCCTTTTCATTCCTTTGATATATTAGCTAGTTCATTTTATAATAATTAACACCTGTTCCCATGTTTCCTTGATATAGCACCTGCTTCATTTTATATTCATTATTAACAGCAGTGCCACACATGCCACCTAAACACAAGGATTCAGAAGTTTCTCATACACTGAAATATTCTTTCCCCTAAAGTTATTTCTCAATTCTGAGATTCAAAAATGAAGCTTCAAATATTCTTATAATGCATTTTGAAGGAGTATAAGAGGAAAATTTTGGGAGGAAGTGATAGTCTAGTGAAAAAGGGTAAGAAAATACGGTAAGCAGGATGATTTTTTCTGGCCCTCATCCGCAATGATTTTTATGTCCCAATCCCCAGAACTTGTGAATTTATTAGGTTGCATGGGACAAGGGAATAAGGTTGCAGATGAAATTAAGGTTGCTAGTCAGCTGATCTTAAAATGGGGACATTATCCTGGATTAACTCAGTGGGCCCAATAAAATTACAACTTTTTTTAAATAAAAGAAAGAGGCAGAAGGGGAGGTGAGAGTGAGACAGTCTGAGGAAGACTTGATCCGCTATTGCTCACCTTGAAGATCAGGGAAGAGACCCAGCAGTGAAGGAATTGTGTGGCCTCTAGAATCTGAAAAGGGCGAGGAATAGGTTCTCCCACAGAGCTTCCAGAAAGAAACATGGCCCTGCTGAAACCTTGATTTTAGTTCAGTAATTTCCATTTTGGACTTTTGAACTATAAAATTATATGAAAATGAATTTATGTCATATTAGCTTTGCAATAATTTGTTTCAGCATTAATAGTAAACACAGAAGAGAATAAGTAAAAATGAACTGAATAAACATTATATGTTAAAGTATTGTATAAAAATATATTTAAACAGTGAGGGAGCTGCCATGTATGTACTACATGGCATGTTTTGTATATAGCTTGTTGTTATCCAAGTTTAAAATGTGTAAGGATTAGAGACAAATTATGTAATGTGTGAAATCCCATGACAAGGGAAAGTGAAGCAAAAAATAAAGTAAGATGGCAAAAAAGTTAGAGGAAGAACATTGAAAAATATCAACCTCTAAGTTGGAAAAAAAATAAGCCAGGAGAACAGATTAAGAAAAGTTTGGAAAGGTAAGATAAGAATCAGCTGTTTGAAGTGTTATAGAATCTAAGAGGGAACAACTTTTTCAAACCGAGTGATAGCTATGGAAAGTGTTTTTTTAATCAGATGAGTATTGGCTCAGGTAGGAAGTCATTGCTGACCTTTAAAAGTGAAGTTTTTATGTGTGACACCGAGGAGAGGTGGGGAAGGGGGTTGTGTGTAGCAATGATAGAGGGCAAGGCAGCATTGAAGTGAAAACATTTATGTAAAGTTTTTTTGTTTTTTTTTTTCAAAAAATACTTCTAAGTAAGCTTTCACAAAATGGCTTAAAGGCTGGTCTCATTTTCGATAATTTCTGCCTGAAATTATGTTGCCCAATTTGTAAACAGCTGTAAAAACTGAGTGCAATGATATATTGTTTACAACAATTATGTAATAGCAAAGGGAGTATACTTAAATATCACTAAATTGAGTAACCAAGGGAATTTTCAGGATGAATAGATTTACCAAAGAATCCCTGCTATAAATCTGCTTCTTAAGCTCTTGTAATGTATCCAATTTATGAGTCATGCATTCAAAGATAAAGAGCTTCTTAGAAACACAGGTAAAGAGACTTTTCTTGGAGAGCTGTATCTTGAGTGAATGTTCTGTGGAAGTTGACAGAACAAATCTGCAATCCATCACGTTGATGTGCATACAAGGGCCAAGTTTGTCCAGATGTCTAATATGGCACAGATGGGCAGGCAAGGCATTTGGCTGTGGTTTTCTTGTAAACATAAGAGAAAGCAGTACCCAAAGCTAACTTTTGAAGGCAGTAGCCTTCCAATTGGGGAAATGTACCAAGCTGGCTGACTGTCACAGCACTAACTGCCATCAGCACCCTGTGGCTCTGCTGCTTGGCATCCAGAGAGAGGTGCAGCCCCTATGCACACAGCAGAGCTGCAGCCAGGAACAGCTGTCAAAACCTGTAGCAGCTCACTGACTAGGTTCCATGACCTAGTTAAGACCTGGACAATATTTTCTTCTTACACTTTGTGAAAGTTGGTATGCTTTTTGCATGGAAGATGTCAGATATGGAAGATTAACTTCCATGGCATACAGCACCACAGGGGAGGGAGGGGGAGAGAGAAAGGAAGAGAGAAGAGAGAGAAGTATTTGCATTTAATGTTATGCAGAATTTCTGTCTCATTCAAATAGGAAGACAGGATAAATAACTGGAAGATACAGAAATGTAAAAATTTCCAAACTGAAGTCACATTTGAGGGTGTGTATGCACGCGCATGGCCACGCAAATGATTTTTCTTCTAAAATCTCTTTTGTACAAAGGGAAATGTACACATTTTTAGTATGCTTTAAACCCCATTTGGGTTAGGAAAGCAAAACGTATTAAGTGTATAAACGTGTTTTCTCTGGCTATTTACCAAGATGTGCACCTTAAATAAAAGTAACTTTATTCAGAAAATGGCAACACATGTGTTAATTTAAGTTTTAAATTTCCTGTTCTTTTTGAATGTTCAGCTCCTACAGCACTCTCACTCATAGTTTTTTTTTTTTTACCATTTTATTAAGAGATCCAAAATAACGTTCAGATATAAGGAACATCAACATATCTGTACTAATAAAACATAGTTACAATGTTCTCAATTCTTAGTGTCCTTCACAACATCAAGTAGATACTAAAATCACTTATTTTCAGAAAAGAGGCCTGAGGGAAAAGTAAAAGAAAATTTTAACTGAGAACATTCTCTGCTAGATGGAACTTTCTCCAATCAGCCCCCTCGCCTTCTTTTTTTCTGTGGTTTGAGAATTAGCAGATTCTGTTTCTGTGAGCATTGCATGTTTATCACACTCACCCACTACTGAAAACCAAAGATTGCTACAGATAGTGATACACATTTCTTTGCTTTCACATCATATAATTAGAAAAATTAGAAACTAGATAACATTTTGATTTGATGTTTCTAACTGTGTGCCCCTACCACATGCTACAAGAGGGTGAGAAATGTGATACAGGCAGGAAAAAGCGGAAGACCAAAGCTTCATGTTGCAAAGAATGTATCATGTTCTTGGCCTATGAAACACTGTACTTTTGGATGGACTTAATCCCTGAAGATGTCCTGGGTTATTCAAAATCAAAAAGTTTTTCTTCCCATTTAAATATAGGTGTCTTTTCTTCTTCTTGTTCTTCTTCTTCTTCTTCTTCTTCTTCTTCTTCTTATTATTATTATTATTATTATTTCGTGGTTAGGAGATGCTACTGTTTGTCAATAACACTTTTGAATATTTTAAAAATGGGATTTGCATATGTATGAATTTAAGAGCATATAGGAATTGTAATTTATACCTTGTGGACAACTTTATTTTAAATTATTTATTTATTTATTTATTTATTTATTTATTGGAGACAGAGTCTTACTCTGTTACCCAGGCTGGAGTGCAGTGGCACTATCTCGGCTCACTGGAACCTCTGCCTCCTGAGTTCAAGCAATTCTCCTGCCTCAGCCTTCCAAGTAGCTGGGATTACAAGCATGCACCACCACGCCTGGCTAAATTTTGTATTTTTAGTAAAGACGGGGTTTCACTATGTTGGCCTGGCTGGTCTCAAATTCCTGACCTCAAGTGATCTGCCCGCCTTGGCCTCCCAAAGTGCTGGCATTACAAGCGTGAGCCACCATGCCCAGCCTTAAAATATTAATTAATTATTTGGGGGTATAAAACCCGTGTAACAATTGAGTATTAGCTTGTCTGAGATTATTTTATCAGTGTATTTAATAATGTTATTTACTTCTCTAATTCAAACTCACTTTAGTACAAAATGATTTCAAAGTTGATGATTTCAAAGTTGGTTTCTGATTAGTGCAGGATACTCTCTTTCTCTTTCTACATAAACCCACATACACACACACACACACACACACACATACACACGCATGCATATAAGTTGAGCCTTATACACTTAAAACAAACCAATAATCAAAAAACAAAGGGGAAAAAATGAAAAGTCTTAATAGTTTCACATTTTCTCTTTTTCACCACTCTAGGAAGATAGTATATGTCACAGCAGCAGATTTACATAAATTACTCATATTACCTGCTGACTGTTATGTTTTGCAAGGTAGTTAGTTATATAATACTTAACCTAGATTTATACCAGTTTTTTTTTTAAGACACTCAGTGATGACCTAGTTGACCGTGATTAGAAAAATACTTAATTGAGCTGGTGTAAAAAGTATGAGCCAGTATTTCACTTTTTGATTTCATGTGCAAGTTACAGAACAAGTATCTGTGTTATCATGTGTTATTGAAGAATAACACGCTATCATGTGTTATTGAAGGATATTAGGTTACATATCTTTTAGTTTGCTTTTAAAAGTACATGATACATTACAACAGTTCTGAAAGAAACGTGTCTAATAAAACGATGAAGCAAAAATGATGAAGTCACATATGAATTCCTAATGAAGAATCTAAACTATAAATGGTACCTTGGATTATAATTATCTATTTCTCATTTTAAAATTGCATATCAATTATTTGCCTTAATTTAGAGTAGGTTAGTCACATTTATAATAAATTAGAAAAAAAGTCCCCAAATTCTTGTTAAGAATTTTAGAAAATCTTATATTTTAAGAAATATGTCCTAAGAACCTCTTAACTTCTTATGATGAAACCCCTTCCAAGGCTTGTAAATATTAATAGTAATTATAGGTAGATATGGAAAAATAAATGTGTAATTTGTCAAACCATATTTATTTAAAATACACTTTTTCAGCACTTATATATAAAATACAAATTCAAATCACTAATGAATGAGGTCTGGCAATAGTGTTTTCAAAGTCAGAAGTAGTAGTAGGACTTTAGCTGGGCTTCAACAATTTGGCTTAAAAAATAAACCAAAATACTTACAAAAATATGATGGGAAGTATTCAATGAAACATAAACATGGATTTATATAAGGTGAAACAATTAATGGATAATAAAGAGGGACGTAAGACATAGGGATACTTGAAGAGAAACGAAAACTGTAGTCCTTTAATATTTATATGAGAAGTAATTCTGACCTTTAAGGAAAGTATAGTATAGTTTTTTGCTTGGAGAGGTTGGTGTTAGAAACTTCTTATTTTTTATAAGGGAGTCATATATTATTGAGCCAGTGAGTGCACATAAAGAGCTCTGTCTCTCAATTTCTGTTCCCCATAAACAGAACCGATCTTAATTTGAGTACATTTTAAACTGTAGACAAATACCAGATTTTATGTGAGTGTTATAGTTAGAAAAATTGGTGAACAAGAGAAATATAAAATCTTAAGAAAAGCAGACATCAAAAGTAAGCTAAAATACACATTGCCCTTTACAATTTGTAACATATAGAAAAAGGATCTTGGTAATATCAACCCTTTTTTCACTTCTAAAAAGCTTATGTTAACCTTTTATTCCTGTCATATCTAATAGAATATATACATCTGGGTACAATATTGTATTTGTCAGCAAGTCTGTGAAAATGAAACAACACAGAAAGTGACCTTTAGCTTCCACAAGCTGTGTTACACATGTTACAGTTACAAAACCCAAAAAATCCAAGTAGTCTAGAATAAGAGGGAATCAGTGATAAATCTGAACTTTACAATGTTTACAGGCATTTTACAAATGCTTTTCGAGTTTGAAGTTTTGATTTACTGCATATCACAGGATATTGTTTGTGCTCACTCCCTCTTGAGGGTCATTTTTTAAAACTCTGTCTCCCTATAATATATTTTGGATTATTGCTTTTAAAAGTAATGTCATGAAGACCAAAACTGTGTCTTTGGTTTGCTTCTCACACAATGGTTTGATTATACTGAATGTGTTTGTTGAGGATTTTCATGGTTGACATTTATGAGAAAACGTATCCTTTGATCCCCAAAAGCCACTCAATATAGCTCCTTCTGGAAGAAATGGAATTTTTCTGAGGTATTATGGCTGCTTCATTGCTACCTAGCATTACACAACATTTATTAATTTGGTATTAATAAAGATTACTGAAGTAAGACTACATATGTAGCATCTGGACATGAAAAACTCGCTGGGAAATGTAAATGTGTGCAAATGGATTATGTATATCCATTTAATATAGTGAACATATTAAAATATATTTCATTGAATAAATTTTTGTAATAGCACATTAAAGTGTAGGTTTAGTGGTTATTATTCCTGTGTTATTAAAAGACTTCTCTCAGGTGAGGTGGTGAGCATCTATAGTGTAGTACTGCTTAGGCAACGTAGTGAGACTTCATCTCTTAAAATTAAAACCAAAAGATTTCTGAGTGCCTAACTTAGTGCAAGTTGTACACTAGACATTCCAAAATGCTATTTAGAAATATTGAGAAGAGGATAATTATTTCTAGTCCAAAACACCATGCAAAATGATTCATGTAACAAATATTTCAAGACCTCCTTTTATCTTTTCACTTTGAAACAATTTTAGACTTACAGAAAACTTCAACACGAGTTCAGAGAGCACCAGTATGACCTCAACAGGTTTTCCCTATTTTTATTATCTTGCATAACCATAGTACAATTATCACAGTTAAGAAATTAACGTTGGCACAATATTATTAACTAAAGACTTTATTTCAATTTTATCAGTTTCTCCACTATACATATTTCTCTGTGTGCTAAGATTTGATCCAGGACTGCACATTGTATACAGTGATGTCTCCTTAGTCTTCTCAAATCTGTGACAATTCCTCAGTCTTTCCTTGTTTTTCATGACCTTAACATTTTGAAGATCAGTTATTTTGCAGAATACCTCTCAATTGAGTTTGCGTAATATTTATTCACGATAATATTTGGTAATGCATTTTTTTTTTTTTGCCAAGAGCATCAAAGAAGTTGTGTGCCCACTCAGTGCATCCTATCAGGGGGTGCACAAGATCTGTATACCACAGTACCAGTCATGCTAGCCTTTATATTTTTGGTTAAGGTGATATCTTAGGTTTCTCCATTGTATGAGGAGTTTTTTAAAGTAGCGCTAGTCCTCCTTCTCAACTCTCTTGCTGTCTGAAAGAAGAAACTATAAATCTAATCATGCAGTTGATAGAAATATGGCTATTGTTGAAGCACTTAGGGAAACCTAACAAACCTAACAATACACTAGAATCAGGCAACTTTTTTCTGGAGGATATGATGTGTAAGCTAAGATTTGAAGAAAGGGTAGGAACTAACCAATTGAAGTAGGGCAGCAGAAAGATGGAAACTAAGTGCCACCCATAGCGATCAGGACTTATAAAGCCACAGATGTGTTGGAGAACTGGAAGCAGTGAAAGATGCCGAAGATAAAAATTACTTACTGATGAAGCTAGGTGATTTGGCTGAATAAGTTGTCGAGAGCCAAATGCTGAGTGCATTATATGCTTTTCTAAGAATTTGGACAATATCTTGTAGATTTCTTATTTTCAGGAAAACGAAATCTAAATTTTTAGATTATGACTGTCTATTCCTTGAACAATATTATCTCAAGCTTCTTTTCATTCTCACCTTCTGCTAAACCCCTCCATGCACGTTATATTTCAGTTTTGTGGGGGCTGGTACTTAATGCACTCAAACCTGCTATATGCTTTAAGGCTTCTGTGCTATTAATTTGGACTGTGGTATTACTATTTTCTGTGACAAAATTATCTTTATTTAATGAAGTCTAGAACAAATATCAACTTCTTCATGATAAAACTCCTTCTTTGGACAATGTATTACAGTATTTTTATCATATTGGTATTAGAACATTCAATGCAGTATGTTTTTTGAATATATTTATGTCTATCTAACAGAATGTGAGTGATGTGAGTATAGGAATAATCTCCCTATTCTTTCTACTTCCATTTTCTATCTCAAAGTTTGGCTTATGGTCCGAGTCCAATAATTAACTGGTGAATAAATTAATGCATTATTTTAAATAAAAAAATAGAGTAATCATACATGGAAAACTACAATTGAACCAGTTGCTTTTTGTCCTTATTCTGAGTTGGTAAATGAATCCAGTTCAAGAGCATTATTCATGTTATTACTGTAGTAAAAATCAGCATTGCTAGAGAAATTAATGTGTCTTCTAATTTCCTATTATAAATATTCAGTGACACTTGGTGAGATTGCAAATGCTGTTTAGTTGACTTCACAGTTTATACATTAAAATCAAACTTTATAATTACAATAAAATAAATATGCAGTAAGTTATTACTGAGGTTGTTACATAGTTAAAGGCAAAGAAATGCAAAACTATTTTTATAGATGTTCTTATTTTTTTCTGTATTTTAACATAATAATCATAATTAAAATTAAAGATCTAAACTTGTTTCAATTAATGAGTGACATAATTTATCTCATATCAAATCTGAGAAAGAACAAATATTACTTGGAGGATATTTCTATATGTATATGCAGTAGTTCATTAATGGTAAGATAATATTGATCTAATTAGATGTTTCAGTGAAGTGCTTACTTTGGTCAGTTTCTGAAAATTTCCCTTCAAATCAAAGAAACCAATTAGCTCAATTTATCACTGAGCTCTCTTAATTTTTTTTTTTGCAGAATCAAATTTGAATTAATATCAATGAATTTCTCAAATAGCCTTACCTCGTCCCATGTGGGATACATGAAATAAGAAAGAAATTGAGTCACTTGTTCAAAGTCACTGCAAAGTCAATGATGCTTCTTTCATAGGATACAGGTACACATGTGTTACACAAAAGTGTGGCAACCTGAGAAATGAACAAGGTATCAAGAAAATTATTAGAACTATAATCTTGCTTTTACTGTATGTATTTTAAAAACATGTTTAAAAATCATGCTTCCTGTTGATTATTCTTGCAGGGAAGTTTGGAGTATTGATAATGATATTGAAATAATCAGGGTCAAGAAATAAACAGTTGTAGTAGCATCGTTGCTTGTATTAAAACAAATAGTGAGTAAGGCAAGCCAATCACTGAGGGGTGGGAGGATGGCAGGAGCAAGGAGAGACAGATAAAATAAACATAGGAGAATCATTACACAATTAGATTATGATAAGTCATCATTTCAAATGGTACAAACAAAAAATTCTTAGATTAGCAGAATCAAAGACAGAAATTAATGAAATAAGAGAGCTATCATAGAGCAAAGATACTGAAAAGTGAAGGGAAAATAGTGTCAAGTAAAACATGAAATCTTGCACAGAAACTATGTAGAAGACAGCAGAAGTTACTGAGCTATTCATCATCTTGGAGCTCTTAAACAGAGGATGAATGTTTGCACTTACCCTCTAGAGCAAGAAAAATTCCATCCTCATGCAGCTGGTGCAACAGCAAAGCCTTGGTAACCAAGTTCTAAATAATGGAAAAGAAAACAAAATAAAAAGATAAGTGATGGTATATCCTTAGGGGAAAAAATAAAACCCTGAGTTGAAGATGCAACGCAGAATAAAAAAGGAGCCGACTTGCCAAGGTTATGGCTTCTTCTAGATTGTGTATTGTGATGGACATAAAGTGCTTTATGATAGGTTTGACTGCTCTTTTAGAGACAGTGTTCAAGAAGCACAACTAAAAAAGAAAGAAAGAAAATAACTCAAGCTTTTGAAAAGAGAATTTAGTTGCAGAGGGAAAAGGTTTTATAGTGCCTTCCCATAGAAAATAAAACTGCATGAGAATTTTCTGAGACATAATTGAATGAGTGGTAAACAGCTAGGAAGGGAACACAGAGCATAATGATGACGATAGAAGATCTTTGGTATTAAGTTTCAGGTATAGAAAAGTGTAAAGTTTCACCTATGCTAGATTTCTTCTAAAATACAACCATTTCTGCCAAAGGATTTATTTTAGGCTCAGTTTATAAACTGTTTTCTCAGGGCATGCACTTTTGATGAGAGAGGCCACGTGTTGACTATTTCTTTTTTTTTTTTTTTAAATTATACTTTAAGTTCTAGGGTACATGTGCACAACATGCAGGTTTGTTACATATGTATACATGTGCCATGTTGGTGTGCTGAACCCATTAACTCGTCATTTACATTAGGTATATCTCCTAATGCTATCCCTCACCCCTCCCCCAACCCCAAGGCAGGCCCCAGCGTGTGGTGTTCCCCTTCCTGTGTCCAGGTGTTCTCATTGTTCAATTCCCACCTATGAGTGAGAACATGCGGTGTTTGGTTTTCTATTTCTCAAACAGGTAATGCCAAACTGTGTCAAAGGAGCATAGACTATTAAAAAAGAAAAATTAAAAAAGCTTTCAAACTATCGTGCTTGAAACTGTATACTAGAATTATCAGTGTCTTTCAGAGGAAATTACTTACTATGGTGTACTAAAAATATATCATTTTTGTCTATCCAAAGATAAAACAAGAAAGGAATAGTTTTATAATTTAACTTTAATGCTCTAAGCTGCAAGGTTCGATATTAGACAAAAAATGTCAAAATATAAGCAGAATATTGTATTTTTTCTTTTTCAAAATAGTAAAAATAGGACATGTATATAAGAAGGAAAATATTTCTATAAAATTTTTATATAAACACATATAAATAATGAGGTATTTTAGACTAAAATTATAACAGTTTGATATCTCAGGTTTCAAAGAACTAGTTTCCTGACATCCTTGACTGTTATCACCCTTTGGTGGGAAACTGATAACACAGATAATTCCAAATTTGACTAATTTTCAATAAAAGAAAGCAACTACTTTTGCAACCTGCAAATTTTTGTCTATTGACACATTTTCCTGTTAACTATTTTTTTAGTTGGCTTCTACCCCTTGATTACAGGGTTTTTTTTTTCTTTTCTTTCTCTGTACTTAGATTCTGACTATGCAATCAGTTATATCATGAAAATAGAAAATAAAAGCAGAATAGGAAGTATTGTTGACAACGATAGTTAATCTTCATAGGATATTTCTTAGGTGCCAAGAGTTTGAAACTCTTTTATCTGTTTCAAACTGTACTATACACTTTTGATCATTTTTCATCTCATTTTACAGATTAGGAGACTAAGTCTTAGAAAGGTTAAGCAACTTTCTCAAACAAATTGTACTAATAATTGATGAAATCAGAATTTAACCCAGGTTCATATGACTCCAGGGACTGAGATTTTCACTGCAGCAGACCTAAGAGGAAGTAGATCTGGAGAGACGTTGGTCATTTTCAAGGCTTATATTTTGGAACTTGGGACTGGATAGACCTTTCCAAATATGCTGGATATGTTTGGCCATACACACAAAAGAAAACTCCAATGAAAGCTTTCTTCATTGCAAAATATTACTTAGGTTGAAGACTATCTCTGAAATGTTCCTTAAATGTGCTAATCTAATTGCCTCAAATGTTTCTCAGGATTACACACATTTACATAACCTGCTATAATCTCCAGATAGTCAGTCTGTAGATTGAAGCAGGTTAAATCCTGTCTAATAGTCAGGATAGTTCTACATTTTCAGTGGCCTTTAGAAAGAATGCTTAGTTGAATGAATATCCTGTCTCCAATTCCTCAGGAAGTTTTCTAATACCCCTTCGAAGTGCCAAAGAATGCTAACGTACATAGAAATAACTGGGTACGTTTAAAGTATGCCAAAACATATTTTTTTGGCTACTCTTTGGTTAAGCTCTTCCAGCCAAATCTGCATTCCAATATCAGTCTTTGCATCTTACCGTATGGTTAATTTCAGTGTTGTCACCTCCAGGATTATTTGTATTGAGCCTTATCTGTACTTGAGAAATAAAAGAATTTTGTCTTACAATAAACTGATTTTAGAAATCTATCAACTGTGAGAAGATATGTCCTATATAAGCCAGTCTAGGCAATCACAATTCTCTAAATTCCCAAGGAGAGAGACAATAGATTAAATGTAGTGGACATTCTTGACTCTTCCAGAGGGGATATAAGGAAGGGAAATAAATGAGGAAAGAGAGAGAAAGAGCCCACAATATATGATTTCCACTCAATTTGTCTTTTAATGGAGGACCTTCCCAGATGTAGGCTTCTGTCTTTATCTGTTTTCTGCAAACTGGGTAATTTATAAAGAATATAAGTTTAGTCTTGTGTGTTTAGTGTCTAGCGTGTGGCTTCTTGCATGGAGAAATGACCACTGCAGAGCTCTCCTGCTCCAGAAAGAAATGTTTTCTCACCCACAGCAACTAAGGATTTGAGGCAATGGCTGTTTTCCTAACAAAGTTGCTTAGTTTGGTTTCATTTTCTCTGAGCATCCAAAGGCTAGAAGAGTAGTTGTCTGGCTGAGCTGTGTGGCCATGGGTGGGATTCCTTTTGGCAGCTGGAATTAAAGGGTCTGAAGACTCAAAGCGTTTCAGCGACTGCCATCAGGGACTGAGAATCCAGCGGAACTGTAGTGAAATCTTCAACTGTGCCCAGGAATGATGGTGAGATCTGAGAGTGTATCTACTTTTCACTGGAGAGCACCTGCAGAACCCAACCTCTTTAAAAAAGCCCACCTTGGTCCAGATCTTCATTCGTAGTCCACTGGCAGTGGGGAAAACTCTTACAGGACCCCAAGCAGAAACCAAGTGCTCCATCTGTCTGGATTACCTTAGAGGCCCCATTGCATTGAGTGTGGGCATAAGTTCTGTTGCTCCCGCATCTAAGTCTTGGGAGGATCTATAGGAAAGGCTCCCCTGCCCTGTCTATTATAACCAATGCCAAGAGGGGCCTTTTAGGAGATACACCCAGCTTGGCAAGATAATTTAAATTCCCAAGCTACTCTACATCACCAGGAGCCATAGAGTCAGGCTGGGCAAGAAGCACAACCGGGTCCTGACCATCTTCTGTGAGGAGGAGTTAGTGGTGTTGTATCTCCTGTGCAGCCAGCCCCCACACCACCAGGATCACCACATGAGGCCAATAGAGAAGGCTGTCTTATCACAGGAAAAGGCTATGCAGTTACATCCATCTCCTGAAAAAGCAATCGGAAGACCTTCAAACATTAATAAGCATTCCAAGCAAAAGACTCTTAGAACTGAGAGAAAGTGAAAAACCTAATGCAAGAATTATCCTCTGAATTTGAGCACCTGAACCAGTTTTTAGAACGTGAGCAATAGGCAGCTCTCTCCAGGTTAGCTGAAGAAGAGAGTCAACAAAACTCAGCACAAACATAACAGCATTTTCAATCTACATTTCCACATTCAAAAGTCAAATAAGCAAGATAGTAGAGTTCAGTGTGTTGTCTGAAGTGAAATTTTTGCTATCACAAATTAAAATTTTCTACAAGTTTGAAAAATAAGAATAGCCCATCAATCTTTGCAATTTATTTAAGGAGAGATGACTGCAGTTTCCTCCCAAATATTCTGCTCTGCAGAGAATTATAAAGAAATTTAAGGTAGATATAATTCTACACTCTGAAACAGTATACCATAATCTGATTGTATTTAAGGATTAAAGAAAAGGTGTGACATTTAAAAAGAGAAGACAAAAGATTCCTGGTTTCCCAAAAAGATTTACAATCAAACCTGTTGTCCTGGATTTTCCATATTTTCATTCTGGCAGGCATTTCTGAGAAGTAGAAGTGGGACATAAGTCTAAATGGGCTATTGGCATTCACAGGCATTCTTTTCCCACAAAGGTGAGGAGACCACTGTTAGCCCAACAGGAGTGTTGGAGGATTCAGCTGCAGGATGATAGCTGTCATGCACCATGAGATATTCCAACTCCTCTATTGTTAGAAGTGAAAGCCAGAGGCATTGGCTTTTTCCTGGACTATGAACTGGGTGAGATCTCATTCTGTAACATGACTGAGAAATCTCACAACTATACTTTCACTGATACTTTTATTGGAACTCTTCCATCTTATTTCTATGCAAGACTTGATTCCAAATATCTCAGAACCTATACAGGAACAGTTTGTCAATGAAACCTCCTAGAGGACTGAATCATTTACTATTTGGTTTTATTTCTTAAATGCAAGAAGTGACGGCTATTGTATTAATATACCTATAAATCTAATCCCTTCCCCATTTTTTCTTTCACAGTTTCACCATCTCTAAGAAGAAAGTTTTTGTTCCAGTAACTATCTACAAAACAATGCTAAAAATATTTATGTCCCAGGGATGTTGTGGGGGTTGCCTAATCAAGTGTATGGACCTTGGCACATTGTTGAGTATGAGTGTGATTTTTTCTGTATGTCAGAAAGCACAGATGGAGTTTGCATCCTTGCCAAACTTTAACCAAAGCAGAACTGGTCAACTTTGCCTCTTCTATATAAAAGTTGAATTGTGCTATTCCTGACACATACAAAACTGTCTACTTGGCAGGGAACAAGTTGTAGCCCTTAGTTAAACCACAGGGCACAATTGAAAGGGGTGGGATGTGCACCACATAGAGAGGGTAAACATTTTTAGCCTTAATATATCAGGCTTTGACAATTTATTTTTCTGTTATCCCAAGAAGCCACCTACTGGTAGCATTCACCACATTCGGTTTCTTAGAAACCTTCTGCTCCACATAATTTTTATTTCAGCCTATATTCTTTTCTATTGTGCATTGAATTTTATAATATGGTGACTTGTAATGACACTGAAGAGAATTGGAAAGTCATAATAATGAGCATTACGGTTAGTTAATAGGTCAGAGACTAGAAGAGACTGGGTAATAAAAATTATTTGGGCATTATGGTACACTGATTTTTCTTCAGAATTTTCTTAAAAACATAGCTAACATTTATTGAGCCCTAAATATGTCCCAGGAGTTGCAGTATTTTCAAAACAACTAATGAGATGTAGGAAATAGGCTGTTAAAAAAATGAGCTTAAAATTGAGAAAACAGTCTTAGGGAAAGTACCTTTGTTGAGATGTCTTAGCCAGTTGTAAGGAGATGTCTAAGGATGCCTTCAATCGCTGATAAACAAGGACTGTTAAATGATTTGTCAATGGAGTGCTTTATTCATAAAGAAGAAGTAATGAGGTATTATTTTTCCCTCTGATTATATAAAAAAAGAGATGTCCACAGGTATGTTTTTAAACTCTAAGTATTAGACACTAAGTTAACCAGAGCATCTGGGTTTATATTTAGGTTCTGCTAATTTCTGGTAGTGGGCTTAAACTCATTTGCAAAATGGAAGTACTATTTATTTTGCAAGAAAGTTATAAAGATGAAATTATGTGTGTATGTGTGTATATGTACCAAAGTTAACATACATATCTTTTCCTACTTTACTTTATTTTGTTTTTCACATTTTTTCAGAGATGGAGGTCTTACTTTATTGCCTTGGCTGAAGTGCAGCAGTACAATCATAGCTCACTGTGGCCTCCGACTCCTGAGCTCAAGGGATTCTTCCACCTCAGCCTCCTCAGTGGCTGGGACTGCAGTCATGCACCACCACAGCCAACTAATTTTTGCTTTTTTTATGGAGATGGGATCTTACTATTTTGACCAGGTTAGTCTCAAACTTCTTGTCTCAAGCAGTCTTCCTGCCTCAGCCTCCCAAAGTGCTGGGATTAAAGGCATGAGGCACCATATCTAGGCTAAAAAGACATTTCTGTCTCAGTAAGAGAAATGTGAGTATGGCAGGGTGTTAGGTGATATCAGAGAATTGTTAACCATTAGGTGTGACAGCATTGTGGTTCAGGATATACCCTTATTTTAGAGATTCATAGTAAAATATTTAGGGGTGAAATTGTACTTAAATAATTTTTATTAAAGAATATCAGCCAAAAAATGGGGATAAATGAAGCAGATGTGACTAAATACTGATAATTGTTGAATCTAGGTGATGGGGTGTGAATATTTATTTTGTGTACTATTCTTTGTACTTTAACTGAAAAGAACAAGAAAAATAAAAGTATAAAAGAAGTTCATTCTGTTCCTATTTCTGGAGTCTGGGAAGTCCAAGAACCAGCACAGCATCTGTCAAGGGCCATCCCATGATAGAAGGTGAAAGGTGGAAGTGAGCATGTGAGACAGAGAGAGAAAGAAGGAGCCAAACTCCCAAGATAAGTAACCTACTCCCAAGATAATGACATTAATCCATTCATGAGGGTAGAACCCTAATGATCCAATCACCTCTTAAAGATCTCACCTCTTAAAATCATTAAAATGACAATTAAATTTCAACAAGAGTTTTGGTGGGGACATTCAAACGATAGTAAATTCCAAGAAGGCACTAAATCTCTGATTTCTGTGCCTCCAAAATAAATCTCTGATTTCTGTGCCTCCAAAATTCCTTCTAAGAAACATTTGGGAGGGTTGATACAAACTAACCTCATACAGAATAAAACAGGAGTCTCCAAATCCCGGGCCACAGACTGTTACTGTACAGCAGGAGATGAGTGCTGGGTGAGCCAGCAAAGCTTCATCTATATTTACAGCCACCCTCCATTGCTTGCATTACTGCCTGAGATCCACCTCTTGTCAGATCAGTGGTGGCATTAGATTCTCTTAGAATCTCGAACCCTATTGTGAACTGTGCATGCAAGGGATCTAAGTGTCTGATCCTCATGAGAATTTAATGCCTGACGATTTGTCACTGTCTCTCATCACTCCTAGATGAGACCATCTAGTTGCAGGAAAACAAGCTCAAGGCTCCTGCTGATTCCACGTTATGCTGAGTTGTATAATTATTTCATTATATATTACAATGTAATAATATAAAGTGCACAATAAATGTAATGCCCTTGAGTCATCCTGAAATCATCTTCCTTCCCACGAAACTGAACCCTGGTGCCAAAAAAGTTTGGGGATTGCTGGTATACAAAAACAAAAAAACTGGTATAGGTAAAAACTTAATTGGTGTTTATGAAGACGTAATGCTTCAAATAATTTAAGCAATTCTCAATTATATTAATTTATGAAAAAAAGAAAGAAAAACCTGCTTTAAAATTGTGATAATATCAGGGTTCCTCAGAGTTCCATCTTGGATCATTTTTCTGCATATTCTCCCTATTGAATAACATCTACATGTAACTTTAACAATGATCATTCCCCCAAGGTATCTGTTTCTATGCTTTCAGCCCAAACCAATATTCTAAAATTCAGACTGTAATATCATCAGACCTACTAAAGGTTTCCAGTTAGATACTCTAATGATATCTTAATATCATATATCAAAAATGCCTCTTTTCCCTTAGACCTATTTTTTCCCAAATTTTTACACCATTAATATCAGTCTCATTTCAATTCCTGAAAGCAGACTGAGAGATTCTTTGTGTCTATAAATTATCCTGTGTCTTGCAGCTATCATGAGGCGTCTGTGGTCATTCTTTTCTCATGATATGCCTACTTAGAGAATCACAAGTCGTTCCTGACCACCCTAAAATGAGCAACATATTCTTACAATGTTCTCTCTGATTCTACCAAGTGTTTTGATCCTCATAGCATAAAAATTATAAGATACTGTTGAGTTGTGATGAGAGGGGTTTTCCACACTATGCCTCACAGAGCTACCAGCGTCCATGAAATATCTCTTACTGTGCTCGAGGCCTAGAGGTTCCCTTAGGCTCTTTTTCCATGACCTTTCTCTAAGAGGCTCAAAATGATTTTAAGTGAGAGTGTTCTGGGCAAAAATCATTTTGTCCATCTCTGAATTCTGATCCCTTATCACTTAGCCTCTTCCTTGATGAAGTACCTTCCAATTTTTCCACTCACTAAATTAATATCTATGCATATGAATGGTAATAAACACCCAATGGAAGCTGCAGAGGGGGAAAGGAATAAATTAAAGAGGAGTGTTTCTCTTTATGCTTGTCGTATTACCAATCTTCCTAAATGTCACCACCATCATCTCAGTTACGCGAGGTAGTAGATGGGTAATTGTCATAGATTATTCTCTTTTCAAAATGCCCTTATATTAATTATTCATTCAATGTACTCAATCTATCTACTATATATTTTTTCAAGTCTATTCTTCCTTTCAATTTATGCAGCTACATTTTTCAGGTTTTAATTATTTACTTAGATTACCCTCATTAACTTTTAAGTAATTTCGTGTGTTCAGTTCTTCTGTGTCCTTTTGGATTCCATCCTGCCACAATCTGCACAACTCTCTTTATTGACACAAAATTTGAATCATATTTTATCCTTTACTAGATTTTCTCCAATAGCACCCTCTTGTCTTCAGGAATATGAAATCCTTCTGTTGTAACAAGATACTATTTAACAGCTTTGTAAGTCAGGATCCAGCAAGATAACAGTGATAAGATAACATAATTATGAGCTCCGGTGAACATTGAAGAGTGTGCCCTAGAGTTTCTGAAAATGAAGGTCTTTAAAAATATAGTGCATTATGGGACAAAGACATAGGTTTTCTTTTTTATTATTATTATACTTTAAGTTCTATGGCACATGTGCACAAAGTGCAGGTGTGTTACATGTATACATGTGACATGTTGGTGTGCTGCACCCATTAACTTGTCATTTACGTTAGGTATGTCTCCTAATGTTATCCCTTCCCCCTCCCCCGACCCCACGACAGGCCCTGGTGTGTCATGTTCCCCACCCTCGTGTAGAGAACATGTTCCCCTGACTGTCACTAGAGGTCACTTGACTAATTTCCAGAAGTTTGTAACTTGCATTAATTCTACAGTCCTTTTCATTACTCCAATTTATAAAACATCAACATTCTGTTTACCATTGCATAAGAAGTAATCACTATAAAACTAAGCTACAGACCTTTGCATCTTTTCTACAGCATGAGCATTAATCTGAAAGATTTCTCTCCTGAGTGTGGTGCAGGTTTGCTTTGTTAGTTATTAAAGTTTTATCTAATTCGACTCTATAATTGGAATGTTTTTGACATTCACTTGTATACCTTTTATGTAAATGATTTTGTTAGGGTCCTTTGGGTATTCCCTTTCTTGGTGAAGCATGCATGTGTCACAGTTCCTTCAGTATTTCTTCTATGGTATGAAATGCACTCATTGTTTATATAATCTCACTATCAGAATCAGTCATATAAACATATATTTATAACTTAAAATATATATATATAAAACTTAAAAATAATGATAATATCTCACCTTTTTCTAAGAGAACAATTCAATATTCTAAGTAGACAGGTAGCAGCAGCACTTAAACACTATGGCAAGGTAAACATGTTCATGTAATATCATTAGGCATGAGTAAGTATCATAGTAGTTTGACCTACATGGCTCTTCAGGACGGGCTAATTGATCAGGATCTTTGCCACTAAAATAAGTTGGCATCCTGTGAGATTAAATGTGAGATATATAGAGAAAGAAAAAACTAGGTCTAATGAAGAGAATCTTGATGGAAATCTCCATTTTATATTCACAGCTCCTCTCCAGATTCCAAGATATTAGCTCACAGATCTGAGACCTTGAATGAAGAGTCTGGGTAAGCCATGAGAAAAAACTTTCAGTAGTCTCAAAGATATACATCTTCCTTCTAGACCTTCCCAATAAGTTCTACAGCCTTTTTAATATTTGCAACAAATATGCCACTCTGGTGGGGGATATTGATAATGGGAGAGGCTGTGCATATGTGGGGGAAGGGATCAATGAGATATCTCTGTACCTTTCTCTTAATTTTGCTGTGAACTTAAAATTGCTCTAAATATTCTTAAATAATATAAGTGTCAATGCCTATCACATGTATACACAAATATAAATGGTTGAAAAAATTACCGCAGTCGAAGAATACTATCATCACTTTGCCTCAGAGCTACAACATTTATCTTTCACCGAGTGTCATAATTCAGTTTGGAAAAACTTTGATGATCTCACCATATCAGAAACAATAAATATATGACATCATAATGTTTGGTCCTGGAGAGAAGGAAGTGATATACTCCATAACTATTACAAGATAAAGGCTTATAAAGCATACAAATAAGTTAGAAGTAAGAACAGATATGGAATTGTATTTTGATGGTATTTTATCCAAATTCTCCTTTTTTGATTACCTTTAAGTCTCTTTGGCATCCTCTCCTTCACCCCAGCCTTCCTATGCTAAATCTTCAGGGAGATACACATGACTCACAGAAGGCAATTAACTCATCACTGAGCTAAAATGTCTGATAAACCCAATTGCAGAAATTAGGTAAAGATTTATGGGAGCATGTGGTTTAGGCAAGAGATATAAGAATGTTCTCCTACCTATCTCAAATTTAAGTATTAAAATTTTTATTATGTTTTGTATGTCTACATGTTTTAAAAAAAGAAAAAACAAACACTATCTCAAGAGAATGAAAAGACAAACCATGCTGTTATCCAAAATATACTAAAGACTCAAAACTCAATAATAAGAAAAAAACCAACCCAATTAATAAATGGGCCTAAGACTTTAATGGATACATTACCAAAGAAGATATACAGATAACAAATAGGCATATGAAAGTATGTTTCATATCAAATACAGTCAGGGAAACGCAAACTAAAACAACAATAAGCGACCACTACCCACTTTTTAGAATGGTCAAGATTCAGAACACTGACAACACCAAATGCTGATTAGGATGTGGAATGACAGAATCTCTCACTGATTGCTGGTGGGAATGCAAAATAGCACGGTTACTGTGGAAGATAATTTTTTTGTTTCTTGTAAAACAAAACATACCACACAATCCTTTAATTTATGCTTCTCGGTATTTACCCAAAGGAGCTGAAAATATATGTCCACACAAAAACCTGCACATGGACATTTATAGCAGTTTTATTCATAACTGCCAAAACTTGGAAGCAACCAAGATATTCTTCAGTAGATAGATGGATAAACTATGGTGTATCCAGACAGTAGAATGTTATTCACCACTAAAAAGGAATGAGCTAGAGAGCCCAATCATGAGTGAATTCCCATTCACAATTGCTTCAAAGAGAATAAAATACCTAGGAATCCAACTTACAAGGGACGTGAAGAACCCCTTCAAGGAGAACTACAAACCACTGCTCAGTGAAATAAAAGAGGATACAAATAAATGGAAGAACATTCCATGCTCATCAATAGGAAGAATCAATATTGTGAAAATGGCCATACTGCCCAAGGTAATTTATAGATTCAATGCCATCCCCATCAAGCTACCAATGATTTTCTTCACAGAATTGGAAAAAACTAACTTAAAGTTCATATGGAACCAAAAAGAGCCCACATTGCCAAGTCAATCCTAAGCCAAAAGAACAAAGCTGGAGGCATCATGCTACCTGACTTCAAACTATACCACAAGGCTGCAGTAACCAAAACAGCATGGTACTGGTACCCAAACAGATATATAGACCAATGGAACAGAACAGAGCCCTCAGAAATAATGCCACACATCTACAACCATCTGATCTTTGACAAACCTGACAAAAACAAGAAATGGGGAAACCATTCCCTGTTTAACAAATGGTGCTGGGAAAACTGGCTAGCCATATGTAGAAAGCTGACACTGGATCCCTTCCTTACACCTTATACAAAAATTAATTCAAGATGGATTAAGGACTTAAATGTTAGACCTAAAACCATAAAAACCCTAGAAGAAAACCTAGGCAATACCATTCAGGACATAGGCATGGGCAAGGACTTCATGTCTAAAACACCAAAAGCAATGGCAACAAAAGCCAAAATTGACAAATGAGATCTAATGAAACTAAAGAGCTGCTGCACAGCAAAAGAAACTGCCATCAGAGTGAACAGGCAACCTACAGAATGGGAGAAAATTTTTGCAATCTACTCATCTGACAAAGGGCTAATATCCAGAATCTACAATGAACTCAAACAAATTTACAAGAAAAAAACAAACAGCCCCATCACAAAGTGAGCAAAGGATATGAACAGACACTTCTCAAAAGAAGAAATTTATGCAGCCAAAAGACACATGAAAAAATGTTCATCATCACTGACCATCAGAGAAATGCAAATCAAAACCACAATGAGATACCATCTCACACCAGTTAGAACGGTGATCATTAAAAAGTCAGGAAACAACAGGTGCTGGAGAGGATGTGTAGAACTAGGAATACTTTTACACTGTTGGTGGGACTGTAAACTAGTTCAACCATTGTGGAAGCCAGTGTGGCGATTCCTCGAGGATCTAGAACTGGAAATACCATTTGACCCAGCAATCCCATTACTGGGTATATACCCAAAGGATTATAAATCATGCTGCTATAAAGACACATGCACATGTATGTTTCTTGTGGCACTATTCACAACAGCAAAGACTTGGAACCAAGCCAAATGTCGAACAATGATAGACTGGATTAAGAAAATGTGCACATATACACGATGGAATACTATGCAGCCATAAAAAATGATGAGTTCATGTCCTTTATAGGGACATGGATGAAGCTGGAAACCATCATTCTCAGCAAACTATCGCAAGGACAAAAAACCAAACACTGCATTTTCTCACTTACAGGTGGGAATTGAACAATGAGAACACATGGACACAGGAAGGGGAACATCACACTCCGGGGACTGTTGTGGGGTGGGGGGAGGGGGGAGGGATAGCATTAGGAGATATACCTAATGTTAAATGACGAGTTAATGGGTGCAGCACACCAACATGGCACATGTATACATATTTAACTAATCTGCACGTTGTGCACATGTACCCTAAAACTTAAAGTATAATAAAAAAACAAAAGAAAGATAACCGAATACCACAAGTTCTCAGTGACAAGTTGGAGCTAAGCTTGGGACTTGTGGACATAAAGATGGCAACAATAGAACCTGGAACCTACTAGAGAAGGGAGGAAAGGAGGGAGAAAGGGTTGAAAAAACTATGGGGCACAATGCTCAGTGCTTGGGTGATGGGATCATTCATACCCCAAACATCACACAATATACCCAAGTAACAAATCTGCACATGTACCCCCTGAGTCTAAAATAAAAGTTGAAAAACAAACAAACAAAAAAAGGAATGAGCTATCAAGCCATGCAAAGACATGAGAAAAAGTTAAATGCATATTACTATGTGAAAGAAGCCAATTGAAAGGCTACAAACTGTTTGATTTCAACTATATGATACTTTGGAGCAGGAGAAAGTATGGAAACAGTAAAAAAGATCAATCATTCCCAGTGATGGATATAATAGTGCATACAGGGTGGAAACATGCCATTATATATTTGACAACCCCAAGAATATACGACATCAAGAGTGAACCTTAAGGTAAACTATGAACTTTGGGTGATGATGATGTGTCAACGTGGGTTCATCACTTGCAACAAATGTACCATCCTGGTGCGGGATACTGATAATAGAGGCTATGCATGTGTTGGGGAAGGCATCAATGAAGTATCTCCGTACCTTTCTCTTAATTTTGCTGTGAACCTAAAATTGCTCTAAAAAATCTTAAATAATATATGTGCCAATGCATATCACACGTATCACAAATATAAAGAGCTGAAGAAAATCCTGCAGTCAAAGAATAGTGAGATTTTTTACTTCTCTAAAGATGAGAAATGTAAAATTGAAAGAAAAAGAACCACATATGGGCAAATGGCCCTTTTAAAGAATGGGAACCTACCTATTAATAATCATGATCTAATCAATGCCCTCTGAACATAGACAATCCTATTAATCATTTCTCTTCCCTGGGGAATGGTGTAAAAAGATAAGGAGAAGGAAGCCAAAACTGTCTTTCTTTGCAATATGAAACAGATAATACAATAGAAGGTATTTAATAATGTACACAATTTTTTAGAAAACTTCAAATTGGGAAATATAGTTTCATGGTAGAAGTGTATTGAATGTGAATATGAGCTTACTTTAATTCCTGCTAGAATTTAGTTGTTGGATAATATACAGAGTAAGTTTTAACTAGGGACAATTAATTTTTATCCAGTGTTTATCTCTTTCTGTCTGGCTTTCCTTATAAAAACTGTGCAATTTAGTTATTGTTTTCTCCATTATATAAAGATATTGAGCTAGAGCAAGATTAGGTAACTTATCAAGGGATCAAAGCTGTTCTTTGACTTGGAAAAAAAAAAGAAAAAGAAGTGTAATCATCACTTGAATAGTTTGGATATTTTTTCCTTCTAAATCTCATGTTGAAATTTGATCCCAGTTTTAGAGGTGGGTCCTAGTGGGTGGTGTCTGGGTCATGGGTGTGGATCCATCATGAATAAATTAATGCCTTTGCTGTTGGTGGGGGCAGGGAGCATGGTACAGGGGTGACTGAGTTCCTGCTTTGTTAGTTCCCACTGAAACTGATTGACAAAAAGGGCCTGGCACCTCTCTCTTCTCTCTCTTTCTCTCTCTCACCATGTGATCTATGCATGCCTGTTCCCGTCTGCTTGCACTAAGAATGGAAACAGCCTAAGTTCCTCACCAGAAGCAGAGGCTGGCACCATGTTTGTTATGCAGCCTGCAGAACCGTGAGTCAAATAAATTTCTTTTCTGTATAATTTGTCCAGCCTCAGGTATTCCTTTAGAGCAACATAAACAAAGACAATACTTAACATACTGTATAGTATTACAATTAGATGGTCAAAATATGTGTACTCCCGGCAGCTATGTTCTTGGCTGCCTGAGAGATTGGGAGTGTTAGGATGATTTACTAAGTAAGACAGGGACTGTAAATGGATATTGTTATTTGGATGAGAATCCAAGGAGCTACCTAATATTTTAAGGTTAAATAAATCAGAGCAACATGTAGTTTTCTTAATTGATTTATGTGAATTTCTATATGCAGCTTCTATAATTTATGTGCATTTGTATTTGCTTTATTTATGTATACAGCCATAGCTTTGAAGAACCAGAAGAAAAATGCCACATTTTCTTTGCTAAAGGGTTGGGAAAGATTGATTTAAGAGTAGAATTAAATTTGAAGCACTTTGTACTTTCTGATTTAGTGGTGGCTTTGAGGATGATGATGTTTGGACTTTCTGCTTCCACCTCCTACTTAGAAAATCTAGTATCTGAACGAAACTACAAAAAAAAAAATAATTAAGGGGTTTGTTTTTGAGAACTGGAGTTGGCAAATGTACCAATGTGTTTATGGTAGCAAATGAAACATTCAAAAGGAAAATGGAATTCCCTTTAAAATTAACTTAATTAGATCAGGACAAGAAAAAAAGCATGAGGAATTTATGGTTGGCTTTGTCATTATATATTTGCAAAACACTATAAATAAATACATTTAGATTGCAAAGTCTGTAAGTTTTCTCTGGGTGCTTTATTTGGTCATGTTTACTTCGTTGATGAAGCTAGGAAAATTAGAAATGCAGTATTTTTGTGATCTCATAAAGAAACTTTCTCCTCTCATTTCTTCATTTACTACACTGGATAGGCTTACGGCAGCTTATCAGCCAAATATATTGCAGGAAGTGCAGGGCCTCTTTCTTAACGATACATCAAATAATGCCTGTGCCCTTCACGGCCTGGAGTCTGAAAATGTCAGAGCTTTCTATTCATGAGAGATTGGTTGAAGACTTTTTCAGACTCCTAATTACAAATATGGTGAACTTGTTGCCATAGTTTTTCTTCAGATGCATCGCAAGCAGTCGGTGTGCCACTGCTGTATTATTTGAGGTCATGGATCACTGAGAAATTAACTAAATAGGAAAATTGCCATTTTTCCAACAAACTTACTTAGGTAAAAGTTATTTTAAGTTTCATGGTCTGATGCAACAAGCTGTTTGCTTAAGACATTGTTTCCTCTTAGAATAAGCTTGAAGAACTTTTTTTTTAATGAAATGGGTCAGGCAATGACCACAGGTTTTTGACAGATCATAATTTTACATGATTCATGTTGGAAGTAAAAGCACTATTACATACTCAATATGTAATAATTTGTGTTTTCAAACACAAAATGTTTAACATTATATACATATATATATATATATATATATATTTTTTTTTTTTTTTTTTTTTTGAGACAGAGTCTTGCTCAAGTTGCCCAGGCTGGAGTGCAATGGCGCAATCTCGGCTCACTGCAAGCTTCACCTCCCAGGTTCAGGCCATTCTCCTGCCTCAGCCTCCCAAGTAGCTAGGACTACAGGTGCCCGCCACCATGCCCGGCTAATTTTTTTTTGTATTTTTAGTAGATACGGGGTTTCACCGTGTTAGCCAGGATGGTCTTGATCTCCTGACCTCATGATCCACCCGCCTTGGTCTCTCAAAGTGCTGGGATTACAGGCATGAGCCACCGTGCCCGGCCTATATATCTTATAGTTCAATCATGTGAAGCAAAGTAGGATAATATTTAAATATATAGTATTGGTATTTCAGTTATGTTTACATATGGCCCACTAACCATTTATAATAGAACAATTATCAGAGGATATTTGCCAATAATATGAAACCAAACAATTTAGTATATTGAATTAATTAGCTAACTAACTTTACCCCTTTTACCCAAATTGATTTAACTATGTAGTTATAGCTATAAGTCATTTTGAAAACCAGAGATATTTACAAAATTTAGGGTGAGGGGAGAGATAGGATATACAAAAATTAAATGATTTCCCAAAGACATGCTATTTGAGTAAAAAAGATATTTCAGAATTGTGGTGCTAGGGATTTAGGGGACATTGTTGGTACCCAGCCAAGTTAGTGTAAGCATTAGATCCTAACAGTATCCTGCTAGCTCCTTTTGAGAGACTGGCTCTTGTCAGAATGCTAAATGGGAGTCAGGTTATCAGACTCAACTTCAGACACAGCCTGCAGTCAATGACTGACTCACAAGGGTTACAGTAGGCCAGGCCCTGTTGCAAGTGACAAACTCTGTGCTCAGAAGCTCCCTGTGAGATCAGGCCATAGCTATAGCCTTCCTGAGACACATCTTTATTTTGTTCCTTTCTTTGCTCTTGATATGGTTTGGATCTTTGCCCCCATCCAAATATCATGTCAAATTGTAATACCCAGTGTTTGAGGTGGGGCCTAATGGGAGGTGACTGAATCATGGGGGCAGAGTTTTCATGAATGGTTTAGCACCATCCTCTTGGTGCTGTTCTTGCGATAGTGAGTGAGTGAGTTATGATAAGGCATGGTTGTTTTGAAAGTGTGTAGCACCTCCCGTCTCTCTCTCTTCCTTTTGCTCCTGCCACGCAGATGCCTCATTTCTCCTTTGCCTTCCACCATGATTAAAAACTCCCTGAAGCCTCCCCAGAAGCAGAAGCTGCTATGCTTCCTGTATAGCCTGCAGAACTGTGAGCCAATTAAACATCTCTTCTTTGTAAATTACCCAGTCTCAGGTATTTCTTTATAGCAGTGCAAGAACGTACTAATACAGCTCTCTTCTACCTTCACTTCTGCTTTCTTGAGAGTTCTCCCTCAATAAATCATGTGTAAGAAATTCATGTTTCAGGCCTTACCCCTAGGGATCCCAATCTGAAACAATGAAATTAACCAACCATTACGAAAATAAAAAATAAAATTTTTTCACAAATCTGAATGCATATACTGTTTTTTTCTTCAGAAGAATTAGTGAATCTTAAAATAGTCAGGTTGGGTCTACATACAAAACAGGCTTGTTTGTTTTCCCTGGATTGATTGTTACTAACCTCACTGTATTATACACTTACTTTGTGTTTTGACATTGTTGCAATCTTTCCTCGGAGCCAAAGAATCCTGGAGAAAGTGGGCCTATTTAATGTATGTTTATATTTACATGATTGTGAAAGCCAAAAGGCAAAAGGTAAGGCACTTTTAGAATCAGTATGGCACACATTCTTTATTCCTGATTAGTATTGAAATAACAGTCTTTATACAATTATGATAATGATATAAAAAATAGATTTTCCTCATCTAAATGTTGATCCTTACCTCTTAGTAATCATAAATATTAGTCTTGAAAGCCAGAAGTCTGTAAACCATCATGATTTTCCTGTTGCTACCATAACAAATTACCACAAACTTGATGACTGAAAACAATAAAACTTTATTCTCTTATAGTGTTTTCTGAGAGTCAGAAGTCCAAAATCAGTTTCACTTAAGCTAAAGTCAAGTTGTTGGCAGGCCTGTTTCCTTGTGGAGACTGTGAGGGGATAATCCACTTCCTTTTATTTTTCAGCTCCTTGTGGCTGTGCGTATTCCTTGGCTTGTGGCCCCTTCTTCCTTCTCTAAAGCACATCACTTCAATCTCTGCTTCTTTTATCACCTCTCTTCTCAGGTTCTAAAGTGAAAACTTCCTAGGTTTTTTTCTTAGACACTTGTGATTACTTTTAGAGCTCACAGGGATAATGCAAGATAATCTCAACATCCTTACTTTATCTCTATTTTATCTTTCTCACTAACTTAATCCCATCTGCAAATCTCCATTGTCATAAAAGGGAACATTTGTACCTTCTGGGGTTTAGAATTTAGATATCCTTGGGACTCTTTTTTTTTTTTCAGCCTTACACAGGTACTATTATGAAATAAAAAAATAAATTTTTTCACAAATCTGAATGCATATACTGTTTGTTTTCTTCAGAAGAATTAGTGAATCTTAAAATAGTCAGGTTGGGTCTACACACAAAACAGTCTTGTTTGTTTTCCCTGGACTGATTGTTACTAACCCCACTGTATTATACACTTACTTTGTGTTTCGACATTGTTTTAATATTTCCTCGGAGCAAAGAATACTACAAACCATAATGAGATGGGAGGTGATAAAAGAAGCACAGCCACAGGAGCTGAAAAATAAAAGGAAGTGGCTTATCCCCTCACAGCCTCCACAAGAAACAGGCCTACCGACAACTTGAATTTAGCTTAAGTGAAACTGATTTTGGACTTCTGACTTCCAGAAAACTATAAGAGAATAAAGTTTTATTGTTTTCAGTCATCAAGTTTGTGGTAATTTGTTATAGTGGCAACAGGAAAATCTTACAGTACCCACCTATTTTTAAGTTAGGTTTAAGTAACACAACGTACACACATCCCAAGAACTGTGCCTTGGATGGTGAGCACTCTTCCAGTATTGGAGTTAAAGTTCACATTTCATGATGCATGACAGAAGTTGGATGTTTGATTTGCTAAGTTTTGCCTCTGAGTACCTTCTCCCTCAGGACTGGGTACTCTGCTACCACTGATACAACAGACCATCCACACAAAAAATAACAACTCAAAGGTAAAATGAAAGGCTGAATTACTAGTATTTATAAAAAACTCAGATATTTATTTATTCTTTATATGTATATATAAACCATGCATAATACCCTAATAAAGGACAGATAAATATAACATTAGAACATAGACGATAGTAACCATTTGCCATAATTCTGAGCCTCATGTTGAATAAACTCTTTCTGCTAATCAGTCAGGTCTCAGTAAAAGCATGCTGTAACTCTACCAGGGCAAAAAGTGTTGCATTTATCAAAATAATTAAATACATATGCAAAACAGATATAAACTCTCAAAAAAAGCTGAATGCTATTCATGTTGACTGCCAAATTGAAGAAAAGTCAGTATTTTTGTGTCTTTCTATTTCATCTTCTCCCTTATTTAACAAAAGAAAAACTCTAACAGAAGACAATTGTCAAAAGATTGTGGTTTATTTTTATACAGGTAAAATAAGCAAGGTGTCCATATCTACAGCTTTAGTTTGTCTAGGATACACTTATGTTGTTTCCCTGAAGAATTAGCCCCACAGAATGAATCCAATTTTATTGTTCTTCATCTATTTAGTAATATCACACCTATAGATTCAGTGGCACTCAAGATATGATTACATGAATAAGAATTTAGAATCTTATAATTTTTACTAACAAAATGGTTAGTAACCTGCAGCTTGGCAATGAAAATTTAAGTTCATATGTTGTAAAATAGTATAGGTATCCAGAGGGAGGGAATACATGTGAAAAGCAAATAGAAGAAGCAAAATTTAGCATTTGCTCCTAAAATAAATCTCATATCTATTCAATGATATCACTAGCATTTAAATCCTTAAAAAAATGAACCAATCACACATTAAAACTGGAAAATAGAATTGCTTTCAATTTTAAATATACATGAGCATATATATCCTCTAGGGAAAGCAAAATAGGAAATGTCATTGCAAGTAAGCTACATGTGAGCACTCAATTCCTCCTTAAAAAATAGGGGAAAATGATTTGCATTCTCTGTCAATCTAGCTCAGCATGTAGCTGGGCCTGTCTCAGCAGTGGCAGTCATGTGAGGAGAACCATTTAGATGCAACATTTACTTTGGCACAGGTTTGGTTCCACATTCAGGTTTTCCTTCAGATGGACTATCTCCATGTGCACACAGGTCTGCCTCTTAATTCAACTACTGAAATTAGGGACAATATCTGCAAGAGCACTTGGGTAATAAGAGAACCAGCAGGAGCAGAAGTGGGTATCGGTAAGCCTTTTGTGCTTCTCACTTTCTTCCCAATGCCTGGATACTTTGCAAAGAGTCTATCTTACTCTGCAATCGAGTTCTGATAACTGCAGCTTTAGAATAAATTGTATCTGCACATGGCCATTGTATCAGCATTGATCATCTGGTTTGTTATGAATTTCTGATGAGCCATCAAAGCATATGCATGAATTGTTAAAAAGTATCAAATAACCAGCTGAGTGTCCTGAGGTACAATACCTCAATTGATTAAAGTTAATGTCTTATTTTAGGTTTCTTGAAAAGTAACTTTTAGAAAGAATATAAAGATATATTTAGATTTGGGGTGCTAGGCTGGCCCTTCAGGGTGTCAAACCCTGAAAGGAATATGAATAAATTTAATGCATTGAGAATGCTGTTCAGAAGGATAAGTTACACAAATAGCAATGAAAATAATGCTATAAAACAATTCATAGTTATAGATAATAAGCAACTGCTACAGAATAAGAGAGATATGAGTTTGGATTGGGATCTGCATTAGACAGAATGATGGCCACCAAAATTGTTCAATTTTTAATCCAAGGAACCCATAAATATGTTATCTGGCAAGTGAGAATTAAAGTTGATAATCAGATAATGTGAAAATAGGGAGATTATTCTTGATTATCAAAGTAGACACAATATAATCGCAAAGGTCATTTAACTGGAATTGTGAAATCAGTATCAGAAATTTGAAGATGCTACACTGCTGTGTTTGAAGATGAAAAAAGCGGCCCCAAGCCAATGAATTTAAGCAGCAGTAGCTAGGAGCTGGAAAAAGCAAGAAAATGGGTACTTCAGTTGACATTTGAAAATAAATATATCCTTGCAGACACTTGATTTTGGCTCAGTAAGACTCATTTCAGGTGTCTAATTTTCAGAATAATAAGAACATACCTTTGTGCTGTTTAAGCAACTAAATGTGTGGTAATTTGATACAGCCACAATGGGAAACTAATATTGAGTCCTAGAATAAGCACAAAGTAAAGAAGTATGAATGTTCAATGTATCTTTGGTAACAAAAATAACTTCAGCTGATTATTGGTTTTGTGAAAGGATGTTCTGAGAAATAAGACGGGAAAGCATAAATTGGATCACTTCATTGTGAAGGTAAGAAACATAGGTATCTCTCAGGTAGTGAGGGGAAGTAAGAAGAGCTATCAAATTTTCCTACTTATACAATCCTTCATTAATGTTTTTTAGTGCAAACCAACTTGCTTTCATATTCTTTCTTTTTTTTTTTAGTGTAAGTCATATTATCTCACCCAGCCCCCATATGTCAACATTTTAATGTAAAACCATTTTGTTTTATTTCCCTTCATCATGTAGAGGAATAATCTTTGAGTATGTTACAGGATAAAGATAAATATTTCTCTAAGATTTATATAGGCTTACTGGTATTTATATAAACAATACAAACATTTCGTATTTACAATTAATATCTATACAGAAATTTAAAAAATAAAAAGTGCTTTTATATTTACCATCTCAAAATGTTATTAATTGTAAATAAGAAATGTTCGTGTTGTTTATATAAATACCAGGAAACCCATAAAAATCACATATTTAATTCTTCATTCTCATCTACATGATCCCTTGTTTTCCAGTACAAAATCTAGAGGATGTAGGTTAAGAAGTAGGCATTTAAAAAAAAACTTCATATGCAGTAACAGTTACTATGTGTATATGACATATCGGATTATTGCCACATACTTGTATTAATTTGTAATGCATATAGAGTTTTTCTAAGCCTACTTCGTTTTCTCACATCCTCCAAATGAAGGAAATAAAGTGTCTTTTTAAATGGAAGATCAGGGAAATTAGTTAAAATGCACTTAAATTAAAATGTTCATATATGGGGGATGGGTGAGAGCTGCAGAATAATATATAAATTAAGATTAGATATAATAAACTAATATCTATTAGTGATACTACATTTATTAGGATATCCTGTGACATAGATATTAAAACTCACATGGCTGCATGTTTATATATAAAATATATATAAGCATATATATTATATATTTTTATATATTTATTTATATTGCTATGATCATCTCTATAGATGGGTCTGGGTCGAGTTTCATACTGCTATCAAGTACCTGACCAGGATTCAAATGTGAATCTCCTATCTCTAAATCTTTCGCTCAGAGACTCTTCTATAATTTCTTCAATGAGATACCAGAAGCAATTTACTTCTTGAGGTCTGGGAATAAAGACATGAAATAGTTCCTACGTATAGTGCCTATAGGATAAGGTTTGTGGCTTAGAACCATGGATAAACAAGTGGTGAAGGGCTGGAGAGTTTTAGCCCTGGGACTTTACCTGCTCCTTCTTGTTTTTCACTTCCTTTTGCCTCTGACAATTTGCCACCTTATATCTCTCAGAACTATTGTCTGTGTGTGGTGTATGTGTGAGTGTGCACAACTACACATGTGCACAGCTAGGGCAAATATTTGAGCTTAAAAAAGGTGTTAATTTGCTTGCCAAATACATTGTTTTCATAGTGAAATGTATTACTAAATGCAATACAACAGGTCTGTAATTTATTTACATGATAAAATGTTAAAAACATTTCACTCACAGTAGGCTACTTTATATCTTCAAACCATCCAGGGATTAAGCTTACTGTTTCTTAGATAATAGTTCTATTCCCCACCACTTGTGGAAAAGTTGCAAATGTATTTACAGTTTATAATATATTTCTATGTACTTCCTTTTATTTAATACTCATAATTAAATGAGTAAGTACGTGTAAAGAGCTGAGCATGATTGCTACATAGTGCTGCAAACCAAAAAGTAAAATTCTAACCACCCCCCCACCAACTGAATGAACTCTTCCTCTTGGCCAAGGGCATTCTAAAGTCAACTTGAAACACTAGTTGGTCATAATGGGAAGTGGGGGTTGGACATGCCTAATTATACCTTCCTCCCTTTGGAAATCAGGCACAACAGACCAGCATTAATATTAAAATGGAGATCTTATGACTGACGGAACGGACTGGTTATGTCTGATAGGAGACATTTACAATCTATTCTCTCTGAGCCTACTACGTGGAAGCTTTATCTTCATAATAACAGCCTTGGTCTCCAAAACCCTTTATCTTAACCCAGATATCACTTTCTTCTATTGATTCTAGGCCTTTAGATAAATTCTTTCTACCAATTACTGATCAAAAAATCTTCAAATCCACCTACGACCTGGAAGGCCCTCCCTCCACTATGAGTTGTCCTGCCTTTCTGGACTGAACCAACGTACATCTTAAAAGTATGGATTGATGTCTTATGTCTCCCTAAAATATAAAACCAAGGTATAGCCCAAACACCTCAGGCACATGCTGTCATGACCCTCCGAGGCTGTGTCACAGCCATGTCCTTAACTTTGGCAAAATAAACTTCTAAATTGATTGATTGTCTCAGACTTTATGGGTTTATAGTGCTCAAAAACTATTATCTATTATGGATATTACCTTTATTAGGGTATCCTGTGGCATATATATTAATATTCAAATGACTGCATGTTAAGATGGCATGGAAAAGAGATAATATACTTGCCTGCAACTGGACTGTTTGCAAATAGTTGTCTTACATTCCTTTTTTAAAGCAATGCCTGGCCCATTCTAGTTGTTCAGTAACAATCTTTTAGATGAATCATTAATTGACAGATGGACTCCTTATCTCAAGGTTTTACATACTATGCATATAATTCAGTAAGGTGGAAGTCATATAATATTTCTAGTTAAAATACCTTTGAGCTTATCTGTTTAGTGCTTATGATATGGGAGTGGGGCAGGGAAGTGCTTGGTAGAGAAGGGTGGGTCCTTGGTAAGGGCTCCACCCCGAGGCCTGTGCCCTGGGATCTAGTTGAGGACAGGCATTTTTGTTTTTGTGCCCAAATGTTGCATTTCCCAAGACTACCCTGGCCTGCCACAACCCTGTGCTGTGACCCTAGCTGGCAGAGACACAAGCGGCTGGATATCACAAGGAACACACTGGCAGAAGAGCATACTGACAGGCACTGGCAGGCACCAGCAGTGTGGCAGGTCATCAACCGGCAGAACAATGTGGAGTTTGGCTGGGGCAGCTGGAGGAAAGCCTGGCCACTGAGTGCCCTGACTCCAGGGGAAAACCACCTTCCCACTCCATCTCCTTTCTGGCTCCCCCATCTGCTGAGAGCTACTTCCACTCAATAAAACCTTGCACTCATTCTCCGAACCCATGTGTTATATAATTCTTATGGTGCACCAAGGCAAGAAACCCTGGGATACAGAAAGCCCTCTGTCCTTGAGTGAGGCAGGCAGTCTAATAGAGCTGACTAACACAAGCTGCCTAGGGACGGCTAAACTGAAAGAACACACTGTAACACATGACACTGGGGCTTCAGCTATAAACATTCACCCCTGGACACTGCTGTGAGGTCAGAGCCCCACAGCCTGCCCATCTGCATGCTCCCCTAGAGGTGTGAGCAGTGGGGCACCAAAGAAGCAAGCCACATCCCCATCGCATGCCCTGCAAGGGTGACAAGGGAAGGTTTCCTGTTTCACTTATAGTAACATCACTTAGTTTTTCTTTGAAATGTTACATTCACCATAAGGTATTTAAAATAATGTACTCAACCTCAAGTTGTTTTTGCTTTCTTTTCTAACATGAAGTTCATGAATCAGTCGTTATAATGTCTCTGTTTAGGCTTGGGAGAAAAATTTTTAAATTCTCTAAATCTAATAAAAGTTTTATGTTCATATACATGTTTTTTTGTGATGACTCTCCATACTTGTCAGATTGTCAGAGATATTATTGATCAAAAATATAATTAAGAAGTAGTGTTGTCCTTGGTTGGGTTGTAATTACCACATTACAAGGAATTGAGATCTCAGGATATTAGACTTGCAAAGAAAAGAAGGAAGGAAGAAAGGAAATGAGAGAGAGAGAGAAAGGAAAAGATAGGAAAAAAATGAAGAAAAAGGGAAGAAAGGAAAGAGAGACCAAAGGGAAGGATTTAGATTTAACACTGTAAAAGAATGAGGAAAATAATTTTCTGAATAATTTACAGTACTTCATTATGAAATCTCTTATTGATCCAACATTTTGTAAGCCTTTTTCTATTCCAAATTTCTTCAGTAAAATGTATGCAAAATTATTTCATTCCAGCAATGTTTCTAATATGCTTTAAGCCTGAAAATGTTGCAACTTACAGTTAATCATTTTTTGATTTATGTATTTAATATAGTTCAGCATGCAATGTTATGATGAGTTAACCTGACCTAATTGACATGAGATATATGAGAAAACTTTCTGTTCTGACTCAAGTGCCAAAGACTAATTTTATGGGGCAGAAAGCATAGTAGGGTTTAAATAATCAGGACTTAGAAATGAAGACATAGAGAAAAACCACATCATTAATATACAAATAATGTGCACATACACAGAGTTCAAATTATACCCCAGTGCAGAGCAGAATCTGAAATAGTCTGCAGCACTTGAAAAATAATGGATTTTCATTTACTAGGATTAGAACCATTATTGTTCAAATACTACTGTAAAGACTCACATGTGATTATAACTTCTCCTTTGATTTGATGAGTCTCCTTTTCCTCCTATGAATTCTTTTTCAAATATTTTACTATTAAAACTGTATTTTGCAAAACTTGGATTTCACACTTCTCACTAGTTGGGGAGTAAAGTAGGCCATAAATCACTGCTATGCAAAACAGTTTTTCTTAATTTAATTTCCTTCTGCTTAGAACCCATTCAGTAATTACATTAGTAGCCTGATGTGCCCTGGAATAAGTATATGACTATAGTGCTTAGCCTAAATTGTTTTGATAACAAATCTGCAGAACTAGGACGCAGTTATATTGGTTTTTTTAGAATACCAGATGCTTGAATCTTGGAATATCAACTACCTCCCAGTCATTTCCTAAGCCATTTGTGCATGATCAAAAGAAATTTATCATCATTTCCTCAGAAAGAGTTGGCTTAAGCTGTGTGGTAGACCTTCTGTGCCTTACTAATTTAGCTCCACGTGTCTCTGAGATATGGATGCTCTCTTCTGGTTACTCCTAGAAATACCCTTCAGAATCTGCAACACAACATTTAGTAGTCAAAGCCCTAGAACAGCATATAGCCATTGAGTTCTATGGCTCTCACTGAAATCACAGAGCTAAAATAAAGTTCTATGACTTTTTAAATAAATGAACTTGAAATAGTTATTGAATAGCATATCTGTTTATGGCTCCATTGGG
Source organism: Homo sapiens (assembly GCF_000001405.40). Lineage (NCBI taxonomy): Eukaryota > Metazoa > Chordata > Mammalia > Primates > Hominidae > Homo > Homo sapiens. The sequence goes on along the minus strand of NC_000004.12, from coordinate 65,012,071 downwards.
ATTGCCATGAGCTTCATTATATATGGTTTCAACAGATGTGTCTGCATCAAACTATTGAGGTCGCTAATAGTGTTTGAGTTCATATAAAGGAAACTCACTGGATGTGTTTTGAATATATGAATATGTTAATTTTTAACACAGAGAAGGGGGAGAGTTTGGGAAATTAAATTGTATCACTTTTTTTTAGATTCTCTGATAGGGTACCTGTAATAAACCTTATTAGTACCAACTTCAATATTTTCTAATCTGTGACAATTTAATCATATATTAGCCTGTAACATAATTTGTTGAGAAAAATATAGTTTAGAGAAAAGAAACAATTAACTACATGTATTTTCTTAGACAATAATTATTCTATTTAATATACAATATGCCATATCATAGTATTATGTTAGAAAAATAACTTCAGAAGTACACATGTATAATATTGTATGCTTATGTGACCACTGTGGTATTTAAGATATTATATAAAATCTCAACTGGAAGTCATCAGGTGAATAGTTCAGGCTAACTTTCCTTTATCTTTTTATTGATGTAGGTAAATTATTACATTAGTAAAACAAAACAAAGCAAACACTTGTATCTCTTTGGCTTTGAACTTTTCCAGATTACACATTAACAAAGTATATGCTATAGAATCAAGAAACATCACTGTCATTCATACTCATTAAAGAGAATATAAAGAATGGGAAACACGATGTTAAAGGTTTGCACTGAAAGTTAAAAAAAAAAAAAAGCACACTAATTCAGAATTGAGGTCTTCCGAATAATTATAATTGAAATTCATTATGTAGGACATATATCAGGCAGCAATCAACTAGGTTTTCTGACTTAATAAGTTTGTTTAATGAAAATATGGAGAATAAATTGGGGGGAAAAGTTCAAGAATTGTTTTTACCTCATTATAAATGTCCATCAATATGGCTTTAAAATGTTTATCTTTCACACAGGTGACAAAATTAATCTTTCATAGTTTGATGGAATTTTTATCTCATTGCTTTTTCTCAATTGGCAGTAAGCACTGATAATGTAGAATTGAACACTTGTACAATGCTACCCTTTGATGAAAATTTTGTCCTTTTTCTCTGACATTATTTTTTTCTGAACCAGTTTCTCTTGAAAAATCAATAACCATAGCACATTCATTGATTTTTTTCCTTATCAATAGCACCAACTCTCTGATTCAAAATATACAAGTACTCTTTATTGCTCTCCATTATTCAAAATGTTCATTTAATTACATTTGCCATGTTCTTTAATATAGTTTACTTTAAACTAACTTTACATACAATTATCAAAAGTTTAAATGTAAGACACACCATATAGTTACCTTGTACCACAAAATTATCAAGATCTAAATCTTGTTTTTCTTTTCTTTTTAAGTACACTTGCTCATTTAGTTGGTGACACTTCAAGATAATCCTCAAATGTAATCAGGCAGATGCACTGTAATTCTTAAAAATAAGTTAGAACAAAACAATTAATGCAACAAAATAAAAGCAAAAATGAAGAATGATAAACTAAAATGTACCTTAGCCAAAATAGACATCATCCATAATAAAGTTATAATACCCAGATTTCTTTATTAAACTCCCATATTTCCATAATTCTTTTATTTTTACTGGTTCTCAACTTTGAATTCTTTCCGCAGTGCCATTTCTTATGTTCTTCAGTGGATTCTTAATGCATCTTGTTCTGACATACAGATATTGACTTCACTATTCTCAACTCCATGAACACAACCTGACATTTCTCTGCTTCTCTAATGATCATTTCCTTCAGGCTTCTGATTTTTATTTTACAACCCCCACCTTTGAACCTTCTTCTTCCTTTGACTCCTTTTCTGCCTCATTGACTAATTATTATTATTATTATTATTATATTATTTTGAGATGGAATCTTGCTCTGTTGCCCAGGCTGGAGTGCAGTGGCTCAATCTTGGCTCACTGCAACCTCCTCCTCCTGTGTTCAGACGATTTTCCTGCCTCAGCCTCCCAAACAGCTGGGATTACAGGTGCATGCCACCACGACTGGCTAATTTTTGTGTTTTTAGTAGAGACAGGGTTTCACCACGTTGGCCAGGCTGACCAACAAGTGATTCGCCCACCTCGAACTCCCAAAGTGCTGGGATTACAGGCATGAGCCACCGCACCCAGCCTAATTTTTTTCTTTTTCCAATGCTTAGCTGTGATGGTGAGGAATATGAAGTTGGGAGAGTTGGGTGTGGTATTAAAATTTTTATTAAGAAAACAAAAACATTTATTGAATTAAAATTATAGCTCAATTACAGCTCAACATATTTATTTATTTTGTAACATACTTTTCTTTGAGTTGTAATTCTTCGTCCAAATCTGATATTTATAAAGGGCTTAAAACATGATTATCATATATTTTACAATATGTCCTACTTCTTGTGATTTACTTACCTGTATTTTGCCAGATGATCAATAAAATTACTTTTAAAAATATCACTTGCAGATCTTGCAAAACAGTTGTCTAGTCAGAATTTGTCTGGTTGCAAATGGCAGGAACCCAAATAAACTAACTGAAGCAGAAAATGGTGTTTATAGGAAAGATCCTATATGAAATCACAGAATTAACAGAAGATAAGCAGGTATCATCTGCAGGGACTTCAGTGACTGAAACTGCAGATTAAATACCATCAGCATACTGCCCCCCTCGTCAATTTTTCTCTCCTTGGCTAAATCCTTTCCCACTGCAGTTTTCTTTCTTTCTCTCTCCAAGTTCTAATAGATTACATTCTAAGGAAGGATTGTGATTGGCCTGGATTGAGTCATAAGTCTACTCTTAATTGTTCTGCTTAGAGGCATAGGGAAATATGGTTGACCGGGTCTAGGCTACAGGTCCAGCTCCATAAATTATCAAAGCACCGGACTGGAACTCCCTCATAATATGGTTTAAGTGGGGAAGAAAATATTTCTTTAAAAGGATGGAGAAGTATCTGTTACCACAAAAAAAGTGAAATAGTGCTGGGAAGATAGAACCCAATTAAGAAGACCATAATATTTTGAATTTTAAGAAGCCCTTTTTTTAGTAGACCATAAGTGATTACAGTAAAAAAAAACATTTAGAGAAAAAAGAAAGGAAATAATGAAAATGGGTAACAGAATTGTTCTTATTATCTTATGTATTCATTAGGCTGGGGACAGCTCTCTGAAAATAGGAATAAATAGTGGCTCCTCGATAAACACCTTCTTGCCTACAGCATGTGTGACTGCAAACACATTCCCACTTCAACTAATCCAAGACGAGAAGGATGACAAAATAAGGTATCATAGATTCATTGCCAAAATCATGACTTTCTGTATTAAAAACTTCATAGCATGCCTCTTTCTGTATCTCTATTTCTACTTAACGGTGAAACTTTGGAATATCATGAATTCTTGAGCATGACAATAGCTTTGTGAAAGCTTCTACAGAACACAAAGGAGTTGATGAGATACTCTTCGGATACTTTTACAGATTTGTAGATTCTGACGAATTTTACTAAAAAGATTATAGTTCAAAACGGAAGTATACATGGGAAATATGAATTTATATGTGCAATCATACAAGTGATTCTTCCTCTTTATAATTAAAAACGTACATGAAAAGATCCAGAATTATAATTTTAAATTCAGAGCACTACCTTCGTTAGACTCAATATAGATTGTGATGAACCTTCCCTTTCAACGTAATGTGCTTTTGTAAGACAATAAGAAATGATTATATATACATGAGGTTTCCTTCCCTTTTCAGTAAAGATATTTCTCTTCAAAATGTTGACATGATATTCAACAAATCTTGGATAGCTTGTATCATTCAGGCACCTAAAACAAGCTCATTTTGTCTTGTTTGTACAATGTATGAAATCTAAAATTTACTCAGAATTTGTTTAACCTTAAGATATATCACATGGAAAAGAAAAGGTAAAATAATTCCCCAACGTACACGAAAAAAACATATTCTTAAAAAAAGAAAAAAATTGCAGGAGGGGTATTATTTGTAATAATACTACACTGCCACCTTGTGGAGTGACTGACTGAAAACCAGTCAAATAAATGTCACTGCCCGGTTTTCACCCCTAGAGGCTCAAACATGTCTCTTGAGGATTCAGGTAGGGGCTGTTATGTAAGTAATTTATAAATAACCACATAAATGGATACATTTTAGTAGCAGACTACATTGCTCATGAATAAACTTGTTATAAACAAATAGCCAATTATAACTAATTTCTTTATAGATATATTTATTTTTAAAAATGATTACATGGTATGAAGTACATTTTACCTGGAAAACAGAAAATATGGAATTCAAGTCCTGCCTCTGCCATTACTAGCTGTTTATATTAAGGTTTTATAGCCCCAATTTTTATTTTTCAGAGAGAATTATGCTTACATTGTATTTTAAAACATCATTTCTTGTATGTATAATTCTCCATTTGTCATTCTGTGAGACATCCTTTGAAAAAAATTTTTTCACATGCCAACTATTTTCTAGGCAATATACCCGATGCTTGGAAATTGATGAGGAAATAAAAACAAGCATGATATGGTATTATCTGTTTATGATGCTTAGTGAAAAGTCTAGTAAAATGTCAGTCAAATTTAATTACAGTAAAATTTTGATATTTAGTAAAGGCTTAATCCCCCAGTTAATAATAAGAATTATATATTTATTTCAAGGTCTGATTGTACTACTTACAATCATAAACCATGAGACAATTATGTAGAGTATCAGCAGATTATTTTAATTTCTTTTTCAAAAAATAATATATTTCTAAAACAATTGAAGTTATATAAACATTGGAAACAAAATGGGCTCTGTAAAATGTAAATTTTTTGTTTGTTTGTTTGTTTTGTTTTTTTAAGATGGAGTCTTGCTCTGTCACCAGGCTGGAGTGCAGTGGCGCAATCTCAGTTCACTGCAAACTCTGCCTCCTGGGTTTCAGCTATTCTCCTGCCTCAGCCTCCTGAGTAGCTGGGATTACAGGAGACTGCCACCACGCCTGACTAATTTTTGTATTTTTAGTAGAGAAGGGGTTTCACCAAGTTGGCCAAGATTGTCTCAATCTCTTGACCTTGTGATCCACCCACCTCGGCCTCCCAAAGTGCTGGGATTACAGGCGTGAGCCACTGCGCCTGGCTGTAAAATATAAATTTTGACAAGCAAAATTTTACTACAATGTAATTATGCAGCTAGATTTTCCTGGGAAGGGAAAATGTTTCACTAAATTTATATTCTTTCTGCATTCTTAATTATTTCAATATAACTAATATTATATTTACATGGAAATTCATTAGATTATTTCTATTTGTGCTTAGAAGTGAAACATTCAAAATACATTATGATTACATTTTTAGCCCACTTATAATATCAGATTTGGAAGAATTACTAATTTTTTAATTAAATCTTAATAGAGTTACTACCCTAATACTACAATGTCATAGATTAATGATCACGTATTACGTGTGTGTGTGTGTGTGTGTGTGTGTATGATTTGTGTTTCAATATACGTATTTCAAAGTGTCATTCATCCAAATATCTACCTCTTTTGTGCTAGCTACTTAGGGCCATTCACTTTCATTTTTATTTTTCTACTAAATAATTGCAGAATATCATGAGGGTATCTATGTGATGGACCTTCCATATCACCTTTTTCTCATTCGCTGGTTGACATTAATAATTAACATGATTATTTTCCTTGCTAATTATCTCATATTGTTTCACCTTCTCTCTTCCCAAAAGAATATAAGGCAGCTTTAAACAATTGACCAGAAATATATGCAAATTGAAACCCATTGTCGATCTCCAATAATTGTGTTCTATAATGATAGGTTAAGCTATTTAGTCCATATCACTTATAGTAATTCATGGCTAATACGTGTTTAAGGATTATTCTTGTCATACTGTATTATGTATCTAAATGTACTTTTCTACTTCAGAACGTACAGTGAAGTGAAATATAATTGTGCAAAAGAAGCTGTCAAAAATACAAATAAGAGAGAACTATTAAACCAAAAAAACATAGAGACATGATTCCAAATTCTAAGTTTATGAAAAGACTTGGGGGATGATACCTTATTTATCTATCAAGAAACATTTGAAAAATATTTGAATAAAGTATAACAAAAATAAGAATAACCAGTTATTTCTATCATTCATGATATTTCAAATAAATGTTGTTTCACTGTCCCCTTTCTAGAAGCATGGGCCTTAATGATTTGCAGAAGGACAGGTGTCCAGATGGCCTTTGCTGACCCAGTTCTTCTCCTCCTTGGTTACAATTATCAGACATTCCAAGAGGAACATTCTGAGATAAAGAGGAAATATGTGATACAGCCCAGTTTGTGTCCTCATTTCTCCCAGCATATGATGTTCTACAGTGCTTCAGCACAGTGACTCAGCTGGGGACTAGGGTATAAAACCCAGAGCAAAGTGCTTTTGGAGTCCCTCAGCAGCAGAGTTACATGGAGCACATGGTGATGAGACTCCATCTGCCCTGGGCAGTTGTACTGAACCTTGGAGAACTAACTCACTGTAGACCCAAGGCTTCTGTGTATACCTGCTGCCTATGTATGACTTCGCCTGACTTATGAGAGTGTTCTTTCTGACCATACCATACCTAAGAACCTTTGCTATGTTCCTTTTGGTAATGTATTTATTTGCTTACCGCCTCCTTCACAAAAAAAGTTTCTAGGCATCAACTATATGCCACACAGGTTTCAGGTACTAGCTGTTTAACGGTGAGCAAGATGACAATAGCCCCTGCTTTTATGGAGATTACGGTCAGTCAGGAAGCAAATAAACTAAAATGCATAAATGCTGTGACAGGATAGATAATACAGGTGAATACAATAGGACATATCTTAACCTAGAAGGGCAAATAAGGCATCCTGAAAGAAGTAGCCATTAAGTTATGCCAGAAAGATACCTGAGAATTATCTAGACTAAAAATAGAAATGGGAAATATTTCAAGAAGAGGTATTAGCATATAAGTCTTGGAGGCCAAGAAGAATTAGTTGGATTCAAGAAATTAAAAGGTAAGTGAGTATTGCTGGAGATTAAAGTGGAGGGGTGAAGTGACAAGAGGTGAATGTGGATACATGGGCAGGAGATAGTGAAGAAGGGTCCTGAAAATATAATGAAAAGTTTGAACATTATACCAAACACAACTTGAAAGCCCTGACGTGATTCACTTTTCATGTTAGAGGAGCCACTCACCATCATTGTTGTAGACTATATTGGATAGTTGAAAACCGGAGGGAGGCAAAACAAGCAGATGATGGGAAAAGGTCGAAGCAAGAGGCGATAGTGACCTAAACTCAAATGATCGTGGTGGAGATAGAGAAAAGACGGGGGTTCCCTGTGTGGACAGGTCATGGTGCAATTATCAGAGTCAGAGATTGCTGTGAGAGGAGGAAGTTTGTGGAGTTAGATGGGCATAGAGTAGAACATGAGCTAGTTCAGTTTTGGATGTGTTGAGATTTTGATAGGGCCAACCAACAAATATATTAGGCTGGAAGTTTGAAAAACAAAATGTATCTGTACTTTCTCTTTCTCTCTACAGAGAAATCATGGGAAAAACTGCCCATTTCTGTTTTGTCCACTTTGCTTTGGGAAGTGAGAGCTATAGTCATTATCACCACATCCCCTGGCATCCAATTCCGTAAGTACTGTGAATTCCACTGGCTCTTAATTCTTGAAACTTTTGGTGAACTACAGATTTTCTGGTCTGTGACCAAGGCTGTATACCAGAGAGGAAAGTCTGGGAAGAGAGAATGTAATCATTGATGAAGAAGTTTTTAGTTAATATACAAAATATACTTTTAATCTTCAGACAAAATTGGCATTTTTAAAATCACTGTAGAGATTTATTGATCCATAGAAGTTTTGCTACCATTAATATTTATAACTCGGAATGACAATGTCAAAGTCAATAGATACAGTCAACCACATCCAATAGCAATAACATTAGCTCGACGAAGTTTAATATAAAATCTTAAACAATTTTTAAATTGATTTAGTCTGAAAGTAAAAGATTTTATTTTTGAAGAGTGTCGTAAATGCAAGTTGTAGTATTTCTGGAAGTATAAGGCAAATGGTTTTTTCAAAGAAAAACATTTTTTTTTTCCGGAGGCATGTTTGAGTGATAGAAATTGAGAAAATGAACAGTATTAAAGTGTCATAATTTCTTGATTTTTTTCATGCATTTTAATTAGTGACTATTGCAGATATGTACTTCAGCATCTGTTTAATAAGTATATTACTTTAAACAATGAGTGTTGTGGAGAAAGTATACCACTTTCTCATTCCAGCTATCACCTCAATATTTGCTTAACACTTCACTGTGAAAGTTAGAAATAATGGAATAAAAGAAAAGCATGTTTATTAAGTTACATCTGAGGCCAGCTTTCTGAATTGTATTCTTTTAGATTTTTACTGGGTTTTATAATTTTTTTCCTCAATTTTTCTTAAAGAAATAAATCTTTAAGAGACAGCTGGAGGGAGCTACCTGGATCTTTCTCAATAATATTTCACATCATTTTACACCAGGGAAATCATTATCTGAATTTTTTTGTTTCTTAAACACGTTTTTATACTTTTATTACAAATATATAAATACATAAATTATATTGTTTTCATTTTCATTTTAAATATTTATAGTTATTTATATTGCATATATGCAGCTTTAAATTCATATTCTTGTTTGAGATTATGGATTATGTTTATTTATTTATTTATTTGGAGATGGAGTTTTGCTCTTGTCCCAGGCTAGAGTACGACGTTGCTATCTCAGCTCACTGCAACCTCCGCCTCCTGGGTTCAAGTAATTCTCCTGCCTCAGCCTCCCGAGTAGCTGGGAATACAGGTGCCCGCCACCACATCTGGCTAATTTTTGTATTTTCAGTTGGCCAGTCTGGTCTCGAACTCCTGACCTCAGGTCATCCTCCTGCCTCTGCCTCCCAAAGTGCTCGGATTACAGGTGTGAGCCACCGTGCCAGGCCGGTTTCATTTAACATTTATTTACATTAGCATGTGTAACTCTGGTTCACTTTGAAAGCTTGCAAAATTTCATTGTATGATTATACTGCGGGTTAACCACTCTACTTTTGGTTGACATGTGGGAGGTTTTCTTACATAGCTATGATAAGAACTGTTGCATTGAATGGTCATTTACATGCCTCATTTTCACATATAGGTGAGATTCCTGGAGTTTTATACCTACGAATGAAATTGCTAAAGTGCTAAAAATATGCGTATTAAACTTTATCGTATATTGACAAGGTTGTGGAAAATTAATGAATTTTGGGGATACCTGCAAACCATAGCAACATGTTTTTCTATGGCTGTTCTTATAGCTCACTTACTAATGCATATTACTAATATAGTTTAAATCTTTATTTAAATTGTGCTACATTTCAAACCTAAAGAGAACTACAGAAAATTATAAAAGACTACTTAACCTTTATTTAAATTAATATACATCAAAATATAATTAGAAATAAAAAATTAATCATAAGAAAAGTTATTTTCATATTTTCTTCCTGTCACGTTTATGGAAATAAAAAGTTATTCATAAAGTTGGAACATTGTTATGTTTTTCCTTAATTCAGTTTCACTCTCTTCACTAAGGTAACAATTATTTTTCTGAATTTTGTGCTTATCTATTTTTTCACTCAGCATTATACTTCTGAGATGGATCTGTGTTGATAAATTTAAACCCAGTTTATTTATTTTAATTGTCAAATATTATTCCCCTGTGTTAAAATGTTAGCATTTTCTTATCCCTTTCTTTACTTCTGGACAGTATAAAGCCTCTGAGCCTTCTTAGGGTGCAAAGCCTTGGCTAGGTCCACAGTCATCCTGGAATCACAATGGATTTGGCAGGGCTCTCTTTTTTCTTTCCCTGGCCACAGCAAGCTGTTGAACTCTGCTAATTGCTATTGTTTTCAACAAGGTCCTGGGAAATAAATTGTTTTGTAGACTGATCCAATGAAACTTGAGCTCCTTTGAGAGAATAGTTTCCCAGGTCAGTATTCGAGATTTGTTCTGGTCCCCAAAAATGGCCTCGCAACTTTCTTTTTCACCAGTTATCTCCGGCAAACTAGTTGGCCTGTAGTTTAGATTATGTCTTCAAGGAACTACCATTCTCTTCCCAAGAGCCTTTCACTGCAAGCTCCAGTGATTTCGAGAATGCCCTTAGTCTTGAACTTCTCCAAATTCAGTTGCAAATGATGTTTCCTAAGAAGGGAGAAATTTGCAGCTCTCTGTTTTGTGGCCTGCTTTTGTCCAGCACAAAATCTTTAAGCCATGGCTTTGCGCTGGGGGCAAGGGCCATGGTGAGCTTCTCTTGAATGACATTCTTCGTTTAATAGCTGAGTACGTGGTAGAAGGGGCCACAGCTCCAAGTCTTCTTGGCTTGGCTTTTCTAGTATAAAACCTCCACCCCAAAAACTCGTGCAAAGAGGATTGGGGGACCCAGTATTTTTAACATCAACATATCCCAAGCAAAGCCTCCATCCTGTGAGTGGAGTCTGCATTGCAAATGGGAAACCCTATCTCTTAATTGGTCTGCTTAGAACTTGGTTTCGCAACAGGTAAATGACAGACTCACTTTTACTGGTAAAATTTATTAGATATTTATTGAATATTATTAATTTTATTTTATTAATATTTATTAAAGATTTCTTCATTTGTTGTATGCCTTTAAGACCATTGTGAAACATTTAAATGTCGGGGTCTCTCTGTGTGTGTATTTAAAAATAAGTATGATTCATTTTATTGGGAAGTAGGTCTGCAGAGCTCCTCTTGGTATCATGTCAGAATTGGAACTGCTGCCCCAATCTCTTTGGTGGTATCCCGCAAGTTTCATACATAGTGTTTTAATTGTAGCTATGAACTAGATTGTGTCCCTCCAAATTTTTTTGAAGCCCTTAACCTTCACTGTGATGGTCTTTGGAGACAGGCTGTACAAGGAGGTAATTAAGGTCAAATGAAACCGTAAAGAAGGGACCCAAATCTGAAACGGATGGTGCCTTTGGAAAAAAAGAAAGAGACACCAAAGCTGTCTCTCTCTACTATGTCAGGACACAATAAGAAGGCAGCTATCTGCAATCTAGAGAGAGAGTACATTCACCAGGAATTTAATCAGCCACCACCTTCATCTTGGACTTCCCAGTATCCAGGACTGTGAGAAAGTAAACTTTGTTGTTAAAGCCACTCAGTCTGTGGTATGTTGTGGCAACCTGAGCAGACAGTTATTATTTAATTAAATAAGTGTGTATTTTATAATTGCTGGATTATTTATTTCTTGTTCTGTAAATTGTTTGTAAGCCTATGTTTTGTTTTATCATATGATTTAATGGGAATTAGATATATTGAGTTATTTGCTACCCTCCATCCTACCATGGTGTCATAATTGGTTTATGCACAACCTCTCCCTTACTTTTGGGACCATTTATATTATTTTAATTTGCTGTTACATTCCAGAAGCAAATGTATATTTCATTCTTATCATAAATATCCTGTTCAATAGATTTGATAAGTGTATTTTATTATGAACTTATCTTTATAAAATATATACTGTGGCATTTTGAATGCGTGAGTGGTATAGGTTTGTTAATTGTATCATGCTATAAATTTCATTTGAGTTCATGACTTTTTCACTTAAAAGTATATTTTAGTATCTACCTATGTAGTTCTATGTACACTAGTCTTTCTTTTTCTAAGTTCGTATGCTGTAGTGGGCATCTACCAAATATTATTTAGGTATTCTCCTAGTGATTAACTTCTAATTCCTTTCCAACTCCTCTTATTAAAAACATCATCACAATTCATACCATGCAAGTTTGGACCCTAATCTGTGTGTGGCCCATAATTGAGGCTTTGATTTTGTAAAAATCACTTTTCACTGGAAGTCCTAATCGCACTGAAAACTGCCCAATAATGCATGCTGATGGGAAGAAGTGTTGTGTTTGATGCTGAGTTAGGGGAACACTACATTGCTTGCTTGGTTGCTTGGTTGTTTATTGTTGGTGGTGGTGCTTTTTTTTTTTTTTTTTGGTTTGGATGATTTTCTTTTCTTATTTTTCTTTTTCTTATTTTTTTCCTTTAACTTTTATTTTAAGTTACTGGGTACATGTGCAGGATGTGCAGGTTTGTTACATAGGTAAACGTGCACCACGGTGGTTTCCTGCACAGATCAACCCATCATCCAGGTATTAAGCCCAGCATCCATTAGCTCTTCTTCCTGATGCTCTCCTTCCCCACAACCCCCATTTTTAACCAGGCCCCAGTGTGTGTTGTACCCTGCCATGTGTCCATGTGAACCTCGTATGTATTTAATAATAAGTTTCTTATCTTACAATGAGTATTAGAAATCTAGACTCCCTGATCTCAGAGCCTGTCTTGACATAATTTACTTAGAAGTTCACTTTCATCTTAAAATTATGGCTTTCTTTGTTCTCTTATTTTGGTATATGAGGCTATCCCTTTCTTTTGAGTTAGACTTTTTATTTAATTGCTCTAATTTATCAAACTTTTTTGTTTTAATGTATAAGAGCACTGCATGCATCACCTTAGTTTGTCATGTTGCTAAAAGTTCTCCAAGCATTGCTTTTCAGAATCTAATGCATTTACATTGTTGGCAGTTGAGAATTTTGACTAATGAGAACATATGGTGCTGTCAGTACAACAATAGCATAATATTTAGAATAAAATCAATTATCTATCAAAATTAATCATCTATCATTTCAAGCTGAATATGCACTACACGGCATAGAATACAATGTGAAAAGTGCCTCCTGGAGATGTAGAATGTGGCAGTATGGCAGAAAAAATGAACAACTATTGGTAAAGCAGAACATACTCATAAAAAGTAAACATTTTACAAAGTCATTTTTTGTGATCAGGTGGATAATAATAAATGAGAACAAATATTATATTGTAGCTTGGAGGAAAAACAATGATCTTTTTTATCATAAATAAATGAATACTCAAATATAATATATCAAATAATTATTTTTTTAATTTTTATTTTAAGTTCAGGGGTACATCTGCAGGTTTTTTCTATAGGTAAACTCATGTCACAGGGTTTTGTGGTACAGATTATTTCATCACCCAGGTATTAAACCTAGTAACCATTAGTTATTTCTCCTCTCCCTCTTCCAAACTTCAATCTGCTGGTAGGCCCCAGTGTCTGTTATTCCCCCTCGATGTACAGGTATTCTTATTATTTAGCTTCCACTTATAAGTGGGAACATATGGTATTTGCTTTTCTGTTCCAGCATTAGTTTGCCAAGAATGATGGCCTCCAACTTCATCCATGTTTCTGAAAATGACATGATCTCATTATTTTTTATAGCTGTATAGTATTCCATGGTGTATATTGTACATGTACCACATTTTCTTTATCCAGTCTGTCATTGATGTGAACTTATGTTGATTCCATGTCTTTGGTATTATGAATAGTGCTGCAATGAACATACATATGCATGTATCTTTTTGATAGAATGATTTATATTCCTTTGGGTATATACTCAGTAATGGGATTACTGGGTCAAATGGTACTTCCATTTTTATATCTTTGAGGAATTTCCATACTGCTTTTCACAATAGTCAAATCAATTTACACTCCCAACAATGTATACACATTTATTTTCCTCCACAACCTTGTCAGCATCTGTTATTTTTGACTTTTTGATAATAGCCATTCAGATTGGTGTGAGATGGTATCTCATTGTGATTTTGATTTGCATTTCTCTAATGATAAGTGATGTTGAGCTTTTTTTCATATGCTTGTTGGCCACATGTATATCTTGAGACTTTGAAATATTTTATGTTTCTGTTTTTTATTTTTGTAATTTTCAAAGCAAAATTAAAAATTCAAACATTAATTCAGAAGGAAAAAGTCTACATTATATGCCACATATCCTAATAGGTTCATTGTTTGTCTTGTGATGTATTTATTAAAGTACAATTGTGGGTAGATCTTTTGAAGAATGAGAGAATGAAAGAAGTGGATAAATTTAAAAGATTGCTGCATTGTTCTATAGAGGCTTTTTGAAACTGTTGTGACAGAAGTATCATCTTAACAGTTTTATTTTTGCCAGTATTGCTACCAGCAAGTGGAGAATTGGGAAGCAGAAATAGAAGAAAACTAAATATAGGAGTGACATGATCTTTTAACTTTCAGAGATGCATCCTGATTTGTTTCACGTGAGGAAAGAAAACTATAGATGATTTTTATTTCTATGAAAGTGTTAGGGGGTTCATACTTACAATGTTTTATTTGACTGGGGAATAAGACTTGTAAGCACTTGTTTTGTTTTTGCAAAATTGTTAAACTAAATTGAGAACATCTAACTTAAATTTCATTAAAAACAATTTTAGGCCTCAGGAATTCTAGATAAACAAGATGTCACTTGGAATTTAGACATTTAGAATGTCATTCATTCAAAATAAAGTGATGTTATGCCTAGAAGACATAATTTCAAAGTAGAAGAGTTTAGCATAACAATGCCAATCATACTGAAAAGCAGATATTAGAGAATATCTAATTCTCTTTGCTTTTGAAGAATGAGAATTGTTGAGACTTCATAAGATTAAATAGTATAATTTTATTTTTGGTGGAGGAATTATGGAAAACTTTAAAAATAACATCAGTATTTTGTCTCTGTAAAAAACTAGTTCTACGCAAATAAGAATTTATACTACCTATAAATGTTAGAAAGAAAAATATATAATTCCAAAATTTGATTTTTATAATGGCATTTTATTTTTATCATAAAAAGGATATATGTGTAATGAATTAAGTGGGAAGATAGAAATATTAGCATATGTGTGTGTAAAGGCCTAAATAAAACATAGTCCTACATAGCAGATTAAAGTGTGTGTGTACACATGGGTTCACAGTTTCATGCACAAGTGATTGTGTGTGTGAGAGACAAAATAAATTGTGAAAACACTGGAGTGATTGGCTATGTGCTATTAATTGAGGGAAGGTAGAACAACAGAATCAGTGGAAACTTTGGAGAACATATGAGCTAATCTGCAGCTCTGAAGCTCGTTGGTGACTCAGCTATTGTAAATATATATGAAGTTGCATGTTGCCATCTCAAAGACTTGCAGAGAGAATCTCTTACTATCCTAAGAATAACAAAAACATTTTGTTGTGTTATTTTTATATCTAGCTAAAAACCTCCCTTTTAAGTTATTTTACTTTGGGTTTTGCCTTTGAGGACAGAGACGTTTGAGGATATGGAGTGGAACTTGTAAACATTTACTGCCTCACAAATTCACAGACACACATCAAGGCAGTTGAGCTTGGTTTTAGCTACATCTTGACTCTTTAGCTACTTTGTTTTTAATGGTATTTACCTTTATTGTTCTTATTTGTTTATTATTTAGTCACTAAAATCAGATTTCTTACCTTTCATGAAAGTCAACATATAACTTCATAAAATAATTGAATTGTCCCTGAAATAAGTTTTCCATTTTTTGATGCTGTTGAAGGTTTCTTTGGCAGTCTTAGAATAAAGCAGTCTAACAAGGATACCCAGAAATTGAACTCAGCTCTGCACCAAGTGGACCTAATAGACATCTACAGAACTCTCCACCCCAAATCAACAGAATATACATTCTTTCAGCACCACACCACACCTACTCCAAAACTGACCACATAGTTGGAAGTAAAGCACTCCTCAACAAATGTAAAAGAACAGAAATGATAACAAACTATCTCTCAGACCACAGTGCAATCAAACTAGAATGCAGGATTAAGAAACTCACTCAAAACCACTCAACTACATGGAAACTGAACAACCTGCTCTTGAATGACTACTGGGTAAATAATGAAATGAAGGCAGAAATAAAGATGTTCTTTGAAACTGACAAGAACAAAGACACAACATACCAGAATCTCTGGGACACATTCAAAGCAGTGTGTAGAGGGAAATTTATAGCACTAAATGCCCACAAAAGAAAGCAGGAAAGATCTGAAATTGACACCCTAACATCACAATTAAAAAGAGCTAGAAAAGCAAGAGCAAACACATTCAAAAGCTAGCAGAAGACAAGAAATAACTAAGATCAGAGCAGAACTGAAGGAAATAGAGACACAAAAAACCCTTCAAAAAATTAATGAATCCAAGAGCCGGTTTTCTGAAAAGATCAACAAAATTGATAGACCGCTAGCAAGACTAATAAAGAAAAAAAGAGAGAAGAATCAAATAGACACAATAAAAAATGATAAAGGGGATATCACCACCGATCCCACAGAAATGCAAACTACCTTCAGAGAATACTATAAACACCTCTACACAAATAGACTAGAAAATTTAGAAGAAATGGATAAATTCGTCGACACATACATCCTCCCAAGACTAAACCAGGAAGAAGTTGAATCTCTGAATAGACCAATAAGAGGATCTGAAATTGAGGCAACAATCAATAGCTTACCCAAGAAAAAAAGTCCAGGACCAGATGGATTCACAGCCAAATTCTACCAGAGGTACAAGAAGGAGCTGGTACCATTCCTTCTGAAACTATTCCAATCAATAGAAAAAGAGAGAATCCTCCCTAACTCATTTTATGAGGCCAGCATCATCCTGATACCAAAGCCTGGCAGAGACACAACCAAAAAAGAGAATTTTAGACCAATATCCTTCATGAACATCGATGCAAAAATCCTCAACAAAATACTGGCAAACCAAATCCAGCAGCACATGAAAAAGCTTATCCACCATGATCAAGTGGGCTTCATCCCTGGGATGCAAGGCTGGTTCAATATACGCAAATCAATAAATGTAATCCAGCATATAAACAGAACCAAAGACAAAAAACATATGATTATCTCAATAGATGCAGAAAAGACCTTTGACAAAATTCAACAACCTTCATGCTAAAAACTCTCAATAAATTAGGTATTGATGGGACGTATTTCAAAATAATAAGAGCTATCTATGACAAACCCACAGCCAATATCATACTGAATGGGCAAAAACTGGAAGCATTCCCTTTGAAAACTGGCACAAGACAGGGATGCCCTCTCTCACCACTCCTATTGAACATAGTGTTGGACGTTCTGGCCAGGGCAATTAGGCAGGAGAAGGAAATAAAGGGTATTCAATTAGGAAAGAGGAAGTCAAATTGTCCCTGTTTGCAGATGACATGATTGTATATTTAGAAAACCCCATCGTCTCAGCCCAAAATCTCCTTAAGCTGATAAGCAACTTCAGCAAAGTCTCAGGATACAGAATCAATGTACAAAAATCACAAGCATTCTTTTACACCAATAACAGACAAACAGAGAGCCAAATCATGAGTGAATTCCCATTCACAATTGCTTCAAAGAGAATAAAATACCTAGGAATCCAACTTACAAGGGATGTGAAGGACCTCTTCAAGGAGAAGTACAAACAACTGCTCAAGGAAATAAAAGAGGATACAAACAAATGGAAGAACATTCCATGCTCATGGGTAGGAAGAATCAATATCGTGAAAACGGCCATACTGCCCCAGGTAATTTATAGATT
Organism: Homo sapiens; assembly: GCF_000001405.40. NCBI lineage: Eukaryota > Metazoa > Chordata > Mammalia > Primates > Hominidae > Homo > Homo sapiens. The sequence goes on along the minus strand of NC_000004.12, from coordinate 64,994,534 downwards.
CAATGCCATCCCCATCAAGCTACCAATGACTTTCTTCACAGAATTGGAAAAAACTACTTTAAAGTTCATATGGAACCAAAAAACAGCCCGCATCACCAAGTCAATCCTATGCCAAAAGAACAAAGCTGGAGGCATCATGTTACCTGACTTCAAACTATACTACAAGGCTACAGTAACCAAAACAGGAAGGTACTGGTACCAAAACAGAGATATAGATCAATGGAACAGAACAGAGTCCTCAGAAATAATGCTGCATATCTACAACTATCTGATCTTTGACAAACCTGAGAAAAACAAGCAATGGGGAAATGATTCCCTATTTAATAAATGGTGCTGGGAAAACTGGCTAGCCATATGTAGAAAGCTGAAACTGGATCCCTTCCTTACACCTTATACAAAAATTAATTCAAGATAGATTAAAGACTTAAATGTTAGACTTAAAACCATAAAAACCCTAGAAGAAAACCTAGGCATGACCATTCAGGACATAGGCATGGGCAAGGACTTCACGTCTAAAACACCAAAAGCAATGGCAACAAAAGCCAAAATTGGCAAATGGGATCTGACTAAACTAAAGAGCTTCTGCACAGCAAAAGAAACTACCATCAGAGTGAACAGGCAACCTACAGAATGGGAGAAATCTTTTGCAACCTACTCATCTGACAAAGGGCTAATATCCAGAATCTATGATGAACTCAAACAAATTTACAAGAAAAAAACAAACAACCCCATCAAAAAGTGGGTGAAGGACTTGAACAGACACTTCGCAAAAGAAGACATTTATGCAGCCAAAAAACACATGAAAAAATGCTCCATGATCACTGGCCATCAGAGAAATGCAAATCAAAACCACAATGAGATACCATCTCACACCAGTTAGAATGGGGATCATTAAAAAGTCAGGAAACAACAGGTGCTGGAGAAGATGTGGAGAAATAGGAACACTTTTACACTGTTGGTGGGGCTATAAACTAGTTCAAGCATTGTGGAAGTCAGTGTGGCGATTCCTCAGGGATCTAGAACTAGAAATACCATTTGACCCAGCCATCCCATTACTGGGTATATACCCAAAGGATTATAAATCATGCTGCTATAAAGACACATGCACACGTATGTTTATTGTGGCACTATTCACAATAGCAAAGACTTGGAACCAACCTCAATGTCCAACAACGATAGACTGAATTAAGAAAGTGTGGCACATATACACCATGGAATACTATGCAGCCATAAAAAATGATGAGTTAATATCCTTTGTAGGGACATGGATGAAACTGGAAACCATCATTCACAGCAAACTATCACAAAGGCAAAAAACCAAACACCGCATGTTCTCACTCATAGGTGGGAATTGAACAATGAGAACACATGGCCACAGGAAGGGGAACATCACACACTGGTGACTGTTGTGGGGTGGGGGGAGGGGGGAGGGATAGCATTAGGAGATATACCTAATGCTAAATGACGAGTTAATGGGTGCAGCACACCAACATGGCACATGTATACATATGTAACAAACCTGCACGTTATACACATGTACCCTAAAACTTAAAGTATAAGAATAATAAAATTTAAAAAAAAGAATAAAGCAGTCTAATGGGAAGAACCAGATAAAACATTCTAATACTAAATTAGATATGATTCTTTAATACTGGAATATAGGAGCTTTATTTTTCCTGATACTACTTGCAAAGTTCTTTTTTAATATCTTTCACTGACTTTTGTAGTGGTTTTTTTCTCTTAATAATAAATCTTACCAAGTCTTACTGAACTTCTAATTAATTATACACACCTTTCCCCAGTTTTTCATATTGACTCATTTTCTCTGTTTATCATTATTATTTTTAACTTTTTATTTTAAGTTCAAGAATATGAGTGCAGGTTTGTTACATAGGTAAACTTGTGTCATTGGGGATTGTTGTACAGATTATTTTTGTCATGCAGGTATTAAGCCTAGCATCCATTAGTTATTATTATTTGTTGGTTAGAACATATAGATCACATGACCTTACCATTTATCTTTCTATCATCAAACACTTTAAAAAAATAAATGTTACAGGTAAAATGTAATAGATTCCATACAAATTTTTACAGATAAGGAAATATATATTATAGTGAATATGAGAAAAACATTGGGTTTAATAATGTCAGAGTAAAATACCCACTGAGGGCTCTTATCCAAAACTATATGAATATTTACACAAAGCATCTTTCTTTTACTCTCCCTGTAAGTATGTGTTTTTCTAATTTGTTATTGTGGTTAAAATACCCATAATGTAAAATTTACCATGCAAACTATTTTTAAGTGTGCATTTTGCTGGAATGAAATACATTCACGATGTTTCACTGTCATCACCACTATTCAGCCACATCACTCTTCACCAAGTAAATTGTACCTGATGAAGTACAATTTGATGATGTACTTGATGAAATTGTAAAGTTTCAATTGAAACTTTATACCAATTAAAGAATAATTTCCCATTTCCATCTCCCCCACCCCTTGGAAACCAGCATTCTACTTTCTGTTTTATGTGTGCTCTAAGGACCTCATATAAATGGAGTTGCATAGTTTTGGTCTTCTTGTAACTGGCTTATTTCACCTCGCATAATGTCCTCAAGGTTCATCTATGTTGCAGCATGTCTGAATTTCATTCTTTTGTAGGGCTGAATAATATTCCATTTTATGTATATACAACATTTTGCTGCCTATTCAACAGTCGAAGGACACAAGTTTCTTTTATAGTTTAGCTATTGTGTAAAGCAGCTATAAACATAGGTGTAAAAATGTCTCTTTGAGACCCTGCTTTCAACTTGGAGGGTTATATTCCCAGAAGACTTCAATGGGAAAAGCAAAATCTCTTTAAAAATTGGTGCTGTCATGGACATAAGGATGAAATAACAGACTGAGGACACCAAAAGAAAGGAAATAGGGAGAGGGGCAAGGGTTGAAAAAGCTACCTATTGGATACTATATTTACTATTTGGTGATGGATTCACCAGAAGCCCAAGCCCCAGCATTAGACAATACAACTATATAACAAACCTGTACACCTACCCCTGGATCTATAATAGAAGGAAAATAATGGTGTTGAGAAAAGTAGATTTCCACATGCAAAACAATAAAGTTGGACCCTAATCCAACGTCATATATAAAAAGTAACTCAAAAAGGATTACAAGCCTAAATGTAAGACATAAAACTATACAATTTTTAGAAGAAAACATAAGGCAAATGCTTTAAGACACTGGATGTGGCAATAATATCTTAGATATGGGTAATATAGTTAATAAAATGCAGTAAATTCCTAACAGTTTATATGGTAATGTTTGAAGGCAATTACAAATGAAATTCTGAGATATGATTATTTGCAATGTGACTAGCATAAAGTACATTGTTTGATTTCCTATGGGAAATGGCAAAAATTCACTTTCTAACTTAAATATTTACAAATATCATGGGAATTTAAATGTGTGTTCCTTTGGGAAGAAGTTTAATAGATAGAAGAGCTATGTGTATATTCAGGAATTTCTTCAGGACAGGATTTCATGGAAGAGTGTATTAGTTATAGAAATATTTATTCCTTTTTCTCTTCCTAAAATTAAACTTTACAAAGTTAAATCTACACAATTGTCCCTTCTAAACATGACCATAAATCTACCACTAAGAAGATCTAGGCTACATATTTATTCTAGAGAAATTTCATTATTATAACGAAAAAAATCCTAAAGTCAATTCTAGGAAGTGGTAGTATCTCAGAGGGAGGACTGCTACTATTGAGTACATTACAACTTCTACCAAAAAAAAAAAAAAAGGAAACCCATTTTGTAAATTTTGACTGCATTTCCCTGATCAGTCTCTCTCTCTCTCTCTCACTCTCTGTCTGTCTCTCTGTGTTCCAAACTCTTTTCTAACAATTAGTTACACTTAGTGTGGAAGTGAATGGGTTATTGATAATCACAGGTAATCAAAGATAAGCTACAAATATGGCCCTTTAGGGAAAGAAAAGAAAGAAACAGAATCATTGTGGATATTACGTCACCACATTCTTCTCCAACTTTTGCTTAGGTGTGCTCTTTTTGATGGAGTATGGAGCTATAACACAATCATTTGGATTTTCTACCATGTGAACATCTGTAATATGTGATTTGGGGGCGGAATGATGGGAAAGAAGCATAAAACATTTTGACACGTAAACAAGTTTCACCCATCTGTAAGGAAAACAGATGATTTATTAGACCTGTCTCTCTGTAGATAAAAACAACATACAAATCTTCTGCTGTTTCAGAAGACACAATGATTGGCTGCCTCATAGGACTATGAGGATGTATTGAGTTAAGGAAAGTAAATAACTTAGCAAGGTGTCTAGCATACATTAATTACGTAACATGTGTATAGTTAAAATTACAGATGGTTTATCAATGTACTTTTTTATCTCAATGTTTTCTCATTTGACATTTGCTCTCAGTGTACTACTCCTACTTTTTTATTTATCAACTACAAGACTTTACTATTGTTGTTGTTGTTGTCTTAATACTGCCTGTGCCATCTCTCTGTGGTCCGTGGTATAGTTGGCTTATATATGTGGTATTTATTAGCCAACTATACAATATATATATAGTATATATATATATATATATATATACAACTATATATTGTATATATACAATATATAGTTGGCTAATAGCAAATATATTGGAAACAACAAAGACTTCAGAGTCAGATAGACCTGGGGTATAAAATCACTATTAAAAAGTTGGTGTTTTGGGGAAGAATACTTGATTTTTTTTTTTATTTTGACAAAGGAATACAAAGATAACTTGACCTGGCCATCCTTAGCTTAACCTGCAGTACCTAAGAATGTGACTGTATTTGAAAATACAGCCTTTTAAGAGATGATTAAGTTAAAATGAGGCCACTAAGGTGATGTCTTTATAACAAGAGGGAATTTGAACAGAGCAAGAATACACATGCATAGATGAAAGACTATGTGAGGGTAGAGAGAGAGAATGCCCATCTACAAGCCAAGGAGAGAGCCCTCAGAAGAAAGCGAACCTGTTGATGCCTTGATCTTGGACTTCTAGCCTCCAGAACTGTAAGCAAATAAATCTCTGTTGTTTAAGACATCCAGTCTGTAGTATTTTGTTATGGCAGCCCTAGCAAACTAATACACACATATTGACATTTGTCATAATTTTTAAAAATTTACTTTTTGAGGTGAAATTGACATAACATAAAATTCACCATTTTAAAGTAAACAATTCAGTGGCATTTAGTTCATTCACAATGTTGTGCAATCACTGCCAGTAGTTCCAAAACATTTCCATCATTCCAAAATAAAACTCTTACACATTAAACAGTTTTTCCCACTTTTCTCTGTCCTGTTTCTTATAATGTTGATTATAACATTAATGTAGAACTTCAGTAAGGTAGGTTAGATTATATAAGTAATTCCTATTTTTTAATATTTCTATTGTTAGGTAGTCATAAGCTAAATAAAATTCTATGAAAAGCTTGTTGAAAGAAGTTCACCATCATCTAAGAAAAAAAAGATCTAAACAGCAAGCCAGTAATAATTTTCTCCTTCATTAAATGGAGCTGCTCTAGTCTTCAGGAAACAGACCTAACTATACAGCCAAACCACTCGCCACATCCCATGAATTGGTTTATAACAGAAACTCTGACTATTTCTTATTTCAAGCAAACAAACATCCAGATGCACTGCTCCAAGTTCTGCCCATTGGGAGAATTTCTGTTCATTAGTGTTCTTCAAGGATATCTCAAAACAGGGCTATCGTGTTGAATCTATTTACTTTTAGGCCATACCTACATACTGCACAGAACCCTGTGTAAACTAGGCCCTTTTTCTTCAGTCAATTGATTATAGAGAACTCTCTAATGAGGCAGTAAATGTGGACTGGAGAGAGAAGAGAACATGGTAGGAGTAGGAACCATGGGCATTTGGGCTGCTTCCTCATGTAACTTACTTGTTCCTCAGGGCTTCCTTCAGTCCAGTCTCACATATACAACTTCCACTTAATGTTGGAGTGCAGCCATGCATACCTAATTTTATAGTTTGTCCCCACAATACTCAGTTCAGGATGAGCACCTCAGGTCACATGGTAACTTGGTGTCTGGGGTTAACATTCAGTTGCTTCCCAGTAAATAGGATAACCAATAACTTCCCACAAATTTGCAGTATTCTGGATCAAATATAAAGCTCTGGTTAAAGAAAAATTGTGAAGAATATGTGGCGTGAGGCTGAATTGTAAGTGGTTAAACATAGTTTTACTCATGGTGAATTGGGTCTATTTATCAACTGATATGACACTGTAAAATAACAGCTTAATTTGGGATAGAAAAGCAAATCAACCTTATTGTTGATGCCTGGGGGATTAATGATTCTACATTTTCTTTTTGATTCACTTATTTTGATCTTAAATTGTGAAACTCAATTACTAGAGATAAATCCAATCTAGTCTCATGGCATAATTAGTTTTTGTAGAGTCCATTATCCTAATAATTATACTCTAATTGGCACAAAAATAAAATATTCTGATAAGCAACATCAGGAAATAATAGCAGTAATTAATAGTAATTAAATTCCATGCAGCCCATCATAGAGCTCAGAGGTTGAAGGTGATTTTAAAAGTACATTTAGTAGGACTCAGGCAGAAATCATAAATACTTAATATGCATTGTTTTATTTTTAATTAATTATACTAGCTAAAATACACTAAAAATTCACAATAGAGAATTTTTTCTATACTAAAAATAATTCTGAGTGAATTCAATGAGTAAATGTATGTTGTGTTTAAGCTTTTATTTATTCATTTAATCCAACATGCCTACCATATGTTAGGCATTGAATTGAATATTGAGGAAGAAACAACTTATATAAGACATACCCTGAATCTTAAGGATGATAAAACTTCATCATAAATTCAGATTGTAAAATGAGGTCCCCTGATTGGAGATCTGAATTCAGGATAAAATGTAATCTCTGTTTGGTGGTAACAGTGGGGATGGAAATTGAGAACATCTTTTTCACCTACTCTGTGTTTTCATGTGGAGAGATAACAATAAAGATGACCTTTTTGTTTCTATTTCCTGAGTTACTCTGTTCCTTGAATCCTCTGGAAAAGAGGAGTGAGTTCTTTGATTAAGTCTGAGAGCTAAAATTGAAATGGCATGGCCAAGTTCATCTTATTTTTTTCTTTAGAATGCTCCTACCTTCACAGGATGTATTTGCTTTGCTCTTCGTGCTGTAAAATTTACATGGGACACATGCAACATCTGTGAGATGGGACTTCCAGTTAGGCATTTTCCAAGAATGTGTAGGTCAGTAAGGCAATCTAATTCTGGGGCTTAGTTTTAGGAAAACCAATAGGCCATATACCTTAGCCATGTTTGCCAATAACTCTGTCATTTGGCCTACATCAATGTTTCAGTTACTTATTTTTGAGTAACAAACCTGTCAGTGGCTGAAACAAGACCAATTTATTTTTTCTCATAATTTTGTGGGTTGACTGGGCTCACTTTGGTAGTTCTTATACTACATGTGATTTAGCTAAGATCACTCACGTAAGTTGTATTCAAAGCAAGTCCAAAGCAAGTTACTTGACCTGTTGTTTATTGGGGACTACAGTGAAACAGTCTACCATAATCTACTTGACCCCTTTGTTTACCTCTCAATTGGTTCTGAACTTGGATGAGGAAGAGGGTTACTATAAATTAGAGTCATGAAATAAAAGCATTCTTTCCAAGTTTCTTTCTTTCAGTGATGCTGTTTTTCTTCTTTTAAATCTTGTCTATTTCTTAGCAATATTTGTTGCCAGTTGTATTGATTATTGGAACTTTTATTCTCTGCATTTCTTCTATGTCTGCTCCTGATTTCAGCACACCCTGTCTCTACTAAAAATACAAGAGTAGCAGGGCGTGGTGGCGCATGCCTGTAATTCCAGCTACTTGGGAGGCTGAGGCAGAAGAATCGCTTGAATCCAGGAGGTGGATGTTGTGGTGAACCGAGATGGTGCCATTGCACTCCAGTTCAGCCTGGGCTCGAAACTCCGTCTCAAAAAAAAAAAGAAAAAGAAAAAGACTATAAGTAACACAATAATGATAAATACCTTTTTGTTTGCATTGAGGAGAACAGCTTGAAATACAATAATAAAAATAAAATATAAAACAAAGGACATGCAAAAAAGGCAGGGGGCAGCCTTAATAAACACACATTGTGGCACACTGGGCAACACTATTAGATTCCTAACTAACTTTTTTCACATGTCCATTTCTAATATAAACCAAATATGTAGAACCATATGCTTAAATACCACTCCTGACTTAAATTGTGGACAGCATATGGTTTGTGTTACTTTTCCAGCCTCAAGGACAATTGTGCATTCACCTTCCCTTATCCTTTTCCACTTTCAATCGTAACATGAACAATAATAAGGTGGTCAGTAGGAGATAGGGGTTTTATTTAGAATGATCAAATTCTAACTGATCAAATTTTAACTGATCAAATCAGTTAAAGATAACTGATCCATGAAGTTCTGGAAATCACATTAAATAAGTAATATTTGAAGGAGCTATCTTCAGCCTGGGATAAAAATACAAAAAGCAAGGATAGCTATTTTCAAATATTTTAGGAATTGCCATGTGAATAATTTAAAAACTCTTTTGTACCTTTCTAGAAGAAAGATCGTTAAGACCGATAAACAGTGCTTTCATGAGGGCAGGCTTAAACTAAATGCTATAAGAAGCTTTCTGGAAATTAGAGTTGTCTAATCAAACTGAATTCTACAGAAGCAGACAGATTTCTTTCACTAGAATTATGTAAGTAGATGTTGCAGCTCTTCAGCAACTAAAGACATTTCTGTACTGATTGGTTTTTGAACTATAATATATGAATAAGATTATTTCTGGACATCAGATTTCAGTAATCATTTCCTAAATGTTATCATGATAAGCTTTCTAAGAGTTTATGGTAATTACCCAAGTTAAATGGCAAGAGAAATTGGTGCTTATGTCAACATGGTTTAAGAAAAATTAGTGCCTGGTGTGGGGCGTGGTGTCTCACCCTTATAATCCCAACACTTTGGGAGGTTGGGCCGGGTAGATCACTTGAGGCCAGGAGACGGCAAAAACCTGTCTCTACTAAAAATACAAAAATTAGTTGGGTGTGATCGCACACTCTTGTAATCCCAGCTTCTTGGGAGGCTGAGGTGGGAGAATTGCTTGAACCTACAAGAGAGGTGGCCGTGAGCTGAGGTCTGGCCACTGCACTCTAGCCTGGGTGACAGGGCAATGCCCTGTCTCAAAAAAAAAAAAAAAAATGTAATTAAGATTTTCAAAGGTAGGTTTGGTGCTAATATTATTTAGTGTTATCTGTGGGCATTTCTCTCTGATTGCTCCACAATATCATTGAAAACCAAATGGCTTGGTTTGAAGATTTCAGGCACTTTAAACCATATCACTGTACGTTAATTTACTTAGCCAATAATTTCATCTGTCTTACAAACTCCCACTGATTTAATCAAGACCCAAAATATCACCTGCTGGTAATCAGCCAGACATAGTCACTTCTTCATTTCTGTTCCCTTAGTACTCTAAAAAGTACTACACAAACTATGCATGCAGAATTGTAATTATTTGATTGCATTAGTATTTTTCTACTAAGATTATATAAAATACATATAATAGTTTTAATCCCCAGTAACTTGCCTAATCTCAGAAACATTTGAGCAAGTATTCATGATATGTTTGTTTAGTAAATATTAGCCTTTCATCTTATACATTTCTTCAAGGGTATATGACAAGGGGAAGAAAAAGAGCCATGTATAATAGCAACTGCAATTATTTCAGTCCTTCTCCATGTGTAGTATATGTGACAGACCAGAGGTTAAACTGAGAGTATATACTGAATATGGACCACAGACTGTTTTTGGTTTATTTGTTTTATTTTTGGCTTGCAAGTGTTTTTAAACTGTACCTATTACCTACAATTACAAATCATATTGCACATAATAACCTGGATATTGGATGTCCCTTTAGAAGCAATCAAACCATTGTTCCTGTGTTTCATCATGCTTGACCCTTTAGACAAGACATATATTCTCTGATTTGCCACACTTTCCACCATTCCCTATTATTTCCTGGTCACTGAAGCTAAAATACCAGTTGAGATTTATTAGCCTACAACCAGGAACACAATGGCCATTTTGTTCTGGGTTCTATTCATTAGTTGGGTTTGGAGTCCCTGTTAGAGGTAGTTTTTCTTAAGATAATATCTGATGCTCCTCTCTATAATATAACAAGTAGATATGTCCCATATGTCTTCTTTATAGCCAGGATTTGTGCTCTTTGAAAGAAAAACTCAGGAAGTTTATACTGATAGAATGAAAGTAGGGTACAGCAGATAATGATTCATTAGCAATTTCTTGTATTTGTAAAGAATACAAATTCTTTTTTTTTTTTTTTACTGGAGTGCTAATAAAACATAAGTAATCATCCACATCCCATTCCTAATGTAAGCACCATTAACTAATTTATAATTCTTGGAGTACAAAATGCAAGAATGAATCTATTCAAGGAGTGGAATAATCAGTGGAAAGTACAAACAGAATGACCATTTGTTAAGGAAACATCAGCAAAGAGCAACATAATACAGCGGTTGGTGTATAATCTACAGTGTCAAAATTCTAGCTTTAACATAGCTTGACTGCTCTGGGACAATTCAATCTCTTTATGCTTCAGTTTATTTGTCTTTAAAATCGGAAATATAATAATGCTAACTTCTTAGTGTATGTCAGGATTAAATAAGATAGGACCTATAAAGAAGTTAGAAAAATGTCAGACACATCAAATGACTTAATAGACACAGGAATACATCAAAGATATTGTAGGTTCAGTTCCAGACACAATAAAGCAAATATTTCAACAAAGTCAATTATAATTTTTTTGTTTCCCAGTGCATATAAAAGTTTTACTTGCACCATACTGTAGCCTCATAAGTGTGCAATAGCATTATGTATAAAAGAAAAATGTACATACTTGAATTAAAATATTTTATTGCTGGACAAAGGTTAACCATCATCTGAGCCTTCAATGAGTGATAACCTTTTTGCTGGTGGAGAGTGTTACCTTGATCTTGATTGCTGACTGATCAGATTGGTGGTTGCTGAAGGTTGAGGTAGCTTGTGGCAGTTTTTCAAAGTGAAACAACAATGAAGTTAGCCACATAAATTAACTCTTCCTTTTATAATAGATTTTTCTGTAGAAAGCGATGCTGTTTGATAGCATTTTACACATGGTAGAAGTGGGATCAATCCTCTCTAAATGCTGCTGATTTATTAACCATGTTTATGATGTATTTTGAATATTTTGTTGCCATTTCAACATTGTTCACAGCATCTTCACCAGGAGTCGTTTCCATGTCAAAAAATGACCCTCTTTGCACATCAATAAGAAAAACTTTCTTTCAAGTTTTATCCTGGGATTGCAGCAAGTTAGTCATATCTTTAGGCTCCACTTCTAATTCTATTTTTCTTGCTATTTCTACCATACCTGCAGCTATTTTCTCCACTGAAGTTTTGAAGTCAAAGTCTTCTATGAGAGTGAGAATCAACTTCTTCCAAACTCCTGTTAAGGTTCATATTTTGCCTTCATCTCATGCATCATGAATGTTCTGAATGGCATCTAGATTGATAAATTCTTTCCAGGAAGCTTTCACTTTACTTTGCCCAGACCCATAAGAAAAATTGCTGTCAGTGCCAGCTATAGTCTTATTAAATATATTTTTTAAATAATAAGACTTGAAAGTCAAAAATACTCATTGATTCATGGGCTGCAGAATAGGTCTGGTGTTAGCAGGCATGAAAACATTAATCTCTTTATACATATTCATCAGAGTTCTTGGGTGACCTGGTACGTTGTCAATGTTGGTAATATTTTGAAAGGAATTTTTTATTCTGAGTAGTAAGCCTCAACAATGGGCTTAAAATATTCAGTAAACCGTGCTGTAAACAAATGTGCTGTTATCTAGGCTTTGTTGCTCTATTTATAGAGCACAGGCAGAATAAATTTAGTATAATTATAAGGGTCCTAGGATTTTTGGAAGGGAAAATAAGCATTGGCTTCACCTTAAAGTCACCAGCTGCATTAGCCCCCAACAAGAGAGTTAGGCTGTCCTTTGAAGCTTTGGAGCCAAGCATTGACTTCTCCTGAGATATGAAAGTCCTAGATGATATCTTTTTGTAATATAAGGCTGTTTTGTCTACATTGAAAATCTGTTGTGGCCACCTTCATTTTCTTAGCTAGATTTTCTGTATAACTTGGTGTAACTTCTACATTAGCATTATTATTTCAGGCAGAACTTTTAAGTTGTCAGATGACTTCTTTCCTTAAACCTCGTGAACCAACATCTGCTAGCGTCCAACTTTTCCTCTGCAGCCTCCTCACTTCTCTCAGCTTTCATAGAATGGAAGAGAGTTAAAATCTTTTTCTGGATTAGGCTTTGGCTTAAGGGACTGTTGTTGTTGGTTTGATATATCCAGACAACTAAAATGTTCTCCATATCAGCAATAAGGTTGTTTCACCTTCTTTTAGTTCCTGTGTTCACTGGAGTTGCACTTTCAATTTCCTTCAAGAACTTTCCCTTTTCATTCACAATTTAGCTAACTGTTGACACGAGAGTCCTAGCTTTTGGACTACCTCAGCTTTAGGCATACTTTTCTTACCAAGCTTCATCATTTCTAACTTTTTATTTAAAATGAGAGACATATGACTCTTCTATTACTTGAACACTTAGAGGCAAGAGGCCACTGTAGGATTATTAATTGGCCTAATTTCAATATTGTTGTGTCTCAGAAAGTAGAGAGGCTAAATGAGATGAGTGAGAGAAATGGGGAAATGGCCAGCCAGTGGAGGAATCAGAACGCATATATTTATTGAGCAGGTTCGCCATCCTAAATGGGTGTGGTTCATGGTACCCAAAAACAATTCCAATAATAATTGCAAAGATTATTGATCAGATATTACCATAACAGATAATAATAATAATGAAAGTTTAAAATATTTTGAGAATTACCAAAATGTGACACAGAGATTCAAAGGGAGCACATGCTGTTGGAAAACAGTGCTGATAGACTTTCCCAATGCAGGGTTGTCACAAATCTTCAATTTGTAAAAAATGCAATATCTGTGAAATATCATTAAGCAAAGTGTGATCAAACAAGGTATGTCTGTATTAGCTACACGAATAGTCATACATGACTTAATCATGGCAATTTGTTCTGAGAAATGCATCAAGCGATTTCATCATTGTGTGAATATCAGAAAGCATATTCACTCAAAGCTAGATGTTATAGCCTACTACACACCTAGGCAATATGGTATAGAAGATTGCTTTAAGAATATGAACGTAGACAGAATGTTAAAGGACTGAATACTGTAGATAACTGTAACACAGTGGTAAGTATTTGTATATCAAAACATACCTAAACATAGAAAATGAACAGTAAAAATACTGTATAAAAATTAAAAAAAAGTTATATCTGTTTAGGGCACTTACCATAAATGGAACTTACAGAACTGGAACTTACTCTGGGTGAATCAGTGAATGAGTGGTGAGTGAATGTGAAGGCCTCGTGCATTGCTGTATGCTAAGGTAGACTTTATAAACAATATTAACTTAGGCTACACTAAATTTATTGAAAATATTTTTTCTTCAATAATAAATTAAGCTTGGCTTACTGTAACCTTTTTACTTTCTATGCTCTAAAATTTTTTAAACTTTTTGACTCTTGTAATAATACTTAGCTTAAAACACAAATGCACAGCTTGGGCAACACAGTGAGACTTCATCTCTACAAAAAATTAAAAATTAGCTGGATGTGGTAGTGCACACCTGTGGTTCTAGTACTTGGGAGGCTGAGGTAGGAGAATCTCTTGATTCCAGAAGTTCCAGGTACAGTGAACTATGATCACACCACTGCAACCCAGCTGCCTGGGTGACAGAGAAATACCCTGTCTCTAAACAAACAAACAAACAAACACTGCAAACACATTATACAGCTATACAAAAATATTTTCATTTTGTATATCCTTTTCTGTAAGCTTTTTAATTTTTTTATATATTTATTTCTTTACTTAGTAAACTTTTTTTGTAAAAAACTAAGACATAAACACACACATTAGCCTAGGCATAAACGGGGTCAGTATCACCAATATTACTGTCTTCCACTTCCATATCTTGTACCACTGGAAGGTCTTCAACGGCAGTAACAGGCATAGAGCTGTCATCTTCTATGATAACAATGCTTTCTTCTGAAATATTCTGTGAATGACCTTCCTAAGGCTGTCCTACATTTAACTTTTTAAAAATTAAATAGAAGGAGTACACTATAAAATAATGATAAAAGCATAGCATAGTAAGTACATAAACTAGTAACATAGTCTTTTTTATCAAGTATTATGAACTCTACATAACTGGATGTGCTATAGGTTTATATGACTCACAGCACAGTAGGTTTTCTTACACCAGCATCGCCAGAAACAGCTGGGTAATGTGTTGGGTTATGTTGTTAGGAGAGCTATGGCATCACTAGGTGAAAGGAACATTTCAGATTCGTCATAATCTTATGTAACCACCATCCTATATACCATCTGTCATTGAATGAAATGTCACTATGCTGTGTAGGACTGTATACATATAAGAAAATTGCTAATGGATAGGTATTAGTCAGCGTTCTGTTTTAGTATAGGCCTTGCCTAGCAAAAGTATTGAAACAGAAAAATTTAAAGTAGTACACTTTTCAAATTGGATAAACCAGATAATGGGTGTTTTACTGTTATTAAGCCAAAGCATATTGCTACAGCATTGATAGATGAGTAATTTTCAATATTTATATAAAGTTAACATTTAAAATAAGTTACTCGTATTGTGTTATTTAGCAAACATAAATGTATTTCAAATGAACCTTTTAAATCTCAAACTTTCCTTGGCAGAGACTAGATTCTAACTTTAGAGGGGATTATTGCAGTTGCCTCCCAAGCAAAATATCTGTACAAATGCTTGAGAAGTGACTGTATTTGAACGTTACCAGAAGCTGGAAGTGTAATTTTCAAAATATCAGCAAATGGTTTCCCTAAACTATCTTCTTAGGTTACCATGAGAGAGACTTTATATTTCTCCCTGGCCTCAGCTGGAAAAAAAGTAACTAGACTGAGTGTTACCTGGAAATTTCTCTCATTACTTGGAGTTATTTTTCTTTATTTTGTTTTCTGTCTCCCAGTATTAAATTGTTCTTAGTATTAAAACCTGAGGTGAAAAGTAATTTCATTCCAACACTGGCACAAGTTTGAAATTTGCTACCTAATCTAATAGTCTGTACACTGCTCCAGATACTATTTGCACAACTGCAGAAAGTGAGAAAGGGAGTTGAGAAAGGGCATGTTGAATGGTTTTGAGTGGGATAATATGAAGAGTTTTCAGACATAGGATAGTATACATTTTTTGTTACTTGTTTTTGTGAGTTTTTCCAGATATCTTGATCTACTCAGAGATATTTGTTTAAAAATAATTTCTATCAGTATCTTAGTAATATAATGTCTTTTTCCAACAATTTAATACAATCCAAAAACTTTACTAATGAAAGGTAGTATTTTCTTTCTAAAAACTCTTACAGGACTCATGCCACTTACCAATGCTATTTAAAATTTGGTTGTCATACAATTCATTATTTAAACTGGGACACTGATAAGAATAAAAAGAGGTGCAATTAATAATTATATTAGGGATTAGGAATAAATCAGACTTACAGGCAAATTAGGGTGCACTGGTGTCACAATTGTAACAATATTTACTAGCTATTTTCTTTCTCACATAACTTGCTCAGGTTAGCAATTAAGAGTTGTAAAACAATCCCTAAGAATTGCTTTTATATGAAACAGTTTAATAGGTGTTATTTGAAGAAAAACCGAAAAGCTACTCATGAAAATAAGGAATTTAGTAGCAGCGTTTAAATCTAGATCTAGTATTCAAAACCCACTAAGAATTCATCCAGATGGCATGCAGGAATGGCCTCTACTATTCTCAATTGTTTGATAGTTTTAGCCATAAATTAAAATAAAATTTGATTTAAAGAAGTATTAATTAAGCAACTTGAAATGCTCTGTTTACATTCTGATATGGGTTGCACATCACTTTTCGAAAGGTTTCTTTGCAAATTTTATCCACCTGAAAAGACAGTCTTATAAGTTAAGGAGATGAAAATTTTTATTTTTAAGTGTTTTTAAGTGAGGACGGGGGTGAGGCTGGGTAAGTCTTCCTCCCTCACCAATAACAAAAGCACTGTTACACATGTCAAGCCTGGACCTTAGACTTGATCTTGATCTTGTTTCACACCCAGTAACGTCTCATCATAGTGTCCTTCAACAATTGATCTGAAGCAAATATAAGCTCATCTTTTTTTTTACTAGCACACTAGTAGAATATTTCATTCTACTAACTTTCAGATTGATATAGAAGTAGATAAATCATGTCTGGCAATGCAGTGAGTATCCATAAGGATTAGTGTATCTATCTGCTTACTCTATACTTTGTTTCTGTTGCTTTTTGAAATATTACTTTATGCAGCTTAATGAAATTTGATGGTAAATTTATTAAATATCTTTATATAATACTTACATATTATATATAAAATATTTACATTTACATATTTTTTCTGTGTAGAAAATTCTGCTATGGGTCTATAATTTAAGAATTTTTAACCCTACAGTTTTGTGTAATGATGGTATAGAGGAAATTCTGTATGCATCAGTCAATAAAAACTCATTTTTGCCATGCTTTCTCCTCAGCAGAGCTCCTTTTTTTGTGTGTTTAGAAATTTCCTAATTCTATTTCCAGACATTCTACCTCAGAAGTTATTTGGAGGAATCCAAGGACTTAGATATTTTACCAATGTCTCTGGTGATTTTTATATCGGTGGCCCATGGGTGTTGACCTATGAAACTGCTCTGCAGCAGATATTGAGAAATAGGAGTTCAGGTAAGGCTCCTATGAGCTATTCTAGTATTACTTCCTAAATGTAGTTTGTTAACATTCCAAACAAAGAAGCTTAATAGTCTCTTCAGTCCATTCATATACTCAGTAAATGTTTACTAAGAACTCTGCTGGATGCTGAGATGAAATGGTACACAAAAGAGACAGGTTTTATTCCTCTAAGTATCTAGTGAGATAGACAGCTCAGGCAAAATGATAAGGACAACAATGAAACATACATAGTGGTAAGGAAGCACACAGAAATATTCTTAGCCAGAAGAGAAATTCAGAGAAATATCCTCAGACTGTCATCTAAACTAAGAACCAAAATTTCATATGATTTAGTTAAATGAAAGAAAAATAAAGGGGGGAAATTATCAGGCAATATAAGCTAGTTTGGGGAACCAAATGATTAGACTTTCTGGAGCACAGTGTATATGGGGCTATTAAAGGGGGGATGATGGTAAGAGAGATGTGACTGGTTTGGGAACATTTCATCAGATCTTGAAATAACTTGTAAACAATATCATAGCGTTCAGATTCAAACTTAATTCTTAAGTCTAACAACTTTAATTTAGTCCAATGTTCTCTTGAATCAAGTTGGTATTAAATATTTCCTTTTGCTTCATGTCTATTTTGTTTCCAAATGATGTCTGATGCTTTTCTAATACTTAGAACTACAAAGAGGATTACTAAAATATTTAAAATATGTTTTTTGTAGTCTTGCCATACTGATTTTCTCTATTTTTTAAATAGCAGTTCTTATAATTCATTTAAAAAGGTGCCTAAGTTCCAATAAAATATCCTATGCCTGTTTGTGTCAGTAGTTGGTTTTATTGCAAGCATACCACTTCTAATTGCATAGATTCCTCTTCGCTGTTTTTCTTAAGAATACATTCAACTGATGGGTTCAATACCCCAGCAGCTTTAAAGTCATCATT
Source organism: Homo sapiens (assembly GCF_000001405.40). NCBI lineage: Eukaryota > Metazoa > Chordata > Mammalia > Primates > Hominidae > Homo > Homo sapiens. The sequence continues at coordinate 64,976,553 of NC_000004.12, read as the reverse complement.
AATTTGATGTCACTCACTCTTCATTTATTAGTAGTCCTAAGTTCTTATCAACCCTGAAATATTTGGAGAAGCTGACCTATACAATTTGATCCCAGTTGCAAGCATTAATTAATCAAGGTCCCTGATTGCCCTTATGTTTCCCTGACAGCTTTAATATTGAAACAATCTTTACTGGAAATGTTCATCGCTGTAACTATAAGACTATCTTTTCAGGTGTATAAAATTTGGAAAAAGACCTTTAGAAAAGTGATGTGCAAGTCATATCAGAATGTAAACATAGAGCATTTCAAGTTGTTTAATTAATACTTATTTAAATCAGATTTCATTTTAATTTATCGCTAAAGCTATCAAACAATTGGGAATATTAGAGGCCATTTTCTACATATTGTCTGGGTGAATTCTTAGTGAGTGTTGAATACTAGATACAGATTTAAACACTGCTACTAAATTCCTTATTTTGATGACTAGCAAGACAGTAGGTGTTGAGGCAATACACTCTTGTCAAAATGAAAGTCTGATTTCTAAAGATCCTTCGGTAGTTTATACTCAAGAAACTACTAAGCATACCACGTTAAATATTGTTTCGCTAACTGAGTTATTATCCAATTTTACTATCCAGTTTGGCAGAGACACATGTCTATCACTTTTGATAAATCTCTGCTTTCCTATGAGCTTCTAACCCAGAGCTAGAATGTTAATGCTGTTCATTTTTTGCATTAGTTTAGCACACTAAATAGATTTGAACCTCACTTGAGGCTGTCAGGAAAACCAAGGGCACTTTGGGAATCTCCACTGAGATTCAGCTAGCCTTATCCTTCTTTCCTGTCTTTTTCTCTTATAAAATATGTAAATAAAACTCAAGAAAAGTGTTTGAGGTGAAGTATTATCTTCTTAACAACGAAGCAGTCAAGGAGCTTTGATAGTGTTATATTTAAGAGCCTTTGAGACTTTATGTAATGATGTTGAGATTTAGGCTTAAAATCTACTTAGGTAAACACTACTTAATATGCATTACATAGGTTTATTAATGCAGAAAGAAGCATCTTTGTTGTCCATGTGAATCCAAAGAATTGACTTGAGATAAAAAAAATTACTTTAATCACATTTTACAGAAAATTTTAGGGTCATTATAGAAACTGCTAAGTTTCTGTAGAAACTTCTACAGAAACTGGTAAGTTTCTGTAGAAACTTCTATAGAAACTGCTAAGTCTATAGAAACTGATAAGTTCCTATAATGACCCTAAAAATTTTGTGTAAAATGTGGTTAAAGTAATTTTATACTTTAAATTTTATCTAGAATAAAATTTAAAAGAAGATAAAGACATTCATTTAATAAATAAATTCAATCACAGATGCCCTACATGACAAATTTAAAATTGGAATTAGAGAAAAAGTACATAGATAAAAAATATTCTACAATGGAAATATTCATATTGATGTGCTTACTAAATTTGAAGATACTTAATAATGGTTATCACTGTTAATGTTCTTATTATGGGAATTAAGTAATGGGATTAATAGACTTGACAGATAAAGAGCCCTTTCTTTTCCTCATTTCATTTGTTTGGTGCCTAGAAATTTTTTTGAGGTTCTAAATAGAGTAACCAGTGTCAACCTAAAAAGTCACTAAAGAAAATTTTCCCAAAATATGTTGCGTTTACTAGGAAATGAGAAATGAGAAATGAGAATTACAATCCAAAATGCACAGAATGGTAAGCTACCAGTGCATTTGGTGAGGGAAGGGTAAAGAGAAGCTTTTATTTGTGAAAAGGAAGAGGTTCACATAACCTGCTTAGAAACAGAGTTCATTGATGTAGTTCATTGTTGGAGAGGCTGTTACTTGGCAATTTCTCATTAGAATTACTAATTAGAATTACTAAAGAATGTCCAGTGATAAACCTCTCAGAGGTTTATCACATGGGTGAAGGATGTGAAAGGATTTTTGTGGGGTTTTACATATTTATATATACAATAATTACATATTTTATATATATGTATAATAATATAAGCAAAGAAACACAGAACCTCTATGTCTTTTGCTATTGAGTTGGATGCATAAGATGAAAACGATAAAACCGCTAGACACAAGCCTTCAGGTTTTCTTTTTAAGTTTTGCTGTTGCTATTGAGTCAAAGTCTTCTCCTTTACATAGTGTTGGTATAAAGACCATGAAATAATTTGTGTTTAAGAGAGTTTGACATAAACAAAGTTTACAAAATATATGTACATGATTTTTTAAAGCATGCAAAGTATAAATGAAGAGTCTTCCTTAATTTACCACATTCTAAGGCTTAAATTGTAAGGTTAATTACAATTAGACCTTTATTACATAAGCATAACTATTCATACTTAAGAAATGGGGAATCAAGACTACTCTCAAAGTATCTAAATCAAAATAGAAGACAAGACCATGCTGCCACCCATGCATGACCCATGGGTGCCACCCATGCATGCCACCCATGCTGCCTCCCATGCACGACCCCCATGTCTTTGCTCTTATCTGCATCCTTTCTCATTCTGGTTGCTTGGTGTTGTCTTATGGATTTATTTATTAAGGAATATCATGTTGCTTCTTAATTTCTTCAGCTTTCTTGGAGCTGTCAGGCAAGATTGACACTTAGAAAAATCATTTCAAGCATAAGTTTATGTAATACACCCATACATCAAATTCTACAGGCCATATTAAGCAATCTGAATTCAAAACAACATTTTTATCCATGAACTTTAATAAATATAACTTGTAACGACTTGAACAATTTGACATCATTATTTCCTGAAGTAATCAGAATTTTTCTAATTATATAATTCTTAAAATTTTGCTCTAGGTGTTAATTGAAAAATCTTCCAATGAAGGGAAAAATTTTGAATATTTTCAAAACTGTAAAGAGCTTTATTATTACATTAAATGTGTATAAGTCATTTCTAAAGTCAAAATTTAATTAGAAAATAAATATCCAAATTATTGCTAGAAGTAAAGTAGCTAGGGAACAACAAATCCATTAAAAGTAACATGGAACTGTCATATTGAAGAGACTTGCATAATTTTCATCTCAAATTTTCAACTATTTTCTTATACTTTTTTCATAATGGTTCTGAGAGAAATTAAAATAATCCTGAACACTTGAGAGGTGGCCTATATGGAAATGTATAATACCATACCTTACAACGTAGCTCCATGGACTAATTTTATTGGATATTTAACTACTGAATGTGGTATTACAGCTTTTTTTTCCTAAGCAATTACATGACTGGAGAAGAAGAAATCTGCATAAATCTGCACTCAATTTTTTTGGTTTCCCTAAAGATCTTCTCAATACAAAGGAGTTGTCACAGTATGGATCACTTGTAATAATATTTGGCAATTTGAGAAAATTGCTGACCATCCAGTAGCTGTTTAAATATCAGTAGGAATTTTTGTAGCCTTTCAGTGAAAAGGAATCATTCTAATAGCTTTCTTTTGATACTTATTCACATATTTCTGGTAGAGTCAAAGTGTTTTTAAAATTAATTATAATGTTTTCCTTTTAAATTGCCTAAGTTGTCTATTAAAACGGGTAGTAAAAATGCCTATCTGCCAACTGCTTTTAATTTGATATTATTAAATAAGGGCTATAATAAACTTTGAACTCATTTGCGACAAATATTTCGAAAACCTTGGATCAGTATTTGTAAAAATACTAATAAAAATATATACACACTTTTTTACAAACATTAAGGAATCATGGTTTTGAGGAGGGGCCGTCTAATTTATGCACATTTACTTTTTATAATAGTATTTTTTCTATTTACTTAAAAAAACATGTTCTATTGTATAATTTCTTTAGATTCTAGACAATTCCAGTCATTGAAGAATATACTTAAGAAAGTGTGCAAATGGCTATGACTTCCATCCAATTACCATGACACCATTAGAGGTACAATGGAAATTTGTGTGAAGAAAAAAATAGCTATAGAATTGTTACCAAATTCAACCATTTGGTTTACAGATCCTTAATGTTTGTCTGTCTGCATACGTTTTTGATAGTATTTCTTTATCTTTTATTTATATTAAATTATGTTTTATCAAGAGCTGAGAGCTGCCAAGTGTTGAGGCAGTCAATTAGGGCCTTAAGCCAAACTGAAAATAACAGTTCAAGGCTCTATTCACTTATTTCAATCGTGTACCCAAGAAGCCAGAAAGAAGGTACCAGCTCCCCTAATGTTCTATTCTCCCCAGGAAATGGCATCAGGTAAAGGTTTTACTTCAACACAGACAGTGGAGTTGGAAGAGTCATCTCACCCTGAACAAAAGACTCCTCATGTTTTCTCTACCCAAAGGCTAAGAATAAGGTCAGGGGAAAAAGCCAAAAGCAGACAAATACTGAGAAGTGAAAATGGTATTCATGGATATCAGACAAAGAGTTCTCAGCAGAGGCACCTGAGAAAGGCCTCAACTGTGGGGGCCACAAACAGTAGACCTTGGAATGGAGGTGCCCAGGCCACATATGCAGACGTATATGCTTAAGAGCAGGGCTAGCAGGGATGATAGGTGGGGTCTTTGACTGCAGCTCTCTTTAGAGACTGCTATGCACTGGCTGTGCACCATATCTGGTGTGGTGAAGGCAGCATTCTTCAGTGAGGCCTGCCAGACCAAGTTTTGTAATGGCCTGTGGTCTGGCCTGTGAGATAGTATGGAGGATCTTGCCTGAAACCTGCCTCTTCTGGTTTTACGTCACCAAAATGAAATTCTGCAACATTTTCATAAATGAAAAACGGTAAGAATCCATCCTCCATGTAAAATTATCTCTAAACCAACTGATATATGAAACCATATTTTATGTCCTTTAGAGTAATGATCAGTTTAGGTATAGAAAATTAAAAAGAAATATTAAAAGGTGATTAATTAAAATAATTAATCTTAAAAAAATTAATTTAAGTATGTCTAATTTAGTAAGTCCCTGGCCAAATTTATATTCTCCTCCAGAATTTACTACTTTTGTTGATTTTTTAAAATTGGCTTTATCGAGGTATGATTTTAATCAAACACAATCACTAATTTGACATGTTATAATAAATATGTGTAGCTGTGTTAACTATCATCAAAATCATGAAACAAAACCTTTCCCTTACCTAAAAGTGTTCCCACATATACTTTTAAGTCGAAATCCTTCCCAGTCCTGTACTCTTAGCAACCACATGTTGCTTCCTGTCACTATGATTTTTGCCTTTCCTAGAATTTTCCATGTGGGCTCAAATGACATAGTCTGTTGTATCTGGTTTCTTCAATTTAGCATAAAATTTTTGAGTTTCATTCATGTTGTTGTGACCATCAGTAATTACGTCTTATTTCTGAGTAATTCTTAATGATATAGATATGTAGATATATGTAGATATACCATAATACATGTATCCGTTCAACAGTTGATGGGCATTTGGGCTGTTTTCAGGAGCTATGATGAATAAAGTCATTAAGAACATTCATATTATTTATGTGAATCAATGTTTTCATTTGTCTAAGGTAAGTACCTAATAATGGGGCTGCTATGTGATGAAGTAAGTATGTATTTACCTTATTAATAAGGAATATCTAAACTGTTTCAATGTGGCTGTGCCATTTTGCATTCCCAGTAATGCAAAACAGAAGTTTCTTTTCCTCAGTACCCTTATTAAAATTTGTTATTGTCAGTCTGTTTAATTTTAGCCATTATAATGAGTATGCAGCAGTACTGCATTATAGTTTTAATTTACATATCTCTAATGGATAATAAGGTGCAAATTTTCATGAGCTTATTGAACATTCTTATATCTTTTTTGGCAACGTGACTGCTTGGTACTTTGGTCCATTTGTAGTTAGGTTGCTTGTTGATATGGTTAGGTTTTGTGTCACCACCAAAATCTCATCTTGAATTGTAATCCCAGGTATTAAGGGAGAGACAGGGTAGGAGGTGATTAGATCATGGGCATGGTGACCCCCATGCTGTTCTCATGATAGTGCGTCAGTTTTCATGAGAACTGATGATTTTCTAAGGTGATTTTACTTCTCTCTCTTGCACTCTTTCTTGCCTGCTGCCATGTAAGATGTGCTTGCTTCCTTCCCCCATGATTGTAAGTTCCCTGAGACCTCCCCAACCATGTGGAACTGTGAGTCAATTAAATCTCTTTTCTTTATAAATTAGCCAGTCTCAGGTATTTCTGTATAACAGTCTGAGAATGAATTAATACAGGAAATTGGCACCAGGAGTGGGATACTATAAAGATACACAAAAATGTGGAAGCAATTTTGGAACTGGGTAAAAGGCAGATGTTGGAACAGTTTGGAGGGAGCAGAAGAAGATAAGATGTGGGGAAGTTTGGAACTTCCTAGAGATGTGTTGAATAGTTTTGAACAAAATATGATATGGATAGTCATATGAAACAATGAACTCCAGGCTGAGGTGGTCTCAGATGAAGATGAGGACCTAGTTGGGAATTGGAGCAAAGGTCACTCTTGTTATGCTTTAGCAAAGAGACTGGCACCATTTTGCCCCTGCCCTAGAGATCTGTGTAACTATGAACTTGAGAGAGATGATATGAAATTTGAACTTATGTTTAAAAGAGAAGCAGAGCATAAAACTATGGAAAATGATCACCTGATGATGTGATAGAAAAGAAAGACCCATTTTCTGGAGAGAAATTCAAGCCAACTGCAGAAATTTGCATAAGTAATGAGGAACAAAATGTAAATTGCCAAGACAATGGGAAATATGTCTCCAGGGCATGTTAGAGACCTTTGTGGCAGCCCTTCCCATCACAGGCCTGGAGATCTGGGAGGGAATAATGATTTACTGAGCAAGGTCCAGGGTCCCCCTGCTATGTGCAGCCTCAGGACTTGGTACCCTACATCCCAGCCGCTCCAGTCATGGCTGTAAGAAGCCAAGGTACAGTTCATGCCATTGCTTAAGAGGGTGTAAGCCCCCACCCTTGGCAGCCTCCACATGTTGTGGTCCTCTAAATGCACAGAAAACAAGAATTAAGGTTTGAAAACCTCTGTGCAGACTTCAGAGGATATATGGGAACACCTGGACGTCCAGGCAGAGATGTGCAACAGGGGCGGAGCCCTCATGGAGAACCTCTGCTAGGGCTGTGCAAAGGGAAAATATGGGGTTGGAGCTGCAACACAGATCCCCCACTTGTACACTGCCTAGTGGAGCTGTGAGAAGAGGGCCACCATCCTCCAGACCCCAGAATGGTAGATCCACTGACAGCTTGAACCATGCACCTGGAAAAGCTGCAGACACTCCACACCAGCCATGAAAGCAGATAGGGCGGGGGCTGTACCCTGTACCCTACAAAGCCACAGGGGCGAAGTTGCCCAAGGCTGTGGAAGCCCACCCTTTGCATAAGCATGTCCTAGATGTGAGACATGGAGTCAAACGATTTTATGCTGGAGCTTAAAGGTTTAATAACTGCCCCACTGGATTTTGGGCTTGCATGGGGGCCTATAGTCCCTTTGTTTTGGTCAATTTCTCCCATTTGGAATGTGTGTATTTACCTAATGCCTGTAAACCCATTGTATCTTGGAAGTAACTAACTTGCTTTTGATGTTACAGGCTCCTAGGAAGAAGGAACTTGCCTTGTCTCAGATCAGACTTTTGGACTTGGACTTTTGAGTTAATGCTGGAATGGATTAAGACTTCGGGGGACTGTTGAGAAGGGATGATTGGTTTTGAAATGTCAGGACATGAGCTTTGGGAGGGATCGGGGCAGAATGATTTGTGTCTCCACTCATATCTCATCTTGAATTATAATCCCCAGGTGTGGACAGAGAGAACTGGTGGGAAGTAATTGAATCATAGGGGCAGTTCCTCCCATGTGTTCTTGTGAGAGTGAGTTAGTTCTTTTGAGATCAGGTGGTTTAAGCCAGTTTTTCCTGCCCTCTCTTGCACTCATGCACTCTCTCTTCCCTGCCACCCTGTAAAATATGCCTGCTTCCTTTCTCCATGGTTGTAAGTTTCCTGAGTCCCCCCAGCCATGTAAAACTGGGGGTCAATTAAACCACTTTTCTTCATCAATTACCCAGTCTCGGGTATTTCTTTATAGCAGTGTGAGAACAGACTAATACACTTGTCATCTTATGACAGAATTGTAAGAAATCTTTATTTATTTTTACATATAATGTTTATCATATGCATATTTGGCAAATATTTTCCCAGTGTTTGAATTGATTTTCATTTCTTTAACATTGTCTTTTGAAAAGCACAAAATTTAAATCTCAAATTCCAGTTATCTATATTTTTTCTTTTTGGATTAATTTTTTATATAATATTTTAGAGCTAAAGGGCATAAGTCTGTTTGCATCTTTAAAGTATCCTGATATTTATAGAGAAATGCATGAATTATCAATTGAATAATAACATGACATCTGCAAGTAGCACTTCGGAAACCCATTTTACTAATCATGAAGTTTTAATGTGCCTGCCTGTTATTTTTAATAAAAAGAAGCTTGAAATTACTAGGAGACAAAATTTAATAGCTGTCCCATGCCAAAACTTTTAATTTGGGGTGGCCACGGAATCTCATAATTCTAAATTTTATGTTTTGACCATGGATTATTTTGTAACCAAAGGGGAATTTCTTGAAACATATTATTGATGATGAACTTTTTTGGGAAAAGAGAAAGTGAGAATTATGAGAAAGTTAAAAATATTTAGATTTGAAACATACTCCTTTAAGTGAAGAAAATATATAAATATGGTGTTTTCATCAACAGATGCTTTCTTCTTCTGTTGAAAAAGTGTGTTTGTGTGTGTGTGTATGTATGTGTGTAATCACACATGTTTCACTTGGTAAAATAGTAATGTTGAATCAATAATAAGTGTGTTCTCCTAAAACAGTTAATATTGTTCCTGCATTTGTAGTTCCAAGTCACTACAGATTAAAAAGTCTTGCATCGTGGCACCAAATGAAAAAGGAGAGATTGTCAACTATGTTTATGTACTGTCATAAAAACGTAACCCAGAGTGTTGGCAACTGTGTCCCACAGTGGGGACTTTGAGCAGTAATAGCAGAGGGTGAAAGGCAGCAAAATGATCATTTCTTCTCCCTTCCTCCAGCAGTAAATCCTGTGGCCTATGGTTTCTCAGAAGACAGAGATGGAACAAACAATCACACTTCACAAGAAGCTTTGATGAGCTCATTAAAGTGCTTCCTTTGATTTTTTTCCCCTCATTCTCTACCTGCATCCCTTTTCCCTTCTTTCTGCTTTATTGGCATTGCACTGTAAGGAAGCATCCACATGAAAGCCTTTGAATCAGCCTCTGTTCTCTAGGGATCTGTGGCTAAGACAGATGGCAGAGGTTAAAATATATTTAAAATTTCCACTCGAACTTTTCAATGGATTTTGCTTTCTGGTGTTAGACATTTGAAAGTCATTTTTTTGAATGTTGCTGTAACATAAACCACAAGTTCAAACTTGGGTTTATATTTCTTCAAATATAAGTGAGGCTCACATGGACCTAAAAACAATATTTACAACTTCTCCTCCTAATACTAAGTAGTAAATAATGCCATTTACTAGTATTATATATATAGATATATGCTATATAGTACATATGTATATGTAGTACTATATATATATATATATATACACATATATATATATAAAACAAGCAATATGCAGAAACAAATCTTTAAATTCACTTTCACCAGTTTACCCACAGTTAAAACCAAATTATGGCTTTATAAGCAACATTGTCAGTCATTTTCCTGAGGGATTTATTAGCCAGATCTAGGGTTTAACTTTTTGATTTTTAACGCTTATGTTCTTCTCACATATTTTCCACATAACACTTTTATTAGATCTAAAACATAAAACTCTTAAACCTTGCATTTTACAGAATTTTTTCTTTTCTTGTTATAATAGTTAAAATATATACATTTTAGTTATTTTATTGCCAAAATGAAAATATAGATATAAAATTATTTTATTCTTTTAATATTCTCAGACTGAGCTGGTCCAATTTGTAGTGGAATCTTGCAAAGAAATCAATATAATAACAATTTATACCATATTACAAATTTGAATTTCTAAATCACTTGTATCTAATGTTAAAAGTTAAATATAATAAAATTTAGATATTTACTAGCAATATATCTATGTATCTCCAAGAAAATGTCACTATTATATAATTCTATAACTTACATTACTGTGTCTATTTTTTGTTTAAAATAGTTACCTGCATATTTGATATTTTGTATTCTATGCTTCTGTTTAAAGTACTAAATTATTAAGTAATTTTATAACCACATCCAATAGCCTTTCTAGCATTAGATTATTAACCAAATAGCATGAAAGTTAAAAGAAATACAAAAGTGCTAACCATTAAATAATATCTACAAATTGGACTATGTTAACATTAAGCACTTCTGAGGTTACTGAAATAATTTTTAATTTCCCCAAATTCATCACCTAAAACAACAAAAAAGTATTTCAGTTATTAAATATTGTGAAATAAACTTCCCAAAAACTTACTGGCTAAAAATAACATATATATAGATTATATATGTATATGTCATTTTATATATATATATACACGTTATATATGTTATATATATATTTGTCATTGTATATATGTTATATAAGTTATATGTATAATGTTATAATATATATGTATAGATAGATAATCTCAGTTGGTGCCACGATGCAGGACTTTTTAATCTGTAGTGATTTGGCACTACAAATGCAGAACAGTATGAACTGTTTTAGGAGAACACACTTAATATTGATTCAACATTATTATTTTACCAAGTGAAACATGTTTGATTACGCAGGTACATATACACACATACATACACACACACAATTTTTAAAAGAAGAAAAAAGCATCTGTTGATGGAAACACCATACTTATCTATAATATATAATCAATATATAGTTTTATATATAATATATATTATTGATTCAACATTATTATTTTAGCAAGTGAAACATGTTTGATTACACACATACATATACACACATATGCACTCCACCTTTTGTTGGTAAATGGCAAGTTTTCTGGGAGTGCATATGGGATGGTAGATACTGTGACTATTTTTGAAAAATAGAATCTGTCATACATAGCAACCAAGACATGGGGGAAAAAACAGAGAGTGAGAAGAAAAGAAATGAACCCACAGAAAATTAAATTTTATGTCTCCATGGATTCCAAATATGAGCTTGTGTGTTTATTAACATTAAAAAAAGTAGTATCCTCAACAGTGTGAAAGGAAGCAGAGGGTAGACCAGTTATTCTGATGAGACTGAGAGCTGGACGATCAGGAAATCAAAGACCTAAAGACAGAAATACCATTCAACTCAGCAACCCCATTGCCGCATATATACCAAAGGAATATAAATCATTTTATCATAAAGACACATGCACACATATGTTCACTGCAGCACTATTCACAGTAGAAAGACATGGAATCAACCTAAATGCCCATCACGATAGACTGGATAAAGAAAATGTGGTACATATACAACATGGAATACTATGCAGCCATCAAAAAGAATGAGATTATTTCTGTTGCAGGGACATTGATATAGCTGGAGGCCATTATCCTCAGCAAACTAACACAGAAACAGAAAACCAAATGCCGCATGTTCTCACTTATTGGTAGGAGCTAAATGATGAGAACGCGTGGACACAGAGAGGAGCAATATAGCTGGGGCCTTCTGGAGGGTAGAGAGTGAGAGAAAGCACATAATCAGGAAAAATAATGAGTGGATACTATGCTTCATACCTGGGTGATGGAATAATCTGTACAACAAACCCTCATAACACAAATTTACCTGTGTAACAAACTGGCACTCGTATCCATGAAATTGAAATAAAAGTTAAAAATTTAAAAAATCAATAAATAAAAAGCAAAAAAACAAAACAGGCTTCCAAAGATACTAACTCATAAAATGAAGAATTCTTCAATTGGCAAAAAAGTTTCAGGAAAATCTGAAAACAAGATGCAAATTTTCTCAGTCTACAATTGCATGAGTGCAAGAAAACTGCAGTAATGGTGGACTCAGTTTAGGTCTTCTGAACAATTACATAGGCTTTCTTCTGCAACAAAGTTCTGCTTTGAGGAGGATCTGCAGAATCAATATTTAACTGTGCAGAAACACAAGAGGTAAAAGAAAGAGAATCTACAAAAAAAAAAGTAAGAGGGGGAGCAGAGAAAGAATGTAAAAGGGCATATTTTTGAACACATTTACTTTACATTAACAACAGTATAGGGATCCCAAGAGTAACAAAACAAGGAAAGCTAGCCTAGCTTATTTGCATATGTTAAGAATATATTTTTAATGAAAATCTCAACTAACAGGTTTGGCTGCAAATTGTATATTTTAAACATTATAAGAGTGGGCTGGGGATAAAAATAGTTGAAATGTTTCAAGCATTTTAAAATCACCTATTTACAAAGGCAATTGTAACCCATCAGAACTTTTCCTATCTACTGATTAAAACATTTATTAGATAATAATTAATTAGGTTAGATTACTAATCACTTGAAAAATACATTTTTGCATTCCTTTGATTAAGATTCATAACTAACTCAAATCACCAATTTTACCAATTAGATCAATGTTTTCTATTTTCTATTTATGGAAACTAATTTTAACATGACTTCTTTTTACGTAACTTGTGTATATCAGATATTGCCACTTGAAATTTATCTTCACAAGGTCAATACCTGTTGTGGCTATGATTTTCCTATATTTGAAATACATGTTGGCCAGGGGCAGTGGCTCACACCTGTAACTCCAGCACTTTGGGAGGCCAAAGTGGGTGGATCACTTGAGGTCAGCAGTTCTAGACCAACCTGATCAACATGGTAAAACACCATCTCTACTAAAATTACAAAAATTAGCTGGGTGTGGTGGTGTGTGCCTGTAATCCCACCTACTTGGGAGGCTGAGACAGGAGAATGGCTCGAATCTGGGAGGCGGAGGTTGCAGTGAGCTGAGATTGTGCCACTGAACTCCAGCTGGGGCTACAGGGTGAGACTCTGTCTAATATATATACATATTTATATATATATATATATATTTTATATATAATATATAGTATATAATATATATATATTTTATATATAATATATAGTATATAATATATATAATGAAATAAATGTTACCAAAGGCTTTCCTATTTCTGATTGCTTTGTTTACATCGTTTTCAAATGCCTATATATTGGATCCACAAAAATGCTATGGCTGTCTTCTTCCCACAGCTCCACCCCCACTTATAGGGGATGGGTGTTTATTGAAATGTCATTGTAATTTCCTGAGTAAAACTATTGATATTGTTTATGTCATTTATAGTTACTCATCCCCTTGTTTAGGAAAATTAATTTTAACCATTGAGCACCCATTTATCCAGCAAGGAAATATTAATTACCCTTTATTTAAAGGAGCTTGACCTTTTCTACTTTTACTGGCAAGTGGAAAGTTTAATTGATTTAGAATAATGCACAGATATGTGTGTGTTTACTCTGGAGAAAAAATGAGAAACATAAACATTTATATATTCTACAAATCTGTAACTTCATTATCAATAAGGTCTTATGGGCAAAGAATCAATTCAAAAGAGAACTATATGATGAAGATAGGTTAGCAATGCCAGAAGGCTGCTAGCTGGGGTCTCAATTGGGGACATTGTTTAGCATTCTGAAAATTTAAAGGAGATGGAGAAAATGAGCAATAATCAGAAAGTGGTTGGGTAGGTAGTGATTTGCATTTTATTTACCTTTGGGTTTTCTTGCCATATGTTCATATTTCAAATGAAAGAAGAAGCTGCATTTAATACAAATAAGAAAAAGATCAATATTTGATTTATATAGAAGGATGCTCTTCTTTGTTATTTTTGTGCATCATGTTTCAAACCTTATTAAGTAAAAATGAAGTTTTGTGGCCAGGTGGGTTACGGGCAATGCTGAGTTATTAGAAATTGCTCTACTCTTTATGGGCATAAATGTTAATAGAGTTGAACATCAATTGATAGCTCTCACTCTTGCTTTAATTATATATAGATGTACATTTCCCTTGTTGCCCCTCCCTTTTCTTAGTCCCTCTGAGGACAACATTTGAACCTTTCCATTTTTGGAAGATGAACCCTTCTCTTCATCTTCCAAACAATCATGAGTTAGGCTTGTACACTGTGGCTTTTTGGTATGTTTCTCATCTTTGTTCAGGGAAAGGCAAAGGAAGATGTGCAGTGCTACAAGGCATAAATGAAGGGGCTGAAAGTCTTTTACTTTGGAATGGGAGGGTTGTCCCCAAAATTGGTAAAGAATGTGTTTTTACTTACTTTCTCTATAATCAAGAAGCTGGGTCATTCTTGGAAGAGGATGATAATATTAGTGTCAGGTAAAATGCCTTAGGCTTATTTTTTTCACCTTAGGGAAACTGGTTTTTATACCAGCATAGTGTGTTCAAATAATGTGGATCTTCTGATAATGATTACATAATGTTTTGGTTTTCAATATACGTAGATCATATATTAAAACAATTTCCTGCTTGATAAACTATAAATATAAGTCCGAATTATTTTTAGTTTAGGATAAGGAGAATACATTGTTACTAAAATAATCCACTATATCATATGCTAGAATCAACCAAATCATTATGTAATGAGCACTTTTGTTAGGTAATGCAGTGAGGACATGTTAAAAAAGACTATATTTTTCTCTTCAAGGTGTTGTGTAGCTTGACAGAACAGGTCAATGCCTAAAACACAACAGTTAATCCAACAAGAAATATAAATAATTCTGTTAAACAGGAGTAAAGAAAGAGGCCTCAGAGCACATCAGGCTGTTGAGAAGCTTTCCACTTGCTTCTTGTCCTCCAAACTCATACCTTCAACAGCATACTCTTCCCCCAGAGACCATCAGGGCAAATCCTATCAAACCCTACATTCTTCTTTCCATCACTTCTCACAATGAGATTTGAACCACCTACTCAGTCATGCCTCACTAACTGAGCTCCCTGCTTTACCTGACTCTGTTTGGCCCCATCTAAGTCCATTTGTCACCCATAAATAAGTCCACAAAACCTTCTATGATATCCTATAGAACTCATGTTCTGACATAAACAAAATTTCCTATATCTCTAACTTCTTTTTCAAACATTTCCTTCCACTTCTGCTTCCTGTTCTACCTGAAATTTGCTTCTCTCTTGGAGACATGACTTTATCTTTGCTCCTTTTAATTATGGCTACTCTCCCACAGTCCTCATATCACTAGGCTTGGAGATGACATGGAAGCCTCCAATATGCATCATGCTTGCTTCTCCCTAGAAGGAACAATTTTCTGCCTCTTACACACAAAAATTCCACCCTTGAAGCACAGGCCATCGGATATTATCCACTATTGCTCATTTAACAACAACTATGGACTCCCAAAGGCACTGCCTCTGTCTGGCTATTTCAAAACCTAGTTTACTCTCACGTTCTCTGATACTATTCTTGTCATAATGATTAATCATTTTGATTTCCATATAGACTATAACCTTGTCATTACAAATAATTACACCCTTTCTGTCATCTTATTTTCAAGCATTTTATTTTTAAAATACCTCTGCAATTTTTTTACCTTTCTTCTTGAACCTCGGCTCCAATTTCCTCTCACTCTACAGGGACCTTCCCTACATTAATTCAATATTTTAATGTCCCTCATGCCCTCGTGTTGTCACTTTTATTTTTACCTGGCATAGATTCCATGCATAGTCTATTAATGTAATTGCTTCTTTGCAGATAATTTTATCCATATTCCTCTCCTCTTGTCTTATACTTACTAGACAAATCTCTGACTATGGCCATAACCATCTCTCCATGTGCTTTTCTTCTGAACTTAAAAGGTAAACGTGGTCGGAAGAAAACTCATAATTATGTCAACCCACCTCACTTTACTCCTAATTAGTAATCATTGGTGAAATGTTAGTGTTGTTTAACAACGTGACTTCATTTCCTTAGCTGTTCAGTTTTCTTCTCTCTACATAACTATTTCACACCTTTCCTCTCATCACACTTCTAACATCACATCCATCACTGTCAGCTAATGATATTGATTCTATTTCTTTCAGAAAATACAAACTTTCAGAAAAAAAGTATCCAAAACGGCATACTAAAACAACTATTCTCTGAATCCATAGCTTCAGTCTTACTGCAATAGATGGACCATCCTTGTTCTAATCTAAGGTCCATCCTTCCTTTCTGCCCTAGGTTCTATTTCAACTTCCTTTAACAAGGATATTTCACTATCAATTCTCACTTACATTCCTGAATATTCCTGAATCATATTTTTTTTAATTTTTTACTGGATCATTTCCCAAGCACATACAAATTGTCTCTGATATGTCCCGTTTTAAGAAAGAAAGAAGAAATCTTTCTTAACCCCAATTATTGTTCCATTTATGATTCGCAACTTTATGGAAAACTCTACATTATTGTCTCTAATCACAATGCCTCATAGGAAATCAACCATTAATCTTATTGACTTCAATATATAAGCTACTATTTTCTTGATTCAAGCTGTAATGGGATTGCTGTAATATCCCAATGAAACAGCTGTAACCGCCTTTTGATTGGTTTCCCAGACTCTAACCCTACTTCTTTTTTTTTTTTTTTTTTGATGGAGTCTTGCACTGTAGCCCAGACTGGACTGTGATCTCAGTTCACTGCAACCTTCGCCTCCCAGGATCAAGCAATTCTCCTGCCTCAGCCTCCCAAGGAGCTGGGATTATAGGCGCCCACCACCACGCCCAACTAATTTTTTGTATTTTTAGTAGAGACGAGGTTTCACTATGTTGGCCAGGCTGGTCTCAAACTCCTGACCTCGTGATCCACCCACCTTGGCTAGCCTTACTCTTTATAGGCAGTTCTACAAGACAACTAAAATGATCCTCCCAAAATATAAGTCTGTATATATCATCCTTTTGCCAAAACCTACTCCACTCAAAGCAAAATCCAAATCTTTATATGGCCTACAATACCTACATAATGTGAACACCATCACCTCCCACAACTGTCTTTCCTCATTCCTAACATTTGGCCTCCAGCCTTAGGGCATCTTTGCCTAAAATACGCTTCCTCCAAGTTTCCACACTATTTTTCTCATACTTTTTTCCTGATAAAATAGTTTCTTATTATCTGTTCTTCCCTTGATCATATTGTATAAAATAAAAGTAACACTTTACCCCTTCCTGAACTTATTTCTTTCTGCAAGACTTTTGCCCCCTTATGTATAATTGTCTGTTTATCTGTTTATTGTTGGAAGACATTTTATCAGTCTTTTTAAATATTTTTCTTAAAAATTAAATTTTTCATAAGACATATGACTCAATATTTTATCCATCTTGTTCATGTATAAGTACCTATTAAAGTGCCTAGAATGCAGAATGTATGCATTAAATATCTGTTGAATAAGTAATTTTTAAGACTACCTCATAGGAAAAATACTATATGGTGAAATGATTTAAATATATTTACCTGCTGAGTGATGCATAGAAAGTTGCAAATTTGTAACACTTTCTACTCCAGAGTGAATTTTATTGAAGTGGAGATTTCAGTTTATTACGACTTTCAATCTGTAATCACCAACTGAAAGTTTACATCAATGTATTTTCTGAGACTGATATCTGCATTGATGTGTAAATGTTACTATGTTGATAATTCTCATAAAAGACAACTATACATGATTAAAAATGATGGAACATTAATTTACAATAAAACATAAAGCAAAATTGGTATCTATATTAAAATATTAAAAATTACAAGAGTAGGAAGCATCTTTAATGTTAAATTTTTTAAAAAATCCTTTTATTTTGTCATAATCCCTGGACAGACAAATTAAATACAACAGCTATGTTGACCACTTAAAAAAAAAAAAAAAAAAAGAAAAAAGCTTGCTATGGAAGTTTAGTTACCTTTACATGCTAACAGGCCAGGAATAATTTTACATAACATCTGCCATACTAAGAGGTTTAATAAATTAAGTTACAGCAATGTACTTTGCTCTTCACGGATTGTATTGAATATACGGAGTAATTCTTTTCCAAATGTTTGGTCTAATTTTTAACATGGATTGAGGCATTTGATTTGGTTTCTATTTTGGGATAAAAACCTCATAACATTGGGAGTTGATTTTAAATTCCTCTGAAAAGTAGGCTTTATCTTTTTCTTCCTTAAGATATATTACAATTTCAAAAATATTATTTATGAACCCATTTTATCTTCTTAGTCCAGAAGTTTTTAATGTCAGAAAATGTATCATTTCTTCCTTTATTCCCAATGTCTAGTGATATGTATGCTGCATGTAGGAAGTGATAATTAAACCCCGAATAAATAAAAGTTACCTATTTCTAAGAAAATGGATTTTCTGCATCTCAATCAATTTTGCATTTGCCTCATTTGCTATGGCAGATCCGTATAATATGTTTATGTATAGATGTATGCAGTATTTCCATATACAACAATTATATAAAATTCAATTACAATGTTACTTTATTTCATAACTTGGAAGATGAGTGATATAATGAAATGAATGACTTGGGTGTATATTTGTGTATGTGTGTGTGTCTGTGGACATATATTATATATATATATACATATATATATATATGTATATATATATGCATACACACACACAATTTCTCTCCAAATCCTCACTGCACCTGGCCTTGATTTTTCTCATTGAAAAAAAAATCAGAAAAAAAAAATTTAGTTATATCCCAATTCTAAAATTTCATTAGCTCAAAAAACTAATATTTAAAAAGTTATTCAGTTATAAAGGGCTCCATTCTAGTGCATCTAATGATAGTCTCTGTTTCTCTGTCTCTCCCTCTATCTCTATTTTTCTGTATCTTTCTTTCTTTTTACTAATATCAGTAGAATAGGTCAACTCAATACCAGCCTTAGGTTCATTTGCAGTGTGGTCTTGGGTGGTAACTAAACTTTTCTGTGATTCATTATATTTATCTTTAAAAAAAATGAGCAGAATAGATACTTTATGAGGTTATTGTGAAAATGAAATTAGATAATATTTTCAAAGTATATAGTACAATATTGGATACAATGTAAGCCACCCATAATTCCTAGTGATATTATTAAATATATCATATTCATTCACCCATGAAGCAGGAGGGCCTAGGGGGTGGGAATCATTTGCTCTTACCCACGTATGCCCTGTTTCCCCTGCTGTCAGTAGCCTTGGATTAACTAGACCTCATTTATGCCATGGATACTAACGTGGCCTTTATTCATGAAACAGGAAGCTTGGGATTGGCTTGATCAGCAGGAATCAGCCACACTCACCTTCGTAGTGCCTTTTAACTTCCGTTATTATCTGCCTCTGGATCCCTCAGATCCACTTTTCCTTCCAAGGGCTTTGACCTGAAGCTTGGAAGTGAGTTTGCGACAAAAATGTGTCTTGTGGGGAGTGGGGAGGGGGCGGCGGTGGTTGCATGGACTCTTTATTATAAGCCAAACGCTAAGGTGAAACTTTGGAATTGAGTTCTCCTCCAACAAGAGAGAGAAATCGATGTCTTGTGACACACCCAAATAACTGATGGCTGTTAAGTATGCTTACTAGGATTTGGATGCATGGTGCTTGGCTTTGGTTAGCTCCCTTGGTCTTACTTTCCCAAAAAGGAAACGTCTGGGTGATGGGCACCCTATTTATTCCCATCACCTGTCAGAATTTGCAGGATAATTGCTCAGAACTAGAATGTTGATCCAGATTTCTACATTGCTCTTCTTTTTTGTTCTAAGCTGGAGCCAGAGAGTGCTGGTTAGTTCACAAGAACAAGCAGGTTTAGTCTAAAATGTAGGTAAAAACTTAAAAACAACTAATGAGTTTAGAATATAATGACAAACCTATGGTAGGTTTTGAAACTTAATTTCTCTCTCTCTAGTTCTCATATTTGTCAAGAAAAAAATCATCATAGGACCGAGTTGTTTGCAAAATAGACTTTATTCTTATACTTGACCTGATTATTTGCATAAAGTGCAGCAAGAATAATTATTTCTACATAGGCCTTTGGACTGACTTTGATGGAAGTGTGTTCCACAAGCAATCTCAGATAAATCCTTTTAAATCTGAGCCCAGCCATAGACTTGTATCCTCAAATACCTGCGAGTTGGGAGATCCTTTCTTCTTAAGATCCCAGCATAAACTTGGAGCTCCTGAAGCTTTTAGAAAGTGACATTCCACACTGACCACAGGTCAGGAAGCCTGTACAGGGACTGTGTAGGCAAGGCTATGAGGCCAGTTTCCCACTGGGCTTTTATTGGTTCTGCAAGTCGAGATTGACTCCTTAAAGGGACGCATACCCTTCCAGTTAAAGCCTTTGCAAAATGATCAGTTTTTTAAATTGTGTCCTGCTGCAAAAGAAAAATGGATTTTTATTGCATGGATGTGAACAACTATATTGTCATAAGAATACTCACAGAGTTTCCAAATTCTAGAGGAACCAGGCAGAGAGAAACAAACATGCTCCAAATTTTGTTCACAGGAGAATAACTTACTCAATTATTAAAGGCTGTAAATAGTTCAAAATAAGTTTCCTTGACTCTGAAAAACAAATCAAGGATCAGCAGTATTGCAAGCAAAAGTCAAAATGGTTGCTTCAGATTTCTCAGTTCAGTCCATTAACTCTTGTTTTGCTTGATATTCGTGAACATTTTAGCTCTTCATGAGTCCTGTACACTTTCCTTTATTCCAATGTCACAGTCTCCAAAGTTACCAGAATGCTGTATTTGAGAGTGCCTGTTACAGTTCTATAACTTATTATACACCATCTTTTGAAAAGGATTAAAACAAGACAACAATTTTCTGTGAATACCAAAATTATTCACAGAATATTGCAATTAGGAAGACAATTGATAAAGAAGTTTGATTATCTCCGTGGCTTACTATAACTTAACATAACAAGCTTAATTATGTTTGGTAGCATATACTTAGACATTAGAATTTTAGAAAGTCTCATACAATTTTTGTAACATATATTATTCACAAAAATATATCATAAAGAAGATTGAACATCATTTTGTCAATCCCATACACATAAACATGTCAAATAATCCTGCTTACCTCTTTTCTGGACATTCCAGTGGCCCTCTGGACTATTTGAAAAGCCAGGTGTCAGGAAAGACAATTTTGAAACTGAAGTTTGATTTTGGGAAGGCTTTTAAATATATTTAAAGCACTCGATATTATGAAATAGAATTCCAGATTACCATAAATTATTTATCCAAAATGATGACTCAGAAATTTTAAAGAAGCAAAAAACTTTTATAACCCTTTATAAATTTTGCCAAACAGCAGATTAGTATTTTAAGAATACCTTGTTGTGTTTTGATTTCAATGCTCAGTTTACAGAAAAAAACTTATAATACCCTTTTGATTTTAGTTAATATGTTCACATAGAGAACCTCTTCTACAAGACTATATTCCACAATTCTTCCACCACTTCTTTGAACCTTCAGCTTTTTCTTATCTAATTTAAAACAATCCTTTAACCCTAAGCCAAAGTTTACATTTACATGACTTCTTATAACCTTTCACTATAAAAACACATTTACTGTTCTTACACACCTTGCATGTAAATCTATTTTCAGTAATCTCAATTACATATTATAATGGTAACTCCTAGCAATTTTTAACTTTAATGTAAAACCTGTAAGTTGTTTCCATGGTGTGCTAAGTGCAGCCAAGTTTTGTCTTCTTAATTAAGGGCATGGTAATTTCCATATGCCCCCAAGCCTTACCAGTTGTAAAGCCAGCAAGTCAAATAGTTCTCAAAACCCCAAAGGAGTTTGTAACCTTAAAACATCTAGCAAACATTGACTCTGACATGCATAGTTTAGTTCAGTTATTTACATTTTGATGATATCTGCTTTCTACCGATAATATTTAAGGCTGTTTTTATTCCTCAAAGATTAAAGTCACATGAACTGAAAGGTACCACAGTTTTTATCTTCCCTTTAAAAAATATTTTGCCCAATAACTTGTCTTCCTTTCAGGCTAATTTAATTAGACCTCTTTTTACAAACGTCACATACTCACACACATACAGGCAGGAGAAAACCCAGTTGCTGGGTGAGGCCCTTTAAGAGACAGGGCTAGGAAAACATACAGATATCAAATCAGAAAGAAACTTATTCCCTAAGGCAGGATTGCTAAACAAAACTTTAATTTCCTAAGGCAGGATTGCTAAACAAACCACCAGAGTTACCAGCCATACCCACACCACAGGATGTAAAACAAAATGGAAGCTTAGAAGTTTGCTAGGTACCATACAGACATGCAAAGCACAACAGATTGGTGACAGCCCAAGACCAGCCCAACAAATCCTTTTTCACAATTAAAACATTACAGAAAATAAAAACAGTAATAGTTTGAGGAAGGGCTGGCATAGTAAAATGCTTTCTAAAAAGAATAAAAAACTTTAAAACTTAACTTGAAAAAGAAACAGTTTAAAAATGCCTGGGGAAGAATCTCTTATTCTTATGCAAATGATTCCTCCACCAGGGAGATTAGTTTAATTACTGTGTGATAAAGCTGAATCCCTTGGCTCAGGAAGGCTGTGTTGGCTTGTGGTTGCGAACCAGCTTTGTGGGACCCTTAGGACATGCATCGCAGCTCTGGCAGGGAGGGGAAGGGAAGCAGAGAGCCCCTACTGACCTGTCTATCACCAAAAAAGGGAAGAAAGAGACTTTCCCTCAACCCCCAGGAGTGACAGGGGTTGGAAGCATGTTTCCCCTAACCTTAGAAGTCTGAGGATGAAAAAACTTAGAAGGGAGAGGGAAAAAGAGTTCTTGTTTTGTATTTCACTCACTGCTTCTGGGCCCCACGTTGGGCGCCAAAAAATATTGCAGGACTTTTCCTTAGTTCAGCTAAAGATGGGGTTCTTTGTCCCATGGCCACAAAAATTCAAGCCCAGACAATTTGAATGGTAAGACAGGGTTTTATTAAGTTATAAGAAGAAAAGGGGGAAACAGAGACTCTCGCTAGGCCAGAATCCCTGCTAAAGTACTTCCCACCTGACTGTTTGAATCCCAGGTTCCACACAAGAAGAGGAGGGGCCAGTTCCTCCCCAGTACAAAGGGTGTGAACTTCTGTGTGTCCACCCCAGTGTGCATTCCCAGTGTGCAGGTCATTTGGAGTATTTCCAAGGACCCCTTCTCATTACGCTGTCTCATTACACTGCAGGTAGATAAACTATTTTAAATAAATACTGTCTCATTACACTGCAGGTAGATAAACTATTTTAAATAAAGAGAAAATACCATAAAACCTTCACTTGATCATTTAACCAGGAATCTGCCCATTCCTACTTTCACAATTACTTTCCCTTATACAGTTGAGGCTTGCTTGTGTGCTAGGAACTGCACTAAGGACTGAGGAGACAATAACCAACTAGTCTCTGAGAATAGCCTGTGTCCTTCAAATAGAGAAGCTTGCATCCACTTTCTGGAGGCTAACTCTGTAATATTTTTTACAATTAATTATTAGAGGAACATAATTATCATTGTACATGTTGCTGGGTTAACTATACCTTAAGAATTTATCTTTTTTTTTTCAGCTTAAATTCAAATTTATTTTTTAAAAAATCTCTAAGGCGACAGATACCATAGCTGTCTTGAAAAATCTGTTGTTTACAATGACTCTGTGAGCTATGTATTCTTTAACCACATCTTACAGAGGAGAACAGTGAATCTCCAAGCAACTTGTAAATAGTAATCAACTAATAAGTGTCCAGAACTTACCTTTAATTGCAGGGATCTCAGATATAACAACTCATATTAATTCAACAACTTTTTACTCAACTACACAGTAACAACATTATTTGAGGAAGACTTCACAGTAGCAGGGCTTATGGTAGCAGAATGAGTTGTCCTTAGATCTGTAAACATCTGAAGATATTTTTGTCTCCATGATAATATCTCATATCTGTATGATTGCTACTTGTCATACTGGCATTTGTAGATAAATTTACAGCTTGTATATTTTCAGGTTTGGTCTTTTGGCTTGGTTAGCTTCAAGCAGTCAAGTACTCCCTAAGACACTCACCACACTCCCATAGTTTCAGTTGGTAAGAAAATAATTAGCTCCAATGGATTTAGACAGTTTGTTACTCAATGCAAAGTAGTGTGAGCTTTATGTCTGCATCTGTTCTATACCTCTCCCAGGTCTCCTGGGGCCAATACTGAGGCAATCTTAGTTTTATTTGTACACATGAGGGTCTGCTTTATTGTTGACAATCACTGAGGTTAGAAACTTTCCAATTTAATAAGAGGTCTTCTGTCAAACATGCCCATCCTCTCCTCCAAAGATAAATATTATTATAACCTGGGAATAGAATCAAGGGTGGAAAGCAGGCATTCTCTATATATAATGATACTGGTTAGGAAATAAATCTACTATCTGTTACAGAAAGAGACACTATTTCCAGCCTCCCAGGCAATTTCCTGTCAAACATTCTTGAAAAAAAAATTCCCAGACCAAAGTTGTCACTAGATATGTAGAAATGCCCTGGAGAATTGCCCCGCAACACTTGGATATCGTAGGTATCCTTGTCGATTTGCCTCAGCTTAGGTGTTCATAACATTTTAGGTATTTGAGACTTTGCTATACTCTATACTGGGTGCCTGGTCTAGCTGATTTTCCAGGCCTCTGCTGCAGATTTCCTTTATTCCCTACTACATGGGTCCCATGGCAAGCTTACAAATTAAACTCAGATACTCTCCAAGCCCCAACCTGGGACCTAGGAAAATGAAATTCCAGCTCTTTGTCCTATCATGCTGTATTTCTTTGTTGACCTTGACACAGCAACAGCCCAAGGTTAAGGAGGAATAGGCTGTATGGGGTAATTTCCTTCTAAAATTCACATGCAAATGTGAACAAACACTCTCCTGTTTTCCGGGTTACCTTTAACCTATCCAACACATCTTTCTCTTGTAAAGTCGGTGGCCACAAGATCAGAACCTGCTCTTCTTTGGATATTTGTCCCCTCAAATCTTATCTTGAAATTTGATTCTCAATGTTGGAGGTGAGGCCTAATGGAAGATGTTTGAGTGACGGGAACAGACCCTTCAGGAATAGATTAACGCCCTGAGGGGAGGGAGTTGAGTGATTTCTCACTCTATTCGTTCCTGGGAAAGTTGCTATTAAAAAGAGCCTGATGCTTCCCCGATTTCACTCCTTTCTTCTCTCCGGTCATATGATCTCCATACACACCAGCTGCTCTTTCATCTTCCACGATGAGTGGAAGCAGCCCAAAGCCCTCACCAAAAGCTGATTCTGGTGCCATGCTTCTTGTACAGCCTGCAGCACAATAAGCCAAATAAGCCTATTTTCTTTATAAATAACCAAGCCTCAGGTATTACTTTATTGCAACACTAAATGGACTAAGACAGAGCCTAATTAAATGATCCCCCTCTGCCTCCATCCCTAACTTTTCCTGGCAATGCACTAGAGACAGAAGAGTCAGGCTTTATGTTTCAACTTTTGGTCACCTTCATATGTCAAAAGCATATCATATATTATCTCTCTATCGTCTATCTATCTTTATTATTATAAATGCTATTTATATTTTATTTGAGTTTTTCTGTCCTGACTCTTCTTTAAAGGCACTTAGAAAACACTTGCTCTCTACTGTTTTCTACAAAACTTGTCTTTTAACCATATTGCTGTGAAGCAAAATATTGCAAAGAATATTAGAACATACCTATTATTAACTTTTTATTTTATACTTTTATGGTTATAATCTAAATATGCCATAATCCCAATCTCAGACCCAAGTCTTGGTTTGACCAGGAAAAATGTCACCTTCAGAAAAAACGCAAATTAAAAAAAAGTCAATGTATCTTTAATGTTACCCCCACTTGCAAATAATTATTTATTACATCTTAATTTTTCCAGGTTTAAATTCAGAACCACCATGGCTAACAGTCCCACTAAATGCTGATTAAGTTTCACCATTTTGACAGTCATAGGTTTCTGTCTGTTTTAACTTTTGCATTACAAGAAATCGTCTTGTTTTTTCTCAGTACTAGGGATGATACTATATGTGTTGCCAGCATTGTTTTGAGAAAAAATAGATTCAGTTTTAGAAGGAAAGACTTCAAGGTAGAAGGCTGACAGGAAGATTACCCTATTATGGTTCCCTTCTAGCACATCTTTCTGTTCACATTCTTAGAAGTATGAATGTAAAATACAATAATTAATTCATATAGCTACATCCTACTATGTAACTGCTTGCCCACATTTAATTCTTTTATTATATATTGGTTACACCATGCTCTTTAATTGTTACTGTCATATTTTTTAGTATACACTATCAAAATGAATCAGTTTGGTCAATGAAGCACTCACTTATTTTCAACTGCCTAACATTCATTATTATGCTCCCAGATGCTCAATTTTATTTATTTTTATCTCCTGTATTCATTTTCAATATAATGAACACAGGCAATAATAATTTAAGACAATTAGCATCTCATAGCAGCTCCAAACAAATCACCCTCACTGAAGCTTCCCTGTTACAACTGATTTTTATTTTTCAACATTTAGAAAAGATTCCTGAATATTCATACATCTTTGTTTGAACTTTAGAAAAAAATTAATATTTGGCAAAATATTGACATGAACTTTTGTCTAGAAATTAGGCAGCCTGAATTTTCTTCTTAGTCTGACAATAACTATGAAAACTTGAGAAAGAAAGGAGATCCATGAAACTGTTTTCTCATTCCTAAAGTGAAGATGTTGAATAATACAATCATTAAATACTTTTTGGCTCTGCAATTTCAGGATTCTTTGTATTGATTATAATGATTTCTCTATTTAAAACAAAAGTATGATTGTATACAAAAGTGTTACGTAAACATAAGTGTAATTCATTGACCAATTATTTTATTCAATAAACATCTATTGAGCACTTAGTATGTTAAAGGCAGATAGTCTCTCCTGAGTAGAGTAAAATGAGTGACAAATAGTTCTTATCATGAATAAGTTTGTATGTATTTAGGTAATATATACAACTAAAGAACACTGGTTTGGTACTAAACTAGAACTAAATTAATCACCAAATTCATTTTAGTCTTAATTTTGAGTAAGCTAAGAAAACTACATTTTATCATTTTGTCTGAGAAAAATTGACTAGCCCACTCACTCAACAATTTTTGCATACTATGTGACAGACACTGAACTAAATATTGGTAAGCAAAATATTTTAAAAACATCTTTGCCTATGAATTTTCTGTTCTCTTTCCCTGGAATGTCTTTCCCAAATCTTTGTGTGACTCACTCCCTCATTTCCTTCATCATTGGAAAGTAAGCTCTCTTAAGAACAAAATGAAGTGAGTGAGGAAAAGAAAAAAGTCAAAGATGACTCCCAGAATTTTTTTCCCAAGTAGATTGGTGAGGATAGTGCTGATTCTTGAAGTGTTAAAGAGAAAGGATGTTCAGAGTTTCAGGGAGGAAAACCAAGATTTCTGTTTTGTGTCTTACAGTTGGGAAGCAAGTTATGGATGAAAGTGAATAAGTGGAATTAGCAGTTGGATCTATGAGTCTGAAGGCCTAGAAACCAACCGGGACTAGAGATATAAATTTGAGATTATTCAGCATACAGATAATATATAAAGTCACGAGGCTTTAATAAAATTACCTGGGGTGTTAAAATTGACAGTAAAAAGAATACTTTTTGGTTATTCTGGGAATTGAGACAGCACTGAATGTATTATAAATTTATAAAGATAATACATTTTAGGAAAAAAATTGATTTGTTTTTACATTTGAGTCTGAATTGAAAGCTAAGACAAATTTTATTTCATGTTTCTCTTTTATTGCTAAGCTTCATGCCCCAGCATGGGAGCTCTTTCAAAGATCTGAAAACTAAAACTGGGGAGAAAATAAGAATTAGTGCAGAGTGGGTGGTAAGGGAAGAAAAACGAATTTATGAAACTAGCATTATATTTTATTTGCCTGTTCATTTGCATTTACATGACTACTTTAAACATGTAGTTTCTTTTGGATCACAGTTTTAAAATTATTTTTCTTTTCCCAATAATTCATGAAATGTTTCTGTTTGAAGATAAACAGTGTTTAGGGTGTTCTCTTTTTTTGCTGCTGACAGGAGTATAAAAAGTTACTGGGAAATGAATTGTGTTTTATATTAGAAGTTAGAAATGTCTAACTGTTGGGTTATATAGAATATATGCTTGTAGACCTGCACTATTGAACTGTACAGGAGGAAGAATAATACAAATTAAGTTGCAGATGGTGTGTAGACATGTATCCATCTTCTTTGAAATTAGTCATATTTTCTCACTGGTAACTGGGACCTGCGTTTATGGGTTCTTGGGTTTGAGTAATTCTAGCGACTTTCATGATTGTTTATAAATAATATTCCATTGATATATCTAAAGTTCATTAAATGTTTTGTGCCAAATTTCAAATCATTCATTATGCTGAAGAGTTTTCCTTTTCTGGAATGTTTCTATATTTTTAACACTTTTATTATACCTTAAATGAAGACAGAAGCACATGCAGAGATTCTCAAGATCTTTGGCAACCAGAAGATGTGAATTAAGAGTAAACTTTATGTCTATTAGACTGGCAAAACCTGAAAAGTTGGAGATTGCCAGATGCTGTCTATAATGTGTTTTGCTGCTGAGAATGCAAATGGTAGAGGCATATTTGGGAGCAAGTCTTAGCAATTCCTTTCTTAAATATCCCAAATAAATTACTTCAGTCATCCACAAAGAGACATATATGCATATATTCATTGCAGCTTTATCCAGGCAGTTCATGAGTTGTAGATGACATTGTTGTTCATCACTGAAAGAGAACATAGGTAATGTGGTGGATGCGAGTGGTAGATACATACATTGAAGCCATTAGAAGCCACAAACTAGATGTATTCATAGAAATAAGTATAGGTCTTAAATGTACTATTTAGTAGGAAGAAAAGAAAATAAGTAAGAAACAATGAGATATGAAATGTGTATCACAATAAAATGTAGTTAGAGGTACATGTACATAAAACATTTTGTAAAATACACAAATTGCACATTAAATATAATTGAATTACTGCCTATTGTTGGGAATGAGAATGAGGTGAACAAAGAGGAGAATCCTTGAACAGACCAAAGATGATAATCTCCCATGAACTGTGGTATAAAATCGTAAAAGAAAAAACATTGTGAGTTGCAAGCACATAAATGGTATTTAAAATCATGGATTAATGATGTCCCCTAGGGAAAGTGTACAGTTACAGAAAAATGTCATTCAATATAACACTGTAACACTATAAAAATTTAAATAGCAAACAGACAAGATGAGGAATGAGTATGAAACTGTCAATACTAGTGTTTACATAGTCCTTACTGTGCTAGTCATTGTTCTAAGTCATTATCATGTTTAACTTATTTAATCAAGCATCAACGTAAGTTAGCTAACATCATCCTCATCGTTATCTTCAGTTTACAGATTTGGAAACTGAGAGGAAAAAATTTTTTCTGAAATCACACAATGAGTGGAAAACTTTAGTTTCAAATGCTAGGATCATTGCTTCAGAGCTTATGGATCAAGCCATTACACTGTGCTCTCTCAATACTTGGCAAAACTAATGGTTTGGAGTCATGGATGCATGAACAATAGTTTCCAAATTAAGGCAGTAATCACTTGGGTTAAATGTTGTCTGTAGTAAGGTGAGAAAAGCGAGAGAGATGAGAAGTTATAAGTGGCAAGGAATTATAAAATCACAGACTTTGTGATTTTATAGAGCACACAGAACTGAGACTTCACAACCTACTCATCATTTCTACTTCATTCATTGTTGAGTTAGCAGTACAAACTCATTTTTTTTCCATAAAATTCAAAGTTGGTAATGAAAGGAATAGAAAATTGAGTGAAAAGTAAAATAAGAAAAAATAAAAAGTAGAGGTAATTACAGATTACAACAGCTGAGGTTCTTGATCAGCCGACTAAGCTGCAATGATGAGAGATGTCAGTGAAGACAAGAGATCTAAATGAATCCAGAAAAGAAGCCTCTGTTACAGAGCCTCAGATGCCCTAAAACTTTGAATGAAATGAAAATCTAAGCCCACAATCACTTGATATCTTCTGAAGACATTACAGCATAACATCAAGTGATAATACTAGAAATTACTATTGTTGACTCTTAGTTATTCAAAGAAAGATAAAATTATGTTCAGTTAACTTTCTAATACATTTTATAGAGTGTTCTATCAAAGGGAAAAAAGGAGATTGACTCTTAAAATTGACTGGGAATGTCAAATAACATAATACTCTCCACTGAAATCGTGTGGGTTAATGAAGAGGTCATAACGAGTAATTACAGATCACTATAGAAATGTTATATATGCTATAGAAATTATATATATATGCTATAGAAAGACTGTTGCTTGCTTCTGTGTGCATGGTGTAGATTTCACCAGGGTTTATAACTCATCATTCAAGGTAGTCTTAATTTACAAAGTTACAAAACTTGCTCAATATAAAGCAGGACAGAATGCACCCATACATTTATAAAACACAGTTATCAAGACACAGCAATAAAAGAGAGTCATATTTTATACTTAAGGCTGAATAAGAATACATGCATAGATTAGTTTTAATTTAGTTGTCAAATGGTTTGCTGTATCTAATTTAGGTCCTATTGAAAGCAGTGTGACATTTAAGAAAGAAAGATTATATGATAAATACAAATTCAGCAGTGTCAAAAAAGTAGAACTGATTAATCGTGGGTTCCAGTTTGGAAAAGATACAAGTTAATAAATTAATAATTTGTTTAACAATCTTCTGATTGAGAAGTAGGGTGACCTATAGAAAATCTGCAGACACAACTTGATTCCATGGTAATGAGTACTGATTTTGATCCTTATTTGATAGGAAACACTTCACAGAGAAGAGAAGTAGTTGCTGTCAGGTAGAACATATACAGAATAGGAATTAAGAGATTCATTGATTCCAGAGTCAGACTGCTTGGCTCTGAATCCCAGCCCTGCAATTTATTAGAAATGTAACATTGTTGATTTACTTAACCTTTTATGCCACCCTTTTCTTTTCTGTAAATTCAGAATATTAGCACTTACCTTGTAGGGTTATTATAAATACTAAAATATCTATTTCGTGTGAGGCACGTAGAACAGTACCTGGCATGTTACTATTAAAATTAAAGACAGAGAACGAGTTAAATAATGAACAATTTCTGCTTCTGTCATCATTGAAATGTAAACTTATGCCACTATATTTATTATTTGAATGTTTTATATTATACATACTTCACACCAGAACATAATGGCTTTTTTCTTAATCAGAAGATATTAATATCAGGACTAAAATGAAACCCCCTAGCTGAATTTAAAAATCAAGGGATCTTGAAAAATTGGACAGGTTACAAAGGGAAAAAGTATCAAATACAAAAATGGCTAGCTTCAAAACAGACAAGTGAAGTAAAAACCAAATAATCAGACCTAAGTCACAAAGTTCAAGACAAAGTATAAGCAGGGATATGTTATGTTCAAATATTATTTTAAAATCAAGTTCCTGAATATTGGGCATTACTAAATCCCTTCTGCTGGTGATCACTTTGGTCACACAGACCATGACTGGGCTGACCCTGTAGGTAGAAGTCAAAAGTACTCCAAAGGTGGACAAAGGATGAATGAAGGAAAGAACACCTAGTCTCAATAAGAATAGTTGTGCCATTCATTAATTTATTTTTACATAGAATGGTAGTATCATCAAATAAATTATATTATAAATATCAAACTTAAAAACATTTTTTCTTATGTCAATTTCAATGACAGAATTCTCAAAAGACTGCACTGTTATGAGTGTCTTAAGTAGCTGTACATATATCGATAAAAGAAAATACTTAGAGAACCTCAGGAAAGAAGAAAAATAGATCTTAATTATAGTTTTTATTCATCCATGTTTTAATGAGAAATTATGGCCCACATGATAAAACCTTCAATCACAAGTACAAAAACTGTAACTTTGGTGTTAGAAATTTTGAAAACTTCCTCTATTTAACTGTTAGGAAACAGTGAGAAAGTATGTGTTGTAAAGATAGAGCCAATTAATTTGAAAAAAGAAGACCTAAGCTAAATCCAACTCAAGGCTCACATTGAGCAATTAGTTTAAACTCCATCTCAATTTACTAAAGATGAGTCAAATGTGCTCTCTCTCCTGCAGAGTTGGAAGGCCAAATCAAGGAGTGTGTAGATAAAATGTTTAAACCACTTAAATGTCCTACAGATGCAAATTGCTATTGTTGTAGAGCATAGCTGACATCAATATAATTCTGGGATGATATATTGTAATTATCTATGTCTGTATAATAAAAGTTTTGTTTTGGCCAACCGACTTTTGTTGCTTTCTTAGAACAGCGTGACTCAAGAAGAATAAAACATTTTTAACATATACTATCCAAAAACTAGTATACATACAAACATGTTGTTAAACACAATAGTAAAAGAACTATCACAGTTATTTATATAATTTTATAAATGTTGATTCTGTGCCTTTTATGTCATATTGCATACATCAACCTTGAACTTCATCCCAGATGGACAGAAAAATATCGCTTTTAGTGGGTGAAATGATATACTGCATAATTAATCACCCAAAACAGAGTAGGTTTGATAGCAAAAGGAAAAATTAAAAATAATAAATATTATACTTAAAAATATATATTATAATTATCAATGATTGTTTTATTATTTTGATGTACTCATAAAATATTTTATTCAAAAATAATTTTCAAAAAATATTTTGTAAAAAATTACAAATTCACATGAAAGCAAAATTTATAACCTTCATGTTTATTTTATGATTATCAAAAAATAAAAGCAATGTAACTATTCTTAGCACATAGTCATATACTTTAATCATTTTCTTACACTTAAATGTGTCTAATACTATACCTTGAGTCTTTTTCTGAAAATAATTTAAAAAATAGGTTCTAATTATTATTGTTTTATATATATACTTAGTCTATTATATAGCCTAGTTTTTAAAAAATATAATTGGTGACAATATTATTTAAGCTTTCATTTTAGACTAATTGCCTTTTTGTAGATGATAATCTTTTAATCGATAAATATTCTCTGTATAGACAATGATACGCTTGGTAAATTCAGGGAAAATGCTACTAAGAGGAGGTTATCTCAAGTCTCAAATTTTTCATGTTATAATATGTAAATATTTCAACTCTATTTTTTTAGGAGTACTCTTTGTCTGCAAAGATTCTCTTATTTTGATAAATATTTTATGGTTGTAATATGCAAATTCCCAGCCCATCTTTTTCTACTCACTCAAATGAGACTCTAGAAAGTTTATATACAATCAGAAACAATGAAAATGAAGGAATGCTTTCCTCATGTGTAAGTTTACCTCAAAATGAAGTTTGGATAATTTTTGTGTTTTATCAATCAGATACATGAAAAAAACACTTACTTATTTAAAAATATTTGTAACTTTTTAATTACTTTGTTAGGAACAAAATATATTGCCTACCTGCATTTTTATGAATTATATAATTATGAGAATTAGTGATGTCAATAATGCTAATAATGATACACTAGTAGCAATGATAGAGTTTTTCTGAGGACAGTGTAAAACAATTCACGTTAAGCCATTAGCATAGTCCTTGTCCTATAATTAAAGCTCAACACATTTTTCTGCAGCTTTTATTTCTCAAATTAATCTTCTGTTTAGCTTGTTTTTCCAATTTATAATTAGTGCATTTATTCTTTTTTGTAAGTTTATGAATTCTGCATTTAAATTGAGGTCATTCATTGTTGTTATTAAACGTCAATTTTTTAAATTTATCATTTCCTTTTAACTTCATAAATTTTGTTACCAGGCATTGATTTTTAATTTTTAAATAGACTTTATAGATTTATTTTTTTTGATTTTTAAATTTTGTTTGGTGTACGTTCACATGTTATACTAGTTTTTGTTTTCAACTTCTATTTTCAAAATGAAGAAGTTATTCTTCCTCCTAAATAAAAAATATTTTGCTGATATTTTTATATAATAGCTTATCCTTCTTTTCTAAGGTAAGAAGTAGTTTATCTAGAATTTTGGTATAATGCATGAGGCATGAATTTTACTTTTTTTCACAAGTTTCAGTTAAATGTTTTACCATAGATAAAAGTCCATCTTTAACACACACTTTTAGATATATTATTATGTATTAATTTTACAAGTATAAATCTCTATTTTTGTTCTATTTATTCTCTTGGTTTGTTAACATATGACTCTGATAGGAGCATATAGTTTTCGTTATTTTGCATTCTTAAACTTGATTGTGGTAAGTCTGAAATAATAACAGGAGTTTTAAAAGGATATACATTCAAGCTATTTCCAAAGATATGACTATGAAATATTTTGAGGTTTCCTTTAGTGATAGGGGGTTAACAGATGGCTCTTAACATGAGACAAGTTGAGTTCACCAAGGTGAGTACTTAGGAGGTGGTAGAACTGCATGCACACTTTATTTAGCTACTAGATAAATGTACATTTCCATAGTCTTAATCTTCAATAAAGAATTTATACATTAGAGTTAGAAGGTAAGAAAGGGTGAAATGAATTCAATCATTGCCTGAAAAATTTCATAACTAATTCTATGTGGTAGTTACACAATGAACAATCAATCAGACAAGGAAATCTAAAAAGAGAAAGCTCTTTTTCAACTTTAATTAAAATAAGACCTTATAAGTTAAAAATCCACTGTGCTAAGATTTGGCATAGTTTTGAAAAGAGACCTGCTTCAAGCTCAGGATGACATGCTGAAAAGCAGGATTTTTCACCAACACTAATCTCATGTTTCTTTTATATAAGGGCAAATCCAAAATCAATTCTGCTTTATCAGAATTGATTCAGGATCAAGATTACATATAAATGCTGAATCAACATTCAAGACAACAAACTACACTGGAGACCTTCTTAATGCAGATTGACAGTCACTAGATGAATGTGACATAATTGATCCTTGTTCTTTGTCTAATAATTATTCATTTATGTCCAAAAAATTTTCAGAGCAACACTCATTCTCCCCTTCCTTAGATTTTTAAATTATCTCCACAGTCCTAAAGTTCAAGTTCCTGAAATTTCCTTTTTTATTGTACTAAGTACAATTTCTGGAAACCTAAAAATCCTGAGAAATTTGGCAACTTAATTATCTGGAAAAACTTCCTAGGAAATAAGCAATTAAAAGTGATTAATCTTAGGGAATGTTATTTTGAAGATACTGTCTGAAGGATGTTCTAGGTGGATATGAAAATGTTTTTATTTCAAATTTGAAAGATTAATATGGTTTATGTTTGGTTTATTTATTTTTCTTTTTTAAACTCTCTTAAAGCTACACTTATATTTTTGGATTTACTGTTAACATTCTTGTCAATGGATTCCTAATTTCAGACATGTATCATTTTAATCATCTTCCAAGAATGTTCTTGTTTCCATAGTGGTATAAAACTTTTCTTTCAACAGGACAATGATCTCTGACCTTGCCACTAAGAGTAAAAAAATGTGCTGAACACCTTTACTGGGATACTAGTCACTGTGAGTTTACAAAGAAAACAGTTTATCCTCCACTAACACTACTAAAGCTGACTTATTACTTTTTGTATAACTTCTCATCTTATGACTCACACAGATCTTTGGCAATTAGGTTCACTGGCCTTGGCCAGGCTAAATTTGGCCTTAGCTGATTCTGTCTTCTCTGGTGTAGAGGAAACCACTTTTTTTTTTTTTCTTGTAAAGTTGGTCGCGTCTGGCCCAACATTTGTATTGGTAAGTTTACACTCCATGATCATTTATATTATCGTACTGCTTTCATTAGATTGGTAGCTCAAATTCTATATCTTTCTGGGGGTGAGACAAGAAGCTCATTTTTTTTCTCCCTGCCCTTGGTAATAGGAATAAAAAAAAGGGCAAAAATAATTCTAGGTTGAGTACATCTTCTCTGTAGATGCAAAATCTCTTTTGGTTGGATTTCCTATGTTCAGTCATTTAATTATTAATGAATATTACAATAATATTTAACTGTGACCTATATCTAATCCACAATTTCCAACCAGTCTTAGTTGGTATTAATACTAATATTTTGATATCCTTGTCTTTTACTCTACTGGTTTAATTCTCAACTAATTCTGAACTTACAGGTGATATATGAAGTGTAGGAAATAATTAGTAGTAAACCCTGATAGAAGAATACACCCGTTTCTACAAAAAAATACAAAAATTAACCAGGCATGGTGGCCCAACTACTCAGGAGACTGAGGTGGGAAGATCACTTGAGCCCAGAAGGTTGAGTCTAAGTGAGATGTGATGGTACCACTGCACTGCAGCCTGGGCAACAGAGTGATGACACTGTTGAGAGAGAGAGAGAGAGAGAATTAATAATTCTTCTCATAGCAGATACTTATGTTCTTGTTAACATAAATTTTCAATAAGACCTTATCTCTTACCTTCTTGTTTTCCTTCACTATAGGATTAATAATTCAATTCCAGCTTTCCTGGAAGCCAGAAGTCAAAATATACTTGGGATTTCTATAAATATTTTTTAATTATGGTAAGAACAAACAACATGAGATCTATGTTCTTACCAAAATTTTCAATGTATTATACAGTATGATAACTATAAATAAGCACAATGTTGTACAGAAGTTATCTAGAAATTATTCATCTTACATAACTGAAATTTTATGTCCATTTAATGGAAACATTCGATTTCCCTTCCTCCCTATCTCCTAACAACCACAACTCTACTTTCTGCGTCTGTGTTTGACCATTCTTGTTACCTCCTATAAGGAGAATAATGCAGTATTTGTCCTTCTGTGACTAGCTCATTTTATTCAGCAAAAATTTTCTCAAGTTTCATCCATGTTGGTGCATATGGGAGGTGTGATGCTTAATAATGTCAACTTGAGTGGACTGAAGGATACAAAGTATTGATAATGTGTGTGTCTGTGAGGGGGATGCCAAAGGAGATTAACATTTGAGTCAGTGGGCTGGGAAAGGCAGACCCACCCTTAATCTGGATGGGCACAATCTAATCAGCTGCCAGCACAGCTAGAATGTAAGCAGGCAGAAAAATGTGAAAAGAGAGACTGGCCTAGTCTTCTGGCCTACATCTTTCTCCCTACATGCTTCCCGCCCTAGACCATCGAACTCCAAGTACTTCAGATTTGGAACTCGGACTGCTTTCCTTGCTCCTCAGCCTGCAGATGGCCTATTGTGGGACCTTGTGATTATGTGAGTTAATACTTAATAAACTCCCCTTTATATATATGTGTGTGTGTGTGTGTGTGTGTGTGTGTGTATAATATATATATAAACTCCCCTATATATAAATATAAATATATATAATAAAATATAAATAGATATCTAATATATAATAAATGTATATTTATATAAATACATATTTATATAAATAAAATAAATATATAATAATCTATTATATATTATATATATATACACACACATACATATATATATACACACACACATATTCCATTAGTTCTGTCCCTCTAGAGAACCATGACTAATACAGGAGGATTTACTTCTTTTTATAGTTGCATAATATTTCTTTATAAATATGTCATATATTCATTATCCAGTCACCTGCCCTGGACATTTAGATTGTTTCTATATCTTGGCTATTATAAAAAATGCTACAATGAATATGGGAATGCAGATATCTCTTCAAAATGATAATTTTAAACCTGTTGGAAAATTATAAATAATAGAGATTGATGGATTATAAGGTAAGTCTGATGTTAATTGTTTTGAGAAATCTCTATATTGTTTTTCATAGTGGCTGCACCATTTTACATTCCCACTGACAAGGTACAATGGTTCCAACTTCTTCACATACACGTATGGATATTATGGTGTTGTCATTTTCTTAAATCATTACCATTGTAACAAGTATGAGATAATGTCTTATTATAGTTTTGATTTGCATTTTTTTTTGATTAGTGACTGGATTATTCCCTTTTGTGTTGCCATAATGGAATACCCGAGACTGGAAAATTTATAAAGAAAAAAGTCTTATTTGGTTCACAGTCCCGTAGGCTGTACACAAATTACAGCACCAATATTTGCTCCTGATTAGGACATCAGGAAGCTTTTACTCATGATGGAAAGAAAAGGGGGCCAATGTATCATGTGGCAAGAGAGGAAACCCAGAGACAGAGTAAGGAGGGAGGTCCTAAACTCTTTTTAACAATCAGATCTCATGTGAACTACTAGAGTGGCAACTATTTACTGCTGAGAGGGCACTAAGCCATCCATGAGGGGTATGTCCCCACCTCCCACTAGGCTCCACCTTCAATATTGGAGATCGAATTTCAACAAGGCATTTAGAGGAGGCAAATATCCAAACTATCTCAATGAAGTTGAGCATCTTTTTATACAAATTTTGGCCAATCGTATGTCTCCTTTGGATAAATGTGCATTCATGTACTTTGCTCATTATTTGTTTTTTGCTAAGTTCTGTAAACTATTTTATATATTTTAGATTTCACCCTTATGAAATATATGGTTTATAAATACTTTCTTCCATTCAATAGACACTCTTTTCACTCTATTGATTGTTTTCTTTGCAGAGCAGCAGCTTTTTAGTTTGACGTAGTCCCACTTGTCTTTTTTTTCTTCTTCTTCTTTTACTTGGGATTTTTTTACAGGTAGTGAGACGAGCATGAGTGGAGCAGGAGACGGCTGTCCCCCACCCACAAGGAATATCAGATGATGGTTCAGCGATCATCACATTGCCTCTCTGAAAGTGATAAATTGGCAGCTGGCACCAGGGAGAGGCTATTTCCTGATGGCCCACACCTGTTGCACTAAGATGTTAATCGAATGCAGATTCCAGGGAGAAACAACTTCCTGGGCATGTGCGTAAGAGACAAAATGGCAGGTATGACCTTCTGGGGACACTCCACCAGAAAAGGGAAGAAAACCTCAGATGGGCATGCATATAACTTCCTAAACACACTGCTCACACTCTCCTCCCAAGGGTAAGGAGGGCACTGCACATGCAGGCAGCCCATCCTAAGGGAAGCATCCTGGGAAAGGGGTCAGTCTATATGGTTCTGGGATCAAGATTAAACACCACATTAGACCTTCAAGTTGCCCACTTGGGTCTCTTCTATGTGTATTTTTCTTTCCTTTCTTTTCTGCTCTAAAGCTTTTTTAAATAAACATACACATCCCTCCTCTGAAACTTGCCTTGGTCTCTTTTTCTGCCATATGCAACTCAGTCAAATTATTTCTTCTGAGGAGGAAAAAATTGAGGTAGCTGCATTCCCATACAGATTCACCATCGGTAACTCAGATACCTTCTACTGGCCATATGTTTGGTGTTCTATTCAAGAAATAATTGCTAAAGCCAATGTCTTAAAGTGTTTTTCTTATGTTTTTCTTCTAAGAGTTTTACAGTTTCAGGTCTTACACTTAAGTATTTAATTAATTTGAGTTGATTTTATGCATGGTGTAGGATGTGTGTAATATTCAGTTTTTCTAACACTATTTGTTGAAGAGACTATTCTTTTTCCACTGTGTATCCTTAGAAGCATTGCTGAAGTGTTGTTGAAGGTCAGTTTATTTTATATATATGTTTGTGTGTGTATATATATATGTATGTGTGTGTATATATTTATATATATAATATATGGGATATTTCTCAGCTATCTATTCTATTCTATTGGTCTGTAAGTCTGTCTTTTTCTCAAAATTTGTAATTTTTTTTATTTTTTATTTTTTATTTATGACGGAATCTCACTCTGCCACCTAGGCTGGAGTGCAGTGGAACCATCTTGGCTTACTGCAAACTCTGCCTCCCAGGTTCAAGCAATTCTCCTGCCTCAGCCTCCCGAGTAGCTGGGGCTACAAGTGCCTGCCACCACACCCAGCTAATTTTTGTATTTTTAGTAGAGATGGGGTTTCACTATGTTGGGCAGGGTGGTCTGGAACTCCTGACCTTGTGATCCACCTGCCTTAGTCTCCCAAAGTGCTGGGATTACAGGCGTGAGCCACCATACCCAGCCAAAAACTTGTAATTTTAATTAATGTCACTATGTAATAAATCTTGAAATCCGGACATGTAATGCCTCCAACTTTTTTCTTTGCTACAGACAATGTTTGTTTCCCCTAAAAATTTATATGTTGAAGCCTGGTCCCCAGTGAAATGGTAGCTGGAGGTGGGTCCTTTGGGAGATTATTAGGTTGTTGATAGAAATATGGACAGTAAAGGCAATCTGATGAGGTCTCAGATGAATATAAGAAGTATGTTATTGAATGGTAGAGGAAAGGCCATCATTATCATAAAGTGGCAAGGAATTTGGCTGAATTTTGTTTGCTAGTGTTTTGTTGAAGGTCCAACTTATGAACAATAAAACTGGATATTTAGATGACTCTATTTCTAAGCAAAATGTTGAAGGTGTATCTTCGTTTCTCCTGACTGCTGATAGTAAAAGATAAGAGAAAATGACTTGAAGATAGAATTGCTAATCAAAAAGGAAGCAGAATTCTCAGCCTGTTTATATTGAAAAGAATGAGAAGCCAGTTTATGAGGGAACACTAAGGAGTAAGTTAGCAATTGCTTGATAAGGATATTAGTGTGGATCACCCTTCTCAACAGAAGCCAGGAGCTAATCTACAAGACAATCAAAGAATGACTAGGAAGGCAACAGAGATCATCAGGGCTGCCCCTCTTATCACAGAGTGCAAAAACCTGGAGGCAGAGCAGTTTCAAAGTAGGGGCCAACAGCAGCTGCCTGCCCTCAGTCTCTGTTATTCCACACTTCCTGATATCACATGCTCTACTCCCTGTACTCCAGCTGCA
Organism: Homo sapiens; assembly: GCF_000001405.40. Taxonomy (NCBI): domain Eukaryota; kingdom Metazoa; phylum Chordata; class Mammalia; order Primates; family Hominidae; genus Homo; species Homo sapiens. The sequence continues at coordinate 64,935,680 of NC_000004.12, read as the reverse complement.
GGTTTCTTTTCTGCCCCAGGTGGGGCTCTGATGGGTCTCAGTGTGGGATGGGCCCTGGTAGCTGCTCCTCTGGAGAGCATAAACAGGAAACTTTGGCAGTATCTGTGCAGTGCTGTCACTGCCAGCTCACAGAAAACTGTGGTATGGGATGCACCCAGGAGAGTCGTGGTTGGGGTCATTGCTGTGTCCATCCAGATATAAAGGATTGGGGCCATCACAAAGAGTTCCCATTATAGTGGTGCCCAGGCAAGTCATGAGAGTAGCGTTAAGATTTAATATCATTTGCCTCATTTGTTTTTGAACTTACTTGGGACCTATTACTAACTTTTTTCCCCCCTATTTCTCCCTTTTGCAATGAGAATGTCTATACTATGGCTGTCCCACAAGTGCATTTTGGAAGTATGTAACTTGTTTGGGTTTACTGATTCACATGTAGAGAGACATTTGCCTTAAGATAAATTCTACCCTGAATCTCACCCATATCTGGTTTGAATGATGTTTGGAAGAGACTTTGGACTTTTTAAAGTTGGTGCTGCAATGAGTTAAGACTTTTGGGGTTTCTGGAATGGAATTAATGTATTTTGCATGTGAGAAGAACATTAATATTGAGGCACCAGAGATAGAATACTATAGACTAAATACGTTTCCTCAAAATGCATACATTCAAACCTAATCCCCAATACAAGAGCTCTCATGAATAAGATTAGTGCCCTTTTAAAAGGGACCCCAGAAAGCTTCCTGACCCCTGCTGCCAAGTCAGGATACATTGAGAAGACAGTCATCCCTGAAACAGGAACTGGCTCTTCACCAGACACTTAGACATCAAAGCTGACAGCACTTTAATAAATACTTTCTAATCTCCAGAATGTAAGAAATAAATTATGTTTATAAGCTACCAGGTGTGTGGCATTTTCATGATAGCAGCCAAATTACACTAAGACATTTTTATTTTTCAAGATTGAGTTGGCCTTTCGATGTCCTTGGTGGTTCTACACACATCTTATAATTAAAAAAAAATTGTAAAAAAGTCATTGAAATTTTGATAGGCATTGCATTGAATCTGTAGATTATTTTGGCTAGTATGAACATTTGACAGTATTAATTATTTTAATCCATGAACAGATGTCTCTATTTATTTCTGGCTTTTTGTGTTTCTGTCATCAGTGTTTTGCACTTTTCAGTGAAAAGTCATCTCCTTGCTTGAGTTTACTCTGAAGTATTTTATTCTTTTCCAAACTACTGTGAATACAATTGTTTTATTTTTTAAATTTCATGTTTGGATAATTCATTAGTATATACAATCATAACTGATATTTTTATTCTGCAGCTTTACAGAATTTATTTATTTGTTCTAAAAGTTTTTTGTAACATATTTAAGTTTTTCTACATACAAGAGTGTGTCATCTGCAAAGAATAACTTTACTTATTTTTCAGTTGAAATATCTTTTAGTTCCTTTTTTTTTGAATAATAGCTCTGGCAATAGCTTCCAGTATTATGTTGAATAGAAGTGACAAGAATGGACATCCTGGTCTTGTTCCTGATCTTAGGGAAAATGCCTTCTGTTTTTCACCAATGAATATCATGTTAACCTGTGAACCTTTCATATATGGCCTTTACTGTGTTGAGGTAAGTTCCTTTTATACCTAATTTGTCGAGAATTTTTATCATGAAAGAACATTGAATTTTGTCAAATGCTTTTCTGCATTAATAGAGATGATCATGCAATTCTTCTCCTTTTTTTTTAATGTAGTATATCACATTGAGTGATTCCGCATCATAGGGGTGAATCCTATTGGGTAATGGTGTATGTTTCCTAAAAAATTTCTATTGAATTCTGTTTTTTGGCATTTTGTTAAGCATTTGTATGTCTACGGTCATTAGGAATATTGACCTGTAGTTTTATTTTCTTGAAGTGTCTTTGTCTTTGATATTAGCATAATATTGGCCTCATTAAAATAAAGTTGGAATCTTTCACTTCTCTTCAATTTTTTGGAAGAGCTTGAGAAGGACTAACTTTAATTCTTTATATATTTTATAGAATTCACCAGTGAAACTATATGGTTTGGGGATTTTCTTGTTGGAAAGTTTCTAATTACAGATTAAATAACCTTTCTAGTTATAATTGTGTTCATATGTTATATTTCTCCATGATTCTGTCATGGTAAATTGTATGTTTCCAGGAGTTTATCCATTTCTTCCAGCTTATCCAGTTAGTTGCTGTATATTTGATTATAACAGTCTCTTATGATCCTTTTTATTTCTGTGGCATCAGTTCTAACGTCTTCTCTTTCATTTCTGATTTTATTTATTTGAGTCTTCTCTCTTTTTTCTTAGTCTAACTAAAAGTTTATTATTAACCTTTTAAAGTCAATATTTTTTAAATGTCCATACTACATAAAGCAATCTACAGATTCAATGCAATCCATATCAAAATACCAATGGCATTCTTCACAGAAATAGAACAAATGCTAAAAATGTGTATGAGACCAAAAAAGACCCAGAATACCCAAATCTATGCTGAGCAAAAGAACAAAACTGGAGAAATCACATTACCTGACTTCAAATTATACTACAGAATTAGTATTACAGTATAGTAACCAAAACAGCCTGGTACTGGCATCAAAATAGACACATAGACAAAACAAAACAAAATAGAGATCCAGAAATAAATTTATACATCTACAGTGAACTAATTTTTGACAAAGGTGCCAAGAACATACACTGGGGTAAGGATAGTCTCTTCAATAAATGTTGCTTGGAAAACTGGACATCTTTATGCAGAAGAATGAAATTAGATCCCTATATATTACCATATACCATTTACATTAATCAAATACAAATGGATTGAAGACTTAAATCTAAGACCTCAAACTATGAAACTACTAAAAAACAAAAAAAATCAGAAAAACTCTCCAGGACATTGGTTTTTGCAGAAATTTATTGAGTTAACCACTCTTGTGTTGCTGTGCTGATGAAGTATTATAATGAGAAGATTGTCCACTTTTTTTCTACCATCTTAATTGTGGCTGGATTCACACTTGTCAGAGGTGCAGGTGCCTCTATATTTCTTTCTGGATCTCTCACAAATGGAATTGGTCCATATAGTAATGTTGAAATAGGTGTATTCATGGGGAAAAAGAAGGGTAGATATTCTGCCTTCTTGCTGATGTCATTTCTCTATCAAAGAATTTTTTATCATAGTAATAACTGAGAGAGCTTATGTGAAACATTTCTACATTCTTATTGCCTTGAACAAATACGGTGTATATAAGGCTACAGCAACAGTACAGTTTTAGGGAAATTGAATTATGAATAGTTGCAGAGAAATTCAGCTATGCCAGCCTTAATCTTATTGAGTTGTTTAATCACTCCAAGCAGCTGCCCTCTTTAGACTTTCCATTATTTATTTAAAAAAGCATAGACCTTATAGGTTATAAGCATAATCTCCTAATAACTGACTTCTGTTCTCTATTCTATTACTAATGGTGTTGAATTCAGAAGTGTTTTCTATCTGAATTGCTAGAAATGTTAAGGGCAGAAACATGAAAAGTGTGCTTAAGCCAAAAAGCACTATGCCCTCTTCCCATATTGTGCAATCCTTAGCTCTAAAATTAATGAGAAGCATGACATGCATGTGCTTGGTCTTTAGCATATACCAAGGAAAGACTGCCATCCAAATTACTTTAGCATGGTGGTTCTTACAAAGGTGCTGAGTTTTACCCAAAAGTACATTTGGTGAATTCTGGAGACATTTTTAATTGTCACAACTGAGAGTAAAGTGGATTATTAGCATGTAGTGGTTGGAGACCAGGTATACTACTATACATCTTATAATATACAAAAAAAAACCCCACACAACAACAATTATCTGATCCAAATGAGAATAGAATTGAAGTTGAGAAATTGTGCCATTAGCCTAATGAATAAAACTCTGCGAGTAAAGTGAGGCAAGTAAGATTTCAAAAGTTCCACGCAGATTTATCATCTACATGTCTGCACCAAAGCAGTTGGAAAACTTTAATCCTGTTTTTGGCTTTTGTTACCCTCTATGCTGGTTTCCTTTTGCATATTTTAGATAAGTAAGCCTTATTTGCTTTACACAGATTTTTATCTGTGTCTGGCCATCACATCAATCTGAAAGGGGTATTAACATTTTTCAACATGGTGGAAATACAAATTGGTAGCAGTAGTAAGATCTAGACAATACAATCAAACCCATTATGAACAAAGAGATTTGGAAAAGGTTGCAAGGTACTATAGAACAAAAGCCAGAAAAGATATTTTGAAATCCATATTGTGTGCTAAACATTCATAATCTAGCATGACAAAAGTCTTAGAATATATAATGTGAGCAGGAGGCTATAATTCTCAAATATATTAAAATAGAAGCTGTATTATAGAAACAAAGAAACACATAAAAATTTGCAATATTCAGACTATTGTTATCTGCTCAGGGAAAAAACATTGAACCAAGGAAGGACCTTGATATAGCCAGGTAAAAGTTACAGATTCTGGAGCTTACTGCACAGTATTTCCCAGACACTGTGATAAAGGACCTATAATGAGTAACTTTATGTGTGTGTTTGTGTGTGTTTAGAATGAATGGTAGCATATGAGGTTTCAGTGATGACGGGAAGAAGTTGATGGTCGATACTAAATTTCTAACGTAAATTCACTTGTGAAGAATGTGGTTATTACTCAAATATCTAAATAAATTATGCATATTATGAGTGAATGGGGATACCCTGACATATCTCCCAGAGAGTAGGATTGGGAATGCATATTTTACAGTATTAGGAAGCTCTGTATTTTCCAAAGCCAAGAACTGTGGTAAATCTGAATCAGTTCAGGCTCTCTAAGCAATATGATGACATTGACTTTTTATGTTAATTAAAGGGTTCTTGGTGCCTACTGACTCTTGAATAATGATCTGGATTGACTGATGTAAAAGGTGGATATGAGCTGCAGACTTAAGACTTTTTCTATTACTAATGCTGCCATCTTTGACATGGTAGCCAAGGTTAAAGTACTTTCAGTGAGCTGAAAGAAAAACCTCTGCAGTAATTGCTCTTTCTATATCTTTGAGGATGGTCATGACGGAGGAGATAAAGGAGCAAAGCTCTTTTGAATGGAAAGCAACAGGCAGTTTGCCCCTGGCTGAAACTCAAAAAAATGTATCTCGTGTCATTGTCAGTCCTTATTATATTATTACTTTTATGGTGTTGCATGTGTAAGCTACAGAAACAAGTTCTGATTGGAGTCTCTGGCATCAGTACAAAGGAGAGTCTCAGTGGCGGTTTTGGTCTTTGAAGCCAATTAATATCTGATAAAATTGTTCGTGACTCCACTTATAATTAGTAGGCTTCTACTTAGCAGAGGTTAAAAATGCCATCACTACTAAAGAACATCAAATCCCTTCAAGATCAGGGATTTCAATAACATCCTGTCTAATGTCAACAAAACATTCAAATAATGAGCCAAGTAAATACATTGTTTAAATAAAACTGGTGCATACAGAAATATGAAAATCAGCACCATATAAGAAGAATCCATAATATTCCTAAAAATATTATGGACGTGTAGTTAAAGTGACTTTACCCAACAAAATGATCTGTGTCTGGCAAAAGATGTTCACTCACCATTGGTCATAATTTGCAACATTTGTCTTATATTTGCAAATCCCCCCTTCATATATATATATACATACACTATAGTGAATGGCAGCATTATATCACAATATCGAGAGAGACAGAGAGAGAACATAGTACATAGTATATTGTATACAGATATAGGGTATGTACATAGTGTATTATATATACTATGTTATATTTATATAATATATTGGCTGGAAAATTGGAAGGCAATAACATATATCACAAGTCACTCCAAAATACTTATAAATGTGTTTTTGAAGAAAACAGGAAAAATGTGTTTCAAAGAAAAAAGGATCTTATTTTAACTTAATCACAAATTACTAAATTCAGAAAATTTAAAACTCATAAATCATTAACGTATGTCAATATTCAAATATCACCAATTGTCTAATAATGTCCCCTTCCAATATCAATGCATAGTCAAACATTATAATACACGTTTGAACAAAGAATTTCAAGCGATAGAATAGCTAATTCATTATTAGCTAATTCATTATTATTTTCTAATAAATTTTATACATTTATTTGCAAACATGACTGGTGAGAGAGTACACAAAATAGAAAGCCATAAATATATGCAAAATTTGACATAATTAAAAGTTAAGGTGGCTTTTTTTGAATATGTTTTAGTATACATTTTTCTGGAAGTTAAATGGTAGTTCTCTTGTGCATTACTGGACAAGCAAACAATAGCTGTTCCATTGTGGACTATGTATAAAACAAACAACTTGCAATGAATTATTGAAGTGAATATACGTTGCAAAGCTACTTTTCACCCAGTTAACATAAAGACATACCTTGTTTTTCTGAGTAAGTAATCTATACCCCAAAATGCACCTGTGCCCTCAGCTGCCTGCTGAAAAAAAAAAAAAAAGTATGGTTAATTAACTAGGATGTGGTTCATAAGGTTTGTGATGTTATCTGCCTAAGGAGTATGGAATCAATTATTCACTTTTGAAAATGAGGGAAATGACAAATAAAATGTACTTTGGGGGAATTTGAAATATTTTTCTTTCAAGAATATATCCAAAGGTGGAAGTCAGCATGACATCATGTAGAGGCTTTGCAAACATAGCAGGTAAAACTCTGAAATTCTTAACCCGATGAGAACACACATAATATTTGAAAAAAGTTTAAGTGTTGATTTCAGATTTCTAATTATCTAACTGATTTTAGGCATATGTGCCTGAAGATGACAATGTCCAATAATTTTTTTAAAGATATACCAAGTGAGTCCTTAAGATGAGGCACGACACTACTATATTATATGTCTTAGCATGCTAATTTCTAAATGCTAAATGAGAACGGTTCTAGCAAATAAAATGTTAGCACAGTCTCGAATGAAAGGTTAGTGAAGCACAAGCACTCATACTTCTCTACCATTCTTGGGTATTCAACATAAAGGAACATAGAATTTGCAACATTTGCATGGTATCTATACTGATCTTCCATGCACCACATGGCATTTTCTATTTCAGTATGCATGAATAACCATTATTTTGTAAGTTGGTTCCATTTTTCAGTACAGATTATAGACTCTCGTTATTGCCACAACAATCATTTGACTACACATCATACAGGTGTAATACAAACATTTATTATACTATATGTTGCCTTCTAATATGAAGAACCTTTATACCAGACATCTTAGAGACGCTGAATTAATATCAGAATTAACCCCAAATCCTGATTAGACCATTACATTAGATACATATGGAAAACTATGAGTTTAACGTTCATCTGTGTCACCAAGTATTTTAAAAAACCTCTACTCAATAAAGCAATGATAAAGGTGTCACTAGTATAACACTTGTTCCCTCTACAACTATGTTGACTGTTTCTTAGAAATTATCTTCCCATGGGAAATCACTTATTAATAATCAGTTACTCCAGGACAAAGGGAAATATGGTGTCTGGTAAGGTGGATCCTTCCATGACAGTTTTTAACTTCTTACAAACTTTAATTGCAAGGTCACTTCTCTAACATAGTGTTTATTTCATAGTACTCAATTATAACGATTCAAAAGACGAAACTGTAATTTGACACTAACATGATGAAAACTGTGGTTCTAAGGAATATAAAGGTTTTAGGACTACAGCTTAAATCACTGTCACTGAGACCAGTGTTTAATTAGTTTTAGATACCTTCTCTACTTAAAACTGATTTATTAACTTGCTGGAGCTTTATTTTTCATTACCAAAGTCCCAGACTGATTAACTTGTTCTATGATCTGTGTAATCAATTGTTTATCATGAATTGAACCAACAGCTGCAGAACACAGTTGGAAATAACCCAGGAGCAAAGGAAGACATTATTTCAGGAAGAGAAAACAAAATAGAAGGAATAAAGCCAACTAAAATGTAACTTACGCAAAGATGAGTTTAAAGGTGTCTCTAGTGTGCTACTTCTTAGCTATTAACAAGAAACAGTCTCAGCCCTCAGGTCCTAAAGTAAACACACTGACACAGTGTAGGAGTAAATTATCTATGAGAGTAAAAGACAGGTTGAAGATCTTGTTTTACATGAAGTTTAATTATGTTATTTAAAAAACGATGTTCTTCATATTTTTGTTGTTATAATTGTATATATCTGTCGAACCTTAAGTGATTGTTATCTTCATACATGAAGTAAAACGATTTGTTTCAATTTTTGATACACATATTCAGGAATGTCTATTTGAAATAGATTTATAAGTTATTAATACTCCATAAATTAAGTATTGTGCTAATTATAATAAGTACAATTATGTTGATACTTGGTGTGAGCAGAGTAATGATACATTATTCGGCAGAGAATATTTTCTTTTAATTTCTTCATTTTTAATTGATTAACGTATGTACCCTTAACACTAACATAAATTAGACTTTTGAAAATATTTTGAAATTAAATTTCAAAACCAGAAGTTTACAAAGAGAACATAGCGTGGAATAAATAAAATAAATTAAAATTAATTTTTTCTTTATAATACAAATTTAAGTTTTTTATTTTAGAGTTATTATTTATTTTTCAGTGACTTGCTCTACTTCCTCCCAAAGGATATCAGTCCAATCAAAAATGTCGCGTATCACTCTCCTCAGCACCCATTTCTGGAAAACCTAATTAGTGACAATATCCCATAAGTAAATCAGATAGAATTCATTTTATAGCATTTTCTTCTAAACAGTATTAGTTTTATTAATTAAGCCTACTCCATTTTTCTTCCTTGATAAAATTTTAATGACTTAGGGAAATATAAAGTCACTTTATAGACAATGATTGAAATGATTGATCTTATTAGCTTTAGCAGCTTTATTTTAAAAATTAATAATATGTCTTCCTGAACAGTTCATTGATTGTCTCCACTGTAACAATTCATTTTCTCAGTAAAAATTAGAGAATGAGATCAGAATATGGATACATTGCAAGAGGTGGAGCCCTGGAACAAAAGTAAGAGGTAATATGCTTTCAAGCTTTTTTCAGATTGGCTGTACTATTTTTCTGTATCATCTACATATCATCTACCTATCCATCTATCTATCTATCTGTCCACCTATCTATCACTTGTCTGTCTAATCTATATTTCTGTGTGAAGGAGGAAGGGGAAATACTATATTAGAATCTTCTTTCAAATAAAAATATTGCAGAAATATTTCAACTTTTTTAAATTTCAAAGTCAGCTTTATCCAGGATTTTGTAATTGCTCATGTCATTGTTATTTTGAAGAATGTACAAATTCACTAATCTATTTAGGAGTGAATATTAATTATGCACACCTATTGCAGATATAAGGTTTCATAATATGATTCCAATTTTGTTTTGAACAAACAAGTTAGGGCAAAAATAATCAAAAACATTAATGTGTTCATTCAGTCACACATCTTTAGTATTCCTTTAGAATCGTTATAAGAAAGATTATCTGCTCTACATGGAATATGCAAGGATAATTGACAAATTCTGTTGTTCAGAGGATTTACATCTACTGAGGGTGATACACATATCAATACATAGCTAGAATATGTTGTAATAGCTGTGATAAAGAAGCTGTGAAGAAAGCCATATGTACTCAAATCCACAAAAGTGAACTTTGATATGAGTGGATTAGGGAACACACACAATACACACACAGATGCACACACACACAGATACACCACCCCTCCCAAATTCTAATACCACGATTGTCTTTGTCCCTATTTTGGTTTAGTCAATATTGTGACCAATGAGGTAATTTTAATAAAATGTATGAATATGGAAATACTAATTTAGACAAGACACAGCTACATAGTGTAATATGCTTTCACTTTATTCTTCTGCCACATTTTGCATCTCCTGAAGTTATTTGATATTTTGCTTTTTGCTTTCTTATTATTTTCACCTACTTAATTACTATTCTTACTAAATTGCTTTTCTTGAGTCATTTCCTGAATTGTCCCTCTTCTCCCTTTAAGAGTTTTGTTATCTTATTCCAGTCTGCACTGGTATGCTCACTATTTTAAAAAAATGTGTTTAACCTTTATTTTAAGTTCAGGGACACATGTGCAGTTTTGTTACATAGGTAAACTTATGTCATGTGGGTTTGTTGTACAGATTATCACCTAGGTATTAAACCTAGTATCATTAGTTATTTTTTCTGATCATCTCCCTCCTTGCATCCTCCACCTTCCGATAGGCCCTAGTGCATGTTGTTCTCCTCTAAGTGTCCATGTGTTGTCATCATTTTGCTTTTACTTATAAGTGATAACATGCGGTATTTGATTTTCTGTTCTTATCTTCATTTGCTAAGGATAACAGCCTCCAGCTCCATCCAAGTCCCTGAAAAGGCAAAGGACATGATCTTGTTCTTATTTTTTGGCTGTATAGTATTCAGTGGTGTATGTGTACCACATTTTCTTTATCCAGTCTGTTATTGATGGGCATTTAGGTCGGTTCCATGTCTTTGCTTTTGTGAAGTGTGTTGCAATGAACATTTGCCTACCTGTGTCTTTATAGTAGAATAATTTATATTCCTTTGGGTATATATTCAGTAATGAGATTGCTGTGTTAAATGGTATTTCTGTCTTTAGGTCTTTGAGGAATTGCCACACTGTCTTCCACAATGGTTGAGCTAATTTACACCTTCCATCAACAGGGTATAATTCCTTTTTCTCCACAACCTCACCAGCATCTGTTATTTTATGACTTTTGAATAACAGCCATTCCGCCTGGTGTTAGATGGTATCACGTTGTGGTTTTGATTTATATTTCTCTAATGATCAGTGATGTTGAGCTTTTTTTCATATGATTGTTGGTCGCAGGTATGTCTTCTTCTGAAAAGTGTCTGTTCATGTCCTTTACCCACCTTTTTATAGGGTTATTCATCTTTTTCATGTATATTTGTTTATGTTCCTTATAGATGTTGTATATTAGATCTTTGTCAGATGCATAGTTTGCAAAAATTTTCTCCCATTCTGTAGGCTGTCTGTTCACACTGATGATAGTTGCTTTTGCTGTGCAGAAGCTCTTTAGTTTAATTTGATCACACCATTTGCTAATTTTTGCTTTTGTTGCAATTGCTTCTGGCATCTTCATTGTGAAATCTTTGCCCATGACTATGTCCTGAATGGTATTGACTAGATTGTCCTCCAGGGTTCTAATAGTTTTGGGTTTTACATTGAGTCTTAAACTACCTTGAATTAATTTTTGTGTATGGTGTAAGAAAGGGGTTTGGTTTTCATCTGCATATGGCTAGCCAGTTATCCCAGCACCGTTTATTGAATAGGAAGTCCGTTCCCCATTGATTGTTTTTGTCAGGTTGAAGATCAGATAATTGTAGGTGTGTGGTCTTATTTCTGGGTTCTCTATTCTGTTCCATTGTTCTATGTATCTGCTTGTAACAGTACCATGCTGTTTTGGTTACTGCAGCCTTGTGGTATAGTTTGAAGTTGGGAAACGTGACGCATCTGGCTTTGTTCTTTTTGTTTAGGATTGCCTTGGCTATTCAGGCTATATTTGGGTTCCATATGAATTTTTAAATAGTTTTTTCTAGTCTGTGAAGAATGTCAATGATAGTTTAAGAAGCATAGCGTTGAATTTATGAATTACTTTGGGCAGTATGGCTATTTTAATGATATTGATTATTCCTATCCATGAGCATGAGATGTTTTCCAAATCAAAGATGTGATCTCTGATTTTATTGAGCAGTGGTTTGTAGTTCTTCTTGTAGAAATCTTTTACATTTCTAGTTACCTGTATTCCTAGGTATTTATTCTTTTTATGGCAATTGTGAATGGGAGTTTATTTCTGATTTGGCTCTCAGCTTGACTGTTGTTGGTGTATAGAAATGCTAGTGATTTTTGCACATTGATTTTGTATCCTGAGACTTTGCTTAAGTTGTTGATCAGCTTAAGAAGCTTTGGGGCTGAGATTATAGTGTTTTCTATATACAGAATCATGTCATCTGCAAAAGATAGTTTGAATTTCTCTCTTCCTATACTAATACCATTTATTTATTTCTCTTGCCTAAGTGCCTTGACCAAAACTTCCAATACTCTGTTGAAGAGGAATATTGAGAGTGAATATCCTTGTTTTGTGCTGGTTTTCAAAAGAATGCTTTAGCTTTTCCCCATTCAGTATGACGTTGGCTATGGGTTTGTCATATACAGCTCTTACTATTTTGAGGTATGTTCCTTCAACATTTTCTTTATTAAGAGTTTTTAACATGAAGCCATGGTTAATTTTATCAAAAGGCTATTCTACATCTATTGAGATAATTATGTGTTTTTTGTCTTTAGTTCTGTTTATGTGATGAATCACATTTGTTGACTTGGTATGTTGAACTAGCCTTGTATCCCAGGGATAAAGCCTAATTGATAATGGTGGATAAGCTTTTAGATCTGCTGCTGGATTTGGTTTGCTAGTATTTTGTTGAGTATTTTTACATCAATGTTCATCAAGGATATTGGCCTGAAGTTTTCTTTGTTGTTGTATCTCTGCCAGGTTTTTGGTATCGGAATGATGTTGGCCACAGAATCAGTTAGGGGGGAGTCCATTCTCCTCAACTTTTTGGAATAGTTTCAGTAGGAATGGTACCAACTCTTCTTTAGTAGAATTCATCTGTGAGTCTGGGCTTTTTCTTTTCTTTTTTCTTTTCTTTTCTTTTTTTTTTTTGGTGGGTAGGCTATTTTTTACAGCCTCAATTTCAAAGCTTGTTATTTCTCTGTTCAGGGATTCAATTTCTTCCTGGTTCAGTCTTGGGAGGGTGTATGTGTCTAAGAATTGATACACTCCTTATGTTTTGTATTTTATGTGCATAGAGATATTCTTAATATCCTCTGATGGTTGCTTGTATTTCTGCAGGGTCAGTGGTAATATATCCCCTTTGTCACTTCTGATAGTGTTTATTTGAATCTTCGCTCTTCTTTATTAGTCTAGCTGTTCCTCTGTTTTGTTAATTTTTTTTTTTAAATACAGGTCCTGATTTCATTGATTTTTTGAATTTTTTTGTGTGTCTCTATCTCCTTCAGTTTAGTTCTGATTTTGCTTGTTACTTGCCCTCTGCTAACTAACTTTGGGCTTTGTTTGCTCTTGGTTCTCTAGGTCTTTTAGTTGTGATCTTGGGTTATTAACTTGAGATCTTTCTAATTTTTGATGGGGGTTTTTAGTGCTATAAATTTTCCTCAACACTGCTTTCACTGTGTTCCAGAGTTTCTGGTATGTTGTATTGTTGTTCTCATTAGATTCAAAGTACTTTTTCATTTCTGCCTTAATTTTGTTATTTACTCAAAAGTCATTTGGGACCAGTTTATTCAATTTCCATGTAATTGTATAATTTTGAGTGAATTTCTTAATCTTAATTCTGAATTTGATTGTGGTGTAATCTGAGATACTTTGTTATGATTTCAGTTTTTTTTTTTTTTTTGCATTTGGTGAGGAATGTTTACTTTCCAATAATTTGATGAATTTTAGAGTATGTGCCATGTGGTGATGGGAAAAATATATATTCTCTTGTATTTGGGTGATGAGTTCTGTGGATGACTAACAGATCCAGTTGATCCAGTGCTAAGTTCAGGTCCTAAATATCTTTGTTTATTTTCTTTCTCAATGATCTGTCTAATATTGTCAGTGGGGTGTTAAAATCTCCCACTATTATTATGTTGGAGTCTAAGTGCCTTTAAAGGTCTCTAGGAACTTGCTTTATGAATCTGGGTGCTCCTGTGTTGGGTGTATATATATTTAGGTTAGTTAGATTTTTTTTGGTGAATTGAAGCCTTTACCATTATGTAAAGCTAAAAAAAACCAACAACAAAATTGAAACTTTTACCATTATATAAATGCATTACCCTTCTTTGTCTTTTTAAAATCTTTGTTGGTTTAAGGTCTATTTTGTCAGAAACAAGGATTGTAACCCCTGCTTTTATCTGTTTTTCATTTGCTTTGTAGGTTTGTCTCCATTCCTTTATTTTGAACCTATGTGTTTTATTGCCTGTGAGATGGGCCTCTTGAAGACACCATACCAATGGGTCTTGGTTCTTTATCCAGCCTGCCACTCTGTGTCTTTTAATTGAAGCAGTTAACCCATTTACATTCAGGATTAGTATTGATATGTGTGGATTTTATCCTGTCATCATGTTAGCTGGTTATTTTGCAGACTTGTTTATGTGATTGCTTTATAGTGTATTTCAGTGTGCTTTTGTAGTAGCTGGCAATGGTCTTTCATTTCCCTAATTAGTGCTTCCTTCAAGAGCTCTTTAAGGCAGGTCTGGTAGAAACAAATTCCCTCAACATTTGCTTGTTTGAAAAGGATCTCATTTCTCCTTTATTTATGAAACCTAGTTTGGCCAGATATAAAATTCAGGGTTGGAATTTCTTTTCTTTAACAATGTTAAATATTGGCTCCCAATCTCTTCTGGCTTGTAGGGTTTCAGCTGAGGGGTTCACTGTTAGTCTGATGGGCTTCCCTTTGTAGGTGGCCTGCCCTTTCTTTCTAATTATTTTCAACATTTTTTTCTACAATTTTGACCTTGGAGAATCTGATGATTATGTGTTTTGGGGATGATCTTCTTTCAGAGTATCTTATTGGGGTTCTCTGCATTTCCTGACTTTGAATGTTGGGTTGAGAAAATTCTCATGGATGACATTCTGAAATATGTTTCACAAGTTGGTTCCATTCTCCCCATCTCTTTTAGGTACACCAATCAGTCATAGATTTGGTGTCTTTACATAATCCCATATTTCTTGGAGGTTTCATTCATTCTTTTTCATTCTTTTTTTTCTCTATTCTCATATGCCTGTCTTATTTTAAAAAGATGGTCTTCAAGCCTTAAGTTTTTTTTCTCCACTTGGTCTATTCTGTTATTAATACTTGTGATTGCTTTATGAAATCCTTGTAGTGTATTTTTCAGCTCTATCAAGTTGGTTATGTTCTTCTCCATACTAGCTCTTTTGTCTGTCAGCTCTTGTAATGTTTCATCATGATTTTTAGCTTCCTTGCACTAGGTTACAACATACTACTGTAGCTCAATGAGCTTCATTTCTACCCATATTGTTAATTCTACTTCTGTTATTTCAGCTGTTTCAGCCTCAGTCCAGTTCTGAACTCTTGCAGGAGAGATGATATGGTCATTTGGAGAAAAGAAGGTTTTCAGAAACGTTTGAGTTTTCAGCATTCTTGTGCTGATTTTTTTCTCATCTTTGTTGGCTTATCTACCTTCAATCTTTGAAGCTATTGACTTTCAGATTTTTTTTTTCCTTTCTTTTTTCTATTTGTTGACCTGGAGGGTTTGATTGTGGTATAAGGTAGGTTCAGCCGCCTAGCTTTGCTTCTGGAAGATTTTAGGGGACCTTTGTTCAGCTTCCAACTCCTAGACTGTGTTCTCTAACTCTGGGGGACTTGTATTGGGCACCAACTTTGTTCTCTGGCTCCTTGAGATTTGGAGTTAACTGTGCTGGAGAACCAACATGCAGCAGCTGCAGCTGAATGCTAAGAAATGCAGGGGTGCCTGTCTCCCTGTAGGCAGTTACCACAGTGGTGGAAGCAAGAGAGTTTTGGAGACTGTGTGTGCTATTACAGTGGAAGTGGTTTGAGTTTGCAGCAGGGTATTGGCCAGCACAGGACCATGTGCCTTCTCTGTGACCCACAAGCAGTAGTGATTGCTCCAGATGTGAGAGGATGACCTGTTCTCTGAGCAACTTTAGCTAAGCAAAGTGATGTGGGGAGTTGCAGTGGGCTTGGGGGAAGTTGCAGTATAAGGAGGAAACATGCAGGCTGGTGCGTGCCACAGAGGCCATCTTTCTGGCACTCTCTACTGGTCAGGCATGGTACTCCTGCATGGAAACTATGGTGTGGGCCCCCAGGGTGCCCAAGACTGCCCTGTAAGCTGGCGTGATAGGTTACTATTTATTTTCATCTTTACTATTAATTACTTCCCTCATCATCGTCCTTGGAATTCCTTTATCTCTGTCATGATTAGATACAAAATTTCTGGATACCTGATTTTATATTTCTAAATATTTTTGGTTGATTCCTTCCTTTTTATAGATCATATTCTGTAGTTATGTTGCTTCTTCAGAAAAATTAATTTTTATCTTAGTATCTGATAATACTATTCTACTCAATGACTTGATTGATATGGAGTTGCATATAGATTTTTTTAATCCGAATTTTAAGTTGTCACTCCATGGTCTTCAATCTGTCATTATTAAAGTTCTAGTTTCTATCACTGATCCTTTATATTTGTCCTACTGTTATCAAACAACTCCAAATGTGGGTTTGTGTACCCAATGCACAGTAAACCCATCACTGACACATCAGCACCTAGGAGCAGAGAAAGGTTTATTCAATTTGGCAAAAGTTAGAGAGTAGGAGAGATGGTCACTCAAATTTGACTTCCTTTCAACATAAAGGAGGGCTTTTATGAGCAAGATAGAAATATGGGAGATGGGATCTCCTAATGATCAAAGCTGATTGCATTCTTCAGATTCTAGATCTCATCAGTTCATTTCAGAGTTATAGACACCAACTACGAGGTCTGCATGATGTAAGAAGCATTGTTCTTTAAAAGAAAAACAAATTTATCAATCTTGCAGGGAGTTCTGGAGGTTAGCATATGAATGAAGTTAATCAATTACCAGTGACTATCCTTTACCAAAATGACTACTTTCAAGCAAGCTTTCGTGGAAGATGAAACGGATAACATAAAAGGAAAATAAGGAAAATAACCATCTTATGGTCTTTATAATAAAGGTTTGGTCACACTACCATTATCTTCTGGGGAGCTTTTAAGTTCTATTCATGGATTTTAGTATTCTAAAAGTCCATGAAAATATGCTCTGATTAATAAGTATTTTAAAATTAATTTTATTGGACTTCAGGGTAATCTTATTTTTTGTGTGTATTGGAGGAGGAATGAAATTCTTGTATTTTTTTTAATTATTATCTTCTCTCTTTTTCCTATGTTCTTAACTTCTGAGCACTTTATTGATATTGGATCAGTTTGTATGTAATGTTTTCCAATATTTTTTCCTTTTTGTTCAATCTTTAGAACAATATATTTGATGCAAGATATAAAGATACATAATATTTTAATGTTCCCTCTGTGTGGGTGAATCTCACATAGTGGCCTTACCTATTCTGGAACTGGTGTCATAGACCAATATGACAAGGAATTGGGGTGCTACTTTTGATGTTCCAGACATCTCATTGCCTTATCTGAACTTTTTAATTTCTTATATTATTCAAATATTTAGTAAACATTGATATTAGGTAAGGTTTGACAATCTCAGTCTGTGTGTTAGCTTAACTAATTTCCAGCATTCTGAGAGTTAAGCATAGTAAGACAGAATTCTTTTTTATTCTGTTGGCTTCTGCTTAATTCAAACTTTTGTTTCAATATGACTCATTTTTATTACATACATTGTGCCTGATATACTGTTATTTGGAATCTCTTAGGTTTAATTTTTTTCTTCTCCAGAAAGTAAGCTTCATCTCTTTTTCTTAGAAGAGGGTAAGTGCCTGGATACTTGGATGAGTGAAGGAGGGATGGAGAATTATCTAACTTAGCTTTCTAAATACTTTCAAGTAACTCCTCTATTTCAGCTCTACCATTATCTCACACTTAAAAAGTTACTGGGGTCTCCAATGTCTGAAAGTTTTAAGTTACTTTAGTTCATTTTTCTTGTTAACATCTTTAACTCTAGACATCTTTTTCTTAGTTACTCTCTGACCATCTGCTTCATATTTTGCAAAATTGTATTGTAAACTGTTTTATGTTGCTTCTCTTTTCCCTTTGTGTTTATGCATGTCTATGCAATGTAATCATTTACTGTGATGTTAGTAGACTTTTGAGTGGGATTGGACATCATATGCATGTAGAAAATCTTTTTCAAAACAAAATTTACTGGAATATATTTCAAATCTCAGTAATACAGATTATGCAGTGTCACTCCCCAGACATCTATAAAGATTTCTACTGAACAAGTCAGCCATCGAAGCAGATTATTCACCATCTGTGGTCATCAATTCCAAAGGAATTTTTGTTTCTGGTAATGGCCAAATAAGCATCTATATGAATATTTTCTACAGATAATAAATATAAACTGTGAACAAATGTAAAAAGAAAAAAAAAAGACCAGCCAAAGGCACTGGAAATGACCCTAAAAGAGCATATTCTGAAGAGTAGTCTACAATAGAAAAGGGAAAATGACACTGACTGAGTCTCTCATTTACTTTAGCTGTTAGACTAAAGGCAGTTCTAAACCATGCCATGGATAGTAGCCAAAACTGCGATAGAAAGGGCATTGTCTTTCTGATTTTAAAGGTGTACTAGAAGAGAGAGTTTGGGACAACCATAGCTGCTAGTAAGTGAGAATACACACTGCACAGGAAAAGAGCCAGAAAAAGAGAAGGTCGCCAACTTGAAATTATAAACTGTGTCCATGTTTTTAGAATAATGACTTTGTGGATCTGACTCCAAGCAAGTCACCTAAGGATAAAATAACTGAAGCAAGACTTCAGCTGCCACACAAAGATAGATTTTGCAGAGGTGTGATTTCAACCAAGTAAATTACATTACAGACTAAATAGAAATAAAAGATTCAGAAGAAGATTACAAAACTCATGATCTCCAAAAGATAATATTCATAATTTCCAACATGCATCCTAAATTACTCCAAAACATGAATAAAGAAGAATGTTTTTTATTCTCAAGATAAATGAAAATCAACAGAGACTGACAGCAAAATGACTCAGATGTTGGAATTGGCACAACAAAGATTTTAAAGGAATTATGCTGAGTGATGTAAAGGAAAATATGTTTGAAATGAATGAAAAATTAAGAAATCACAGCAAAGAGATAGAAATTATAAAAAATGACTACATAAAGACAGTAATAAGGTGTCTTTTCAATTTATATGGAAGTACAAAGTTCTAGCATATTCAAAGCAATTCTGAAAAAAAGCATAGTTTAAAGCAATTCTAAAAAAGAATAGCATAGTTTAACTATAATAAATGTTTTCAAGAATATTATAAAGCTATAGGAATCAAAATAATATGGCAATGATGTAAAGATTGATTAGCAAAGCCATAGAATAAAATTTGAAGCCCAGAAATAGATTTGCACATATTGGGGGGGTTATTTAACTTTTTACGAATATATTAAAGCAATTCAATGAATGTGCAGGGAAGGAGTAATTCACATGCCTGGGTTGCTCAAACCCTGTATATTTCCCATAAGCATCTTTCTTCAGGGTGGGCCCTTGGCTGGCTCCTCAAAAATGAGCTCCGAGGCTCTGGAATATTCTGCCTGAGAAGAGTGCTTCTGTATGTCTGACACCTCCGTCCATGTGGTAAAAATAATGTTCAAACTGTTTACACTAATTATGTGTTTTATTGTGAACAACTGTTTTTGTAAGCCTGAGACTTTAGATTACAAAGTACAAGTTTAAATGGGTAGTTTTTGTTAACAATGAGATTTATGGTAAGTGTATGAGGAACTAAAATCTCAACAGCTGAGGACAGTTATACAGGTGCTGCATGCCTACGTGACTGACCCCTAATAAAACCTCTGAAGACCAAGGCAAGATTGAGCTTCCTGACTGGAAATACATCACATGTATTGCCACACATCATTGCTGGGATAATAAAGCACATCCATAGGACTCCACTGTGGGAGGACACCTAGAAGCCCATGCTTCATGTCTTCTAGACTTTATCCCATGTACCTTTACAATTTGCTAATTTTAATGTGTATCTTTTCATTGTAAAAGACACTAAACATGGAGATAGTAGGTTTTTCTGAGTCTAGAGAATCTTCATTCTCTAGAATGAAGTGGTAGTGGTCATGAGGAGTCTCTACCCATAAATAAAACATATTTTTAATGAATGATACTGAAATAACTATATTTATATGGAAAAAATGAATCTCCACCCATAACTCACAATATACCTAAAAATAATTCAAAATGAATTATTGACCGAAACATAGAAGCTTATACAAAAGATTTTCAGAATAAAATATGGAAGAATGACTATTTGACATAGAGCTAGGCAAAGTTTTCTTATAGGTAGATAAGATACAGGACAAATGATGACATATGGAAAAAATGATATGTTTGACTTTACCAAAAACAAATCATCAGTGAATCAAAATACTCACAAAATACAACTCCTACAGCAAAACATTATAAAGACAAACAACCTTTTAAAATGGGAAAAATGTTTGAACACACATTTTATACATTAAGATGTATAAGTGGATAATAAACACATAAAAACTGTTCAGCATCACTAAGTAAGTAGGGAATGGTACATTAAAGCAACATTGTGATATCATTACACACCCTCTAGGAATGG
The DNA here is from genome assembly GCF_000001405.40 of Homo sapiens. Classification (NCBI taxonomy): domain Eukaryota; kingdom Metazoa; phylum Chordata; class Mammalia; order Primates; family Hominidae; genus Homo; species Homo sapiens. The sequence goes on along the minus strand of NC_000004.12, from coordinate 64,915,221 downwards.
CTAAAATTAAAAAGACTGAAAACATCAAATTTTGGCAAGGTTAGGGCCAATTAAAATTTTCATACATTGCTGGTAAAAATGAAAATGTCACAACCACTTTGGAAAAAATTTTTAAAATTTTTTACAAAACTTCATATAGATCCATTATATGACCCAACCATTCTACTGCTAGACATACACTCAAAATGAAGAAACACGTACAAAAAGATTTCTACAAGAATGATTTTAGCAGCTTCACAACAAACCAGGTGTTGGTCAATAGGAAGATGAAAAATCAAAATATAGTATAGCTATAAAATACAATAATATTTAGGATAAAAATAATAAATGCATGTTATAACTAATAATATCATGACTGAATCTCAAAAATATTTTGCTGAGTTAAACAAGCTTTGCACAAAGTAGTATATTATGTATGATCCCATGTATAGAAATATCTAGAATAAGGAAAAACAAATTATGATAGAAAAGATGTTGCTTCTGGTGATTGGGTGGAGCTCTGATGGACTGGGAAGGAGCATGAGGGAGCTTTGTGGGTTGATGGTAATTTATGTACCCTGACAGGGGTTTGGTTTACATAGCTGTATTCATTTGTCAAAACTTATATTAAATGGTGCAATTAATATTGATGCATTTCATTGTATGTAAATTTTACCCTAAAATAATTTTAGACAAATTGTAAAACCTAGTTAAAGACATATATGCTGATATTTTCAGGGTTACCTCTCTTGATGTCTGCAACTTACTTTGAAATGCTTCAAAAGGAAAATAGGATAATGGATGGAAATAGGGAGAGAGAAATGGATCGATGTGTAAATAAAACAAATCTATCTAAATGTTAAAGCTTAATTGTAGATGATGAATGTAGGAGTGTTGAATGTTAAATTCTTTCAACTTTTATGTTGAAAAATCGTCATAATAAAATATTTGAAAAATGTATACATTGAAATATTACAGCAAGTATACTATTTTTACTGTGATTTTGGAACTGAAGTTACTATTACTGATAGTATACTGAAGTATACTATTTTTACTGTGATTTTGAAACTCAAGATAATTTCCTGAAGAAAGTTTTTTGACAATTTTACTTTTGAAAATTCCCATTGATCTGTTAGTTATCTTCAAAACGTCTGGAGAAAAGTCAGGATATATATATAACAGCAAATGGGCAATTTCTACTGTTTTCATTACTTTGGTTTTAGAATTGCCACTACTGCTTGCTTAATATTTAAAATTTGCTGGTCTTAAAGCAACAGTCTATTTTCCAATCTTGGGGAAGATTATGGTCGTATAATATACCAGATGGACGCATTAGTACTGTTAAAAAAAAAGACTAGTTGCCTATATGAATTGCAAACTTAATAAAGAAAATGAACTAGGAAGAATGAAATAAAAAGTTCTATTAGGTTTATTATAGTCTACAATGTTCTCACTGTCCAGAAATAGTCTACTGGAATTTGGAGATATTTCATCATTATGCCCTTATATTGTCCCTATTCCTTCTGTTTAAATTTTTATAATAGCTCTTTAAAATACGTTAGTTGTTACCACCTTTTAATCTATCTCTATTTCATGCAAGCAATAAGATAAATGACTAAATGAGCTCAATTTAACAACATTGTAGGCATATTCTCACACTTTATCTTATAGATCATCTTAACACACTCATTGCACTTCACTGAAATACCATGCCTAGTTCTTAATATCATTTCTAAACTTAATAAGGAACAAGTCAAAACCATAACAGAATAAAATAGTATTCAATAAATCTTTTCAATGTTTTTGCAAACTTTATAAATAACTGTCTAAAGTATGAACTTTTATTATTTTTTTCACATAATATTATAATTTTACAAGTGCAACTGAGACCCTCCCATATTCCTTCCTATATTCAATTCCTTTCTTCTTTCTCCATTTGATAGCATTCATCCTGCATGTAACATCCTTGTTGCTACAACATTTAAAAAATAACCAATGTAAAGTTTTCAAAACAGAATTATTTGTACTCCTCTATTTTATTAGTTTATACCTATTTGTATAATATAATAATAGAAGGACTTTGTGATTGCATGTGGCTGGCATCACTCTAACTTTATGCAATGCGTTTCACTAATGTGTTGGCTGTGAATAACACCACCCTTATCTCCCAGGATGGGCCCTAATTTGCATAATGCATTCAGAACCATCTAAATACTCTGGTGACTGTAATTGCTGTGATGGTAACATCTTAATGCTTGAAGAGACATTTCAGGTCACAGTATGAGGCGTAGTGATAATCAGGTTAAATTTGGTGTTTTTCTGAATGTAGGGCTTGAAGGTGAGGAAGCAAGGAGGCCATATTTTTCAGCGCGCACAGGACAGTGTAGAAAAGAACAGGCAAATTGCAGCTCAAGACATTTTTAATTCAAGGCATGGGAGAAAAAAAATTTCTAGGGCATCTGAAGTCTCATGTTTACACGCCAAACTTTCAATAGTTTGGAGTGTAGATGTGAGACTTCAGCTGCCCTAGAAATTTTGCTACCAAAAAGCAAGCTATCCTTAGGATTGAGTGAAGATACAACAGAAGGGAGAGGTACACAAATCACAAGAAATATAAACAAAAATATGATCAAACCATGCTTTCAAAGTAAACTTTTTCAAGATATGTTTAATGATATAAAGCAATACATTCCAGTATGGTTAAAATTAATTTGAGTTGAGTTTTAAGTCTTTTATAGCTAATATTACCCTAACTGAAGCATGTACTTATGACATTGCATGGTTACTTCTTGTATGACTTTCTCTCTACTCAATCAAGAGCTCCTGAGAGGAAAAGCCATTCCTTCATCCCATATCTGTAAAATTTAGCATAGAGTCTGACTCATATAATAAATCAGTAAATAGTTACTTAAAAATGAGTGGTAGTCATGGTCATATACATTTTTAAAAATTAAACATCCATTTTTTTTGGTCAAATCAAGATGGACATATGCTTGATTCTCGTTATTTGTGGATTCCATGTGTGTGAATTCACCTACTCACTGTTATTCTTAACCCCCAAGTCCATGCTCACTGAGCTTTTGCAGTCATTCTCTCAGTTAACGGAAACAGGTGAGTGGCCAGATGTGCTGCTTCCATAAGGGTGGATGCTCTGCCTTCTTGTTTTAATTCTCACACAGTGATGATAAGAGGATGGTAGGGGGCAGTGCATCCTAATCCAAGAAGCTTCACTCTGGAGTCAGTTGAAAGGCCAGATAGAAATTTGTCATCTGGTAGTTGGGTAGTCTCAGGTAAGTCACCTAACACTTCTGAATTTACTTTTCTCTTCTGTAAGATAAATAAAATAGAAGCTATTAGGATGACCTGGTTTTTGGGATTTAAGATTATAATCTATGTGACATATATGTGTACACATACACATTTCTCCTAGAAACAGTGTTTCAGTGTCTGCTAATTCAGGATTTGCGGATGAATTTGTAAAACATTAGTGTAATGAATAATAAAAAATTAACTGTATCTGCAAAATCATACTTAAATAAGTGCATGAATATATTTGTTTGGGTAAGGCTATAATAAGATATATTAGAATAAGTCATCTTGACATGCAACTTGTGGCAATGTCTGCAATAGCTGAACTTTAAGGTCCCTGTAATAAGGGAAGAGTAAACAGAGAAGGCATACTGGACATTAACTACATTTAAAGTTATGTGAATCACTTTGCTTCAAACTTTATTGATTATACTCATAATGGCCAAACCTAGTAGAAGAAGGAACTAGGGAATTTAGAAGAGCACATTGAAATTTGTTAAACCTACACATTTGCAGCCACAATGTATATACTATTTGATTGTATAAATTACATTTTCCAAAATAAACTATGCAAGTTCTTACATAAAAATTCTCAGGAAATGTTCTAAAATTTAAATGTGTAGTCAGATAATAATAATGTTATGCTCCTATTGGAGTCTGTAAATATTTTAAAAATAAAATTAGAGAATTGGATAGCTCCCATAGTCAATGGTAATAGTAGAGTCAGTTTTCTATCAATAACTTCAATAGCATTGTTTATAAATATCACTATAAGTTTCAAAATATTAGTACACATGGTATCTGAAAAGCAAATAAAATAGGAAAAATTTATTTTAAAACATTATATTATCTACATTTTATAATAATATACCTAATATGCCTTTCTTTAATCTCCAGATACATTTTCAGTAAAAGCACTTCTAAGTATAAAGCAACAGTTTCAGTTATTAATGTAAACAACACTTTTAGTAAATGCAGAAACTCAGAATATTGTGCACTTACTGTTTTTGTTTAAGATTAGCAATTTCTTTTTTTGTAATTTAAAAGTACCTCACCTGAAAAAGTGTCTTGAAGTCAAAGTAAAACATTTGAAAAAAATATAGCTGAAGGGGAATTAGAATAGAGATCAAACAAAAATGATTAAGAATCTGAAAAGACATATCTTTTTTTTAGAATATTAAATTTATTCCTTTCAAAAAAGAAAGTACCAGGCCCAAATGGTTTCACTTGTGAATTCTTCCAAGGATATAATTATGGATGAAATGATGCAAATTCTCCAAATTTTTTAAAGAAACTAGAAAGAGTAACAGAAAGAAAACTTCCTAACTTATTCTGTGATTCCAGAATTATCCTAATACCAAAAACAGATCAATACATCACAAGAAAGAAAAACTACAGAGAAATATCTTTCATGAGCATAGAGGTAAAAATCTGCAACAAAATATTAGCAAATTAAATCCAACAATGCACACAAAAAAATTAAACACTGTGACCATGTGGAATTTATTCCAGGAATGAAGGGATGGTTCATTATTTGAAAATCTATCAGGATAATCCACCACATTAGCAGGCTACAGAAGAAAAATTATGTGAGTATAACAAGTAATGCAGGAAGAAAAAGCATTAAAAAAATACACCATTCATGATTAAGAACTCTCAGAAAAGTAGGGATAGAGGAAAACTTTATCAACATGATAAAGGAAAGCTACAAAAACAAATAAACAAAATCAGCTAACATCATTGATACGGTTCGGCTCTGTATCCTTGCCCAAATCTCACTTTGAACTGTAATAATTCCCACATGTCATGGGAGGGATCCAGTGGGAGGTAATTGAATCACGGGGGCAGATTTCTCCTGTGCTGTTCTCATGATAGTGAATAAGTCTCACGGGATCTGATGGTTTTATAAAGGGTAGTTCCTCTGCACATGCCCTCTTGCCTGGCACCATGTAAGACATGCCTTTGCACCTCCTTTGCCTTCTGCAATTATGGTGAGTCTTCCTCAGCCATGTGAAAGTGTGAGTCAATTAAACCTCTTTTACTTTATAAATTACCCAGTCTTGTATGTCTTTATTAGCAGCATGAGAACAGACTGATACAGTCATATTTAATGGCGAGAAACTAGCCTTAATATTAGGAAGAAGGCAAATATGTTCACTCTCACCATGCATATTTAACATAGTACTGGAAGTATGTGCTAGTTGAGTATGACAAGAAAAGGTAATAAAATGTATACAGATTGGGAAGGAAGAAATAAAATTGTCTTTATTCAGCATGATTATCAATATAGAAAGTCCAACAAATCTACAAACACACACATGCACACACACTCTCACACACATACACACGCAAATCTCCTGTAACTAAGTAGCAAGTATAGCATTAGGCAATTGGAAGTTAAGAGAACAAGGTATCAGTAAACATGAGTTAGGATGGATAAAAACCAAAAAAAAAAAAAAACTGTCAATACCAATTGCTGAAAAGAATGCATAGCAACAAGAACTCTCATTCATTGCAGTGAGAATGGCATTGTTAATTTGAAAACTACTTTGCCATTTTCTTAGTAAATTAAACATAGTATTACCATATAATCTGGCAATTATACATCTAGGTTTTTATCTGACTAATTTAAAAACCTACATCCACACACATACAAAAACGTTCACATAAATATGTATAACAACTTTGTTTATAGTGGCAAAACTGAAAGCAACAAAGATACCCTTCAATATATGAATGAATAAACAAAACATGGTACATGCATAAAATTGAATGCTGTTTAGTGATAAGAAATTAGCTATCAAGCCAAGAAAAGACATGAATGAATATTAAGTGTGTATTTCTAAGTGGAAGAAGCCAGTCTAAAAAGCTGCATATAGCATTATTCCAGTTGCATGATATTACTAAAAGGCAAAACTGTAGTGACGGTAAACATGTCCGTGGTTACTAGGGATTAAGGAGAAGGAAGGGTTGAATAGCTGAAGTACAAGGGATTTTTTTTAGGGCAGTGACATGATTCTGTATGATAATGCTGTGGTAGATACTTGATACTTGACACTCTGCATTTGTCAAAATCCCTTGAACTTTACAGCACAGAGTGAACCTTAATGTATTCTATTTTAAAAAATTAGGAGGTTAGAAATTCCGGGGTGGAATGCAGAATGCTACGAAATAAATCTAACTATATTACAAATGTATGAAATACCTCACTGAAGGGAGTGGTGAAAAAACGTCCACCTACTTAATTTTGGAAATGAATAGAATCTGTTAGACTAAAGAAAAAATAAAAATGAAACAAAAAACAAAAAATGACTTTACAAAAGCCCTGTATGCTAGTTAATAAAATTGCTGCTTACATTGATACTAGTTAAAAAATACAAACCACTATGCATGTATGTTATAGTTGAACAAATAAGTAAATTGATGGTGGGTAGTAGAAGCCAGTTTTCTGACTACTGGAGTTGAAAGTTGTAGATAGGCAAGGTAAGGAGGCTAGAATAAACCTTTCAGTAGTGAATTAGTGTTGGAGATGTCAGCAAGAGACCATGTTTATCTTAACGTAGTTATGAATTGTTTACATATAAATATTTAGAGATCTGTATATAAACATGGGTTAATATACACCCATGTATTTCCTTGTTCTGTCTGCTAAAAGGGCCTACAAGCAATGACACCCAGTAACAATGAGCACAACTAACACCTAGATCTTGGTTTTTAGTGCCATTATTAAATAAAAGGAAATAGGAGTCCCTGGAGAAATGGCTGCTTTTAGGATTGGGGCAGGAAATGTGCTAGATGAGCCTAGGGAATCTTTTAGTGCCAGAAACTAAGGATGAGCTGATAAATACATAAATAAACAACTACAGATCCCATAATGATGCCAGTATGTCAAAGACAGAGGGTAACCAATTTAAAGAGCTCCCAACGGCTAAAGCTATAATAATTTGGAAACAAAATAAAGTAGTATTTGATTGAAACCTAAACTATAAAATGAATATCCACGAATAATACTGACATAAATAAATAATTGAACAAATAAATAAATTGGGGAGATGAGACAAATCTCCAGTATATAAAAATTCCGAATAAGTTATGTAGACTGCCATCATAAGAGTTCAGTCCTAAAGTCTGGGCTGGACATAGTTATTTCCTTTCAAAGAGTACAAGAACACAGTGGAGAAACCTGACAAATACTACCTGAGCCAGATGATCAAGGTCAACATCAATAATGATAAGTCATGTTGACAGTGTGTATCCTTGATATGATGGGATAAAATGGCACTTTACCTTTGTAGATTTTCTTTCAAAAATCCATAACACAATGAATCATGAGAAAACTATCAGATGAATCCCAATTGAGGGGCATGCTACACAATCCATGAGCAGTACTCTTCAAAACTATCAAGGTTATCAAATACAAGAAAGGTCTGCAGAACTGTCACAGTCAAGAGGAGCCTTGTCTTACAGAAATAATAACCAAATGAGGTATGAAATCCTAAATGGGATCCTTGACAAGAAAAAGGATATTAAGTAAAAATTAAGAAAATGTGAGTAAAGTATAGTTTTTAGTGAATAATAATGTATCAATATTGGTTCATAAATTGTTAACAAATATACCATAATATGAGATGTTAATAATAGGAGAAACTTGATTCAAGGTACATGGGAACTCTTTGTTCTAATTTTGGATATTTTCTGTGAATCTAAAACTATTTCAACCTAAAAAGCTTATTTAAAAAAGACAACAGTGAGAAAATAGGTAGTCAAACTACAGATTGTGATGAATAATAAAATATTGATCAGATAGAATACTTACATTTAGCTTATATAAAAATTACTAGAACTAAACAATAAAAAGACAAAAATTTAGAAATAGGAGAAAAGTTATTTTCATTAGTTACTTTTAAATGAATTATTCCAATTGATATTTTTTTCTGGCTGAATATTTTGGTGGGAATTTCAAAATAGTCACTCTACTCTTTAATTGATATTTTAATATATTAAAAGAAGCTCAACTCCAATCAGAGAGTCTCAAAGTGGTTTCATCTTGGAATACGAAGTGAATCATTGCTCTGTGAAATGATGTGGCTTTGCTTTATAGATTGTATATTTGTGTGGGTGAAATAGAGGGAGAAAGAGGGTAAAGCCATAACTCATGAGGTTCAGCTAAGAATTTAAATTGCATAGTCTGCCTTCAATGAGAAAGTAAATTGCATAATCTGTAAATACCCCAGTATTAACGCATTTGTGAATGTCTTTTATTGATTAAGCTTTTTCTTAAATCAAAGTGTATATTTCTTAACTACTCAAACTCAGAGACTATATTATTTATATAAATTTATTCTACTATATTTATTCTTTACTTTGGGAGAACATTTGTATGTTTCACTAATAAGCATTCCCTATTTTAATGTTACTGGTTTGTGTAATAGGTGAAAATAAGTAGTAAGAATTGAATAGAAATTTCCCCAAAATGAACATATCAGTACAAAAATAAGTAGTAAGAATTGAATAGAAATTTCCCCAAAATGAACATATCAGTACAAAATAAAAAAGTAAGATTTGAGGGTTGTGGACAGAGTGCTTTGTTTCAGATATAAATTACTATATTTTAAGTTCACAGTAGGAGCCTCTTCATTTAAAAGTTAAATGGAATGAAGCAGATACTGTAGTTGTTGCTTACTTCAAAATTAGCCATTCAATTAATGAGCGATGTTGGCAAGGGTTAAGGATCAAGGACTCTGCATTATTCATTCATGTATTTATTATGTATTTCATGCCACAGTACATTACCCTGATTCCATGTCTTATAAATAAGAATTGGGAACCTTGTAACACACTGAATACAAATGTATCTTAGCTGTGTAGAAATGTATTGCAAGCACATGCATTAAAATTATAGCATATTAGATCTAAGACCTTATAGGTCATTTAGTACAATTTTATCATTTTTCAAATGGTATGGGGTAGGCATAAGAGTTGTTTTGCAGAAATGAAAGAAAGGATAGGTTAAATAGCTTCTCAAAAGTCATATGCATGCTTAGTTTCTGAACTAGAGCAAGAATCCAGCCATCTTTATTTTCAATGTAACACACTCTTCACTTCATTAGGCTAATAATTTGAAAAATGTGACAAATAACATGATATCAACTTTATGTAAAAATGTATGAACTCTAGCAAAAAATAAATAGAATATAAACTGTATATATATTTTAAACAAATATTTTCTGATACTAGAAAATTATATTAAATACAATTTGTTATTTTACATTTTACTGTAGTTGAAAAGAAACTCTGTTGTAAAGTAATGACAATCAGATACTTAACATTTTGCATTTCAAGACTTTTAAGCTCTTTTCTTTTCCATCATTTTATATCCGTAGTTTAAGTATTTATTTATTTTTAAATTTAATTTGGATAGATAGTATCTGATTTAATTTTCTATATTGGATATGTGTAGTCTTACTCTTCCTAAATGTGGAAAGGTAGGTAATTCAATCCTGGAACTTTTCTATGTAAAATAAATTTTAATGAACTCTAAATATGTGCTAAATATTTTTAAAAAGCATAGAAAATGATCATAATACTTTATTTATGGCTAGCTGATATTATCCTAAAGTGTTTCTGTTCTTCTTAATCTTCTGTTTCTCTTACTAATAGCTTAAATAATCTCCAGTAAAGCTGAGGATTCGAAGCAGCTTCACAGAGTAGAAAGAAAAATGAGTGGGAGGTTAAAAAGCATACATGACATCTAGCGTCATCACTGACCTGTTTTATTGAACAAATGATTTGTCTTCAGTTTCCTTAATCCTGTAAAAGAAAAGGGACAAATAACATCTTTGTAACTATTTTATCCACTTGCTAAATATCATAGTTATGAGCAAGTCTTACAGTTTACTTCACTGATCTAACATCATATAAACTGAAATTCAAAAATAATGACAATTTTAGTTAAAATAGAACTAAAATTTTTAAGTATCCATTAAAAATGTTTAAAATGGAGACTGCTGGTATTTAAATAAATATAGACTACAAATGAACTATTTAGGTCACTACAAGTTAAAGACTATTGAAAGTACCATTTATGAATTGTGTAGCTCTTAAAAAGGTGTACGAATAGTTCAAGAGGTGAACAATTCATAAATGGTACTTTCAATAGTCTTTAATTAAATAGTAGTGACCTAAATAGTTGATTTGTAATCTATATTTAATTACGTACCAGCAAAGTGGTGAAAAATACATACATGGTACTTTTTCATGGTAAATAATACCATTTCCTTGAGTATTTTTAGAATCAGCTTTTCAAAACTCTAGCAGAGTTTCTGAAATAAAATTTGATTTTTGAAAGAAATATAAAAAACAAGTTGTTTCTTAACCAAATGCTCTAGATTAGGTTAAAATTTTGAAAGTTTAAGAAGATTCTAGTTCATTAATAATTATAGATCAGGGAACCAATTGGGTTTGAGAGTTTTTAAAAACTATATACCATGTACTTGTTTTTGTATTCCATTTAACTGTAGAGGATCAATATAGAAGCTTCTATTATTTCTGGCAGCGCAGCAGATCCTATAACCTGAATCACCTTTGAAATCGATATTTGAGCTCCCAGGAAAATAAGTAAAATTCCTATTAGCCAAAGAAGAAAGAATTGAGAATTTAAGCAAAAAGAACATAACCTGACTTTATGGTCTTCTTAGGTGATGCTGGTGGCTTCCAGGCTCAGTAACCACAGTCCTTTCATTTTCATGCCCAGACATAGAAATAAAGGATGAGACTTGGGCCCTATGAAGTGAGAGGTTATAACTGTTTCCTCCATAAAATGCCAAGGACTATAATAGGCTATACTGTCAGTGAAAAGGTAGCAGAAAAATAAAATAAATACTAGAGAATAAATCTTATATTTACTTTTAAAAAAGCCTTCAAATGCTATAACTTTAAAATCATGTTACATTAGTGCCTGTTTCATGAAAAGCACTTTCTGAAAATATATTCATTTATTTGCAGATATCTGTCAAAATATACCAGGTCACCCAGTCCCAAATATTATTTGATAAAGGAAAATTGTAAGAGTGTACACAAAGCAGAGTTTGTCTGAAAAAAGGAAAGGCTAAATATGAGATTGCAAATCTTTTTGTATATTTATGGCATTTTTCATATAATAATTATACATGCAGAGTAGCCATTTAGAATGTTTTTATAATCAACGGTGGGAGGAATCTCTTTTTACATATGATGAGAATAAGCCATATTTTTGATTGAAAGAATAGCTATTGTACATAAATGCATCTGGAGCTTTTCACTTAGAAGTCAGATGTTTCATTCATGAATATCACAGTCAGTGAATGTTAAAAGAAGGCTAAATGATTCTAGATTGGTAAGGCTGTACTAGCGTCCTATTTTGTAGGGCATCTGTAATAGCTCTATAATTACAGGAGAATTACATGTTCCCACAAATTACTTGATAATTATACTTGATATTACCAAGTAATTCACAGATTAGTTACTACATAACTTGCAATTTTGATATCTCATTGAAACATATTTCTTGCCTTATTTTAAGGGTTTGCTGATACTCTAAATAGTGGACATCCAGAATGCATTTCTAATTATTTTTAGGTTACTTTTCTGCATAATTTTTTTTTGAAAAAGCAAATATCACAAAGGGCAAATAAATGAAGGTATATGAGTCATTTATCTTGATATCTAATTTCTGTTCATCATACATTTCATCATTACATTTTCTTTAATCAAGATGGCTCTGTGGAAACAGTCATAGGATTCTAATAAAAGTGACTTTTAAACCAAAATAGTTAACTGTGTAAGTTAATATAGAGTACATTGATATAATGAAAATATTTATTTTGCACATGCACTTATAACTATATTTGGATTGAGAGCAAACCTTAAAGGTCAAATGGCAAGTCAGTTAGGTTACACCAGAGACTCAACAACATTTGCATAACATTAATTTGCATAAAGAAATTATACGATTTTAGAACCAATGAAGCTAATATGAGTGCAACTATGGAGCAACTGAAAGGTGTTTGAGTATTTGCGTGTTTTAACAAAAACTGAGAAAAAAATATGGAATGCTTCCTTGATATCCTATACCAGTTGATTGTCAATTAATATTTTATGTTGTGATTATGGGATGCATAGATCTTTGCTAGCAAGGAGACAACTCAATGAGGAAGTAAGAGTTGTGGCTGGTACTATGTCTCCCTTTAAACATGTTACAAGGATCATTTAGTTCAAAGAACATGAGGAATTCAAGCAGATTGGCAAATTTCTAATGAAAACTAAAGTATTAGGCCTCTCAAATAAAAATTTGTACCCTCTTAAAAAATATTAGGAATTTAAAGACAGTAACAAACAGCTGAGCATTAAATAAAACATGAGGTTTTTCTGAGGATGGAGTCTTTGCAGCTACACAAGTTGCATGCCTATGTAGCTGGCCCTGGGAGCAAGATGTAGTATATTTACTTCTGTGGCCCACATTGGCCATGGCACAACAAGAGGGAATCCAGAATGGATAATGCTTACAATTCCAAGCTAGCAACTTAAAATTTAGAAATAAAAAATATAAAATTCAAATGGTCAACTATGTAGAAAATAATAAAATTATTTCACTGTAAAGTGCTGAAACACTTCTAAATTTTCTCCCCCCAGATTTTTTACCATATAAACTTTGTTATTAAAAATGAAAAGACTGAAAATAAATGACTGAAATATTTATCTTAAGAAATCAAAGAATAAACCACATATGAAAATATAAGATCTTACCATCACTTTGTCGAAGAACTATTTTAACTAACAAGACAAATTAAGAATCATGTGTCTTCACATGGCAAAAGCTATATATACAATAGGTTAGCTATTTTTCAATCAATCAAAAGTATGGCTAATTATCAACATATGTAAAAAGAGATTTGTCCCACATGGAGTTTAAATACATTCTAAATGGCTACTCTACATGTATAATTATTATATGAAAAGTGTCATAAATATACAAAAAGGTTTGCAATCTCATATTTAGTCTTGCATTTTTCAAATGCTGCAAGGCAAGGGAGCTCCGTGGAGTCTCTTTTATAAGGGCACTAATTCCATTTTATGAGGGCTCCCATCACATGACCTAATCACCTCCCAAATGTCCCAATGCCAAATAACATCACATTGGTGATTAAGTTTCAACAGGTGAATTTTAAGGAAACACAGCCATTTAGTCTATAGCAGCGTGTGAATGAAACTCACAAGATGTAGTGGTGTTTAATTATCCATTAGTACTTTACATATAATTTCCACTCTTCTTTATTTGTAATTTTTGTGGGTACATATTAGATGTACATATTACGGGATAAAGAAAATATTGTAATACAGGCATACAATGTGTAATAGTCACATTAGGCCAAATGGAGCATCCATCACCTCAAGCACTTGTCTTTTGTGTTACAAACAATCCAATTAAATTCTTTGGTTATTTTAAAATGTACACTTAAATTATTATTGACTATAGCCACCCTGTTGTGCTGTCATATTGTATCTTATTCATTTTTTTAATTTTTTTTTTTTTTTGGTGCTCATTAAACCATCCCCACTTTCCTGCCTCCAGGCCTTCACTACCATTACCAGCCTCTGGTAACTATTATTCCACTCTCTATCTCCATGATTTCAGTTGTTTTAATTTTTAGCTCCCATAAATGAGTGAGAACACATGAAGTTTATCTTTTTCTGCCTGGCATATTCCACTTAACATAATGTCCTCCAGTTCTAACCATGTTGTTACAAACGACAGAATCTCATTCTTTTCACTGTTCATTATAAAATTCAGGAGAGAAATGTATCAAAGAAAGAATTGTCCAGTTTCACGGGAAATTTAAAGAAACTATTTCTACCCTGGGACTTTCCAGATTGGAAAGCAATTTTTTTCCTCCTTTCTAGCTTCTCTAGCTGGCAAAATGTTCTCAAAGTAAGCAATTGCCTCAAGGCAGAGAAGAAATTGAGGATAAAGCTACAAGACTCTGTTAATACAGCAGAAAGATATATGCCAATGCTTTTTAGGCCCTGTTTTCTTTTTTTTTTTTTTTTAACTTTTTTTTTTTAATTTTTATTTTTTTTATTGATCATTCTTGGGTGTTTCTCGCAGAGGGGGATTTGGCAGGGTCATAGGACAATAGTGGAGGGAAGGTTGGCAGATAAACAAGTGAACAAAGGTCTCTGGTTTTCCTAGGCAGAGGTCCCTGCGGCCTTCCGCAGTGTTTGTGTCCCTGGGTACTTGAGATTAGGGAGTGGTGATGATTCTTAACGAGCATGCTGCCTTCAAGCATCTGTTTAACAAAGCACATCTTGCACCGCCCTTAATCCATTTAACCCTGAGTGGACACAGCACATGTTTCAGAGAGCACAGGGTTGGGGGTAAGGTCACCGATCAACAGGATCCCAAGGCAGAAGAATTTATCTTAGTACAGAACAAAATGAAAAGTCTCCCATGTCTACTTCTTTCTACACAGACACGGCAACCATCCGATTTCTCAATCTTTTCCCCACCTTTCCCCCCTTTCTATTCCACAAAACCGCCATTGTCATCCCGGCCCGTTCTCAATGAGCTGTTGGGTACACCTCCCAGACGAGGTGGTGGCTGGGCAGAGGGGCTCCTCACTTCCTAGTAGGGGTGGCCGGGCAGAGGCGCCCCTCACCTCCCGGACGGGGCGGCTGGCCGGGCGGGGGGCTGACCCCCCCACCTCCCTCCCGGACGGGTTAGGCCCTGTTTTCTAAACCAAAGAACTTCTGAAAAAAATCGTACAGATCTTGATGTCCAGCAACTGGACTGAAGTCTAGGCAAGGTAGAGAGCAGCATGACTTGAGGTCAGCTGTGTGTTCGGCTTTTGTCTAATTAAGCGAATCTCAGTAAGATTCGTGAAAAATCATCTGAGTTTTGAAGAGTTTTGTGTGTCATCAAGAGCACCACAATATTGGAATTAAAAATGAAAGATGTTAAAATGGAAATAATCTTCAGTGTTCCTAAACTTCTATGGGCAGAAAGCACTCTAAGAATGCTACTCACCTGCAAACATAAGCCACTTCTTAAGGATAAGAAAAAATGACTCTGAGGTGGGGCCAAGTGCTCAGAAAATAGAGCAGAGAATGTTAAGAATGCCAACTCTTGGAGCAAAACTGGTCTTACTTACATGCAATTTATGCTTCTGAATAGATGGAGTTAGTCATATATGCCTGGCAGTCTCTCAGAAATGCTATAGTGCAATGCTTGCTATGTGTTTATCATTTTTCCCTTTTGGAACTACTATGATTACTACAGCAGCATGACTGTGACTACTATTTCTATTACTGTATAACAGCTACTTTCATTGAAGGTCTTTTTTTTTTTTTTTCAGATTTAGAACCCTAATTCTTTTAAGGTCTATGCAAACACCGCATGTTCTCACTCATAGGTGGGAATTGAACAATGAGAACACATGGACACAGGAAGGGAAATATCACACTCTGGGGACTGTTGTGGGGTGGGGGGAGGGGGGAGGGATAGCATTTGGAGATATACCTAATGCTAAATGACGAGTTAATGGGTGCAGCACACCAACATGGCACATGTATACATATGTAACAAACCTGCACATTGTGCACATGTACCCTAAAACTTAAAGTATAATAATAATAAAATTAAATTAAAAAATAAAAAATTAATAAAAATAACTTTAATGAGAAAAAAATAAAGCAGTTTATTGCTCAAATATTCTAGACAGCTAATTATCACAGTTTTGAAAATGTGGCTCATTTGGTAGGTCTTTGTGATCTTGAGATATCATTCAAATATTAATAAAAATAATTAGTGAATCAATTTTGAAAGAAATTGGGTTATATTGTTTGGGTAAAGTGGGGTTAATGTGCGGCCTAAACACAATTCTCAAAATTGCATTATAAGGGGAGATTATCTACTTTTCTATATCCATCCATTCATGAAAAATTAAATTGTCATCCTGAGCACTTCAAAATAACCATAAGATCTCTGGTCAAAGTCAAAGTGTGAAATTACCTTCCCCACATACTTCTAGATAGTCGAGATTTTTTTTTGTCCCTGGGAGTTAAATGTTAACATTTCTGTCTTTATGTATGGAAAAATTCTGATGTAGTTACACAGCTGTAAATTAGGTAGACTTTCCACAGTTCAAGAGAAAGAAAGTGAACAAAACAAGGAAACTGAAAAAACACTAGTTGCATTATAAATTTTTAGTCTTGGGGACTATGTTATTAGAAATATAATTTCTAGAGACAGAGAACAGAGCCTTCAAAAATGGGTAATTTCACTGTAGTAGTATTTTAATTTAAATGATATATATTGGTAAGATATATTTTAAACTTAATCCATTCTGCATGTTATCTAATCTACATAAATTGTACAGACTCCTACCTAGAAATATAGTATGCCAAACGAATCATTGTCGAAATCCAAAAACATTGTTTAAACCTAAACTCACTTTGGCACATTAAAATGTAGTGAGCCTTTTAATGAAAAATACATTAAACTTATTATTTTTATGCCCTGAAATGACACAACTTTATATTATAAGTGCTATTCAATCATTTTCTTCTGTTTCACCTATATTTTTGCAATAGGAATTTCAGGAGTTTTAAAAATTTGTATGCATTTTTGAAACTAAATTTTTTTACAGCAAATCTTAAGGCAACTTTACAGGGAAAAGAACGTTGTTAAAATAAATTTTCCTTCAGTTTGGAGTAGACCAAATATTTGTAATTCAAAAGAGCAAATAGCTACACATTCTGTAATAGCACCTATGACAATTTGCATAGATTTCTAACCTTATGTTAAAGGTTTTTGCTGTAAACCGATTTTTAAGTAGGTTCACCTGTTTCTCCTCTGTGCTCAAGTAGAAACGATTGAAATTCTTTTTAAAACACTGAAAAAAATGCCTCATAGACATTCAGCTACTGTCAAGGAGAGGGAATATATATAGCTAGGCACCATCATCTAACATCCTTCTAAAGACTTGTCAAATCTGTACGTAACGGAGAGATCATTTCTGCATTATAGGCATGAAAATGGTTGTAATTAACTTCTCAAATCCAACAGCATGGTGAGAGAGATAATTATAAAAGAATTCAAACCAATCTCAGTTTAATTATTCTGCACAGAGATGGGGAGGGGGCATTTCCAATAGCCTCCTGTTGTGCTATTGAAACCAAAGCAAGCTTGATTAGGACAGATTGTGTCAAGTTTCTTTTCATCCAAATAGTTATATTTACTCTCAAAGTAAAATGCAAGTGGTAACCTTTCTCAACTTACAGAACTATTGCATAAAACTTAGTTTAAAAGTCTTTCAAAGAGAAGGTGGGTAATGAATTAAGTTGAGGTTATACACCTTGGAGAAGAAAGTTTCTCAGTCAAGGATTCAAATCTGATTTGACAACAATGGCAACAAATTAAAACATGTCATTGTTTTTGACAGGTTTAAAGGCCCCTCTTATTTGATTTGTGCCATTATAATCTTCAGTGTGAAGGGAAGGAGAATACTACAATTTCTAATAACAGAGGAACTATACAAGTGATATTATTATTGTTATTATTAACCTGAATATCTGCATATTTCTGTTCTTTAGATTTTTAATTTGTAAATCTTTGAAAATTAGTAAAAAAATTCTGTCTTCCTTCTTTTAAATAGAAGGAATATTGAATTATATCACTGTTATTGTGTTGAGGTGTTCAAATGATTACAATAATGAATGAAGGACACAGAATGAAGTGAGTAGGTATTGAGGAGAAAGCTACTAAAGCCTAATTAATATTATTATATGAGTACTTCTCATGAAGTGCCCAGTCCTGATCAACTAAGGGACATTGCTTATGTGCCTTCTGTAACATCATTTGTTTTTGTATTATGTCGTAAAATAAAACATACAGTCAAAAATATTAAAACAAGAATTTAAAAATATACCATGCAGAAGAGACTGGGGATTAAAATAAGCAACATGACCTTTGTTTGCTAACATATAAGAGATGGCAAGTATTTGTGAAATATAAAGCTAAGAAGACATTGTTATGTGCATTATTAAGCAATCTGGTCTTATATCAACTTTTGTTTAGAGAGTATGGGCATGAACATTAATTATTATTTCATGTAACCATTGTTCCGTCAGTCATAAAATATATCTGGGAATCTAATGTTATATAGACCAATAAATAATTGTAATATATTTTATTGATTCTTACTTTATGCTTATATTCAGGTTTAAGTTTTAATTTCCAATCCCATTTTTATATTTTTACTTCATTTGCTGTTTATTCTAGTAGTACTAATGAAATAAAATGTACACTAAAAAATAAACTACATGATAGTCTAAAAATATTTTGAAGAAAATGAGAATCAATTATCTCATGATTGTATAGGTATAAGAAGTATGTGGAATGCTTTAAATGATAAAGCTTGATTAAGTCAAGTTAAGCCATGCTGACTTATTTTTCAAGTCTATCCCTATTAAAGACCAGTTTCTATGACTGCTCAGCACATGTAGAAAACTACAAAAGATTAGCTCTTTACAAAATTATTTCAAGTGCTGGTAAGTAAGTGATTATTCTTAGTTATCTTTTCCCACTTTTGATTTTTTGCCTTGCCTTTCAATGAGTACTCTAAATTATTTTACCCGAAAATGTGTTAATAATTAGTTCCAGAAAAATAAGCCATAGAAGCAGAATTCGCAATGTTAGTTCTGAAAATGTTGATGGCAGCAAGTGGTCAAGTGATCACATCTTTTTTTCTTTTTCCCGAGATGGGGTTTCACTCTTATTGCCCAGGTTGAAGTGCAATGGCGTGATCTTGGCTCACTGCAACCTCCGCCTCCTGGGTTCAACCAATTCTCCTGCTTCAGCCTCCCGAGTAGCTGGGATTACAGGCACCTGTCACCACGCCCAGCTAATTTTTTGTATTTTTAGTAGCGACGGGGTTTCATCACGTTGGCCAGGCTGGTCTAGAACTCCTGACCTCAGATGATCCACCAGCCTCGGCCTCCCAAAGTTGGGATTACAGGCATGAGCCACCGTGCCTGGCCATGATGATAAGGGCAATGACTAATATTTTGGTCAAAAAATACAGGAACTAAACATTGGGTAGGTTCAGATACAGGGAAGAAGGAAATTTACTTCAAATAATATTTTATTAGCAAAAAAAATCAACATCATTTTTTTAACCCCCAAATTGCTACAAATTATCAAGGGGTGATCATTTACATTACTAAGTTCACTTGCTGCCAATCCCATCACAGGCACATCTTTAGAATCTCTAAATAAAATTGATGTTAACAAAACTATTACCAATATTATAAATACTTGGACTTAAAGAATCCTAAACTTATAAAACAGCTTATAAATATTTTGTCCAAATTATCTACCAATTTAGAGATTCCTTCTGCCAACCCTGACAAGTTGAAAGCTTCCAGAAAAAGAGTAGTTTACACTTTTTAGGAAAAAAGAAAGTTCTGGAATGCAACAAACCCAAGTGATATTTTGCAAATATAATTGTTCTTAAAAGTTTTATAAAGCAGTAGATTGACTTAAGTGATAAGTGGCTGTGTGTGTGTGTTTGTGTGCATGCATGCATTTTTATGTTCATATGTGTGTGATCACATATGAATGTATTTATGTATATTTTATTAACATTGATGAATTTGATGACAAGGCAGGTTTCAAATTTCTATCTTTTGACAGAACCACCCCTGTTTTTTCACTGTAGTAAGTTTAAGTGTTGCTTTATAATGATTATTCAATCAAATGGTATGCATATTACCTGATTTAGTTTAGAGGGTTCTCTGGACATGGAATGTTTCCCTGCTTTATTTGGGAGTGACTTTTGAACACACTGTTTTTCTATCCTACTTGTCAATGAACAAGGCTTCTGCCGTTGAGAGTCACTGGCAAGAGATTGGACAGTGCAGGGTTGAGGGAGAAAGCTGAGCAGTTGTGTCTCTTTCTTTCTGCTTAGTGGCATCTTGTACAGTGCTTCTGCTTCATCTGTAGTCCCTGCTTCCACCTTCCACCAGCAGATTCACTGGGGTTTCTTCTACTGAATGTATCCAAATCATGGGCTCTGGTCCTCTTGTTTTCTTCCTTTGTCTTTCCATCCCTCGGAATGGTAGGTGATTCTTGCTTTTGCTAATCTTGGAATTTCCTTACTACCCACTGTTTGAGCATTCTAGGCATGTTTGTACTTAAATCCTTTTCTTAAATTCCCTTTATTGAATTATGCAACATTCTTTTAGATTCCCTGCTGGAACCTGACTTAAACCGCTGCCATTAGTTGATAATGGACATGTAAGTGATAATCTAGAGGAAAAAATACATCACATTAATATTATATATTCCAACAAGTTATGCAAAATTTTTAAAAAGAGATAAACAAGAATAGTCAAAATCTGTCAACAATGCCCCTAGATATTACTTTAGGGTTACTGTTGAGACTGAGAGACCTGAGCTGATACAGTCACAGTTTTCTTCAATGATAATATGAAGTTTGAAAAAAAAAATTACAATAAAAATTTAGTTTGGGCTGGGTGCAGTGGCTCATGCCTGTATTCCCAGCACATTGGGAGGCTGAGGTGGGTGGATCACCTGAGGTCAGGAGTTCGAGACCAGCCCGACCAACATGGTGAACCCCATCTTTGCTAAAATTACCAAAATTTAGTCAAGCATGGTGGCACACGCCTGTAGTCCCAGTTACTTGGGAGACTGAGGCAGGAGAATTGCTTCAACTTGGGAGGAGGATGTTGCAGTGAGCCAAGATCACGCCACTGCACTCCAGCCTGGGCAACAGAGCAAGACTCTGTCTCAAAAACAAACAAATAAAAACAAAAATTAGTTTGTAACTAGTTTTTTTTAAATGTAATCATATTTCATATTTTATAAATAAGTAGTAAAATGTAATCTAAAGTACATATTTAGTTTAGTTAGAATCTGCTGGAATTCCTCAAAAAATGTTCAATAATTTCGTAAGCTTACTTGAACCAAATATGTACTATTACATTGTATAAGGAAATAAATGTGACATACCTTCAGCTTTGTCTGCCATTGATAAGAATCTCTTGGTCCTTTCGGATATAAATATCTAGAACATTTTTCTCTGTTATGAAATGCAATTTCCTGCAAATAGCAGATTTTGGCATTTTGATTTCATGGGATGTCTCCATTAAATAGTAATTTATAAAAAAATGAAACAGGTAATACTGCTTTTTAAGGTGTTTTATTTTTGAATCTATTTTATCTCACAGTAGTTTTTTTTTTTTTACTTTGTGGCAAGAAAAAGTAAGATAAAATATTTTCTTTCCCTGTATTTGTGTTACCTAGAAGTGGTTCATATTTAAAGTTTATTCTTTTCACCTTGGACAATCTGACAAGGACAAAAGGTTCATATATCACGAAATACCCTGAACTGGGAGGTAAGGCTCTCTCACACATTGTGTACACAGTGTCCTACAGAGGTGACTATAATGACTGTAATACATCATCCGGAAACGGGGCTGCAGAAGCAGGGTGAATCCACGTCCCAGGAACAAAGGTTATTTATTTCTACTGTTTTGATAGGAGCTGCTAGAAGCATTTTTCTAATGGTCCTAATGAGTCTCCGAAGACCTTGCTTCTTGTCTTGTTTCTTACAGTACCTAAAAATAGAAGTCAGTATTTGGCAGCAATAAAACTAGAAAAATAGATTCAAAAGCATTCAACAAACCACTTTAAAACATTTATTTATTTTTTCTCCTGGATGGACTGTAGAAGAGTTTAAGCTTGTATCCTGTGGTTATCTTTAATCTCTTTAGGCAACACCAACAGTTGATATAAAATATATGTAATATATGCTGAAAGACTGTCTCAAATCCTTTGGATCTTAAAAGTATGGCACTTCCTAATCATGTACAGAATCATTCAAATCTATTTGAATTCTGTTCTCTGATTATATGTTTAATATGTTTACTACCATGATCTCCAAATATCAAATATACAAACTTCTCTTTGAGAAACAGCTTTGTTTACTACAAGAGTAATGCTTAAAAGTACTCTTGGTAATTTTACAATTTCTGAGTTACACAAAAATACTTTAGCTGCACAGTTTTCAGAATGCTGCCAGCTGGACATTGCCCTCTATATATTTTTAAATATTAGGAATAAGGGGGTCTTGGGATAATGCAGGCAGTTACACTGGATTAATCTTGACCTTATCAATATGACAACCTGGTGGTTAACCAGGCATCCCAGAACAGTCATTCATTGTCATAGGCCTGACACTAGAATAGACCATCCCAAAAGGGATCAGACTCAGAAAAATTTGTTCAAATCTGTAAATTTATACAAACATAATTTTGAACAGAGAAAATATAAGAAAGATTTTTGAGAAAATAAATTACTAAAATAATGTTACATTTACACTTAACAACTAGTTCATTTTATATAATAGAAAAAAATGTATATGCACTTATATGAACTTTAACTTTGGCCCAGTAACTTTGTCAAGTCACTTGGCATTTCATATGTTCTTTTTCACTTTCTGAAAAGATATCACTATTCACTCTTCCTCCTTCCTTTGCCATTTTATACATCCAATTGCTTACTTTTTCCCCTTCTTTCTTTGACTTTCACTGCCAGAAAAATTCTGTTTCACTTTCTATTAAAATGACAAATTAAGATTCCTATTTAAACTTGATTATTAGTAATATTGTAAAAACAAATGTGTAAATGTTAACTGAGTTCCTTGAATACATAAAAAAAAAAAAAACTTAAGTCTCTCAGTATAAAATAAACAGTGCACACAATGGGGGAGTGCTTTTATTTCCTTCTCCTACTGACAAGAGTAGAAGTCTGTTTTTCGCATAAACTACGTAAAATACATTTATGTATTTTAAAAATATACTATAGGTTTTAGTTTATGTTAGTTTAATCCTGACAAAATATTTTAAGTGAGATAAATATGGTGTATGTTCAAAGTAACAAAAGAAAAATTGAAATTATGTTGAAACCCATCGTGAAAAATACAGACGTTTTACCCCAAAAATGTAAAACTAAGAGAGTATGGCACTTCTTAACTCTGTATGCAGTTGCCTATTTTAAAATTTGTTTTAGCAGTTCAATCTAGATGTTCTGTTAATAATTTGACCCCCGCCTAAAGTCATTAAAAATTTATAAAAATGCATATAAAGTAGAAGACTCTTGAACAAGAAAATGCTATATAGATAGATATTAAAAAGGAACAAAGATTGTCTGAACTCTAAATTAATGAAATGACTGGATCTAGTCTTAAAAAGTCAGAATGACATCCCATGGAAATTTTAAAATAAAAAGTTAGAGGAAAGTGTGTATCTGCAGAAGATTTAGCAACTTCTATGTTTTAAGTTAATTACTCTTGAATTTGTCCCTTGGGTACTTAAACTGAGAATAGGAATTACATGTGAGTTTTTAAAATTTATTTAAAATTTATCTATCTGAAATATATTGAAACTCTCTCTAAGCTGAATTCCTGTGAGAAGTCTTATTATAATACATTGCTTCTATTGCCTCATTTTGGTGAGCAACATCATTTATTTTACTTAACATGGGTGAGTAGTTTATTCTCATGAACTATATTATCTTAAATAAGTTCATCTTGCAAAAATAACAATGATTACTATTCTTATTGCTTATTACGATGTACATAATGTGTAGCTAGGTCATAACTTTTCCATTTAGAAACAGTTCTCTATAAAATAGGCATAAGGATAATTTGTTACAAGAATTTTAAAATATGCTTGTTTCCAAACCCCAGAAATCTATTAACTCTCCTAATAAATTTGCAATAACGGCAAAAATATTTTTCTTTTATTGCATATCGTTTATAGTAATAATGCTTTCCTGTCATTATCTATCATCTATAGAGACCTAATCTTTTTTCTTCAGTCAAAAATCTAAATGATACCGTACATGACTGACTACTTTATCGTTTTATAATACAAAATCAGATGTATGCTCATTTGAATGACACAAGAAATCAATATACATACTTATTTAAAATGTTTTAGTATATTTAAAATGAATGAATAAAAATAATAGGTTTACACTGAGAGAACAAGTGAACATTGTGATGAAGGAGAAACATAGAATCCAAAAATAAATTTTAATGATAAGATTTTGGGGAGTGGAAAATCTAATAGAAGTGATATATTTAAAAGTCACAGAAAAAGAAAGTTTTAATATACATTTAAAGCTGATTAATTAAAGGTGCAGATATAATGCAAATGCTAGGTTCTTGTGTGGGTTTTTATTTATTTATTTTTTAAAGCCTTCCTTTGCCTCCGTTTGGAAAAGCATGATTCATGGAATAATGAATAGCTGTATTTTGCTTCACCACTAAGCAAGACCATAGCCTTTTTCAGACATGCAAATGAAACCATCCTTGGAGTTCTTTTAGGATGGTAGCCAGGAAATTTGCTGTATTGAATGGATAAGGAAAATGAATTGTTTAGGGTGATCCAAGGGTGTATAAGTAGAAGTAATGGCATGAAACGAAGTGAAAAGAAAACCTGGGCTGATCTTCAAATTGATGTCCTGAGTGAAGTTTATTAGGCTACATAATTGTCTCCCAAGGGAAATAGTGAAAGCACCATTATTTTAGTCACTTAAAATTAACCAGGCAGAATATTCCAGGACACAATGTAAAAAATAATCCTGTATTGCCAGAATCAGATGGAAGAGATGATCTAACAGGTCTTTCCCATCATTAATTTCCAGTCTATGAACGACATCGTAGCTGCAATTAGCTCTGTTTAAGTGAAAGAGCAATTTTAGTACTACTCCTAGCTTCCCTGGAGCTAAAAAGTCTGGACCTAATTCAAAATAAAAACAAGAGGAGGAGTGCTGGAGCCAAACACAATTACAATAAGTATATCTAGAAGGGTCAAAAGAAGGAAATTCTAATGTTCTCAGTGCTACTATACACAACTGTTCGTTCTGTTTTTTTTTTTCTTTATTCTAAAAGAAACTTTGGTGGCTATCCCAGTATTATTCCTTTTCACTCATGCTTTATCTTGATTCATTGATTTATTCTCAAGCTCAGGAATAATGAGTGGTTGGAGAATTTAAGACTTGGCTCTCTAGGTAGCCACTTAAAATTTGTTCATGTCTTTATTCTCCCCATTTGCATGTTATTTTATCAAGTAAATTCTAAAAATTCAAAACATGCAAATCACTCCCCAGTGATTCTGTAAAATGAGACTGACCAGAGCCATCAATTCCTGGATATTTAACTCACTCAATACCCTTAGTAACTCTCCATGTAATAATTTTTTAAAATTATGTAACTTTTCTTCAGATGTCTGTGAATGATTTATTCTTTTTTGTTAGGTAAAAAAATTAGAGAAATGTGAATAAGCAGCTCTGTGTTTTTGGCTCTGATTTTAAATCACAACATAACGTTAAGAATTTGAATGAGAAGACAATTTGACTATCACGCTTTTTAGCAGTAAACAGGCAAAAAGGCAAAATGAACACAAAATTACAGAAGACTTTTCCCAGTGAAAGGAAAACTATTATTATGTCAGTAATTGTGATCACAAAATTTATCCAGCGTTTGTGGGAAAAAGAGTTTAGCTGATTGTACCTACAATATACTGGTGATATTTGTCCTACTTATTCAAAAGAAATAACTCATGTTTTTTAACTCTACAGTCGTTGACAAGCCACAGTCTCTACCTTCAAAAAGTCCACATATTTATTATTCCTGGGTGGTTCAAGGAGAGAATCACAGTTTGCTATTCCATATATGTGTGTGTATATAGCGAAGATATGAAAAGGCATTTCTGGACTTTAGAACTTTAGGGCAGAATGAAAAATAACACACAAATTATAAGTATGTAGTCTGAGGAATAACAGTTTTATATGGCCAAAAGAAGAGCATTTAGCAAATAGTGTTAAGAAAAAGCTAGGAACAGTAGAACAAGGAATAGTAGAACAGCCTGTGGCAGAATTGAGGCCTTGCAAATGATCACCATGAAGATCCCAATACTAGAATTTGGTGTTTGGACTCCTTTCCAGACACAGCTCTGCCCGCCATCATGGCTGGTCCCATCAGGCTGTGTCCATGGGACCCCTTACTCCCTGGGGAGCTGGACGTCTGGCCTCCTGCTATAGCCTCTGCTACAATGCTGGGCAAAGACCAGGTGCTTACCAATAGCCACAGTTTCAATTATTTTAGGAAGGAAGAAGAAAGTGAATGGCATTTGGGGGTGCTTTTATGTAAGCCTCACCCCACCACACTGGGGCCTTCCATTCTTCCAAGGACATCCATCCATGCCATTGCTGGGTTCTTTCACCTCCCTGCTCAAGAAAGATTATCCCGTTTTGCAGATCCTCTTCACCACGGCTCACTAAGGGACAGTTCTGCAGCAGGCATCCCATGTAGGAAGCTCAAGGAGGCCGTTGTCACTGGAGAGAGAACCAGAAGGGACCTTAGAAGTCAGCTTACTCAACCCTCCTGCCTCCAGTCCCACTGTACAGATGATGAAACTCAAGCCCAAAAGGGCAGGGTTGCCCCAGGTTCCACTGTGTATAACAAGGATTCTGAATACAGGTTTGCCTCATTTTATTTATTTTCCTTTTTTTTTTTTTTTTTTTTTTTTTTTTTTTTTTTTTTTTTACAAATTTAAGATTTGTGGCAACTGTGCTTTCAGCAATTCTATTTGCGCCATTTTCCCAACAGCATGTGCTCACTTTACGTGTCCGTGTTGCATTTTGGTAATACATTATTTCAAACTTTTTTTTTGTTATTGTTATATCTGTTGTGGTGATCTGCCATTAGTAATTTTTGACTTTAAAATTACAATTGTTCTGGAGTATCACAAGCCACACCTGTGTAAAATGGAAAATTTTCGACAAATACTGTGTGTATTCTGACAGCTCTACTGACAGGCCACACCCTCATTGCTCTTTCCTTTTCAGACATCCCTATTCTCTGAAGGAAGTCATTATTCCCACAATGATATTAAAATTAGGCCAATTCATAACCTTAAAATGACCTGTTAAGTGTTCAAGTGAAAGGAAGTGTCACATGTCTCTCATTTTAAATCGAAAGCTAGAAATGATTAAGCTTACTGAGGAAAGTATATCTAAAGCTGAGATAGGGTGGAAGCTATACCTCTTGTGCCAAAAAATCAGCTAAGTTGTAAATCCAAGGAAGGGTTCTTGAAGGAAATTAAAAATGCTCCTCCAGTGAACACATAAATGGAAAGAAAGTAGAACACCCTTATTGTTGATATGAAGAAAGCTTTCATTGTCTGGAAGGAAGATCAAAGTAGCCGCAACATTCACTTAAGCTAAAGCATAATCCAGAGCAATGCCCTGACTTTCTTCAATTCTGTGAAGGGTGTGAGAGGTGAAGAATCTGCTGAAGAGAAATTGGAAGCTAGCAGAGGCTGGTACATAAGGTTTAAGGAAAAAAGGCCGATGTCTAGCATGAAAATGCAGGGCACAGCAGCAAGTGCTGAAGTAGAATTACAGCAAATTATCCAGAAGACCTAGCTAGGATGATTACTGAAGGTGGCTACACTAAAAAGCAGATTTTCAGTATAGATGGCACAGCCCTCTATCAGAAGAAAATGCCATCTAACATTTACATAGCTAGAGAGTAGAAGTCAATGGCTGGCTTCAAAGCATCAAAGCACAGGCTGACTCTTTTGTTAGGGACTAATGTAGCTGGTGACTTGAAGTTGAAGCTTATGCTCATTTACAATTTTCAAAAACCTAGGGTTTTTAAAAATTATGCTAAATTTACTCTGCCTGTGCTCCATAAATAAAACAACAAGGCCTTGATGAAAGTATATCATCATGGTTTACTGAATATTTTAAGTCCACTACTAGGATCTACTGATCAGGAAAAATATATATTTCTTGCAAAATATTGTTGCACATTCAAAATGCACCTGGTTACCCAAGAGCTCTAATGGAGATGAACAAGGAAATTAATGTTGTTTACATGCTTGCTAAAACAATATTTATCCCGGAGTACATGGTTTGAGAATTTTAACTTTCAGGTCCAATCATTTAAGAAAGATGTTTCCGGACGGCTATGCCTGCCACAGACAGTAATTTCTATGATAGATCTGGGCAAGGTAAATTAAAACTTCCTGGAAAGAATTCACCATTCTAGATGCCATTCAGAACTTTTGTGACTCATAGAAGGAGGTTAAAATATCAACATTAACAGGAATTAGAAAGAAGTTGATTTTAATCCTTGTGGATGATTTTGAGGGGTTCAAGACATTAGCAGAGGGATTAACTCCACATGTGACAGAAATAGCAAGAGAGCTAGAATTGGAAGTGGAGCCTGAAGATGTGACTGAATTGCTGCAACATCATGATAACACTTGAATGAATGAAAAATTGCTTCTTGTGGATGAACAAAGAAAGTGGTTTCTTGAGATGGAATCTGCTCCTGGAGAGTGTGCAGTAAATAATGTTGAAATGACAACAATGAATTTAGAATATCTCACAAGCTTTGTTGGTAGAGCAGCAGGGTTTGAAAGATTGACTTCAATTTTAAAAGTTCTATTGTAAGTAAAATGCTATCTAACAGCCTTCCATGCTACAGATAGATCTTTTACGCAAGGAAGAGTCCATTGAGGTGGCAAACCTCATTGTTTTCTCATTTTAAGAAATTGCCACATTTATCCCAACCTTCACTAACCACCATCCTGAGTAGTCAGAAGCCATCAACATCAATGCAGGGCCCATAACCAGCAAAAAGATTGCAACTTGCTGGATGCTCAGATCATTAGCAATTTTTAGCAATAGTTTTAAATAAAGTTATATATGTCATTTTTTAGGCATTATGCAAGTGCACATTTAATTGACTACAGTATAATGTAAAGATAGCTTTTATATGCACTGAGAAATCAAAAATTTTCCATGACTCACTTATTCTGATATTTGCTTTATTGCAGTTGTCTGAACCAAACCTGTAATGTCTTCAAGGTAGGCTTTTATTATGGCCTCCATTAACTGGCCATAGAAAACCATTGAAATACTCTTTATTTGTTTGTTTGTTTGTTTAGCTGAGGACTATCCTGATCAAATATGCATACTTCAAAGATTGCTTCAATGGACCGAATGGAAGGAAGAGGTTGCTGATACCATGGAAATCAGTTAAAAGGCTCATGAAAGAATGCAAACAAAAAGTTTTTTCAACTGAATTTGTCCTGCTCTACACCTCTTCCTCCACCCCTCCAAAATAAAACAAGATAATACTGCCAAATCTTGGATAAGTATTATTCTTTCTATTATAATCCAGAGGAGATCAAACGCAGTTAGGCTAAAGAGATTTAAAAAGTTTATCCATGTAATTTATGGCAAGATGAATAGCACAGTAACCTTGGCTGAATCAGTACGTAGAGCACCAAGCTGAATTTCGAAAGGATAACAAATGGAAGCAGAAACCACCCTGTAATCGAAGCTACTAAGTTCAAAATTGGCCTGAGGAATTTCACCTGCTGTTGTGGACTTATTTAACAGGTAAGATTGGGAGTCAGTGCTATCACTCTCCTAATATTAGATGAGAGAGTTAATAGAGTAGAGGCAAAGTTCCAAAGACCATACGAAGGAAGGGACTTTTAATCTCAACAGCATCACTCATTATCAAAAAGGAGCACCACAAAAAAATTACCATAAAGGTAAAATATGTATTTTTCTATGGCCACTTTTAGAAATTATTTTTCTTGGCCATATTTTCTTAGAAACATGGGCATGACAACTTGAACATTCACTTTATAAAGATCATGTCACTCTGCTACATTTAATGGAATATTATTTTAATCACATTTAAAACAACCTCTATTATTGTTACCTAGATATAATTTTCTTTAGCAATTAATCTACACATTTTTTTATTTATTTTAAACTTTTCAACTCATCTTTATTATAAACACCAGAACTTTCCCAAAGCCTGTTACTACAGAATACACTTTACTATTGAAGAAGCTTAGACCTTATCATTGGAGATATTTTCACCCATCATAGATTTCTATAGAAATAGCTTCTCTGTTTATCAGGTGAGCTCCAGTGTGTTTAAAGTCATAAGATGTTTTATGTAGCCTATCTCTGTATATCAGAAGGTGAACATACATTATCTTAAAAGCTTCTCTAGAAATGACTGGCTCCTCATTCACCATAGTGACCTTATATCCCAAGGTCATCAGAGAACAGAGAAAAGATAAAACACCAGAACCCTTACAGATTTCTCAGCACCTACACATGAACTTCCTTGCCTCACAGTCCTCCTCCTCCTCTTTGTTCACTTGCATTAGAATAGATCTTCTAGGTGTATGTGGGAAGTATTAAATATCACAGGGTACATAGAGCTAAAATGGGAAGGATGAAGGGTGCTTCCAAGGATAAATGTGTTCAAATCATGGGGCAAAGTTGGTATCCTCTTTGTGTCTCACCTAACAATGTTCCTTGACTATCTTTCTTGACATGTGAAACTTTATAGTATGAAAGAAAACTGAATTTGGAACAAGATTGTCAAATATTATACTCAAAAAAGGTATTTTCTTAAGGCATTTATGTGTTGATCTAAAATGTGTCCAATTGAAATTTATCTGTCAAAACACAATGCCTTTCTGGTAATCTTGGGCTCTAAGAGGCAAATGAAATCTCCCAAGAGATGCAAATCATCATCTTCTTTATCAAGTTACCTCCACATATCTAGGGAGCTTGATTACTGAAGAACAGTACTAATACTAGCTTTCCTCTGCAGTATATGAACTGCTTTTCAATCATTTTATAGAAAAGAAAAGTGATCAGTAGGTATTAACAACCTATCTACGATAACAATCGTATTTTTCTGAATTCACAAAAGTTTTTCATAAACATTTTTAAAATCTACTTTTTTTCCTGCAAGTATTTGTATGCTTGGTTTTTGCTATGTGCTTTGCAAATATTTTCTCTACTTCTCCTGTAAAGTAGGCATGATTTTCTAATTTTTGCAGATATAAAAACAAAAGTTGAGTCCGGTTCTGGAAGTAAAGGGTGAGTCCAAGAAATCCCTGAATGGATCCACCATCTCTGGCCTAATCAATGTCACCATGAAGGGGACCTGCAGGCATTAGAGTGGGTCTTAGTCATCATCTCCATGACTGAGCGGTGAAGAAGGAACCCAGGTGCCACTCATTATTGGATCTCTCTCAGTCTCAGAAAATAAGCTTTGCACCCGGGGCAGAGATGAGGAGCAGATAAAGTAGCAGCTCCCAGTGACCTCAAATCCACAGAATCTTTCAGTTACGTGTACTGTAAGAAATATTTAAGATATAATTAACTGAAACACACTAAGAAAGATACTATGTGCAGTAGATTGTTATAAAGAAGGTAAACCAGGAAGCAACTCTGTGGTTTATGAGGTGGAAAGGCTTGAGGTTTGATGTCGTTAAAGGGAATTAAGTACAGAGGCCACAAATGTTACAGGTGGTGCTGCAGTTGAAGGCAGAAAATATGCAGCGATCATAACTCTAATACATATTACCCACAACAGATTACCTCCAAAATGGTGACAGTCAGGCCACCTCCAAAATGATGAGTCAGGAAAAGATGAAGTTAGAGAGCTCTCCTTGAAAGCAACCCAGTAGCTTCTTTCTTATTAAATGAGAAAATACTATTACTCTCTATCACTATATGTTAAGCTTCCCTGAGCTGAGAACACTGACAGCCATGGCTAAGGTACAGGAGGTAGACCAATGAGACAGAACATGCACTAGGAATGAAGATGAACACTTTGAAGAGGACCAGCTTACCAATGACAGCTTAGAGATACCATCAGTAAAGAGGGTAAGAAAAAATCAGACAACAAAACCCAGGAAAAACAGCTACCTCAATTTTGGTACTGCTATCCTTTTAATTACCTACCCAAACACAAGAAAATTGATAAAGAGGGGAAATCTAGCATATTACTCATCTGAAAACAAAATCCCTTATCACAGAAAATCTTAAACTCTTGCTACACAAAGTGTAATTCAGGGACAAGCAGCAGCGCCATCTCATAGAACCTTGTTAGACATACAGAAACTGAAACCCCACCTCAAATCTACTAAGTCAGAATCCTCACTTTTACAGTTTTCTCAGTTGTACACATTAGGGTTAAGTAGCACTCCCTTAAATCACAATAAGCCTGCTACAGACTGAATATTTGCATTCCTCCAAAATTTATATGTTGAAATCTAACTCCCAGTATGATGGTATTAAGAGGTGTAGCCTTTGGAAGTTACTGAGGTCATGAGGCAAAGTCCTCATGAATGGGATTAGTGCCCTTATCCAAGACATGAGAGTGCTTGTTTTTTCTCTATCTGCTCTCTGCCATATGAGGATACACTCAGAAATGTCCATGTGCAACAAGGCAGCTGGGCCCTACCAGACACCTGCTCTGCCTGCATCTTGATCCTGGACTTCTTAGCTTCCAGCACTATGAGAAATAAATTTCTGTTGTTTGTAAGCCACCTAGTCTAGGGTGCTTTGTTGTAGTAGTCTGAATTAATTAAGATAAAGGCAAAGGGACACGAGCAGCAGATCAGCCAGATGGGCACAATACATCTGCTGCAAAGCTGTGCAAGGGAAAACTGATTTAATGCTGCCTTGGCAACTCTATATTCATCTAGTTTAGTTATTCAACGAGAAGTAATTGACATGAAATTACAGCAATAAGATTTGAACTAAAGGAGATAGAAAGAGCTCAGATGGTAGAAAATGTTTAAAATGTATGAATGTGTGAAGTTTACTGTCTTAAAATTGTTAATAGGTTTGAAATATCTTAAATAATTAGTAAAATAATAAACATAAATAAAATATGACAAAAAAAAATTACCTGTCAACAGAATAAAAAGGTCAGTGTATATGGGCAATCCTTTTGTTATATTTGTGTCTTAGTCCATTCAGGTTGTTATAAAAAATACTTTAAACTCAGTAATTTATACACAACGTAAGTTTATTGCTCACAGATCTAAAAGCTGGAAAGTTCAAGATTAAGTCACCAGAAGATTCATTATCTGATGAGGGCTCTCTGCTTCACAAATGGCACCTTCTTGCTGTATCTTAGATGATAGAAGGGTAAGGAGAAAGGCAAGCTCACCTAAATCTCTTTTTTTTTTTTAAATAAGTGAACTAATCACATTCATGAGAATATTAGTTTCAACATCTAGTCACTTTCTAAAGGTCCTGTCACTTAATACCAACATATTGTGGCTTAGATTTCCACATATTAATTTGGGGGGACACAAAATTCAGACCATAGCATTTGCCCCTGGCCACTCAAAATTAATGTCCTTCTCACATGCAAAGTAAATTAATTTAATTCTAGTAGCCCCAATTTCTTAACTTTTTCAAGATAAACTTTAAAGTCTAAGTCCAGTCTCAACTAAATATCATCTAAATTACATAGAGGTGAAATTAAAGGTGTGATTTATCCTAAGGCAAATTTCTCTCCAGCTGTGAGCCTGCAAAATCAAGTAAGTTATGTGCGTCCAACATAAAATAGTGAAACATGCATAGAATAAACTTTTTCGTTCCCAAAAAGGAGAAATCAGAAGAAACCAAGGAGTAACAGGTCTCAAGTAAGTCTAAAACCCAAGAGGAAAAACAACATTCAATTTTAAATCTTGAAAATAATTTTCTTTGACTCAATATTACAACTTCCAGACACACTGGCTTGTGGAATGAACCTCCTCAATATTACAACTTCTAGACACACTGGCTTGTGGAATGAACCTCCAGGCTCTGGACAGTCCCTTTCCCATGGCTTAGCTGGGTGTAGCCCAATTCTAGGGATTGAGAAGTTGGAGATGAAGTTTGCAGCTGATTTGGTGTCTGGTAAAGGCCCTCTGCTTCATAAATGGTGCTTTCTTCAGGCATTCTCATATAGCAGGAGGGCAAAGGGGAAAACAAGCTCACTCAGACCCCTTTTATAATGGCACTAATCCCATTCTGAAGGGTTCTATTCTTATAATCTCCTTACCTCCCAAAGGTCCCACTTTTTTTTTTTTTTTTTTTTTTTTTTTGGAGACGGACTTTTGCTCTTGTTGCCCAGGCTGAAGTGCAATAGCGGATCTCGGCTCACCGCAACCTCTGCCTCCCTGACCTCAGGTGTGCCGCCCGCCTCCGTTTCCCAAAATGCTAAGACTACAGGCATGAGCCACCGCGCCCGGCCTGGCCCCACTTCTTAATATCAACATATTGGGGATTAGATTGCAACATACGAATTTCGGAGGCATGCAAACTTTCAAACTATAGCACCTTTGTCACTAAGTTTTTCAGGTAAGAGACAGGAGCTACAGATGTAGGATTTAACATACTAGGGTAAAAAAATCTGAAGTTCTAAGTTTGAATGGAAATATTTATTTGAACTAATGATTCATATCTTTAAAATGTACAATTTATTCCATTTTCCCTTTCCTTCATCCTGCTCCTCTTCCTCCTACTCCTTCTTACCCCTTCCTCTTTCTAAACTTTTGAAATATAAGGACTATAATTAGATTCAGGTTAGATCTTTTTCTTTTCTTTTCTTTTCTTTTTTTTTAATGCAAGAATGCCTTATAGGTGGCTCGTGTTTTTTCATCTAGAGGTACAAATAAGCTTTTTGTCTTTGTTTTCGTCATACTAGTGGCTATTATTATTGCCTAAATCAAGAATTTTATTAGGAGTTTATAAAATGGGATTTGTATATAATTTCTTCTTTTTCTACCAACTACAATAATTCTAAAGAGAGACACATTTTCTTGAGAATTATTTGGTTATCTATGGTAGATTTAGAAATAAAAATCAAGATAAATATTTGATTGTTTTCTTTTATTTGTCATTTTTCAAACAAGTTATTTCTAGACATTTTCCAAAAGTACCAATGGGAATTAATCTACAATATTTTAGTGGCTTAATAAACTAATGGAATTTGACATACTATGTTCCAATCCATTGCAGTTACTCCTTTTGATGTATTTCCCACCTTCGATCTATGGAAGCCTCCTCAAGGGAGTTTATTTTGCAACTCCAGCCGTCTTTGATAGCATTCTTGCTCTTGTGATGGCAATGTAATTTGTACCTTTTATGTCTCAGACTGGGAATGAATAATTTAAAGGCACCTTTAGAGTTTTTCACATGTCCTCATATACAGTCAATTTGAACAAGTTAAAATTTTTAGGGAACCTCATCTTTAATATAACATTACAAACTGTTTTCCAGTAGTAACCAACTGTAAACCATTGCTAATGAAGAACTTAAATAACAACAACAATAACAACAAAACAATGGTGGAAATATAAGTAGGATAATCTTTGAGAGTATAATCATTGAACTGAATGAGAAAGGAGGAGCTTGGCCTTCAGAAATAAGATGTTTTATAAAGAGAAGGTGAAGGGATTTTAGAAATATTATCAAAGAAGATAAGGCTTGAATGCTCAATCCAGAATAAATGTAGGCCACTTAAAAATATTTGATTGCAATTTTACATAGAGAAAATTTACAAATGATAATTCTGTACTTCTATGAATTCTCACAAATGTGACCAGGACCCAGATGGCAGAAGATAAACTATACCCCAGAAGCCACCTTCATTGTTCTGATTAAAGGAAGAACCAAGAATGAAAAATAAGTATGATGATGCTATTTTAGTATAGGAGGAAAAGATAAGCAGAGAAAAGAAAAGGAGAAAAAGATGGAAGAAAGAAGGAAGGAAAGGAGAGATAGAGGGAGGAGGGAAAAAGATTGAAAAGCATCCCAAAGGTTTAAAATCACTAGAAGGAAGAAAGTTCCTAAGAGAAAAAGAAATCAAATTAGGGAAAAATATACACCAGATTCTGAATCAAGGATAATGAAACTCGTAATAGGATATCTCCATCTCAGATTCCCCCTAACTCTAACAATTAGCTTCTTCTTCTTAGCTAAGGAGTGTCAAACATAGAATAATACATTTAGTAGGAGACTAAATTTTAATAGCATATTCCTTTCCATTCTTAAATAGAATTTTGCCACCCAATGTATCAAAGTGAGAACAACAGGTTTTCCAAAAGGGAGAAATAACGATATAATTTACCTGATACTTTTGTTAACTCATCTTCAAGAATGAACTGCTAAATATTCTGAAAATTCTCTAAACATTTCAGCATGTCAGACTCAGCACTCAAAACAATTTTGATGTTTCTACAATCTATCATATTTTGCTTAGTGAATGCATCTTTTGCACTCAAGAGTTTAAGTCCAGGTAGTACAATTCTGTTGCTTTCTAATGCTGAGCTACATTTCTAAAACAGTTCTTTTCCTAATACTTCTAAACCTTCACTGATCCAAATATACAAGCACATTCGTCAATAAAGGCAGACATATTTTAATTCACGTATACTTCACAAATCTTGAATTGTTACAAGCTCATTTACAGTTCAGCAAGGCAACTGTGATTTAATAAAGAACAGATAACACCAAATTATTTTTTTCAAGGAAAGTACATAAAATAGGAGGATGAATACACTGGCAAAATGTTTTTATTTACTCAAAAAATAACCTTGAAGTAAACTAAAAATATGTACTGACAAAGTGATCTAAACTGAGAAAATGTCATTAGATCACTGTGATATTCAATCTCTTACTAATGACAATATGTGACAAATATTGTGAGTACCTACACAGCTGCTTAATACAACTAGAAGGAAAACTCAACTATTCTATTTCAAAGCTATTTCTCCAGAAGTCTATATTGGAACAATTTTTATTTCTAAAATACATATAATTTTCAGTAATAAGAAATCAGTCAAAACTCTTATTACAATAGAAAAATTTAACTCTCCAATTTTATGCCACTTTCTATGAGGTTAAATTTAACTTAATGTATCTTTCAACTAATCCTTTTAAATCTGAACATTCCTTTCCAACATCTATACAATGTCTTGTGCATGCACAGTACTCCATTTTCCTTGGAAATTACAGGTATTTCTCATTTTATTGTGCTTCATAAACACTTTTTTTTAACAAAT
The DNA here is from genome assembly GCF_000001405.40 of Homo sapiens. Lineage (NCBI taxonomy): Eukaryota > Metazoa > Chordata > Mammalia > Primates > Hominidae > Homo > Homo sapiens. The sequence goes on along the minus strand of NC_000004.12, from coordinate 64,877,904 downwards.
CAAAGTTTTGTGGCAGCCTTACATCAAGTAGGTTTTTGACACCATTTTTTCCAATAGCATGGGCTCACTTCATGTCTCTGTGTCACAATTTTGTAATTCTTAAAATATTTCAAGCTTTTAATTATTATTATGTCTGTTATTTTAATTATTATTTTGTCTGTAATGGTTATCTGTAATCAGTGATCTTAGATGTTACTATTCTAATTGTTTTGGGGCACCAAGAACTGAGCCCATATAAGATGACAAACTTAATTGATAAATATTAGGTGTGTTCTGACTACTCCACTGACCATCCATTCCCCACTCTTTCTTCCTCACCTCATTCAGGCCTCAAACAAACCACAACATTCTCTTTACCCAAAGCCCAAACCAGAGCAAGGCCATAACACTTTTCTATTCTATAAAGGCTTAGAAAGGTGAAAAAGCTGCAGAAGGGAAGTTGGAAGCTGGCAGAGGTTGGTTCATGAAGTTGGCTTACAATCTCCATAACACCAGATGTCAAGGTGAAGCAGCAAGTGATGATGTAAGCTACAGTAAGTTATACAGAAAATCTAGCTAAGATAATTAATTGATAGAGGTGGTTACACTAAACAAATAATTTTCAGTGTAGATAGAACAGCCTTCTATTAGAAGATACCATCTAGGACTTTAATAGCTAGAAAGGAGGAGAAATCAATGCCCCACCTCAAAGCTTAAAAGGACAGGCTGACACTCTTGTTAGGGTTAATGCAGATGGTGACTTGAATTTGAAGCCAATGCTCATTTACCATACCAAACATCTGAGAGCACTTAAGGTTTATGCTAATTCTACTTTACCTGTATAAATGGAACAACAAAGTAATATAGTCAACACTATAAATTGAACAAACAGATGATGGCACATTTGTTTACAGTATGGTTTAGTGAATATTTTAAGTCCACTGTTGAGTCCTATTGCTCAGAAAAAAAAAGATTCCTTTCAAAATGTTACTGCCCATTGACAATGCACTTATTCATACAAGAGCTCTCTGATGGAGAGGTACAAACAATTTAATATTGTTTTCATGTTTGATAAAAACCACATATATTCTGCAGCCCATAGGTCAAGGCATCATTTCACTTTCAAGTCTTAATACTTAAGAAATACATTTCAAAAGGCTTTAGCACCATAAATAGTGATTCCTCTGATAGATGTAAGCAAAGTAAATTGAAAATATTTTGGAAATTATTCACTATCCTAGTTTTCATTCAGCACATTCATGATTCATGAAAGAAGGTCAAAAGCAAACATTGACAAGAGTTTGGAAGAAGTTTATTTCAACCCTCATCAATGACTTTGAGTGGTCAAAACATTAGTGGAGAAAGTAACTGCAGATTTGGTGGAAATAGCAAGAGAAGTAGAATTAGAATTGGAATCCGATGATGTGACCGAATTGCTGCAATCTCATGATGAAACTAGAAGGGATGAAGTGTTGCTTCTTATGAATGAGCAAAGAAAGTGGTCTCTTGAGAGGGAATCTATTCCTGGTAGAGATTCTGTGAACATCATTGAAATGACAACAAAGATTTGAGAACATTTTATGAACTTAGTTGACAAAGCAGTGGCAAGGACTGAGAGGATTGACTCCAATTTTGAAAAAAGGATTACTTGATTAAAATTCTACCAAACAGCACCATCTGCTATAGAGAAAATTTTTGTGAAAGGAGGAGGCAATCCATGTGGCAGGCGTTATGTTTGTGTTATTTTTAAACATTGCCACATTCATCCCATTCAGCAACCACCATCTTGATCAGTTAGCAGCCAGCAACACCCAAGACTCTCCACCAGCAAAAACGCTACAACTTACTGAAGTCTCCGATGCTTGTTAGCACTTTTTAGCAATAAAGTGTTTTTAATTAAGGTATATAAATTGTTTTTAGACAAAATTGTATTGTACATTTAACAGACTACAGTATAATGTAAACATAACTTATCTTGTATGCACTGAGAAACCAAAAAATTCATGTGACTTGTTTTATTACATTTGCTTTTTGCAGTAGTTTGAAACTGAATCCACAGTATCTTTGAGGTATACCTACATATAACAAAGTTTCTTTAGAATGTATTACTTTGTAATTAACCATAACAGAATGCTCTCAATACAATAATACTTGTTTTGCTAGTTTAATTTATTTCTGTTAAGAGGTTGATTATCAAATATTTATGTTATTAGTTTCATATAAATACATGATTTTTTGAGATATATATTTTGAATACTTGAATATTTTTGATATATATATTTTGAATACACACTTGGGGCAATATGTGTCTTGATATTTTAAAACCTACCAACCGCAACTTCTACTTCTAGCCATAAGGGCATATTCCCCTGTATTTTACAAAGTTATTAGTTTGTAACATATTGGAAAAAGAAAACTGGTCCTTCATTCCAAGTCTTTTGAGAAGCAAATATCCATTCTACTGCAGCCTAGATTGGAAGAAAATTCAAAGGAACTCTGCTTTGTTCCTATGTTTTGGAGCTAAACTTTCCCTTTCCATACTATTATATAAAAAGAAGTCCAAGTTCTTTCAACCTCTATTCCATAGGCTTTGAAGATTGATTGAATTATTAATGCCCTAAAAATCTCCCAAACACAATGAGGCATTCATTAATCCAGGATGAGCAATCGGTAGGCAGTTGATTTGCTGCAGGCCAAAGGATGGTAACAAAATGTGCATATTGGCCCTGAATTAGTTTCCACAGGATTTCCAGTACTTGGACCTAACCGCCTACATTTGGTCTTCTACCGACTTCTCTCACCAAAGATGAATAACTCTGTTTTTCTTCTGTGGTTCTTGAGAACTTGAGTTTCCAAGGCCCTGGTGTTCCTCCTCCTTCTTTCCTATTACTTCCTTAAATAAATATTAATCTAGTTTCTGCTGCCTGAAGAACTCTTTTTAAAAACATGAACATGAATCTTTTTGACCAGTGCAATATTCACAGCCTTTGTGCTAGCCTTGTAATAGAGGGCTCAAACAACTATGAGGGGTAGAAAAAGAGAAAGGGTATGCAGTAAAATTGATAGAAAATGGGATGAGAAAAGCACACAGATTAAAACTCTGATATATAATCCTACCAAGTTTTCATACATTTTAAATTTATTGCTGCAAAAACTATTCATCCTTATATTATAGATTTTGAACTGAAGTTAAGTATTAACTTGTCAAGGGCAGAGCACAGTTAATGAGTAGTAGACCCAGTTGTCAACTCAGTTCCTTCTAACTCCAAAATTCTTATACTAGACTTATTGTATTTCAGTCAGTTCAGTTTCACTCACAACATGATAACATATAAATAATTAATACTTTTTATAACTTTCATTTGTTCTCTTTGGCAACCTAACTGAGATGAGTGGAGTTGGTAAATGACATGTTCAGAACAATCTTACTACATTGAAAACAATGTACATTAGTTATCAAGACTAAGCCTAAATTTTGAAAAAAAACTCTCGAATAAATAAAACCTAAAAATAAATAAAAATATTGCATGGCCAACTCAAGGGAAAAAATTGTAAAAGACTTTAGGTTCAAAAGTAAAATTAGTCTGTAAGTGACGTTTGTGTAAATGGAGAAAGAATTCAGAACATTTGCAAAGCAAGATTTAGGGTTTAGGATGTTTAGGTAATATAAATAGTATTTTTTTAGTATTAAAATAAAGTGAGTATGAAAACAATGATATGAATCAGAATATTACCTTAAGATGTTTATTTTTTCCCTATTTTCCACATTTACTCCTTTTTCTCCTTGCAATGAGAACTGTATTGGATGGAAAGAATAAGTTTTCATTCCACGTACTTTACCTTGGCCAAGTGCAAATGACTTAGAATGGTATTTATCCTATTAATCTAAATAGCATTAGGGAGAGGAGCAAAATGAACAGAAGTACAATTCTGATTTCTGAGTCTGCAAATGGAAATACTTATCAAAAAATATAGTCAAACGGTGTGATCCTCTGAATAGGAATAGGGAGACAATGTGCATGATTTGTTAACTATGTTTATTCTATGAAGTGTAATAATGTAATTGTCTGCTACATCAAACAAATAGAAGTATGCTGATTCACTCACTTATTTAGGTACACCTTGTGAAGTGTCCTAATTCTGTTTTATGTTATATATTTTGCTTTATTTTATTTTACCTTGATGAGCAGAGTACATATTCCAGAGGAAGAAAAGTGAAAAGGGAACGTAATTTATTTTCTACAAATGCTTTAAAATTTTATTTTGGACCTTAACATTTTATTTATAGTAAAGCCAATTCCAATGAGTAACTATTTAATTGTTTCTAAGTGTGTGTCTATTCTCAACCATAGGACAAATAAACACTTTTCAATGCAATATTGTATTTTAGGGCCAGGTAAGTTAAAAGTTAAACAATACTATTTAACTTGTATTGTGCTTCCAAATTCCCATCTTTTTGAGGTAGCATGGTGTAATGAGCCATGTGTAGCTGTGTAGGAAGAAGCATCCCTGTCTGGTTTACCACTGTTATCAAGGGAATAAAGTATCACTGCTGCCCAACAAGAAGTGTTCAGCACACAGTAAGTAAATAAATTAATTAGCTCTTTTCTTTTTGTTTTTGTTTTGAGATGAAGTTTCTCTCTTGTTGCCCAGGCTGGAGTGCAATGACGTGATCCTGGCTCACTGCAACCTCTACCTCCTGGGTTCAAGCAATCCTCCTGCCTCAGCCTCCCAAGTAGTTGGGACTACAGGCACCAGCCACCATGCCCAGTTAAATTTTTGTATTTTTAGTAGAGATGGGGTTTCACCATGTTTGCCAGGCTGGTCTCAAACTCCTGACCTCGGGTGATTCACCTGCCTTGGCGTCCCAAAGTGCTGGGATTACAGGTGTGAGCCACTGCACCTGGCTGAATGAATTAATTAGCATTTAATACCAGTTTCTGCATGTGTAAAGTGAGAAAGTTTGACTAGTTTTAGACATTAATAAGTAGAATATAGAAAATATGTTTATTTTTCTTTTTGGCCAAATAAATGTGGAGAAAACCATATATTATATGTTTTTCCTGAAACTTCACAATGTTTATTGACATGTTAATGTCTCATAGAAGTCTTAAAACAAATAAACTAGCGAAAGCCCCTGTTAACTCCGTTCAAAGCAATAGTTCCAAAATTTAAATTAAAAACTTTCCTCCCTCTGACTGGGCATGTTGGCTCACGCCTGTAATCCCAAAACTTTGGGAGGCTGAGGTGGGCGGATCACGAGGTCAGGAGATGGAGAACATCCTGGCTAACACGGTGAAACCCCGTCTCTACTAAAAATACAAAAAAATTAGCTGGGCATGGTGGTGGGCACCTGTAGTCCCAGCTACTCGGGAGGCTGAGGCAGGAGACTGGTGTGAACCCGGGAGGCGGAGCTTGCAGTAGGCCGAGATCACTCCACTGCACTCCAGCCTGGGAGACAGAGCCAGACTTCTTCTCAAAAAAAAAAAAAAAAACAACTTCCCTCCCTCTCCAACTCCTATAGTTCCAACAAACATTCCTTTTAATTTTCCAGTGGGCATTTCTCACATGAATTCTCTAGGTTTCCAAGACAAATTTAATCTTGTACACACCTTACAAACACTACCTCAGCCAGGTGATCAAGGTCAACATCAACAGTGTTAAGTTATGTCTGGTGTTTTCCAGGACACATAAAGAGACTTGAGCCACTGGAGCACATTGAGGGAGATTAGAGGACTGAGAGATACAATAGGAGGAAGGCGCATGATATCGAGAAAAGAGTGAGTTTCAAATTTCAGTTGTGCATTTAGTTATCAATGTATTTTACAAAATTTCCAAACAGCCTTACTTATTTTGTACTTCACATAAAAAGATTACTTCTCATTTGAATAATTTCCAGAATTTCTTTGAATAGAATGTCAGAATTTCTCTAAAAAGAAAAATATATTCATTAATATTATAAACTAATATTGCTCCCTAATTAAAACTGTGGGCCTTCATCACAAGCTGATTTATATGCAAACCCGTAGTTTTCACTTTTATATTGGGTGATTTAGGACAATTAATTAAACCTTTCTAAGGAGTAATTTTATCATCTAAACATTAAAGATAGTAATAACACCTTCCTTGTAACTGTGTGGAGTGAATGAATATACATATAAACAGTATTGTGCTAACACATTCTAGTGTTAGGATTAGAAGTTTAAAAGAGCCCATCAATGATGGACTGGATAAAGAAAATGTGTCACATATACACCATGGAATCCTATGCAGCCATAAAAAAGGATGAGTTCATGTCCTTTGCAGGGACATGGATGAAGCTGGAAACCATCATTCTCAGCAAACTAACACAAGAACAGAAAACCAAACACCACATGTTCTCACTCATAACTGGGAGTTGAACAATGAGAACACATGGACACGGGGAGGGGAATATCACATACTGGGACCTGTCGGGGTTGCTGGGGCTAGGGGAAGAATAGCATTAGGGGAAATACCTAATGTAGATGACGGGTTAATGGGTTCAGCAAACCACCACGGCACGTGTATACCTATGTAACAAACCTGCACATTCTGCACATGTATCCCAGAACTTAAAGTATAAATAATAAAAAAAAAAAAGACACCATTAGTTTGAAAGCTAAAATTTTTTTTGGTTTTCTTCCAAAGCTCTACCTAGTACCTTACAGAAATCTGTTAATAATTGAAAGGAGGGAGATCTCCATCCATGCTGTGCCTAATGGTATATGGTTAAGATTTGAAATAGAGCAGATAGCCACTTTTATCTACCAGATATTTTTCTAAGTATTTTACAATACTATGGAAGTACAAGAAGAGCTGGAATAAAATAACAATTATTGTGAGTAGTAAAGTGTAATTTCACCCATGCTGCATGGTAATCAAAACAAATCAAATGTAAGCAAGGTCACATTACTACATGCCTTTAGGAACTGCTAAGGTTTGACCCAAATCCTGGTCTGTAATTTAAGATTTCTTCTATTCAAATATAAAGTTACTAATTGTGTAGAATGTAGCGTTGGAAACTCCATATAAATGGGGCTATGCATTGAACTGTGGATTGTCTTTCTGTCTTATTGTTTTGTCAATTAGGAACCTGAGTCTTTGAAGTAATCCCCTCTGACAACTCGTTTTGACACAGAGCTGCCAGGAATCATCCATTCCAATAAGAAGTGACAGTACTAAGATTAAACTATCATTTCTTTATGAAGGCTGTGAAGGTGCGTTTACTTATAATTATTATGCATGCTTTGACAGACCAGACATTTTTAGCATTCTTTCAAATAAAACGACTAATTAACTATAAATTAATATTTATAAGACAATCTAGTGCCTGAAGTTGACTGTATGTATAAGAAGAAGATTTCAAGAAGAAAAACAATAAACTAGCATTATCTGTCTTTCAGGGGGTCGGGAAAAAGATACTTTAAAATAAGACCTGAGCTGTTATATGTTTTCCTGGTTTGAAGTATTTTATTTTAGGCTTTTAAATCTTTACTTAGGAAACGCTTTTTAGAACAGCAGATTTTTCTGTGTAGACAAATGGCTAAATTGGCTGATCCTTCATGTCCTAGTTAAAAAGGATTGTCCACTGTGGAGTGCTTCCCATTTATAAAGGGAAGTTGTATTTGAAATTTCTGCAGCTTTAACATAGATAGGTAGGTAGATTGACACATATAGAAAGATAATACAAAACATCATTTAGAAGGCCCCTCCAAATCTAGGTGAAACCTAAAAAAGGTATAGTAAAATCTAAAGAATGAATAATGGTTTTATTGATGTTGGAGTAGAGAGCAGCTTTACATGTTCTACCTTTTCTTTGTTATTTTTTACATACAAACATGCAGTATTTGAAATTGAAATTACAATCTAATAAAATATCTTTTCAATCTTAACAGGTCCAACCATAATAACTTTATTTGGTGTAACAAACTCGCTTGCCTAATATCAGTCCTCCAGAAGTTCCCTACACCACAAACGATTTTTTTTTTCCCAAAGCACTGCTAGAAATATAATATACAAATTACTATTTTTTTTGTTTCTTGTTTATTGATTGTCTCCTTCACTAGACTCAAAACACCTCAAGAAAGGAGTCTTTTTGTAACGATTTTCCTAGTACATGATCAGTGCTAAACAAATATTTCTTAAATAAATTGAGTGAATTTGAATACAGTCTTAAGGTTTGTTTTCTGCTTTTCATTTCTTCTGAAGTGTACAGCAGACAACATTTCTGTCATTTTCTTGGAAAAAAGGCATGAAGAAAGAATGTATTTAAAAATCAAACATGGTTACGATAATTCTTAATTTCCTCTTGGAAAATCTTTCTAAATGAAAAATTAAATATCAAGTTATAATCTAATTTTAGGAAAGCACTTCAACTCTCTTAAGTTATAAAAAAGGCACATCTTCTAAATTATATCTCTTAGTCATTGTCTTGTATGGGTAGCATATTAGAGAAAGTAGGAAAAAAGAGTTTTCCTTGTATCAGAATATTGCATGATTCAGAATAGAACATCAGAATTAAATAAAGTGCATACAAGCCACGAATATGTTTATGGTGGTATTGCCAATGGCTGGATGTGAAGGAGATACAGGGACAATGGGTCAGAATAAAGATAATGGTCATGATGATAAATAAACGTGAATGGTCACAATATGCCAGCTCTGGAGAGGTTGGAAAAGGTGAATCTGCAATCTCATTTCAGAGATTTTTAAGCCAATCATTTACTATCTGTGTTTGGCAGAACCCAGGTAATACCTGTGGGAAGGCAAATTAGAAGCCCTATGATACCTGTTTCAACCCTTCTGACTTTTCTGAGTAGCTCCAATGTATTGGCTTACCATGGCATATCATGTAATGACATTATAGACATTTTGAAAATTCAGCTTCTCTCTCTCTATATATATATGTGTATGTATATATACATATACACATATATGTGTGTGTATATGTATATATACATACACATATATGTGTATATGTATATATACATACACATATATGTGTATGTATATATACATATACACATATATATGTGTATGTATATATACATACACATATGTATATGTATATATACATGCACACATATGTATATGTATATATACATGCACACATATGTATATGTATATATACATGCACACATATGTGTGTACACACATGTGTATACATGTATGTATGTGTGTGTACACACATGTGTATACATGTATGTATGTGTGTGTACATACATGTGTATACATGTATGTATGTGTGTGTACACACATGTGTATACATGTATGTATGTGTGTGTACACGCATGTGTATACATGTATGTATGTGTGTGTACACACATGTGTATACATGTATGTGTGTGTACACACATGTGTATGCATGTATGTATGTGTGTGTACACACATGTGTATACATGTATGTATGTGTGTGTACGCACATGTGTATACATGTATGTATGTGTGTACGCACATGTGTATACATGTATGTATGTGTGTATACATACACATGTGTATACATGTATGTATATGTGTATACATACACATGTGTATACATGTATGTATAGATGTATACATACACATGTGTATACATGTATGTATAGATGTATACATACACATATGTGTATACATGCATGTATATATGTATTTATAAACATACACATATATATTTACAGTATTTCCAATGTATATATTTTATATATACTTACATTTTTAAATAAATACATTTATGTTTAAATATATTATGAACCCACACACACAGACACACACATATATATGTGTAATATAAGCCATACAAGCCAATATATGTATGCCAGCTTGGACATTTGGACATAGAGTAAAACACCACCATAGAAATATGGATATCCTCTGGAATTCTTCCAGATCATGAACTATTTTTACTGTAATATTTTCCCCAACCTTTCCCTCACTCTCTCCTCTAACCACTGGCTTCCTCGCTTTGACCCGATCCTCTGGGCTTTATAGTACAGTATTTGGAAACTATTCTAATAAACTGATAATTGAATATAACAATAGTAATAGTGCACAGCACTAACGATTAATAGGATATTTCAAGACGTTCAAATACACTTTTTTTTTTATAAATCCTAATTTCCGTCACAACTAAGAAGGAGCTTTCTTTTCAAAGCATTTTGTTCCTAATGGTACCTAATGGTTAATGCATGCAAGATGATGGTAGAGATAAAATGAGGGAGGATGATTTCTTCTAGGCTGCAAAATCTTGAAAGCAGAGTAGACACTGACTTTTGCTCACAATTTTATTTCTTGCATATCCCATACTGCCTTCACATGCATTCTGGATGATTTATCTAGCTCTATACATCAACTAGGTGACTGGTTTAAGTGTTCATCTGGATGGTATCACAAATGTAAAGTTACACCATGGTCCTTCAGGACTGCTCATGGATACCCCAAATCATACACATCAAACCTGCAAGAGCCATGAACCTACTGCAGTTTACATATGTAACATATTCATATGTGTTAATATGTACATTTCAGCTTTATCTAGGACATGTACTAGTGCTACAATGGACTGAAATGAGCTGTCAAGAGAAAAGAAAAGAAACGAAATGCAACAAACATTCCCTGATTTATATTTTCTTTCCAAACTCAGCTATTGAAAATAGGAATTTAACTTCACTAAACATGAGCATGAGTTCAAGTAACTGCCTTCAACAGCCTATTCAGCACTTTTACAGACACACCTTGGGGGGAACCAACCCATCTTTAATTAATTTAATTAAAAACAATTTTGTCAATTAACCTAATAAAATGAAGCTACCTGTGGGCTGTCTGCTTCTGTGCTCAAGAGCCCTGCTGCCTGGTTCCTGCCTTTTGAAAAGCCAGCTGCTATTATTTGTCACACTTATAGGCAGTGCTTTTGTTAAGGATACTGCATTTATTGAAGCTTTAACATGTTTTCAGCTGACTTTCTGCATTCTAGAATTTATGTCAAACTACATCTGTTGTATGTTGTAAGCCCTGCATACCTTCAATTACACATGTTCATGTGAAGTGTTTAACTTGGTACATTGTGCCTGAAATATTTTCTACAGATAATTAGAACTGGTAACTATCAGTCCTACTGTGTCAGAAAGAAATTATCCCTCTGCTCATGTACACAAGACACGGGCTCACAGCATGTGCTGCAACGGAAATGTCATTTGATATCACTGCGTGTAAAAAACTTGGCTATATTTTTCCTATTCTACTTTATATACCTGGTAAATTATTTAAAATACAAATATTTAACCATTGACAAAAGAAACAAGACCCAGTTTTTGTACAAATTATTTACCTAGCAAGATCAAGAGGAGCAATAGAAAGAAATCAAATCTCTTCAGCAGCAAAGGCACCAATTTAGCCTTTGTATTTCTGTCATTGGCAACTACCTGAATATATATTTATTGGCTGGAGGCAAGAGATGGCGTGGACCAATAAGAATGACCTAGTTGACTAAAAAAATTTAAAAAATTTAAAAAAATACAGAAGATTCCAAAGCATTTCTCTCTAGAACACACTATGTTTAAGTTAACTGAACTTTATAAACATAAGCTATATGTGTAGAAAAGCAAAATTTCAATTACATACATTTATTTTTTCTAATAGTCCTCAAAGTCCTTGGTACAGAAGGAATATGTATTATATCCACCTCACAAAATCCCTCATAACGTTTTTAATATTAAATTATAAAATAGAGAGTTGAGGATCATAAAGAACTTGATATTGCAGAATTCCTAGCAACACAGTCAAAATTCCATGACACCTTTCTAAAATTTTGGATGCCAACAATTGATTAACTTGCCCTTGATTTTTATTTTATTACATATACTTACATATAACTATATTACATATATGTACACATACTGGCAATTGAATCCTGATAATTTCTGGAAGAAAAAAACAGCAGTCTAATTCCAATAGGAACAGTACTTGGGAGTGTTTTTAAAAGAGTCATTTTAGGATACAAGATAAAGACACTGAGGCATGACAAGCGAGGGATATGATAGAAATGGAAGGAATACGAAGGAAAAGGAAGGAGGAAAGCAAAAGACTGAGACAGCTGTTATACCAGATGCTTCAAACAAAAGTGATGGAGATTGACAGAATAGGAGAACAGCTTTTCAATGAAATTATGCAAAATGGGCAAATTGAACTAAAAGCTTTTATGTTGACAAAAATAAGTTCTTTGATTTTTTTTAAGTCTAAAAGCCTAATGTGCTCAAGATTCCAAAAGCAGACAACACATGAGCAACTAATAACAAAAAAGAATATGGAAAACATTGCCAAAAACATGATCACATGAAAAAGAAGCTATGGATTCCTCACTTTTATCAATTATTGTTGATTCTTAGAAATGATTTATAAACTGATCATTGTATAACAAAATCACAAAGAATCATTTAGGGAAATAAAAGAAACAACGAAATGATGAAAATTACTGAGCCTAATGTAAAAGAACATTTAAATGCATACTTAAAGATCTTGCCAACCAATAATGATGGAATCTTGACATCCATATTAAATATGTTTGTGCAGAGTACTCTCCATCATAGAATCAAAGAAGTCTATGAGTAGAAACAAGTAATCAAAAAGTTCAATTGTACCACAGCCAAAAAAATTATAAACAGTGAGCTGTTAAAACCATTCCACTAAAGTTAGGACACTTTCCAAAGACATTTCTGCCTATATTTATTATAATTGTTTTGCTTGAAATAAGTGTATTTGGGGGGGAGGAGCCAAGATGGCCGAATAGGAACAGCTCCGGTCTACAGCTCCCAGCGTGAGCGACGCAGAAGACGGTGATTTCTGCATTTCCATCTGAGGTACCGGGTTCATCTCACTAGGGAGTGCCAGACAGTGGGCGCAGGACAGTGGGTGCGCGCACCGTGCGCGAGCCGAAGCAGGGCGAGGCATTGCCTCACCTGGGAAGCGCAAGGGGTCAGGGAGCTCCCTTTCCGAGTCAAAGAAAGGGGTGACGGACGCACCTGGAAAATCGGGTCACTCCCACCCGAATATTGGGCTTTTCAGACCGGCTTAAAAAACGGTGCACCACGAGACTATATCCCACACCTGGCTCGGAGGGTCCTACGCCCACGGAATCTCGCTGATTGCTAGCACAGCAGTCTGAGATCAAACTGTAAGGCGGCAGCGAGGCTGGGGGAGGGGCGCCCGCCATTGCCCAGGCTTGATTAGGTAAACAAAGCAGCCTGGAAGCTCAAACTGGGTGGAGCCCACCACAGCTCAAGGAGGCCTGCCTGCCTCTGTAGGCTCCACCTCTGGGGGCAGGGCACAGACAAACAAAAAGACAGCAGTAACCTCTGCAGACTTAAATGTCCCTGTCTGACAGCTTTGAAGACAACAGTGGTTCTCCCAGCACGCAGCTGGAGATCTGAGAATGGGCAGACTGCCTCCTCAAGTGGGTCCCTGACCCCTGACCCCCGAGCAGCCTAACTGGGAGGCACCCCCCAGAAGGGGCACACTGACACCTCACACGGCAGGGTATTCCAACAGACCTGCAGCTGAGGGTCCTGTCTGTTAGAAGGAAAACTAACAAACAGAAAGGACATCCACACCAAAAACCCATCTGTACATCATCATCATCAAAGACCAAAAGTAGATAAAACCACAAAGATGGGGAAAAAACAGAACAGAAAAACTGGAAACTCTAAAACGCAGAGCGCCTCTCCTCCTCCAAAGGAACGCAGTTCCTCACCAGCAACGGAACAAAGCTGGATGGAGAATGATTTTGATGAGCTGAGAGAGGAAGGCTTCAGACGATCAAATTACTCTGAGCTACGGGAGGACATTCAAACCAAAGACAAAGAAGATGAAAACTTTGAAAAAAATTTAGAAGAATGTATAACTAGAATAACCAATACAGAGAAGTGCTTAAAGGAGCTGATGGAGCTGAAAACCAAGGCTCGAGAACTACGTGAAGAATGCAGAAACCTCAGGAGCCGATGCGATCAACTGGAAGAAAGGGTATCAGCGATGGAAGATGAAATGAATGAAATGAAGCGAGAAGGGAGGTTTAGAGAAAAAAGAATAAAAAGAAATGAGCAAAGCCTCCAAGAAATATGGGACTATGTGAAAAGACCAAATCTATGTCTGATTGGTGTACCTGAAAGTGATGCGGAGAATAGAACCAAGTTGGAAAACACTCTGCAGGATATTATCCAGGAGAACTTCCCCAATCTAGCAAGGCAGGCCGATGTTCAGATTCAGGAAATACAGAGAACACCACAAAGATACTCCTCGGGAAGAGCAACTCCAAGACACATAATTGTCAGATTCACCAAAGTTGAAATGAAGGAAAAAATGTTAAGGGCAGCCAGAGAGAAAGGTCGGGTTACCCTCAAAGGGAAGCCCATCAGACTAACAGCGGATCTCTCGGCAGAAACCCTACAAGCCAGAAGAGAGTGGGGGCCAATATTCAACATCCTTAAAGAAAATAATTTTCAACCCAGAATTTCATATCCAGCCAAACTAAGCTTCATAAGTGAAGGAGAAATAAAATACTTTACAGACAAGCAAATGCTGAGAGATTTTGTCACCACCAGGCCTGCCCTAAAAGAGCTCCTGAAGGAAGTACTAAACATGGAAAGGAACAACCGGTACCAGCCGCTGCAAAATCATGCCAAAATGTAAAGACCATTGAGACTAGGAAGAAACTGCATCAACTAACGAGCAAAATCACCAGCTAACATCATAATGACAGGACCAAATTCACACATAACAATATTAACTTTAAATGTAAATGGACTAAATTCTCCAATTAAAAGACACAGACTGGCAAGTTGGATAAAGAGTCAAGACCCATCAGTGTGCTGTATTCAGGAAACCCATCTCACGTGCAGAGACACACATAGGCTCAAAATAAAAGGATGGAGGAAGATCTACCAAGCAAATGGAAAACAAAAAAAGGCAGAGGTTGCAATCCTAGTCTCTGATAAAACAGACTTTAAACCAACAAAGATCAAAAGAGACAAAGAAGGCCATTACATAATGGTAAAGGGATCAATTCAACAAGAGGAGCTAACTATCCTAAATATTTATGCACCCAATACAGGAGCACCCAGATTCATAAAGCAAGTCCTGAGTGACCTACAAAGAGACTTAGACTCCCACACATTAATAATGGGAGACTTTAACACCCCACTGTCAACATTAGACAGATCAACGAGACAGAAAGTCAACAAGGATACCCAGGAATTGAACTCAGCTCTGCACCAAGCGGACCTAATAGACATCTACAGAACTCTCCACCCCAAATCAACAGAATATACATTTTTTTCAGCACCACACCACACCTATTCCAAAATTGACCACATAGTTGGAAGTAAAGCTCTCCTCAGCAAATGTAAAAGAACAGAAATTATAACAAACTATCTCGCAGACCACAGTGCAATCAAACTAGAACTCAGGATTAAGAATCTCACTCAAAGCCGCTCAACTACATGGAAACTGAACAACCTGCTCCTGAATGACTACTGGGTACATAACGAAATGAAGGCAGAAATAAAGATGTTCTTTGAAACCAACGAGAACAAAGACACAACATACCAGAATCTCTGGGACACATTCAAAGCAGTGTGTAGAGGGAAATTTATAGCACTAAATGCCCACAAGAGAAAGCAGGAAAGATCCAAAATTGACACCCTAACATCACAATTAAAAGAACTAGAAAAGCAAGAGCAAACACATTCAAAAGCTAGCAGAAGGCAAGAAATAACTAACATCAGAGCAGAACTGAAGGAAATAGAGACACAAAAAACCCTTCAAAAAATCAATGAATCCAGGAGCTGGTTTTTTGAAAGGATCAACAAAATAGATAGACCGCTAGCAAGACTAATAAAGAAAAAAAGAGAGAAGAATCAAATAGACACAATAAAAAATGATAAAGGGGATATCACCACCGATCCCACAGAAATACAAACTACCATCAGAGAATACTACAAACACCTCTACGCAAATAAACTAGAAAATCTAGAAGAAATGGATACATTCCTCGACACATACACTGTCCCAAGACTAAACCAGGAAGAAGTTGAATCTCTGAATCGACCAATAACAGGAGCTGAAATTGTGGCAATAATCAATAGTTTACCAACCAAAAAGAGTCCAGGACCAGATGGATTCACAGCCGAATTCTACCAGAGGTACAAGGAGGAACTGGTACCATTCCTTCTGAAACTATTCCAATCAATAGAAAAAGAGGGAATCCTCCCTAACTCATTTTATGAGGCCAGCATCATTCTGATACCAAAGCCGGGCAGAGACACAACCAAAAAAGAGAATTTTAGACCAATATCCTTGATGAACATTGATGCAAAAATCCTCAATAAAATACTGGCAAACCGAATCCAGCAGCACATCAAAAAGCTTATCCACCATGATCAAGTGGGCTTCATCCCTGGGGTGCAAGGCTGGTTCAATATACGCAAATCAATAAATGTAATCCAGCATATAAACAGAGCCAAAGACAAAAACCACATGATTATCTCAATAGATGCAGAAAAAGCCTTTGACAAAATTCAACAACCCTTCATGCTGAAAACTCTCAATAAATTAGGTATTGATGGGACGTATTTCAAAATAATAAGAGCTATCTATGACAAACACACAGCCAATATCAGACTGAATGGGCAAAAACTGGAAGCATTCCCTTTGAAAACTGGCACAAGACAGGGATACCCTCTCTCACCGCTCCTATTCAACATAGTGTTGGAAGTTCTGGCCAGGGCAATCAGGCAGGAGAAGGAAATAAAGGGTATTCAATTAGGAAAAGAGGAAGTCAAATTGTCCCTGTTTGCAGACGACATGATTGTTTATCTAGAAAACCCCATCGTCTCAGCCCAAAATCTCCTTAAGCTGATAAGCAACTTCAGCAAAGTCTCAGGATACAAAATCAATGTACAAAAATCACAAGCATTCCTATACACCAACAACAGACAAACAGAGAGCCAAATCATGAGTGAACTCCCATTCACAATTGCTTCAAAGAGAATAAAATACCTAGGAATCCAACTTACAAGGGATGTGAAGGACCTCTTCAAGGAGAACTACAAACCACTGCTCAAGGAAATAAAAGAGGATACAAACAAATGGAAGAACATTCCATGCTCATGGGCAGGAAGAATCAATATCGTGAAAATGGCCATACTGCCCAAGGTAATTTACAGATTCAATGCTATCCCCATCAAGCTACCAATGACTTTCTTCACAGAATTGGAAAAAACTACTTTAAAGTTCATATGGAACCAAAAAAGAGCCCGCATCGCCAAGTCAATCCTAAGCCAAAAAAACAAAGCTGGAGGCATCACACTACCTGACTTCAAACTATACTACAAGGCTACAGTAACCAAAACAGCATGGTACTGGTACCAAAACAGAGATATAGATCAATGGAACAGAACAGAGCCCTCAGAAATAACACCGCATACCTACAACTATCTGATCTTTGACAAACCTGAGAAAAACAAGCAATGGGGAAAGGATTGCCTATTTAATAAATGGTGCTGGGAAAACTTGCTAGCCATATGTAGAAAGCTGAAACTGGATCCCTTCCTTACACCTTATACAAAAATCAATTCAAGATGGATTAAAGATTTAAACGTTAGACCTAAAACCATAAAAACCCTAGAAGAAAACCTAGGCATTACCATTCAGGACATAGGAATGGGCAAGGACTTCATGTCCAAAACACCAAAAGCAATGGCAACCAAAGCCAAAATTGACAAATGGGATCTAATTAAACTAAAGAGCTTCTGCACAGCAAAAGAAACTACCATCAGAGTGAACAGGCAACCTACAAAGTGGGAGAAAATTTTTGCAACCTACTCATCTGACAAAGGGCTAATATCCAGAATCTACAATGAACTCAAACAAATTTACAAGAAAAAAACAAACAACCCCATCAAAAAGTGGGCGAGGGATATGAACAGACACTTCTCAAAAGAAGACATTTATGCAGCCAAAAAACACATGAAAAAATGCTCATCATCACTGGCCATCAGAGAAATGCAAATCAAAACCACTATGAGATATCATCTCACACCAGTTAGAATGGCAATCATTAAAAAGTCAGGAAACAACAGGTGCTGGAGAGGATGTGGAGAAATAGGAACACTTTTACACTGTTGGTGGGACTGTAAACTAGTTCAACCATTGTGGAAATCAGTGTGGTGATTTCTCAGGGATCTAGAACTAGAAATACCATTTGACCCAGCCATCCCATTACTGGGTATATACCCAAATGACTATAAATGATGCTGCTATAAAGACACATGCACACGTATGCTTATTGCGGCATTATTCACAATAGCAAAGACTTGGAACCAACCCAAATGTCTAACAATGATAGACTGGATTAAGAAAATGTGGCACATATACACCATGGAATACTATGCAGCCATAAAAAATGATGAGTTCATGTCCTTTGTAGGGACATGGATGAAATTGGAAATCATCATTCTCAGTAAACTATCGCAAGAACAAAAAACCAAACACCGCATATTCTCACTCATAGGTGGGAATTGAACAATGAGATCACATGGACACAGGAAGGGGAATATCACACTCTGGTGACTGTGGTGGGGTGGGGGGAGGGGGGAGGGATAGCATTGGGAGATATACCTAATGCTAGATGACGAGTTAGTGGGTGCAGCGCACCAGCATGGCTTATGTATACATATGTAACTAACCTGCACAATGTGCACATGTACCCTAAAACTTAAAGTATAATTTAAAAAAATAAATAAATAAATAAATAAAAAAGAAATAAGTGTATTTGAGGGAAATAATTGCTTTTAACTAAAAGAGCCCACTAGCTTTACTTCTTAATTTTAATTAACAACTTTCAAGGGTCAGTATTTATATTTTTCTTAGTTGCTATTTTTTAGAACTATATAATAATCACAAAACCCCATGCAAATCTCTTAAATTTCTTTTCTTACAATAGTTCCCCAATCTACAAAGTTTAGAACATGAGTTCTCACGTGTTATAAACTTGGAGCTACTAAAAATATAATTTTCTTACCCCACCTATTGATTCAACAAGTCCGGAGGCCCAATAACATGAAATATTAAAAATCTTCTAGGATATTATATGAATATTTTCCACAAACCTAACTCTGTTAAGACTATGATTTAGACTACACAATCCCTATCTTAGAATCCTGGCCTTTGAAATCACCTTGACCAAAAAAACCTCATTTCCTAGTTTCAAATAGAATGAAAGCTTCACTTTATGGGTTTCCATTCACTTATTCCTTTCATTTGCCTTCCTATTTTTACCATCCTATAATTAAAAAAAAATAAAAAGCATATATGTGGTCACTTTGAGTAAATACTTTCTTTTCATTTAAGACTGGACTGCACTTTGCAGGAGGCTCTAACCTGTTACTGGGGGAAAAAAAATTAGACAAAAGGCCTCCAGGAGACTTGTTGGTCCAATTACCATTATGAATTTATTTCACTTTTGTTTTTATATAGCAGTTGACCAAGACAGCCTTAAAGTTGCTTTCAACTTCTCTAAACTTTAAATAGGATTCTTGCTGACTAGACTCCTGACCTCCCTTGTCTTAGAGCATTTACATTAGAAAACTTGTAATTGTACATTCTTTCTCTGCCCCTCTGAAATGTAAGTTTTTTAAAAAGCATCTTGCAGTTTTACAACCCAAGAATGTTTTTCTCAAGAACCCGGGAGCCATCTCTTTGAAACAGGAACATCGGGGAAGATAATGCCCCTATCTCTTTTTCCCTGGGAAGTGAGGAGACTAACTTCCCCTGCAAAAGGTGTAAAACTACCTCCTGTCATTAAGGTAAGAGAAAACCTACCTTACCTTTGCGTGAAGCAAATTAGCAAACACAGGTGGCCTATGATCCCCCACTTGGGCTTTTAAAAATTCTTCAGACCTTTGTTTCACTGGAGCTGTGCTCAGGCATAGGTCTGGCCTCTCTCTTCTATTGCATTGGCCTTGAATAACTCTTTTTTGCCTGTTTAAATTTGCTAGATGCAATTTTTACTCTGACACAGACCTGATTCCTTTTTCGTACTAGTTCTCCTGACTACGTAACTTTGTACTTATTCCATCTTGAGTAAATCGAGTGTCCCTTAGCAGTGCCTTCTCGCTTCTCTCCTGGTGCAGGTTTTTCATTTTGTAGTGATGTTCTGACTCTCGTGCAGCAGACCTGTTGATTTATAGTGAGAAAACAAGACACACTGAAATTTCACAAAGGTTAATCCTTGGAAAGGCATAATTTTTTTTATATCTCTTGATGTGATCCCAATGTTTTTCATTAATTAGAGAACAGAGACAAAAAGAAGCATCAAAAGAAGATGATTAAAATGAAAGACTGACAATCTTAAATGCTGGAAATTAAGTGAAAACTCTCATATACTGATGAGGGGAGTGTGAAATGACACAATCACTTTGAAAAATGATTTAGAAGCTACTTAAAATGTTAAACATACATTTTTTTTGCTATGACTCAGCAATTCCACTCCTTAATACTTTCTTAAGAGAAAAGAAAGCATATGAACAAAGAAAGACTACCTGGTTCGAGAGTGATCATAGTAGCTCTATTTCTAAAAGCTTTCTTTCTAAAATTTCTAAAGTTTTTACTTATACATATATATATAGACAGACATCCATATATACACATATATATGTCCAAGTAAAAGCAACAAATTACAGATAAAGTACATCAAGAATAGATCTCAAAAACTTTACACTTACTGTATAATTTCACTTATATAAAATCCTCAGACAAAATTAACTATGGTTAGTAGAGGTTTGGGGAAAGAGACTAGGAAGAGACATAGAAAATTCGAAACTCCCTCAGGTGACAGAAATGTTTTTTGATAGTGATATATTTATGTGTGTATGTAGTTACTTAAGAAATGCAATGCTATATATATTATTTGAGTTTTTCACTCCTTTAAAAAGGAGTGGTGAACTGAAGTTCTATATGAGACCAACTTAAGATATCTTATTTAAAACTTACCTCTCTCTCCCTGTCCTAATTTAGTTAACATAAAATTCCTAAATTGTGTCTCTTAGAACCCTCTGACACTTAATTTAATAAAATATTTTATGTATAGATGCTTAAATGTTTGAGGTGATTATCTATAAATACAGCTTTAATCAAAGCTAGGAATAAAAAATTAGATTCAATAAGATCATTTTAAAAATGGTTATTTTTGTGAGAGATGCAGCGAAATCCATAAAGCTGACATTCTCTTGAACTGGTTCACATCATCTAACATTACACATGTAAGGACTTTCTTAATGTCTTCAATTATTATCAACATTTTACCTCTATTTTTCTAACACAATTATCTTCCATGAAAAAGATGGCATTCGATGCTCAGCTGTCATTAAAATATCTGAAACAATCCTTTAGTTATGCCCTGGGTAAGATTTTTCAGCAGCATTTCCTTATAGGGATATTGAGAATCAGAGCTTTGCAACATTATTTAGACTCAAATATAATTGTGAAGTTATAATTTCTTACACATTTTTACCTGTTGAAAAAAGTATAAAATGTAGTAGAAAAGTTGCAAGATAAGAAAATCGAAGGTTTAAAAAAAATTATATAATGAGCTGGAAGCAATCTTCAAGCTCTTGATTAAGCGCCTCATTTAATCAATCAGGAATTTAAAACTTAAATACAGTGTGTGGAAGTGAGAAAATTAATATTTCAAAATCAGATCTTTAGAATTCCTTGTGTTTTGTCTAATCTTTCATGCTATTACTTAAAACTAAAAGTGGATTTTTTGGTGTCAAATATAATTTCTACAGTATCTTTATTATATTGCCAATGATACATTTCTAAGATTAGAACTGTTAGTCAAGTGCCTTGATGCATGATACAGCATTTGTGGAGTATTGAATACCTAATGATTTATTTGTTAAAACTAATAGAATCATTAATTTACAAAGTGTTATAATACATGTTTTGCTAACTGTATTATTCTGTTCTTATGCTGCTATGAGGAAATACCTGAGACTAGGTAATTTATAAAGAAAAGAGGTTTAATTGACTCACAGTTCCACATGGCTGGGGAGGCCTCGGGAAACTTACAATCATGGCAGAAGGCACCTCTTCACAGGGCAGCAGGAGAGAGAATGAGTGCAAGCAGGGGAAATGCCAGATGCTTACAAAACCATCAGGTCTCATGAGAACTCACTCACTATCACAAGATGAGTATGGGGAAAACCACCCCCATGATTCAATTACCCCTGACCAAGTCCCTTCCATGACACATGAGGCTTATGGGGATTACAATTCAAGATGAGATTTCAGTGAGGACACAGCCAAACCATATCAATAATTATTTTAAAAATGAAGAAAAATATATATCACACCTGTAATCCCAGCACTTTGGGAGGCCAAGGTGGGCAGATCACAAGGTCAGGGGTTCGAAACCAGCCTGACCAGCATGGTGAAACCCTGTCTCTACTAAAAATACAAAAATTAGCCGGGCGTGGTGGTGCGCACCTGTAGTCCCAGCTACTCAGGAGGCTGAGGCAGGAGAATTGCTTGAACCCGGGAGGCAGAGGTTGAAGTGAGCTGAGATTGCACCATTGCCCTCCAGCCTGGGCAACAGAGTGAGACTCCATCTCAGAAAAAAAAAAAAAAAAAGAAAGAAAAAGCCATTCATAATCCAAACTCCTACCACCAGCTATATTATCTTATGATAACCACTATATGAATGTAATCAGGACTTTTGTACTAAAAATTCCTTTTTCACTTAAAAATATATTTTAGATATGCCCATGTCAATATAAATAATTATACTTTATTGCTACGGATTCACTGTTTTAGTCTTCCCTAAATTTATATATTGAAATCTTAACTCCCAAGATGATGGTATTAGGAGATGGAGACTGTGGGAGGAGATTAGGTCATTAGGGTAGAGTCCACATGAGTGGGATTAGTGGTCTTATAAAAGAGGTCTGAGAGAGACCCCTTGCCCCTTCCACCATGTTAGGCAGGAACTTGTAAAAAAAAGTGGGGCTTTTCCAGACACTGAATCTGCCAGCACCTTGATCTTAGATTTCTGGCCTCCAGAGCAGTGAGAAATTAATGTTTGTTGTAAATAAGCCACCCAGTTTATGGTATTTTGTTATAGAAGCCCAAATGGACTAAGATATATATTCTTTTTAATGCTTCATACCACTCCACTTTATGGATATCACATTAATTATTTCATCTGCCCTTTTTGGGGGTAATTTATTTAATCTCTTATTACTTTTCTCTCTATAAATACAATGTCACAAATAACATTACTTATAAATTTTTAAATTCATAATCATATTTATTGAATATATTCTAAAAATGTAAATAGTATCAAACATGTTTTTTGCTAAAAATTGCAAATTATTATATCAAAATAAAATCTCATCTTCCTTGTGTGAACTTGTTTTTATATGCTTGGAACCTGAATAAATGGCATCATTTAATCTTTGATTTTGCCAATTTGATAGATGAAAACATGTGATGCCTTTTTTAAAAAAATTGTGTATTTTTTTAGTTACAAAAAATAATTATATATCACGCAAATATATTTGTAATTATTTTGTGTTATACACATTCATAATCCTTGCCAAAACTCTGAGGTACTCATCTTTTTCTTGTGAATTTTAAATATTGTTTATATCAGGGCATTAGTTTTTTAGTATATTTTGTGGAGTAAAACACTATCAGAAAGTTAAAAACAAAGGTTCTGTGAGCCTGAAATCCTTAGATTTTGCCAACATGTAGAAAAAAGGGGCTAAAGTTTGAAAGTAAATTTTATAAAAAGGAATATGAAGACTTAAATGATCATGCCACAAATTTACCTTGAACCGACTAAAGTCAAATTTCTGAAAGGTGTTGCATTGTATAAGGAGGGCTTTTCCCCAGTTTCTCTTTTCACTAGAGGTGAGAGCAGTACTCTCAGTTTTCTTTCAATGACAGATAAGTGAACACACTTAACGTCCATAGGAGCCAAGGATGGCTCTGTGTACCCCTAAATATCCAGCGGAATTCTGTAAGAAATCTCAATTTCAGATAGCTCAGACTGTTACCTGGAATGGAAACTATTTCATTTTTCTCTTCTTATTTTTGCTCTAATTTAGGGTTTTCATATGTATGCCACTATTATTTTCTTATTCTTTACTTCAATATAACCTTCCTACAAATCATAGCATTATTAAATGATATTTAACACCATTGCATTTTAAATATATTACTTTACAGCTAATTAGAATTGGTAATAGTAGCAGTAATTCCTACTAGTATGTGTTAGGCAGTATTCTAGGCACTTTATATTTCAATTACTTTCAGCTTCACAGTAAATCCCTGTGGTGGTGCAGAAGCTGGTAATTTACATACTTATGGTGAGGTGGGCTACTATAACAGAATATTATGAACAGCGTGGCTTAAACAAGAGAAATCTGTTTTTCACAGTTCTGGACCCTGAAAGTCGCGATCAGAGAGTCAGCATAGGCAGGTTCTTGGTGAGGGTCGCCTTCCAGGGTATGTCCTCACATGTCCATCCTTGCTCAGAAATAGAGAAAAAGACCTCCTCTCTCTTCCTCTTTTTATTTTTTTTTTCTAATTATATTTTAAGTTCTGGGATACATGTGCAGAACGTGCAGGTTTGTTACATAGGTATATGTGTGCCACGGTGGTTGCTGCACCCATCAACCTGCCATCCACATTAGGTATTTCTCCAAATGCTGTCCCTCCCCTAGCTCCCTACCCCATGACAGGCCCCGGTATGTGATGTCCCCCTCCCTGTGTCCATGTGTACTCATTGTTCCGCTCCTACTTATGAGTGAGAGCATGTGGTGTTTGGTTTTCTATTCCTCTGTTAGTTTGCTGAGAATGATGGTTTCCAGCTTCATCCATGTCCCTGCAAATGACATGAACTCATCCTTTTTTATGGCTGCATAGTATTCCATCGTGTATTTGTGCCACATTTTCTTTATCCAGTCTATCATTGATGGGCATTTGGGTTGGTTCTAAGTCTTTGCTATTGTGAACAGTGCTGCAATAAACATACATGTGCATATGTCTTTATAGTAGAATGATTTATGACCCCTTGGGTATCTACCCAGTAATTGGATTGCTTATAAGGGCGTTAATCCCTTCAGGGGGATACAACCCTCATGATCTCATACAAACTTAATTACCTCCTAAAGGCCTCACCTACAAATATCATCACATTGGGGATTAAGACTTCAAAATAATAATTTTGTGGAAGACATAAATTTAGTTTATAGTGCTGACCAATTCCTTGGCCAAGAATTAAGACTTATTCTCAGACTTCAATTAAATACCAACTTTTATTAACTTATCATTAGTGCCCAAATATTAGAGATCTTACTATAAAATCCTTAGTCTGTAGACATATGACATTAGTGAACTCAATGATATGTCTTTAGATAAGAAACACAGTAGTCCACTATAAATTTACTTGTATTAGATGTACACACAGAGACTAACATACATAATAGGGAAAATGTGTTTCACTGTTTTTACTAGCGATATTCCATCTATTCAATCTTGGTCAGATGCAGGAGCCCTTCCAAACACTCAAAATCTCTCTAGGTTTATAGGTCCTAACCTTTAATTCTCAGATGCTTGCAATTGTCTTGGATTATCTATCCAAACTGTGACACCAAAAAAAGCTAATGACCAGGTAACACACTGGCTGCTGTTGATTGCTGGACCTTAATCTACAAAGACAATGAATAATGCCTCTGGTTTTAGGGAATTTTCTGGTGCTGGCAAAAGACTGCATTGATTTTGAGGAGTCTTGTGTTCTCTTGAGCCTATTCTGCTCCTGATGTGTGGTCCTTCATTTCTTACTCTCCTAGAGTAGAGTGGAAAAAGTGTTAATCTATTATGCGTACAAATCTTTAAATCCAATACTTACGTGCCCATCTTTTAAATTGTTATTATCAGGAAATACTTTCCCTTTTCCTATTTCATAATTGTCTTTTCCCCCAAAACAGTGGATAAGTTATGTCTGGCAATTTAGTCTAGAAAATAGGGTTGGAGAATCTTTTTGTGCTCAAGTGAGGGCATCTGAAGACTGTAAGGATGGAAGATAATATCATTGTTAATATTTTGAAATACTTTGTTATTACAAATATAATAAAATGGATAATTATTTTTTACTGAAGTTACAGCCAAATGTACACAAAAAGAATTTAAAAATCAAGAAAAGATTCACATATATGGTGCCAATTGAATACAATGGATTCAGGACAAAGATTCTCTTATATGTATTGACAATGGAAGTGAAAACTGACACATTTTATAGCCTGAGAGTTGGCAATAACAGAAGTAAAATGTGTTCCTCATTTCAGGGCCATTAATTCTGTAATTAGCTGATAATTTTCCCAGATTTCTTTTTAGTCTTCAGGAGACTGATATTACACTAAATATTTTTAAAATACATTTTTAGTAATGAGTTTATAAATCTTTTAAACCCTCGTCAGAGACAAAGTACTTGTTCATTTTTGTCTAGTATAGGATACATTTATAATATAGTGTAAGCATTTAAAAAGGTCCATTAATTTTAGGATGCAACATTTTATCTTTCAGGTACCTATAAACAGATCTTGGTTTACATAAATACAACATAATTCAATCATATCATTTATACAAGGAAACATTCTATATTTGATAAATTTTTGACTACCTTGTCTATGTTGACTTCTGGTGATTAGAAAATAGTCCAGAGCACAATTTTGTTATATTCTATATGTATTAATTTGCATATAATGACATGTAATTTTCTATAAAAATGTTTATGGAAGTCTGTTTTGATTTTTAATATTAATTTTTATGTTACATTGCTTTGTCATATAATCACCTCATTTTTATTTTAAAACTGACTATGCCTGAAATTAGTGTTGCCTGCTTTATATTTGTTTCTATTTGCATGATATATTTTTGCTCATCCACTATGCAGCACAGATATATATGTATGATTGTGAGTCACATATTAGTAGGTTTTATTTTTTGTGTTATATGAAAGTATTTTTCTTTAAGAGAAGGCTAGCTAATTTATACTTGTCAAATACTTATGATTTTTAAAAATATTTTTATTTGCTTACTTTTCAAAAAGTATTTCAGAGTTTAATATTTTATCAATAGTATTGTTTTCCTGAGGAAGCAAAAATGAAAATTCTAAAGAGATTCAAGCTAATTTGTCTTTAGGAGGCAGTTGCCTAAGATAATTTCCTTGTTGTACTCTTACCTAAATGTTGGAGAGTGCCTTCTGTCTGGTTCATAGTGTGTATGTACTTAGCCTCATGCCTATAGGATTCTGCACTCCAAGGTGGAAAATATAAAAATCTCATAAATTTATTTTTAGAAAGACATAGTAGCAGATGCTAAAAGTTCATGTCTTACTCCTTCCTCTTAACTTAAATGTCAATTTAAGAAATGCCTTTTCTCCTACTTAGAATTTATCTCTTAACCTAGAAATTCTAATTTTTGTCGCCCTGTGAACATATGTCAATGTCTGAAGACATTTTTGTCATAACAGGTGAGGAGCACTATTGGTATCTAGCAAGTTGGAACCAGGGATCTGGCAAACATGCTATATTGCATAGGAAAGCCCACACAACAAAGAATTATTTGGTGAAAATATCTGTTGTGCTGAGGTTGGAAATCCCTGCCTTAACCTAAAATTGAATCTCTAACATTAAAAATGTTCTGATATTAAAGATAGATTAAAGAGAGCTTTGTACGTCAGAAGTTTGGAATACCCATAGCAGTAGCCTGCTACACAATTGTGTTTTCCTGGATCAATTACTGAGTAAGGAATGTAAGGTAGGCAAAAAATAAAATGAAAATCCCCCACAGGTTCTTCCCTTCTGTTATGGGTTTAATTGTCTATCCCCAAATATAATAAGTTAAAGTTCTAGTCGTTAGGACCTCAGAATGTGACTATATTTGGAGAAAAGGCCTTTATAAAAGTGAATAAGGTAAAATGCAGTCATTTGTTTGGGTTCTAAGCGAAGATGACTTGTGTCCTTATAAGAACACAGACACAAACAAAAGGAATACAATGCCAGCACACTGGAAGAAAACAGCCATCTACAGGCCAAGGTGAAAGGCTTTCAGAAGAAACCAGCCCTGCTTGTAACTGAACTCAAGTCTGGCTGAATATAAAAGAGATAAGTGGAAAGCAGCTTTATTTATCAAATGTCAGCAGTTGAGGAGATGGCTGGGCTAAGGCCTCCAAGAAACCATCTCAAATTTTAGGCTGAGTGAGGGGATTTAAGAAGGGAAACTTGGTGTGGGAAACATGCAGGAGTGGGGCAGGGTACAGGTCTGCATGTCTTGTTCCCATGACTATCTTGAATTGCAGGCTGGCACTATCTCCACAATGGCCAGGTGGTAGATTAGCCACCTTGAAATAACATTTAGATTGGGGAGAATTCCACATGTGGGTCTCCATGCCTGATTTATTTCCAGATTAGCCCCTGGAATTTCTAAGCAACCACATAATTAGATGAGCGAGCACAGTGCAAGACAGTACCTGACGGGAAGGGAGGGAAACTAAGAGTATCAAATTATACTTCAAGGCTAAAATGAGAAAAGAAAAACAATTTCAAAATGCATATTGAAGCTAAGCTACTTGGTACAGTAACATGCTGACACCTTGATTTTGGATTTCTGGAATCCAGAACTGTGAGGAAATAAATTTATGCTGTTTAATCCAGGGGTCCCCAGTACTGGTCTGTGGCCTTTTACAAACTGGGCTGCACAGCAGGAGGTGAGCAGAGGGCCAGCAAACATTACCACCTGAGCTCCACCTCCTGTCAAATCAGCAGTGACATTAGATTGTCATAGGAGCATGAACCTTATTGTGAATTGCGCATGCAAGTTATCTAGGTTGTGTGCTCCTTGTGAGAATCTAATGCCTGATAATCTGAGGAAGAGCAGTTTCATCCCCAAACCCAAACCATCCGCCCCGCCTCCCCACCACACACCACCCCCACCTGTTCATGGAAAAATCATCTTCCATGAAACCAGACCCTGGAGCCCAAAATTTGGGGACCGCTGGTTTAAGCCGTTTAGTCTGTGGTACTTTGTTATAGTGGCCCTAGCAAACCAATACATCCTCCCTGTAACTAGGTCCCCTGGCCGTGCAACTTGAAGTGCCTTCCAGTGACTTGTTTGGCTAAAGGCGTATTAGCAAGCATGACACAAATAGAGACTTGAATAAAACCTTGTGTATGAGGCTCATCTTTTCTTGATGCCCTTGAAAACCCTGTAACCATCTGCACGTGAACAACCCTTGGGCTAGTTTTCTGGATATTGAGAGACACGTGGCCCAGTAATGCTCACCTCGACACCCCCTTCAGCCCCATTCCCTGAACCGACAGTCACCCATCCTTCAGAGACAGAGGCACTTTGATGAATAGGATAATTGCTCAGCTGACTACAGTTGAAATAGCTCACTCAAGGAAACCTGAGTTAAATAAATAGCTTTTTTGTCAAACTAAAATGAATTGGGTAGTTTGTTATGGCAAAAAAAGCTAACTGCCAGGTAATCAACAAAACATTTACAAGTCAATTGCATTAGAATTTTAGAGTTCCTGCAACTAAAGTTATATTCATTTTCTAGTATCCTAACTAGGAAAAGTCTACCTGTTGCAATTGCCATCAACTGGACTGCACACTTTTCTTAGTCCTTTATTATAAAGCAGATAATTTTTTTGAGACCACAGGATTCAGCAAATATAGGCCACCAGTCAAAAGCTATTAGACTGTGGATACTATCAAGGGGAAAACAAAATGCCTCAACGAC
This sequence comes from Homo sapiens, assembly GCF_000001405.40. Lineage (NCBI taxonomy): Eukaryota > Metazoa > Chordata > Mammalia > Primates > Hominidae > Homo > Homo sapiens. The sequence continues at coordinate 64,848,068 of NC_000004.12, read as the reverse complement.
TCAGGTAAGTGCTAAGGTTAAACTTAAAAGACTGACTATAACAACAATTTTGGGAGTATATTTTTTATACCATTTATTATATTGCACTGTTTGACACCATGTAGTATATTGCACCTATAAATCAGTCACAACAAATTATTTAATGATGCATTAACTGTAGAATTTCACATATATTACTGTTCCTTACCCAATGTTGAGTGCTTTTTCAATAGCTTAATCCATCCCTGAAGTACTGGAACAAATATAGTCATCCATCATTTTAGACCACAATTTGAACTGCAGTTTTCTTATACTATTTTATTTTATCCAAAAATAACCCTACCGATAATAGTTCAAATTCTAAATGAGAACAAAAGCTCACCAAATATACAATTATATGCACAGATTAGCATCCTTCATCCTTCTTTAAACTTGTTTTCTTGTTTGTTAATTGAGATGTTTTTTCTTTCCCTTCTCCTCTCTCTATTTTATGTCACTAGTACAAATTAAAATAAAAATTAAAGTAAGAGATACATTTTAAAAGATGACTTGAAAAATGACTTCAAACATTATTATATCTTTAGATAGAAATAATTAAAATAACTTGAATAAAACCCAATATTATCTTGTTTCTTGGGAATTTTGTATCATTAATTTTGTTGTTTAATCTAATTGAATAAACTGAATAAATGCCATATACATCCCAAGTAGATAGCATATAGAAACTGAATTAATGAAGCTTTCATTAAACAGAGAAGACTGAACAAGCTTATTTACTTCTACTCCCTTCTGAAATTTAACTGAAATGATGGTAATTAAGTATGAAAGTTACTAATCCACAAGGAACCTTCAAAATTAAGTCTGGGATTAGAGTTTTAATTTTGAAAGACTGCATGGATATTGCATTTCTTCAAATGCTCACTCCCAAAACTTGAATTTATCCTTAACTACTCTTTTTCTCAATCCCCACCTAAAATCCACCAGCAAATGTTACCTCTAGCTTCAAATTATATCTGACTTCTCATCATACCCACCAAGGTCGAAAACCCTATCATCTTTAATCTAGATTATTAAAATAAAACCTTCTTACTTGTTTCCCTTCTCATACCCTTAGTCCTTTCCATAAAGACAAATGTGAATCTAAAATGAAAGTCAGATTATATAAGTCATCTGCTCAAAAATCTTCAATATGAAGAAATTCCACTGGGCAAAGAAGCACCAGTGTTAGGTGTCCGACAAAGCCTCTTATAGTCGAATACGCTTCCATCTGAACTTCTCTCCTGACTCTTTTCTTCTGGTTTACTTTACTCCAGTCCCTAAAACACACCAAGTAAGGTTCTGCCTTAAGATCTTTGAATTTATTCTTCCCTCTCTCTGAAACATCCCTTTCTTAGTGTGATTCATTCTTCTTTCTTTTCAAGTGTTTTCAAATTATCACCATGCTAGCAAGGCCTTCTATGTTTACTCAATAAATCATACCTCCCACTCTACTCTGACTCCTTAACTCTTAGTCAAACAGTATTTTTCTCTATATACATATCTCAAATATGTTATGATCAACAAATAAGTACTATATTTCCATGTTAACTTCTGTCATGCTCCCTTAATGATGGTCAGGCCTGAGAAATTCCTACTCTCTGCTTTCTCTGATTCTATTGTCAACCTTCTGGTTATTGCTACAAAATTTCACAAAACTGTACTATGCACTATTGTTTGGCACAATCAACTCATTGATTCTCTTCTTCTGACTCTTACTTACTTTCGCATATGAAATGACCTTATCACAAATTGTAGCTATAGAGGCCATCACTGACATGATGGAAAACCCTGCTATTACAGTAAGGGAATTAGAGATAGCTCAGACTATGAAAGACTATCAAAAACAAATGAGAATTATTGCTTATTTTCTTCTAATTTGGGATGTCTAGCCCATGAATTCTAGCCCTGTCCTGATCATTTTTATCACAGTTTTAGAAAATGGACCTGGCTGGGCACGGTGGCTCACGCCTGTAGTCCCAGCACTTTGGGAGGCCGAGGTGGGTGGATCACGAGGTCAGGAGATCGAGACCATCCTGGCCAACATAGTGAAACCTCAACTCTACTAAAAATATGAAAATTAGGTGGAAGTGGTGGCATGTGCCTGTAGTCTCAGCTACTTGGGAAGCTGAGGTAGAAGAATGGCTTGAACCTGGGAGGCGGAGCTTGCAGTGAGCCGAGAACGCGCCACTGCACTCTAGCCTGGCAACAGAGCAAGACTCCATCTCAAAAAAAAAAGAAAAAAGAAAAAAGAAAAGAAAAAGAGTAAAATGGACCTTGGACCTTTATCATGTTCCCTAATGTTTGAGTATTTTTTTCCAGAACTGTGGGAACAAATTTCTCTCTACTTTATTCCAGTATTCCATTGACTAAATAATGTCATGAATTTTAGTTTCAGTTATTAGGTCTTTATCACCTCCTGCTAAACCTATTCAGTGCCAAATATAAGCATTCATTATCCTCTGATCAATGCTCAATTAAATATCTCTCTGACTCTTGATTGTGTTCCTGGCATCTTGGGCATTTGTTGTCTGATCGTCAGGGCCCTTTTATTTCAGGAAAGACCAGTCTGTACACAATCCTGTTTAATGTCTTGTTAGCTTCCAATTGTAATCTTTTATCTAAGTTATTTATTTCAACTTCTCTTTCATTTTCCTCTTCTTTTTCTTCAGCAATGTCTCTCCACCTCTAAAAGGTAATCTCACCTAACATCAAATTTCTATTATTTCATTTTTTCTCCAGAAAATTACTTTCCTCTTTTTTCTCTCCCTTTCTGATCTTACTTCTTTCCCCTCTGTGAATAAAACCATACCTACTTCTTGTCTCTAAAGGAGATTGAAAATAATTTCTCTGAATTAAATATCTACTATGAACTACACAATTAATTTTGTGTTTATATAATTGACAAACTCTCTGAAAGGACAGTATATTGTCCTTATTTCTACTTTATTCTCAAATATTTACCCATTCAGTCCTTAATACATCACAAAAGCCATTGTCACCACCCCATTCCATATACTAACGTACATATTTCAGTAATTATTATCCACATTATTTCCAGATTATCAATAATTATTTTTAGTTCTTAGGTTTTTCTACACTATTTAAACTATCTTTTATTTTTGATATTATTTCATTATTTGACTTTAATAGTCTACATGCTTTTAGTTTTCTTACCTCGAATTTACTTTTTTCTTATTTGCCTCTTTGAAATCTCTTCCTCCTTGATACAGCATTCTTTCTCTGATCCAATATGTGTTGTCTAGGCTTTTGTTTTAAGTCATTATTCTTCTCTTTATACTTTCTGTCAGATATCTCATCAAAATATTTTTATAAATATAATAGTTAAAGATAGCTAGCAAATGTATATATCTCAATCTGTTTCTCAAGTTCTATGAGTGGATTTAATAGACTGCTGAAGGAAATGACCCAAATATACAATGACATGTCACAGTTATAATCATGTTAAAATTCAACATTTTCCTACAAGTGAGATATTTATCCTGACTTCACAGTTAGGGATACTGGCACCTCTCTTATTACAATCACCCAGAATTAATATTTAGAAATCATATTTTACTTTTTAAAAGTGGTCATCTCATAGATCCTAATAGTTGCCAAAATCTGAGAGTATGCTTTATACTATCTTGTCATTACCGTGATATAAATTATTGTTACCTTTTTATGGGGTTCTTTCAGAAGTTTCTTAAATGCTAGTAAGACCTCCAAACTTTTTTTTAACACAATGCACAAATAAATACTCCCAAATAATTGCTTAATTATTCCCACTGTTTCTAGTTCTAAACTTGATCCTTCTTTTTAATCTTTAGGCTCTTAACAAAGTATATTAAAAGTCTTTTCAACCAGTTCCATGAGTATTTTGTCTTATTCACTTATACATCAATCAAACTTACCAGTCCGTCGTATCTTTGTACTTTCTTATGTTTTCTTGTAACATTTATTTATAATGAAACACTTTGCCAATAATTTATATTTAATATCAATCTCTCAAAACCTCTACATTGCTTAAAACCTAGCTCTAATGTTCCTTTATCAAATGATCCCTAATTTATTTCATTTTGATACATTTATTTTTCCCTAAATTCTCATGGCATTATTGCTGTCTTTGGAAGCATTTGTTAAATCGTCTTTTCTTAAAGTTCATGCATTCTTTGACAAATATTTATCGAGCACATCACTTCCTTCTCAATGAGGCATACCCTACTCACTCATTTAATGTTCAAGTCTTTCACAATTTCCATTATGGTCAATTTACATAGCAATCATCACCTGCTAAAATACTACACATTTATATGCTTATTAGGTTATTTTATATTATCTTTCTTTGTGAACTACGAAGAAAGCTTCATGACTACAGGAATTATTGCCTATTTTGTTTACTGATATATTCCCAGTACTGAAAAGTATGCCTGTCTAAAGGTCACATTCAACAAAATTTTTTAATGAATGAATGAGCACTGACTTTCTTCCAGGTACAGTGTGAACTGCAGTAAACAAAACAGGCACATATTATAGTCATATTATTTAGAGGATTCCTGTTTAAGAGTGAAAATAGACGTTAAACCCAAAATTAACCAATAATTACGAAGGCTGAAAAGGAAAAAAATAACATAGCCTGTTCAAAAGATATTTAAACTGTCTTGGAAGATATATAGGTGTTACTCTGTAATGAGCTTTTCAGTTGAAAAAATAGCATATGTGAAAGCTCAAAGCTCAGAAAGAAGTTTTCAAGAAGCTTGAGTGATGTGAGTAGAATATGCACCATGAGCGAAGCCCAGGTCATATCATGTAGGATTTTATTCTAAGAGCATTGAGCAGGCATTACAGAATTTTTAAACAATAACCTGCAGTGATTAGACTCATATTTTTGAAAATATCACTGTTGCTGTTCCACAAAAAAAATGAATTGAATATGAACGGGATTGATGTAAATAAATAAATTGCGGTCGGGCGCCATGGCTCACGCCTGTAATCCCAGCACTTTGGGAGGCCAAGGCGGGTGGATCACGAGGTCAGGAGATCGAGACCATCCTGGCTAACACAGTGAAACCTCGTCTCTACTAAAAATAGAAAAAATTAGCCAGGCGTTGTGGCGGGCTCCTGTAGTCCCAGCTATTTTGGAGGCTGAGGCAGGAGAATGGCGTGAACCAGGGAGGCGGAGCTTGCAGTGAGCCGAGATCGCCTGCTGCACTCCAGCCTGGGCGACAGAGCAAGACTCCATCTCAATAAATAAATAAGTAAGTAACTAATTTGACTTCCTCTTTTCCTAATTGAATACCCTTTATTTCCTTCTCCTGCCTAATTGCCCTGGCCAGAACTTCCAGCACTATGTTGAATAGGAGCGGTGAGAGAGGGCATCCCTGTCTTGTGCCAGTTTTCAAAGGGAATGCTTCCAGTTTTTGCCCATTCAGTATGATATTGGCTGTGGGTTTGTCATAGATAGCTCTTATTATTTTGAAATATGTCCCATCAATAACTAATTTATTGAGAATTTTTAGCATGAAGGGTTGTTGAATTTTGTCAACGGCTTTTTCTGCATCTATTGAGATAATCATGTGGTTTTTGTCTTTGGCTCTGTTTATATGCTGGATTACATTTACTGATTTGCGTATATTGAACCAGCCTTGCATCCCAGGAATGAAGCCCACTTGATCATGGTGGATAAGCTTTTTGATGTGCTGCTGGATTCGTTTTGCCAGTATTTTATTGAGGATTTTTGCATCAATGTTCATCAAGGATATTGGTCTAAAATTCTCTTTTTTTGGTTGTGTCTCTGCCGGGCTTTGGTATCAGAATGATGCTGGCCTCATAAAATGAGTTAGGGAGGATTCCCTCTTTTTCTATTGATTGGAATAGTTTCAGAAGGAATGGTACCAGTTCCTCCTTGTACCTCTGGTAGAATTCGGCTGTGAATCCATCTGGTCCTGGACTTTTTTTGGTTGGTAAACTATTGATTATTGCCACAATTTCACCTCCTGTTATTGGTCGATTCAGAGATTCAACTTCTTCCTGGTTTAGTCTTGGGACAGTGTATGTGTCGAGGAATGTATCCATTTCTTCTAGATTTTCTAGTTTATTTGCGTAGAGGTGTTTGTAGTATTCTCTGATGGTAGTTTGTATTTCTGTGGGATCGGTGGTGATATCCCCTTTATCATTTTTTATTGTGTCTATTTGATTCTTCTCTCTTTTTTTCTTTATTAGTCTTGCTAGCGGTCTATCTATTTTGTTGATCCTTTCAAAAAACCAGCTCCTGGATTCATTGATTTTTTGAAGGGTTTTTTGTGTCTCTATTTCCTTCAGTTCTGCTCTGATGTTAGTTATTTCTTGCCTTCTGCTAGCTTTTGAATGTGTTTGCTCTTGCTTTTCTAGTTCTTTTAATTGTGATGTTAGGGTGTCAATTTTGGATCTTTCCTGCTTTCTCTTGTGGGCATTTAGTGCTATAAATTTCCCTCTACACACTGCTTTGAATGTGTCCCAGAGATTCTGGTATGTTGTGTCTTTGTTCTCGTTGGTTTCAAAGAACATCTTTATTTCTGCCTTCATTTCGTTATGTACCCAGTAGTCATTCAGGAGCAGGTTGTTCAGTTTCCATGTAGTTGAGCGGCTTTGAGTGAGATTCTTAATCCTGAGTTCTAGTTTGATTGCACTGTGGTCTGCGAGATAGTTTGTTATAATTTCTGTTCTTTTACATTTGCTGAGGAGAGCTTTACTTCCAACTATGTGGTCAATTTTGGAATAGGTGTGGTGTGGTGCTGAAAAAAATGTATATTCTGTTGATTTGGGGTGGAGAGTTCTGTAGATGTCTATTAGGTCCGCTTGGTGCAGAGCTGAGTTCAATTCCTGGGTATCCTTGTTGACTTTCTGTCTCGTTGATCTGTCTAATGTTGACAGTGGGGTGTTAAAGTCTCCCATTATTAATGTGTGGGAGTCTAAGTCTCTTTGTAGGTCACTCAGGACTTGCTTTATGAATCTGGGTGCTCCTGTATTGGGTGCATATATATTTAGGGTAGTTAGCTCTTCTTGTTGAATTGATCCCTTTACCATTATGTAATGGCCTTCTTTGTCTCTTTTGATCTTTGTTGGTCTAAAGTCTGTTTTATCAGAGACTAGAATTGCAACCCCTGCCTTTTTTTGTTTTCCATTTGCTTGCTAGATCTTCCTCCATTCTTTTATTTTGAGCCTAGGTGTGTCTCTGCACGTGAGATGGGTTTCCTGAATACAGCACACTGATGGGTCTTGACTCTTTATCCAACTTGCCAGTCTGTGTCTTTTAATTGGAGCATTTAGTCCATTTACATTTAAAGTTAATACTGTTATGTGTGAATTTGATCCTGTCATTATGATGTTAGCTGGTGATTTTGCTCATTAGTTGATGCAGTTTCTTCCTAGTCTCAATGGTCTTTACATTTTGGCATGATTTTGCAGCGGCTGGTACCGGTTGTTCCTTTCCATGTTTAGTACTTCCTTCAGGAGCTCTTTTAGGGCAGGCCTGTTGGTGACAAAATCTCTCAGCATTTGCTTGTCTGTAAAGTATTTTATTTCTCCTTCACTTATGAAGCTTAGTTTGGCTGGATATGAAATTCTGGGTTGAAAATTCTTTCCTTTAAGAATGTTGAATATTGGCCCCCACTCTCTTCTGGCTTGTAGGGTTTCTGCCGAGAGATCCGCTGTTAGTCTGATGGGCTTCCCTTTGAGGGTAACCCGACCTTTCTCTCTGGCTGCCCTTAACATTTTTTCCTTCATTTCAACTTTGGTGAGGAGGAAGTCAAATTGTCCCTGTTTGCAGACGGCATGATTGTATATCTAGAAAACCCCATTGTCTCAGCCCAAAATCTCCTTAAGCTGATAAGCAACTTCAGCAAAGTCTCAGGATACAAAATCAATGTACAAAAATCACAAGCATTCTTATACACCAACAACAGACAAACAGAGAGCCAAATCATGAGTGAACTCCCATTCACAAATTGCTTCAAAGAGAATAAAATACCTAGGAATCCAACTTACAAGGGATGTGAAGGATCTCTTCAAGAAGGACTACAAACCACTGCTCAGTGAACTAAAAGAGGATACAAAGAAATGGAAGAACATTCCATGCTCATGGGTAGGAAGAATCAATACCGTGAAAATGGCCATACTGCCCAAGGTAATTTACAGATTCATTGCCATCCCCATCAAGCTACCAATGACTTTCTTCACAGAATTGGAAAAAACTACTTTAAATTTCATATGGAACCAAAAAAGAGCCCGCATCGCCAAGTCAATCCTAAGCCAAAAGAACAAAGCTGGAGGCATCACACTACCTGACTTCAAACTATACTACAAGGCTACAGTAACCAAAACAGCATGGTACTGGTACCAAAACAGACATATAGATCAATGGAACAGAACAGAGCCCTCAGAAATAACGCCGCATATCTACAACTATCTGATCTTTGACAAACCTGACAAAAACAAGCAATGGGGAAAGGATTCCCTATTTAATAAATGGTGCTGGGAAAACTGGCTAGCCATATGTAGAAAGCTGAAACTGGATCCCTTCCTTACACCTTATACAAAAATCAATTCAAGATGGATTAAAGATTTAAACGTTAGACCTAAAACCATAAAAACCCTAGAAGAAAACCTAGGCATTACCATTCAGGACATAGGAATGGGCAAGGACTTCATGTCCAAAACACCAAAAGCAATGGCAACCAAAGCCAAAATTGACAAATGGGATCTAATTAAACTAAAGAGCTTCTGCACAGCAAAAGAAACTACCATCAGAGTGAACAGGCAACCTACAAAATGGGAGAAAATTTTCGCAACCTACTCATCTGACAAAGGGCTAATATCCAGAATCTACAATGAACTCAAACAAATTTACAAGAAAAAAACAAACAACCCCATCAAAAAGTGGGCGAAGGACATGAACAGACACTTCTCAAAAGAAGACATTTATGCAGCCAAAAAACACATGAAAAAATGCTCATCATCACTGGCCATCAGAGAAATGCAAATCAAAACCACAATGAGATACCATCTCACACCAGTTGGAATGGCAATCATTAAAAAGTCAGAAAACAACAGGTGCTGGAGAGGATGTGGAGAAATAGGAACACTTTTACACTGTTGATGGGACTGTAAACTAGTTCAACCATTGTGGAAGTCAGTGTGGCGATTCCTCAGGGATCTAGAACTAGAAATACCATTTGACCCAGCCATCCCATTACTGGGTATATACCCAAAGGATTATAAATGATGCTGCTATAAAGACACATGCACACGTATGTTTATTGCGGCATTATTCACAATAGCAAAGACTTGGAACCAACCCAAATGTCCAACAATGATAGACTGGATTAAGAAAATGTGGCACATGTACACCATGGAATACTATGCAGCCATAAAAAATGATGAGTTCATGTCCTTTGTAGGGACATGGATGAAATTGGAAATCATCATTCTCAGTAAACTATCGCAAGAACAAAAAACCAAACACCGCATATTCTCACTCATAGGTGGGAATTGAACAATGAGATCACATGGACACAGGAAGGGGAATATCACACTCTGGGGACTGTGGTGGGGTGGGGGGAGGGGGGAGGGATAGCATTGGGAGATATACCTAATGCTAGATGACGAGTTAGTGGGTGCAGCGCACCAGCATGGCACATGTATACATATGTAACTAACCTGCACAATGTGCACATGTGCCCTAAAACTTAAAGTATAATAAAAAAAAGTAAGTAACTAAATAAATAAATAGATAGATAAATAAATAGCTTAGTAGTAGATTAGAACAGTTTATGTACAGTAAATGGTGGCTTGATTTAAGATGGTAGCATTATAACAGAGAAAAATGAAACAGTTACTTTTTTACACAGATGAGTTTCATAAAGCAATTGCAAATGCCTTGAGAGCAAGGAAATACATTTTGACTTTTATTTGGTGTGGCTCCTTCAAATGGAGGAAACCACATTAGCTTTGGATTCAGATATACAGAAATTGTAGTTCACTTCGACTCTGTTTAAACAATGTAATTTTACTAATTACTAAACTCTTTGAGCTTCCGTTTTTCCCCTGTATATGGCAAATATTAACGTATCACTTATGGAGCTGTAGTAAACACTAAATAAAACTGTGCATGCCAATATCCTAACAGAGATCTGCATGTGCCTGATAGCAGGCTCTCAATAAATACGCTCCCCTAGTAGATAGTCCAGTTCCTATGAATGCCACTGCACTCCAGCCTTGGCAACAGAGCAAAACTCCATCTTAAAAACAAACAAACCAAAAAAATTCATGAGTTGTTTATTGTGTGTTTGTTTTTGAGATGGAGTTTTGCTTTGTTACCAAGGCTGGAGTGCAGTGGCATGACCTCCAGTCACTGCAACCTCCGCCTCCTGGGCTCAAGCAATCTTCCCACCTCAGCCTCCTGAGTAGCTCGGACTACAGGCGTGCACTACCACCCCTGGCTAATTTTTTTGTATTTTTGGTAGAGATGGGGTTTCGTCATGTTGTCCAGGATGGTCTGGAACTCCTGAGCTCAAGGGATCCACCCTCCTCGGCTTCCCAAAGTGCTAGGATTACAGGCATGAGCCATTGCAACTGGCCACACATGTTTTTTATACACCAATGTTTAATTGAACAATTTTAAGTATTGGCACGAGATGTTATGGGGAGCCCTGATTTCTTTTTGAAAAATGTAAGCAAATAAACCTTTAAGTTGTATTACAAATGACCTTATAGCTTTTTTGAATATTACAGACATTCAAAACCACTGAGTGGAATATTAAGATATCTAAAATAAATGACTTATCCTCTAACATTTAACTTATGTGTACTTTAAATATGATACTTTTTAGTTTGAGGATTACCATTCTTTCCACAATTTATTGAGTTTTATCAACTGATTTTTCATTTTAATATAACTTCTGGGTCAGAAGCAGAACAGATAATCACTTAAAGACACATATAGGAGGCTGGGCGCTGTGGCTCATGCCTATAATCCCAGCACTTTGGGAGGCCGAGGCGGGTGGATCACCTGAGGTCAGTTCAGTTCAAGACCAGCCTGGCCAACATGGTGAAACGCCGTCTCCACTACAAATACAAAAATTAGCAGAGCATGATGGTGGGTGCCTGTAATCTCACCTACCCGGAAGGCTAAGGCAAGGGTCGCTTGAACTCGGGAGGCGGAGGTTGCAGTGAGCCGAGATCGCGCAGCTGCACTCCATCCTTGGCGAGAGTGAGACTCTGTCGGAAAAAAAAAAAAAAAAAAAAAAAAAAGACATATAGAAAATGTATGAAATGTATTTAAGAAAATTGACTTACCAGCTGTTTACTAGAAAATGTACAATTACCATTATTTTTCTACTACCATTTTCTTCATGTATTTTCTGGAAGTATGGTATATACATCTATATCTGTATATCACATATAGATATCTATTCTAGAAGTGCTTCATATACAGGATAATTGAATAATTATGTTTTCATTTTATAAGTGAGAAAATTCAGTTCTAGCATGATTAATTGGTATGCTCAATATTACATAGTTATTTGATGTCGAATTTTCTTTAGTTTTTTCTTTCCAGGTTAGTACATATTTTAGTTATACCGACTATTTCTTTTCTTACATATATCTTCTTCTAGTAGCATTATAATCCTGACAACCCAGAAAGTTTCAATGGAAGCAAAGAGAGAGAGGAGAACAAGAAGAAAGAGGTGGAAGAGGAGATGTAGTGATGGAGGTTGGGGAGATTTCGAGCCCTAATAAAATTTGACACAAACACCTGATGTTTATCAAGTGCGTCTTCAAAGTTCAAGAAAATTGTATTTCTAATGCTTAGCATACAGTTTAGCAATAAAACTAGTTATGAAAAAATAATTGATTTAAAGATGAAATAAATATAGGAAAAATAGAGAAAATGGATTTACAATAACAATAATAAGAGCAGCTTAGAATGCTGTAGCCTTACAAAATATTTTTATTTACCTTGGATGTGTTTTTTGTTTTTTTCATCCTATGACATATGGTGGTATTATCCATTGTTTTCTAGGAAGGAAACATACTCATATGTAAGATAAGTGACTTGTTAATATCATAATATGTTGGTCAAACCAAATAAATTCCCAATCTTGGGTCACAGTCCTATGTTCTTTTTAAGATATGACACTAGAATAATTCATTAAAAGTAGTAAGTGTCCTTAGAAAATTAATAAAACACTTGCAATTACTATTGCATTTTAGAATAGTTCTGTTGTTGAAATTATCATGCTAATAATGAGTTTATAAATACCTGCTGGGGTCAGGTTATACAATTATTATAAAAATAATAAAAATTATGTAATTCTTGATTCTTCTTATAGTTTGTAGTTATTTGTAGCAAATATAGAATATATTAATCTTCCCAGGCCCCTAATCTCTTGTGCACCTTGTGTCCTATGTTTACACATGTGAAGAAAATTATTAGGAAAATTTGTTTTATAATTTCTTGTTATCTTGGTTTAAACATGCATAAGAAAAAATTATTTTTATTTTATTTATTTATACTTTATTTATTTATTTATTTGGAGAAATAATTTTAATGCAAAGGAATGTAAGAGTTCTTAAAGTGTTCCTCAGGTCATAAATCAAGATGTAGAAAAGTAAAAAAGCTAGGAGTGTAGCTTTATACATACTATTTTTTTATCTTATTTTTTTATTTCCGTAGGTTTTTGGGGAACACGTGGTGTTTGGTTAGATGAATAAATTCATTAGTGGATATTTCTGACATTTTGATGCACCCATCACCCAAGCAGTGTACACTGAACCCAACTTGTAATTTCTTATCCTTCATCTCCTTCCTACCCTTGCTCCTGCGTCCCCCCGAAGTCCATTGTATCATTCTTATGCATTTGAATCCTCATAACTTAGCTCCCATTTATGATTGAGAACATACAATATTTGGTTTTTCATTCCTAAGTTACTTCACTTTGAATAATGGTCTCCAATTCCATCCAGGTCACTGTGTATGCCATTATTTCATTGCATTTTATGGCTAAATTGTATTCCATGGTGTATTCCACGGTGTATGTGTGTGTGTGTGTGTATATATATGTGTATATATATATGTGTGTATATATGTATATATGTGTATATATGTATAGATATGTGTATATATGTGTATATATGTATATGTGTATATATGTGTGTATATGTATATGTAGATATATATGTGTATATATACACATATGTAGATATATATGTAGATATATGTGTATATGTGTATATATATACATATATGTATACTTATATGTAGATATATATGTGTATATATACACATATGTAGATATATATGTAGATATATGTGTATATGTGTATATATATACATATATGTATACTTATATGTATATACATATATGTATATATGTGTATGTATACATATATGTATATATGTATATATGTATATATGTATGTATATATGTATACATATATGTATATATGTATATATGTATACATATATGTATATATGTATATATGTATACATATATGTATATATGTATATATGTATACATATATGTATATATGTATATATGTATACATATATGTATATATGTATATATGTATACATATGTAGATATATATGTGTGTATATATATATACACACACACACATATCTCTCTACATATACGTATATATAAAGTTTTTATCCACTGGTTGATTGATGGGCATTTGGGTTGGTGCATATTTTTGCAATTGCAGTTGTACTGCTCTAAACATGCATGTACAAGTATCTTTTTCATATAATGACTTCTTTTCCTCTGGATAGATACCTAGTAGTGGGATTGCTGGATCAAATGGTAATTCTACTTTTAGTTCTTTAAGGAATCCCCACACTGTTTTCCATAGTGGTCATGCTAGTTTACATTCCCACCAGCAATGTAAAAATGTTCTCTTTTTACCACATCCCCACCAACATCTACTATATTTTGATTTTTTTATTATGGTCATTCTTGAAGGAGTAAGGTGATATTGGATTGTGGTTTTGATTGCATTTCTGTGATCATTAGTGATGTTCAGCGTTTTCTTGTATGTTTGTAGGCCATATTTATATATTTATATTTATATTATACCTTCTTTTGAGAATTTTCTATTCATGCCCTTAGCCCACTTTTTGATGGGGTTGTTTGCTTTTTTCTTGCTAATTTGTTTGAGTTCCTTGTAGATTCTGGATATTAGTCTTCTGTTGTATGCACAGACTGTGAAGATTTTCTCCTACTCTGTAGGTTGTCTGTTTACTCTGCTGATGATTGTTTCTTTTGCTGTGCAGAAGCTTTTTAGTTTAATTAAGTCCTATCTATTTATCTTCGTTTTTGTTGCATTTGCTTTTGGGTTCTTGGTCGTAAGTTCACACCTCAAGGAGCTAGAGAAGTAAGAACAAACTATACTCAAACCCAGCAGAAGAAAAGAAATAACCAAGATCAGAGCATAACTAAATAAAATTTTAACAAAAACATACAAACGACAAATGAAACAAAAAGCTGGTTCTTCGAAAGATAAATAAACTTCATAGACCATTAGCAAGATTAACGAAGAAAAGAAGGGAGAAGATCCAAATAACCTCACTAAGAAACAAAACAGGAGATATTACAATCAATACCACAGAAATGCAAAAGGTCATTCAAGGCTATTATGATCACCTTTATGCACATAAACTAGAAAACCTAGAGAAGATAGATAAATTCCTGAAATATACAATCCTTCTAGATTAAATCAGGAAGAAATAGAAACTCTGAACAGACCAATAACAAGCAGCGAGATTGAAATGGTAATTAAAAAGTTACCACCAAAAAATGTCCAGAAACAGATAGATTCACAGCTGAATTCTATCAGACATTCGAAGAAGAATTGGTACCAATCCTATTGACACTATTCCAAAAGATAAAGAAAGAAGTAATTCCCTAAATCATTCTATGAAGCCAGTATCAGCTTCATACTAAAACCAGGAAAGGGCATAACAACAACAACAAAAACTACAGACCAATATCCCTGATGAACATGGATGCAAAAATACTCAACAAAATACCAGCTAACCGAATCCAACAGCATATCAAAAAGATAATCTACCATGATCAAGTGGGTTTCATAGTAAGGAAGCAGAGATGGCTCAACATATGCAAGTCAAAAAAATGTGATACAACACATAAACAGAATTAAAAACAAAAACCACATGATCATCTCAATAGATGCAGAAAAAAGATTGGACGAAATCCAGTATTCCTTTATGATTAAACCCTCTACAAAATCGGCATGAAAGGGACATACCTTAATGTAATAAAAGCCGTCTATGATAAACCCACAGCCAACATAATACTGAATGGGGAAAGGTTGAAACCATTCCCCCTGAGAACTGGAACAAGACAAGGATGCTCAATCTTACCACTTCTATTCAATGTAGCACTGGAAGTCCTAGCTAGGTCAGTTAGACAAGAGAAAGAGAAAGAAAGAAAAAGAAAGAAAGAAAGAAAAGAAAGAAAGAAAGAAAGAAAGAAAGAAAGAAAGAAAGAAAGAAAGAAAGAAAGAGAAAGAGAAAGAAAGAAAGAGAAAGAGAAAGAAAGAAAGAGAAAGAGAGAAAGAAAGAAAGAAAGAAAGAAAAAGAGAAAGAAAGAAAGAAAGAGAAAGAAAGAAAGAAAGAGGAGAAAGGAAGGAAGGAAAGAAGGAAAGAAAGAAAAGAAAGAAAAAGAAAATCGGTAAAGAGGAAGTCAAACTGTTGCTGTTTGCTAATGATATGATCATATACCTAGAAAACCCCATAGACTCATCTAAAAAGCTCCTAGATCTGGTAAATGAATTAAGCAAAGCTTTATAAATATTATTATTAAATTTTCATGACTCTACAAGTTAGGTATTGTTACTCTGCTCCAAATTAACACATCTAGTAAGTGACCTTTTTAAAATTTCAATTTAAACCAGTGTTTTCCAGTACTGACATAATTTACTGTGATAATACCTGGCCACTCGGTTTCCAGCTTTTATATTCAATTCCTGATATATTTAGTGTGTGGGGACCTATATCTATGAGTGGTCTGTATAGCATAGTTGCTGTCACTACATGTCTCACCAAGATTCCTTAAATGACAAGGAAGCCCAGGAGAGAAAATTTTAAAATGTTCAACAGTGAAAGGACTTGGAAACTATTGAGTAAGCAAGGAACATCTCAGAACTATATAATTAATAATTTCTACAAAATATGCTACCTTAGAGAACTTGTATTACTGAAATGAGACTTTGTATGCAACACCAGCACTTCAAAATACAGGGGCTAAAGCTGGAAAACTTTCTAGAAGCTGCTAATGTTGGAGTCCATTGCTTGGGGGGACCAACTGCCTGCAGATAATATGGAGAAATAGCAGCTACTCCAGGGCACTGCTGCCAGTGGAAATAATGTTGTCAATTCACTCTGTTAACAGGGTCACTGTAACACAAGATATACTCAGAAAAATCTAGACTCTAATCTTTGCTCTGACACCATAAAATCTTAAAAAAAAAAATAAGTTCACTTCCCTGAGATTCAATTTCCTCCCAGATTAAATGGAAATTATAATTCTCATTTTGCTAAACATTGGTAAGGATTAGACATTATGATTAAAACAATTCAAAAACATGTCTCTCTGTGTCATTATTATAGTCTTGGTCATTGTTATGGCTTAAATTGTGTTCCCCTAAAAGATATGTTGAAGTTCTAACCCCTGGTACCTCTGAAAGTAACTTTACTTGGAAATAATAGGGTATTTTCAGATATAATAAAATTAAAGTCATTGCAGTGGATCCTAAATCAATATAACCTGTGTCCCTTTAAAAAGAGGAGAAGAAAGAGACCCAGGATAGAAAGCCATGTGAAGATAGAGGCAGAGACTGAAGTTATGTGACTACATGCTATGGAATGCCAAGTTTGAGCCTCCAGGAGCCAGGAAAAAGGCAAGAAGTGTTTTTCCCTAGAGTTACGGGAGAGAACCTGGCTCTTGTGACATTTTGATTTTGAACTTCTGGCCTTAAGAATTGTGAAACGATACATTTGTGTTGTTTTAATATACCCATTTTCTGGCAGTTTGTTACAGCAGCCCTGGAAAACTTATACAGTTATTATCATCATCATCTCCTGAGTGGTTGTGTGGCTGAGTTTGTAAACGGCTATTATTTCAACTGCTTCCAAAGGCTCTCCTATGGGCAAACAGCATGTCAGATTTAAAGAACACCAGTGGTTCCAGAATAGCTTGATCTTTTTTTTCACAAGAATATAAAGGAAGGATAATTTGTTCAGGAACATGTATATTTGAAGGCCTCGAAACTCAGTATGGAAGTTTAAGTGAGCTGTGGATCTTTGATGGGTCTTTAGATTTTCAAAAAAACCATCTGGCTTTGGAAAAAAGGAAAGAAATTCCTCAACTAATTACCAGGATCAAAAAGTACTGTTTCAGTTATCAAGTAGGCCACATGGAGATGAAAAAAAAAAGCCACAAATTAAGATATTAGACTATTAAGTCATTGGCTATGTTATTTTTCAAAATGGACAGAATCACTAATTATTTATAATCGTTATCATTACTATAAGATGTACAATTAATTATATTGAGCAATCATGGAAATTTCAATCAGCACATGTGCATAAGCAATATAAAACCAAAATATTGAAAAATATCTTCTTTGGTTATCTACATGGAAACATTCAAGTCTTGATTTAACCTCATTTGATTGTAGTGTGGCCCGTAAAAATATGGGGCAAGCTTTTAAATGGCACCATTTAAAATGACATACCAATGAAACATGGCAAAATGAATCTCAAGGGAAGACAACTTAATAAGACTATGAATTTCTCAATATAAATTTAAATGAAATGCCTTACGAGATTGTGAGGGGTTGCTGGTTAGCCCCTGGCTATCAAGGAAATGGTGGATACCTCCCATGAGAACAAGAGGTTCTGATAAAGAAAGATTTTCTTTAAAAGGGCAATGTTATGTTGGGAAATTAATCTCAGCAGGAAAACCTAAAAGGGTCAAATTTAATGGGTTTTTGATAACCCTTATGTATATATATGGTATTACCTACCTTTGAAGAACATTCTCTTTGTGTAATGGGCTTTGACATAATTTACAACCACCACTCATTTTTTGAGTTATAAGGGTTGTATTTTCCTAACCACCCCAGAATAGACATGCTGTGTGTCAAATCAGAAAATGTTTCATTTCATATAGAAATAAAATGCTTTCATCAAGAACTGTTTCTTTCCAGAGAAATACTTGGAACACATATTTTTGACATACATTTGGGAGAAAAATTTCATTTTTATTATCACAAAAAGTCACTTCAGGCTGTGCTGAGGTACTGATTAATGCTTGCCTAGGTTACAGTGAAGGTACTCATGTTTCACTGTGCTCTCTAGATAGGCATTAATCGCTTCCAACTCTCCATGTTAAGTCATTTCTTCTCCCAGGTTGGAGGCACTTAAAAAATAAAAGCTTCAAACATGGGTAAAAAAACACAGTAAGAAAAGAAAAATACAAAGACTAGTGGAAGTAGAGAGAATTATTATTCTCATTACCTAATTGGTATTACCTAATTTATTTAAGTTGTTGCTGAATTATGAGAATGTGCCAAGACAACAAGAAAAAAGAAAAAACTGTTTTCAATCTTTCGTCTTTAAATCTTATTCATAGAAGTAAGATAAAAATCAAAGTGAAGATAAATGTAAATATGCTAGAGTTTTTTTAAAAAAAGCCTTACTGTTACATTTGTCTTTGATTATAATTTATAGAGATGATTTTATAAATCTTGGGTCTCCATTTGTCCAATCAGAATCACTTGTTTGATGATGGACTTAGACCTTGATTAGGGTATGATAGCATTTAGATGTGCACTGCTAGTACTGGCTGAAAAAACAGAGACATTCAGGCAAAATTTTCAGGTGTTTCTCCTTTGCACTCTCCTGAATCAGCTGCTAAACTTCTTCCTTATCATCCTGTCAAAATGATTAATAATAATATCAGTAAAAAGTGCATAACTAATGATAATAACTAATAATCAATATTGATAGACCATTTTAGGTACATTATAAATATTTCATGCATATCAATTTATTTAATTCTTATAATAATCCTAAAGTGTCTTATAATACTGTCTCCATTATGCAGACTTTTACAAATTAAGGTGCACAAAAATCAGATAAGTTTTGCAAAAAACACGAGCTAATAAGTGGAAGAGCCGGAATTTAAAGATAGTTATTTCTGATCATTTTGCTGAAATCTTAGCCAGTATTCTGGGATACATTATCAATAGCATTCTGAGTGTTTTAAGTCCTATATAGAAAAAATAGAGGTCCAATGATTATGAGCTTCATAAATTTATAAATAACACATTTAAATATTGGATAAAATATGTTGGGATGACAAAGAAAAGCATTTTATATGCATGGTACTTTAGCAATTATTGTAACAACTATTATTAAAAGAAAAAAATCCTAATTTGAACTAAGAGCCTTATCATATGAAAAGCAATTTCAACTATAAATATTTCCCTTGGTCAAACCTACACTTGAAATTTCCTCTCTTAAATCTATCACAATAAGACAGAGTAAAGATAATATGTTATTGCCAAATAAATAAGTTAAATAAATAAAAATCTGAGCAAAAAGTATAACAGAATGATCTTTCTAAAAGCAATTCTCATTGATCTTCATTGCTGTCACAACAATTGTTCAAGCTCAGGTTAATTCTATAGAGTATTTTTAAACTATAAAGAGGGAGAAAGGGAGAGAGGACAAAGAGCAATAGAGAGAAAGGGTTACCTTTATCTGAAAGACTAGTCAAGTTGCTGTAATACCACAATCACTACTTTTATAACTCATCTGACCTTTCTGTATAACTATATTTTTTAATTTTATTTTTGAAATTTACATTGACATTGACTCCTAGAGGAAACTTTAATTTATAGTAATTATATTGCAACAATAAAAGTAAAATGAAAATATACATTATATATGACAATATATGCTACATGTGTTAGGGATTCAATTTTATATGTAACATATATATTAAATGAATACATATTGCACACTATATATTATACCATTATATGCCTATATATAAGTAGTTTTTAAATTATATATATAAAATTTAAATGTTAAGTAGTCTATAATGAGGCATAACAAGATGTTGCAGGCAGTTGACAGCAGTGAACGTCATCCTTCTCTGTGTGAACGAGTTCTTCCCTTATTTAGTCAATAACCTTTATTTCATAAAGTTTCTGATACATATTGCTTAAAATCTTGAAAGCTGTCTTAATTCACAAGCATGTCTGGAATGCATGCAATTTTTATAAAAATTACCTATAGAGAATTAAATACAATAATAGAAAAGAAAGTTTTCTGTTTTTTTGTTAATAGCTATGCATTTGTTTGTTCTAAATAATGCCAACAAGAAAATATTTATTAATATAGTATTTGTTTCTGTGATGCTCCCCAAGACACTATGATAATGATTTATGAAGACCAAATAAGAGTTAACACTAGTTATATAGGACAATTGTCTAATTAAGCAGAAATCACTATGTTAATATATTATTTATTTTATGTTTGTTCTTTCCTGTATTCTCAGTAAATGTTTACCATATATCTGCTAAATGCAGGCCTAGGAATTTCACAGATGGCCATGACAATACCTTTCCCCAAGGAGCCCAGTAATAAAGAAAAAATAAATTTTAATACACAAGTAAAATATTGTACATTCTATATTTTAAACTTCATATCAGAAAAACACATCAAGGTACACACTACGCCATGTGTGCCACATACTTGTCACATGTATTTTAAATTTCAACAAAAATTTATTAAAAACCAAAAAGTAGGCCAGATGCGATGGCTAGTGCCTGTAATCCCAGTACCTTGGGAGGCCGAGGCAGGTGGATCATGAGGTCAGGAGATCGAGACCACGGTGAAACCTGTCTCTACTAAAAATACAAATAGTTGGCCAGGCGTGGTGGTGGGCGCATGTAGTCCCAGCTACTTGGGAGGCTGAGGCAGGAGAATGGTGTGAACCTGGCAGGCGGAGCTTGCAGTGGGCTGAGATCGTTCCACCGCACTACAGCCTAGGTGACAGAGCGAGACCCCATCTCAAAAAAAAAAAAAAAAAAAAGAAAAGTTTAATTGAACATACAGGTGTATCTTGTTTTCTTGTGCTTTGGTTTCTTGTACTTCACAGGTATTGCAACTTTTGCAAATCAAAAGTGTGTGGCGACCCTGCATAGAGCAATCTCTCAGTGTCATTTTTCCAATAGCACAAGCTCACTTTGTGTCCCTGTGTCAAATTTGTGTAATTCTCACAATATTTTAACCATTCTCATTATTATTATAGGCATTATAGGGACCTGAGATCGGTGATCTTCAATGTTACCATCATGATTGTTTTGGTTTACCAAGAAATGCGCATATAAAAGATGGTGAATGTCATAAATATGTATGTTCTGATTTCTTCATTGACTCACCATTTCCCTGTCTCTCTCCCTCATCTCACTCCAGCCCTCCTTGTTCCTTGAGACACAACAATATTAAAATTAAGTGAAGTAATAACCCTACAATTGCCTCTAAGTGTTCAAGTAAAGTAAGAATCATGTATCTCTCACTTTAAATCAAAAGCTAGAAATGAATAAGCTTAGTGAGAAAAGCATGTCAAAAACTGAGATAGGTTGAAAGCTAGGTTGTTAACCTATCCAACAGTTAGCGAAGTTGTGAATACAAAGGAAAAGATCTTGAAAAAAATTAAAAGTGCTACGTCAGTGAACACACAAATGATAAGAAAACGAACAGCCTTATTGCTAATATGGAGAATGTTTTAGTGGTCTGGAGAGAATATCAAACCGGCCACAACATTCCCATAAACTGAAGCTTAATCCAGAGCAAGGCCCTCGCTCTCTTAAATTCTATGACGCCTGTGAGAGGTGAAGAAACTGCTAAAAAAAAGGTCGAAGCTGGCAGAGGTTCGTTCATGAGGTTTAAAGAAAGAAGTAATGTCCATAACATAAAGGTGCAAGGTGAGGCAGCAAGTGCTGATACAGAAGGTGACACAAGTTACCCAGAGGATCTAGCTAAGATCATTAATGAAGGTGGCTACACTAAACAGCAGATTTTCAATGTAGATGATACAGCCTTATATTAGAAGGAGATGCCATTTTTAACACTTTCGTAGCCAGAAAACAGAAGCTTCAAAGTACAGGCTGACTCTCTTGTTAGGGGCTAATGTAGCTGGTGAATTAAAGTTGGAATAGTACTCATTAACAATTCTGAAAATCCTAGGGCCTTTAAGAATTATTCTAAATCTACTCTGCCCCTTGGTCTATGAATGGAAAAACAAAACCTAATGAAAGCATATCTTTTTACACCATGATTTAGTGAATTTTTAAAGCTCACTGTTGAGCCCTATTGCTCAGAAAAACATATTCCATTCAGAATATTACTGCTGATTGGCAGTGCACCTGGTCATGCAAGCTCTGATGAAGATGTACAAGGAGACTAATGTTGTTGTCTCTCTCCTTTTTTTTTTTTTTTTTGAGACAGAGAGTCTCTGTCGCCCAGGCTAGAGTGCAGAGGCGCAATCTCGGCTCACTGCAACCTCCACTTCCTGGGTTCAAGCATTATCCAGCCTCACCCTCCCAAGTAGCTGTGACCACAGGTGCATGCCACCATGTCCAGCTAATTTTTTGTATTTTTAGTAGAGACAGGGTTTCACCGTGTTAGCCAGGAAGGTTTCAATCTCCTGACCTTGTGACCCGCCTGCCTTGGCCTCCCAAAGTGCTGGGATTACAGCGTGAACCACCACACCCTACCAACTAACGTTGTTTTCACACCTGCTAACAAACATCCATTCTGCAGCCCATGGGTCAAGGAATAATTTTGACTTTCAAGTATTATTGCTTAAGAAATATATTTCTTAAGGTTACAGCTGCCATAGATAGTGATTCTTGTGATGGATCCAGGCAAATTAAATTGAAAACCTTCTGGAAAATGTCACCATTCCTGATACCATTCAGAATATCCCTGACTTTTGGAAGGAAGTCAAAATATCAACATTTACAGGAGTATGGAACAAGCTGATTTTAATCCACATGGATGACTTTGAGGTGTTCCAGACTTCAGTAGAGGAAATACTTGAAGATGTGGTAAAAAGGGCAAGATAATTAGCAGGAGAGACTGATGATGTGACTGAATTGCTACAATGCCGTGATGAAACTCAAAGGGATGAGGAGTTGCTTTTTAGGGGTGAGTAAAGGAAGTGGTTTCTTGAGATAGATTCTACTCATGGTGAATATGTTGTGAATATCATTGAAATGATGACAAAAGATTAATAATATTTCAGAAACATTGTTTATAAAACAGATGCAGGTTTTGACAGGGGTTAACACCAATTTTGAAAGATGTTTTACTGTAGATAAAATACTATCAAATAGCATCACATGCTACTGAGAAATATTTCATGAAAGGAAGAGTCCATTGATGTGACAAAAATTCACTGTTATCCTATTTTAAGAAATTGCCACATCCACCCACACCTTCAGCAACCACCACCCTGATAAGTTAGCAGCTGTCATCATTGAGGCAAGACCCTCTACTAGCAAAAAAATAACAACTTATGATTGCTGAAGGATTGGATGATTGTTATCATTTTTAAGCAATAAATTATTTTTAATTAAGGTATGTACATTTTTTAGACATATGTTATTCTACATGTAATAGACTAGAGTATATAGTGTAAACAACTTTTATATGCACTGGGAAACCAATAACTTATGTGACTTGCTTTATTGCAATGTGCACTTTATTGTGGCTTTCTGGAACCAAACCCATAATATCTTTGAGGTATTCCTGTGTATGGAAATAACATCATGCTGACTTCATTAACTCCACTTTTCATATTCATCTCTTTGCCATTATTTATTTTTTAAAAAAATTTAGAATTTAAGTTTATTTTATTTTACCTTTTTAAATTTTATTTTAAGTTCCTTGGTACATGTGCAGGTTTGTTATATAGGTAAACTCATGTCATTGTAGTTTGTTGTACAGGTTATTTCATCACCCAGGTATTAAGCTTAGTGCCCATTAGTTATTTTTCCTGATCTTCTCCCTCCTCCCGCACTCCACCGTCTGATAGGCCCCAGTGTGTGTTGTTCCCCTCCATATGTCCAGGTATTGTCATCATTTATCTCCCACTGATAAGTGAGAACATACAGTATTTGGTTTTCTCTTCCTGCACCAGTTTGCTAAAGATAATGGCCTTCAGTTCCTTCATGTCCCTACAAAGGGCGTGATTCACAGAGATTCTGAGAATGCATGTTAATTTTTATATGAAATAAACAATTGCCATTAAGTACTTTTTTTTTCGGCTAATTTCAAAAGAAAAAAACATAAAACATAAAAATATTTTTTAAATATTATGAAAATAAAAATTTTACTTAAAGTGAAATTAGGATACATTTTTAATATGTAATATTAATATATAATATGAATTAAGGTCCTCCAAATGACCTCATTCTCTTTTTGTGGTCCTTATAAAATTTTCCTAGCCAGAATTGTACAATTGTACAATTTCATATAACCATTGTAATATTTCTAGTTAAGAATTAAGAGGGAAACTGCTTTTCAATATCCAGCATTTATGCCAAACTTTGAAGGCAATGTCAGAGTGCTCACTATTTTATTGTGACTCATATATACATTGATGTCATTTTTTCTCATTCTTTAGGTATTAGAAGAAACTAGTCAAACTTAAGAAAATTATACAATGCTTAATATCTAACATTATGCAACAAGACATGTATGTAAACATATTAGAAATATTTTGTTCATGCATTGTATACGATGACTCAGTGAGCTAATTCAGAAAATAACTATTTCTTAAACAAAGCTTTGATTTAATTACATAGGCAAACTAATGTAAATTAAGAAAAAGGTATTAAATTCGTCAGAATTTTGTAGAAACCAGAAAGATCTATTAAACCCTAATTAACACCTAGTAAATTATAAATATAATATTAGTGGATGGTAAAATTTCACACAACTGATATACTTTGTTCTTTAGAAAGGTAATTTTCACTGGAAGAGGCGAGATAAGTCTATGTTAACTAAAAATTTTATCAAAAAACATTTTACTGCCATTAAATTTTATTTTTTAATTAAATCCAAACATAAATTTTTAAGGTTGTTAAGCCAAGAACACAGTAAATGTAATATATTTATTTTATGCATCTTTTTCAAGGCTTATTTGCATGGAGGAAAGAAAAAAAGAAACTAAGTGAAACTAAATTGGAAGAATGAATAGAATTAGACAGTGGTTCATGGGGTTTGGTCCCACCCATAGAGATTAAGATGCAGCAGGTGTGGGAATAGGCCATACATTTCCCTTTCTAACAACCTTCTAGGGGCCACCTGCTTTGCTGGTCTAGACAGTCTGGCCCAACTTTCTATTCAAAGTGTCCTCTGTAGAACAGCAACATCTGCATCCCCTGGGAGATTCTTAGAAATGCAGAGTCTCAGATCAGCCCAGTCTTATTAAACTCAATTTTAACAAGATTCTCAGGTGAATTGCAAGTACATTATAGTTTGATAAGTACAGCCCTAAAGCAAAAAATGTTCGTTTTCTTCATAAAGGATGAAAATATGAAAAATAATGAAATTACTGATAGAGATCTACCATACCATATCCCTATACACTCTAATGTTTTGTGTACATTAACATGAAACAAGAGGGTAAAGCAAGTTGGAATGGTTTACTTTCTATGGTACTTCATAAAATGCAAACATATAAATAAAAGGATTATGGGAATTAGTAAAGCACTGAAGGCAGATAAGATTATTATACAGCTGAATAATATATGATCACTGGATTAGGTAAACTATGGGGATTGATTATAACTTGAAAAATTATAGTCTTAGTTTAAACACTATTAAAATCAATATTAAGTATACTGGCAATAAATAACAGTGTCTTAGAAAAATAACCCTATAGGTACCCAAATTCTACTAAATATGGACCCAATGTTTACTAAATGTTTCAGGAATTCAAAATAACTTTTCACTGTTATTTAATGTAAAGTACAGAATTTTCTGTTTCTTTTCCCATGATTCTTATTCCTCTAATGGGATCATTTCTAACTTGTCAATTCAGTTGCCTCATGTCTGTTGAACATATTTTCTAATGTGTCACTAAAGTGGTAATTTATCTGTCCTTGTCCCTTATCACCGGGTATGGAATACTTAATAATTGACACTTTGCACAGTCTGTATTAAATCATTTTGTCAGCAGACGTTCATTTATTGGTCTCCACACAATCATAGTTCGTGCTTTCTATGGTTTGAAAAAAAGCAAATCTAAATTGCTGTAAGGAACATCACCTTCTTCAATGGTGGGAGTGTTGAATAATCATTATGTTTGTTCTCTAGTGAGTTTCAAATAACTTGAGAAAGGATCAACAGTTTCAAAATATCCTGCATTTTTGGAAATAGCAATAGTTTTTTATATTTTACATTTCTGGAAATAGCGATCAATGTGCAAAAGGGAAGCACAGTGATTAAAGGAAAAACATTGCTGTTTGCTCATAGTTAGAAGAGCCAAACCATGATTTTACGACTCTGAGCAAGACATTGACTTGGAACCTATTTTGTTATCTATAAAATGAACAGACTATAAGCACTACCCTCCATTCTAGCTCTAACATTACATGATTTTACAAAATTGACTTATACTACTTGAGAATAAAAAGGTTATAAAATCTTCGTTATAAATTTCATATAGGCATTTGAAATTAAATGTGAATACTAACCATCTCTTACTTTTTTACTCTGAAGCAACGAGCTCAGTGATGAAATTTGAATCATCATATGCCTTAAAGACATAAGAATATCTGAGCCAGTGCAAATTTTAACATCCTATTAATAGCACCACAATGGTAACCACAAAGATGCAGTTTTTGCCATAATTTCTTGATATGCATGGTCATATTAACACAATGAATAATTGTCTAGAATCTGAAAACATAACTAATGAATCATGTGGAGAAAAGAGAGAGAGGAAGGACACTTCAGGAAACAAAAAGGAAATTGAATAGAGGTTTTTGCCTAGGTAATAATTCCTAGGTAGATATCCTGCTTAGATAATTACATTCACATGTTGAAGTAAGGGGGTAAAAAGTGTAATTGTAAATACTTTAAAGAATATTCTGGTTAAACAACACACTTCTAAATAGAATATGAGTAAAAGATGAAATATAAAAAGAAATTGTAATTGTTTTTGAACGAAATAAAAATGCAAACAGGTTATCAAAATTTGTGGGATGCAGCAAAAGCAGTGTATAGATGGATATTTATAGCATTGACTGCATATACTAGACAAGAAGAAAGATCTAAAATCAATTATCTAAGCTTCTAGCTCAGGAAACTAAAAGAAGATTTAATTAAATCAAAAGTAAGTAGAAGAAAAGAAATACTAAAAACTACAATAGAAAACAATAGACAAAAAGCAATGAAACAAAAAGTTTGTTCTTTGAAAAAACATTAATATACTTGATAAGCCTCTAGCCAGGATAACTAAGGAAACAAAATACAGAAGAAATTAATATCAAAATGAAAGAAAGGACATTACCACAGATCCAAAGAATATTAAAATGATAGTCAAAAAATACTGTGAAGAACTCTATGTCCACAAATTTGATAATATAGATAACATGGACCTATTCCTTGAAAAGGATAATCTGGCAATACTTACACAAAAAGAAATAAACAATGTGAATATGCCTACAACTATTGAATAAATTAAATTAATAATTATTAACCTTCCAAATAAGAAGCACTAGGCCCAGATAGATTCCCTGGTGAATTCTATTATGCATTTAAAGAAAAAGTTGTAAGAATTGTCTACAATATATTTCAAATTGTAGAAACATAATCTATGAGGTGAACATTACCCTAACATCAAAACAAGATGAAGAAATTCCAAGAAAATAAAACTACAGACCAACATATCTTATGAATATAGGTGTAAGCATTATTGACAAAATATTTGTTAATTAAGTTGAACAATGCATGAAATAATTATACATCATCTCCAAGTGGAATTTCTACCACACATGCAAGGCTGGTTCAACATTTGAAAATCAATTAATGTAATCCATCACAATAATAGGCTAAAAAAGAGAAATCATGTGATAATTTCAAAAGATGCAGATAAAACACTTAACAAAGTCCAACATCCGTTTCTGATAAAAATGTAAGTAAACTAGAAATAGATGAAAATGTCCTCAATTTAATAAAGAATATCAATAGAAAACCTATAGCTGATATCTTACTTCATGGTGACAAGCTTGAAGATTTCCCAGTAACATCAGGAAGACAAGGATCTCCCCTTCACTACTGTGTTCAGTGTTGTACTGGAAATCCTAGGTAATGTGGTAACACAAGGAGGAAATATATAAAGATTGTGAAGGAAGAAATAAAGTTTCCCTTGTTAGCAGATGACATTATCATCTATGTAGGAAATCCCAAAGAATTGACAACAAAAAACTGGAATTGATAAGCCATTATAGCAAGTTTGAAGGATACAATTTAATAAACAAGTTTATTGTTTTCCGTAAATCAGCAAAGAAGAAATATAATTTGAAATTAAAAACATAGTACCATATACCTTAGCAATTGCAAAATGAAATACTTTGATGCAAATTTAACAAAATATATGCAAGATCTTTATGAGGAGAAGTACAAAACTCTGTTGAAATAAATCAAAGTATAACAAAGTTAATAAAGAGTCCATGTTTACAAATACACAGACTCAGTATTGTTACTAGTTTGACAATATTGTCAAGATGTTATAGTCTCCCCAGATTGATCTGTAGATTCAATGCAATTCCAACCAAAATCCCAGCAAGTCACTTTTGTGGCTATTGATGAGTTAATTCTAAAGTTTATATGGAGAGAGAAAAGATTTATAATAGCCAACACAACATTGAAGGAGTAAAACAAAGTTGAAAGACTGACAATACCCAACCTTAAAACTTACTACAAAGCTACAATAATCAACACAGTGTGATATTGGTGATAGAATAGGCAAACAGATTCATAGAACAAAATAGAGAGCCCAGAACTAGACATACATAAATATTATCTACTAATATTTGACAGAAGATTGAAAGCAATACAATAAAGAAAAGATAGACATTTCAACAAATGGTGCTGTAACAACTGGACATCCATATACAAAAATATATATAAAAAGAATATAGACACAGACCTTACAATCTTCAGAAAAATCAGCTCAAAATGGATCACGTATCTACATGTAAAACACAAGTCTACGTAAGTCCTAGAAGATAACATATAAGAAAATTTAGATAACCCTAGATTTAGTAATGACTTTTCAGAAACATCAAATCCTGATCCATGAAAGAAAGAATGGATAAACTTGACTTCATTAAAAATAAAAATTTCTGCTCTGTGAAAGACACTGTCCAGTGAATAAAAATAAGAGCCACATAGTGGAAGAAAATATTTTTAAAAGACGTATATGATAAAGGACTGTCATTCAAAATATGCAAAATAATTTTTTACAATTCAGCAATAAGAAAACAAACAACCTGGTTAAAAATGGACCAGGGACTTTAACAGGTCCTTAACATACACAGATTGCAAATAAGTAAATGAAAAGATGCCTACGTCATATGCCATTAAAGAGATGTAAATTAAAATGGCAATGAGATATCACTACCTATCTGTTAGTATGGCCAACATTGAGAAAATTGGCAACACCAAATGAGGATGTGGCACTTTCATTAACTTCTGGTGGGAATGCAAAATGGTATTAGTATTTTGAAAGACAGTGAAACATATTATTTTCATACAATCCGGTAATCATGACCCTTTGTATTTACCCAAAAGAGTTGGAAACGTATGTACTCACAAAAACCTACACACATATTTTTATAGAAAGTTTATTCATAATCTCCAAAACTTGGAAGTAATCAAGGTGTCTTTCAGTACATGAATTCATAAAACCATGGTACATCCAGACAATGGAATATTATTTAGCTTCCAAGTCATATATGTATATTACTAAGTAAAATCTTATCTTTGTACTAAGAAATCTTACATGTGTAGTACTAAGTGAAGGAATATAATGTGAAGAGATTTCATGTTGTGTGATTAAACCATACAACATTTTGGGGAAGGTAGTTACCAGTGGTTATGTGGGAGGGAGAGAAGGATGAGTTTGCAGATCACAGAGCATTTTTAGAGCAGTGTGTTTATTTTTTATGGTACTTTAATGGTGGGTACATATTAATGTAAAATGTCAAATAATGTACTTATCAAACTAATAATGTACTTATCATATCTATTGATAAGTACAGCCCTAGAGCAAAAAATGTTCATTTTCTTCATAAAGGATGAAAATATGAAAAATAATGAAATTACTGATAGAGATCTACCATACCATATCCCTATATACTCTAATGTTTTGTGTACATTAACATGAAACAAGAGGGTAAAGCAAGTTGGAATGGTTTACTTTCTATGGTACTTCATAAAATGCAAACATATAAATAAAAAGATTATGGGAATTAGTAAAACACTGAAGGCAGATAAGATTATTATAGAGCTGAATAATATATGATCACTGGATTAGGTAAACTATGGGGATTATAACTTGAAAAATTATAGTCTTAGTTTAAACACTATTAAAATCAATATTAAGTATACTGGCAATAAATAACAGTCTTTCTATGTAAATGATCATTTTGTGAGGTTGTCTTATCCATTTCTTACACAAATTTCCCATGTTTACTTGTTTGTGTTGATCAAGATGTTTATGTTCAATAATAGTAGTGGATGTTATCTGCTTGCCTTCTTTTTAATCTTAAAGGAAAGACTTGTACATCTGTTAAATATGCCATTTGCCATAGATTTATTTCATATGGATTTTTTTGAGGTTAAGGAAGCTACCTTCTGTCGGTTTTACTAGGCTGGAACTATGTCCCTCAGAATTCGTTTTCCAACTTGGTCAACTTGTTTAGTCTGGAACTATGTTCTCCAGAATGCATTTTTATGCATAGTTTCAAGTTAAAGGCGGTTTTATGCATAGTTTCAAGTTAAAGGTGGCTGACAGAGGAACTTGTTGAAACGTTGTAAGTGATAGCAGGTTCACTGCTTAGATGCGGAGACAGAGAAATGCGGAGGTGCTGGCAGCTTCTAGGTTATCCTCACTTCATCTACTTTACATACAATTATTCTTCCAACGTCAGAGCCTAAATAATTCATTACACATTACTTTTTCTTAAGATCGTACCCTAATTGCAGCTATGGAAATCTGTATTAGCTATTGACTGCTGAGTAACAAATTATCTCAAAACCTTGCGGCTTAAAACAAGCATAAACATTTATTATCCTACATTTTGTGTAGGCTATACATTTGGGGGCAGAATAGTTGGCTTCTTCCGAATTGAGGTCTCTCGTAAAACTGCAGTCAAGATAGTAACTGGAGCTGTAGTCTTCTAAAGGCTTGGCGGGGACTAAATGATCTGCTTCCAAGATGGCTGAATCACTTTGCTGTCAAGTGAATGCTGCCTTCGTTAGCACAAAGCCTCAGTTCCTCACCATGTGAACCTTTATATAGGGCTGCTCACATGTCCTTAACACATGGCTCTGACTTCCTTCAGAATGAAAGATCCAAGTGAGAGCAAGTGGTAATCCCCAATATCTTTTATGATTTAACCTCAGAAGTCACACAACATTAATGCAAATTTCCTACAAATTACTAAGGTCATCATTGTTCACTTTGGTAGGGAACTATACAAGGGCACCACAACACAGAACATGAGGCTCATTGGGGACGGTACATGCTTGAGTTTATTTCTGAATTCTTCATTCTATTCCATTTGTCTACCTGTACCAATGCAATACAATTTTAATTAATGTAAATAAAAATATGCACTCCTATCTGATAAGGCAAATATTCCCTTTTTAAAAAAATTTTCACTTATTTTAATCATATGAGTTTTAAAGCCAATAATAATTTTCCTTTAAGAAGTCATATTGAGATTTTGACTAGATATCTTTGAATCAATAGATTAATTTGTGTAAAATAAATATCATTTCAATATTGAAACTTCTAATCATAAACTTATATGTTTATTTTATTTCAGTTATTGTAATATCTTTGAGTAAAGTTGATTTTTTTCTTACAAGAATATCAAATATGTCTTGTTATGTTTATATGTGTATGTTTGTTGCAATTGTGAGTAAAATATTATAAAAATTTTAATTTTTTTATTGTTACAAAATAAAGTTTCTTTTTACAACATTGTATCTTATATCTACCCATGTTATGGAACTCTCATTTCTAATGGTAAATTGATGCAATTTTTATTATTTCCTTTTGATCCATACATGCAAAGAATGAGCTAAATTTCCTATAGGAAGTGTCTATTAATAAAAGCCTTCTTAAGTTGTAGTATGCAGGTGGTCTGGGGAGATAGAACACAAAAGTCCTATGTGTGTGAACAAGTTGGTCATCAAGTTTTGTCAAACACAAAAGACATAACCAGAGGAACATGTACCATCAGTTTCCTCATCTTTTTTTCTTTCCTTTTTAAGATCCCACGTTAAATGTGAAAATAACAAAGTATTTGGTTCAGGATGGATGTTTTTGATGTTTCATCTTAGGAAGTCTTATGTATGAACTGGTAAATCAATATTAAATAATTTGTTATCTAGTATATTTTGTTATCTAATATCTTTTTACCGATTAAGAATACATAATTTACAGTGAAAACAATCAAAATAATGTATGACTTTGATTAAATTTTCAAAGATACAGAGTTCATATGTCTATCCATCTGGAAAAAATGATAATGAATTCTAAAATTATAATTCATAAGCTGAAAAAATTATATTCATAACTCCTAGAGAACTGTGCTTTAACAACTCATATTTGTGTGTTTCCAAACTTTTGAATGTAGGCCACAAAAAATCAATTGAATTATGTCAACATAAGATCATGACAAATTAATTATCTGATCCAATCAATGTTGGTCCAGCTCTT
Source organism: Homo sapiens (assembly GCF_000001405.40). Lineage (NCBI taxonomy): Eukaryota > Metazoa > Chordata > Mammalia > Primates > Hominidae > Homo > Homo sapiens. The sequence goes on along the minus strand of NC_000004.12, from coordinate 64,814,943 downwards.
TGAGTGACTTTTGTCACTTGGACAAGGTGATTTTTACTGGTTAAGAAAATTCATTTGGTTTATCCAGATTGTACTTCCCTTCTTTTCTCATGACATACAATTGGCTTATTTCAGATAGACATATGGTGCACAGCTGCACGGTTTCATTTTTGGAAGCTTGCATACCTATTTTATTTTGTTCCTTTGATTCACTTCTAGAACTCTTGATGTGAACGCCCAGTTTCTTTCTTAAAAGTAATAAAAGATGAAAAGCTGTTTTCTCATATATTTGATGTGAAGTTAATAAGTATTCTCCAAGGTACATATATATATATATATATATACAGAAAAATGTATGTATAGACATATATACATAAATGAAACTTCATATGTATATACATATATACACGTACACACACACACACAATTTAATTTCCCCAAAATGAAGTGTTCAGGTCAGAAATATTGAATTTTCTCAATATAAGCCAAGTTGAAAAATTGCTTAGATGAAGATGAAAAGTAAAGGAGCAAGAACTTGGATAGTCAGGGAGGCTTTGAACTAAAACAATTGGCATAGTTGAGAGAAGCAGCATGTCAACTTGTGGATAAATTAATACTGGAGAAACTGACACATCTTTCCTTATTCCAATCTGGCCTTTTCCCAGTGTTGATGTAGGCAAAAGATTCAATCATTTCTACTCAATGACTTTCTCTAGCAAATTACTAATTATAGCTTGTAAATTCAAATAGGCCATGGGTCTAGGACTTAAAATATTCTGGAATATAATAAATTATTCCAGAAAAATTAGTAAGATTTACATTTGTAGACCTTAGAATTAAGCTTGTATTTTAGGAGTCCTGGTGCTTAAAGAATCCTTAAGGCAATTTTAATACCTGTTATACAAAGTAATGATTCATTTCCATTAGAAAAGTCTTGCTGAACAACCCGTGTGGTCAATTTTAGAGACAGTGAGAAAAAGGGTTGGGGGGATCTATTCTGTTGATAAGGCAAGACTTAACTTAGATTAGTATGTGTTTTTTTTTTCCTTCTGAAAATGTTAAGAATCATTTATGATCATTTTTGTAGTAGACCACATATTAATCTTTTCCCATCTCTTTTGGTATTTTTTATATTATTTTGCTTAATTGGGTAATTAGACATTATGTTTTCATGTTTCAGAATAGAGATGCTTCAGAATGAATGCAGAACTGCATATCAGATATAAACATTGGCTTTTGCATTTCAAATTCTTAAAATTCTGAGCAAAAAACACACAATAAATTTTTTTGAATATTATTCCCGTGTTTGGGGCTTTACTTTTTTTTTACCAGAGGATGTAGAGAGTATGCAATTAGTAGCTAAACAGTACTTCACTCAAACACTAGCAAAAATTCCCTGGACTGATGGAAGTGAGAAGCACTTCCATAGGGAAAACAATTATTGCCTCAGCTGCATTTTCTGCAGGTGAATAACAAATAGATTTGAGGATTTGAGAACTGTGAAAGACTTGTTCATTGTGACCTGTAGAAGCCCGATGGACCAGTAGGTTCCTACAATTTCTCTACAAATAGTACGAAGAGAGACTAGAAGAAATATCTGCCAGGGACATTAAGGGAGGAGTTACATTTACTACCGCAACCCGTGTGTAGCAAAACAATGGGAAACAACATTAAACATCTCCACTAAGGCCAACTGGGAGTGTTAAAAGTTTGTTTTTGAACCTAAGTGATGCTTGGCAATAGCTCAAATAGTGGCAATACTGGAGAGCACTGGTGAAGAGCAAAAAGAATATGCAGCTGTGATCTCATATATTGATAGCCAAAAACCACACAGTAGAATGGATAGGACCAGATAGGACGTCATTCTACTCAGAGGATACCGGCATTAACAGATGATCAGAAAGCCTCGAAACACAAGAGCACTGCATACATTAAATGGGCATTAACTTGCTTTAAAAGAAGAAAGGCCAGGCACAATGGTTCACGCCTATAATCCCAGCACTTTGGGAGGCAGAAGCGGGTGGATCACCTGAGGTCAGGAGTTTGAGACCAGCCTGGCCAACATGGCAAAATCCCTTTTCTACTGAAAAAAAAAAAAAAATTAGACAGGCATGGTGGTGCCTGCCTGTAATTCCAGCTACTTGGGAGGCTGAAGGATGAGAATCGCTGGAACCTGGGAAACAGAAGTTGAAGTGAGCCAAGATAGCACCACTGCACTCCAGCCTGGGTGTTGAAGTGAGACTATGTCTCAAGAAAAAAAAAAAAAAAGAGAAAAGAAGTAAAAAATCAAATTTTTGGAAATTAAGTTTTTCTCACAGGCAGTATTGGGTTTCAAAGTTAAAGTTGTTTTGTTCAGTCACAGGAAAATGAAATCAGTCCTCACACAGTTATTTTATTTCATGAAATACATGCCCTTTACAGAACAGTGTGAGTGTTTTGGTTGAGTGATTTCTCTGTCTATGTGTTCATTTATTCTCATACTACTTAGGGTAATATTTGGACCTTTCAGCCAAACTCTAAGTAACCATGTTTTTAGAATATTGACTGATACAATTGTTAAAAGATGGGCAAATGGGTTCTCTGTTTACTTTATCTGCACATAGATGACCAAGCCTTTTTCAAATGCCGTGAACTAATATTTTTAAGTTATTTATTTTCTTTTCTTCTGTAAAGATCTAGAAGAGTAAAAAGGTAAGGGAAATTTGTTATAAACTCAAAGTTTTACACACAAAATCCTACATATGTTGTTCTTATCATTCGTTAATTCATCTAGAAATATTTAGATTGCAGTATTTTGCAGGATAAAGCAAGAGTAATGGATAAGACAGATCATTGTTCTTGCCATTTCAAATCTTGTAATTTAATAAACAAAACCATAAAATATATATACATAAAATTTAATCAATTATAAGCTGTATTTAGTTATATGAAAATGTGAGAAGAACATATGAAATAAATAATTACTTCTTCCTAGATAGGTAAACATTGAACTGAAACCAAATGATAAGTCTAAATGGAGAAGGTTTGGTGGGTCCAAAGCTTATGCACTTCAGAGAGACTTATAGTTTTTAAAAATATGAAATTTTGATAAAATTAGGTTCAGATGTCTAGTTCAATTGCAAGGTTTGAAACATATGTTTCATTTATTTTAAACAATATGAAATATAGTTGTGTAAGTGGGCAAGGGTCATATCATGCAGAAGTTTTTAGTTAGGTAAACAAACGGAGATTTCTATCAAAAATTCACTGGGAAACCATCAATGGAATCAATTATATAGCTTGTTAAAAAAAAAAGAAAAGGATAAGAGAAGTACAAGAATTCAAGCTCAGTCTGAAGACCATGGCAGTAAAATAAGTGAGGGATGATGGTGGCTTAGTCTGCAATAGCAATGACAAAGAGCAAAAGAGGGTGAACCCGTGCCATGTGAAGACAATGGTGACAGTTCAAATGCAAGAAACAGAAGCAGGTGAGGAATCAAAAAAGACTCATAAGAGTGGTGGCCTTTCGAAGACGTAAAGACAACAGGAGAAATAGTTGTGAGAGTTTATTTTGGAGTTTATTGAACATCCAAGTTGGCAGCTACATCAAAACACCATAATTTCAAAATCTGAAGTGAAGGCTGAAGATTTAAAAGACAGGAACTTGAAGACAAAGTTAGAAATGATTGTGTAGCCCCTCGCTTACCCACTTCCTGTTATTTACACATAGATACAATGTTTATAACGAGATTTTATTTTTTAATAAAAACTGGATTTTAACTAGCAAGGAGGGGATTTTTTATCAGCAAAGAACTGTATAGGCTCCTTAACCTTCCTGGCCTCCTCCATGCTTCAAATTACAGGTTTTCTTCTAAGTACTACATAAATATCTGACTGAGGATTATGTTGTGATGTGCGGGAACCAAAAGGCCATTTATCAATGAGAGAACACTAGTGTTATTCAGACAAGTTTAGCATATTTCTAAAGATATTCAAAAGGTGTATGGGTATTTGAAAAGGGTCAGTGTTTACCCAGTACATTTTAAAGGTAAATCATTTTGCTGAGACTATAGTAATTGGCTTGTAGACTCTATAAGTTTCTTCTCTTTTTATGTGAAGCAATCTTCTTCAGAGTCATTAATGAGAGATAAAGCCATGTAAGATCAATTGGCAAGATCAATATATGTGATAGTACCTGAATAACATAAACTTTATGAGATAACCTCCAGCCAAAACATAAAAGGTATTTCCAGCTAACGTATTAGGTGGCTCATTATAAAACCTTAATAATAATTTTATTTTATTTTATTTGAATGGAGTTTCACACTTTTGGCCCAGGCTGAAGGGCAATGGCTTGATCTCGGCTCACTGCAACCTTCGCCTCCCAGGTTCAAGTGATTCTCCTGCCTCAGCCTTCTGAGTAGCTGGGATTACAGGCATCCACCACTATGCCTGGCTACTTTTTGCATTTTTAGTAGAGATGGGGTTTCACCATGTTGGCCAGGCTGGTCTCGAACTCTTGACCTCAGGTGATCTGCCCACCTCGGCCTCCCAAAGTGCTGGGATTATTAATAATTATTTCATGTGCTCTTAGAGATCTCAATGTAACAATAATTTCAGTGAATGTTCCTTCATATATTTTGCTATGGTAGATGCTAACATTCAAGTTATTAAACTTAAATAACTGTAAATTAGTGGGGAAAGTTATATAAACAAACATACAGTATATGAAAGAGGTTAGAATACTATAACAACTATACATTTAAGAGGAAGATCCAACCAGAGTGGGAGACCAGGAATGACTTTAAAAAAAATAAATAAAATAAAAAAAGTCTTTATTGAGTCTAGAGAACAGGTATTAATTAGGTTGGTTAAAAAAGATTAATCATCACCCTGCTTGACCAGTCCCACTGGCAGCACTCACCTACTCAATTTATCTCTGGAAATTTCAAATTGAGGAAAGACACTTAGTATGCCAAGTTTAAAACACACACACACACACACACACACACACACACACACACACACTTCTCCTTAATCTTTATCCATGGATTGCAGTTTGAAACTTTACTAAGTGCGTCTACTTCCTCTCACATGAGAGGACTTCGAGCTTTCTCTTTCCTAGGCTTATTGATCCAGTTTCTTTAGCTATTTTTAAATAATGTGGTTCAGAATATTTGTCATCCTAATCACCATCAGCAAGACACGCTCATTATGTGATCTGTTTTTAAAATATGATGTATAAAATTGAACATCATTTAAGCAATATTTAAAACACAAGGAGAATTAAGAGAGAACTACTTTGTTTTTAGAGTATTGACAGCTATTCTAGTAGCTTTAAGTGATAGTTTTCACATAACCCATAATTTGTGCAATCAGACACATTTGTGTTTTATCAAGGGTTTCCATAGTTAGGCAGGATGTGAAACACATTTAGAAGGTGGATTTGTTACTCAACGGATTTTATAGTTCCTTTGCAACCATTAATCCCTACTGTGTGATTATGTGTTTTGGCAAACTATGATGACAATGAATAGGGCATATACATTATCAAGGTCTTCGTGAAACTACTTAAGAAACTAATTATGTGTATATAACAATAGTGGAACCAACACAACAAAAGATGATCTGGACATATATTTGTCCTTTAAATAACAGATCACAGTGTTTTAATTTAATTAAGCTCCAAAACAAAGTTTAGATTTGGAACAATGATTCTTAAAAGAGAGTGGAAAAAAGAGCTGTGACAGAATCAACTATGAGCAGAGAGAAGAGGTAAAATAGATATATTTGCAGAACTTTTCAACCTCTGCACAGACTTAAATCCTGAGATTTTGGTCAATGTTGACATTGAAAAATTTGATGAAGGAATAGCATATGTCATATCTAAAAATACTTTTTCTGTCAAATCACTGATTATAAATTAATGAAGCAGTGAGAAAGAAACAAACTGCAATTAATCAGTTTTGTGCCTCTCTCACCAAATTATTTGGCAGTTTTTATTTTTTGTTTTGTTGTAATTTACATACAGATTAGGTATAGAAGAGGCTGGAGTGACCATGAAATCCAAGAGGAAATATAGAAGGCTCCTCTGTCACTTCCCTGCCAAGAATGGCTGTCCAAATATTTTTTGTGTGTACTAGGACTTTCTTGTCTACTTATACTATAGGAGTATCTTTGGAAAATGCACATTTGAAAGCTGATATGTGGAAACTTACAATGGTTAAAGTAGAAAACAGAGAGTAACACCCTAGTAGGGAGACTGGAGGAGGCAGGAATTGAGATAGTCAGCCTACTTTAACTCCTCCACTAGTCTTATGCTTTTTTTGTTTTAAACCAGGACAATGTCTTCAATTTTCAGAGAAAATGTAAGCTGGTATGTTGGAGTTCCCTAGGCATTTTGTTAGCAAACTCATGAATGCTCATGTACCACCCCCCACCTAGTTTCTTATTACAAAAAAAAAAAAAAATGTTGTTTACAATCCAGGCTTAATTTTCTACTTGTTCTCTAAATTCCAACCCTTCTTGGTTTCTTGGAGGCTATGCTCTGTTGATTGTCCCATGTACTACGTCACAAAGTATTTAAATGAATAAATGAATATAACCATGCAGAAGATGCTCATGTTCAAGTTCATGTGCCTAAACAAGGCCTACTCTAGTCCCTAGAGTCCTTATCGTCATTGTTTATTCAAATTAGGTATTTAAATTTTAGAAAGGAAAATATATTGACATATGCTACCTATGCAGATCATTCCTTTATGAAAATAGATTAAAGTACTTCACAGTGACACTTTCTTGAATTTTCTGAGAGAAATTTTTTTTTTTAATCTAAAGTCAGACTCTATTGCCTCTTTTGAAAGATTTCTCTAAACCTCTAATTTTCCACGTGGTTCTTCTTTTTTGCCAGACTGAAAGTATAATAACTTAAGAGAAACTGGCTCAAAGCCTTGGACTTCAGGGTTGCTTGAGAAGAATAACAATGGTTATCATGCAATGATTCAGCTGTATTCTTTGAACTGGTGCACAGGAAACAAAACAAAACGTAACAAAAAAATCCATTTATTCTCACCTGATTTTACTTCATTCATTCAAAGGGAGCCAGATCAGTTAAAAGGGCTATGTAGGTGACAAAATGCATACCCATAGTCCTAGAGCAAGTTTCTGCCAATGGAGAAAACAAAAACAGCAACAACAACAAAACATCCTCCTCTTTGAATTATTTTAAAATGTACTAAAAGAACATTATTTGTTTTTTTGTAATACAAAGGATAAATGCTTGAGGTGATGGATACCACATTTACCCTGATGTGATTATTAAGAATTAGATGCCTGTATCAAAAAAATCTCAAATAACCCATAAATAATACACCTACTATGTACCCAGAAACATTTAAAAAAGAAAATTTAGGTGTTTCTGCCCCCTAAACAAAAAAACAAACATGAAACAAAAATTGAGAACTAGATTTTTTAATTAAATGAAGTAATGAGTTATCAACCTTGTGATATGTATTGTTACTTCAGTTTTGTTTCTAAAATGAATAGGAGAATGGTATAATTACTTATTTTAGTAGCTGTATATGGAACCTCATAAAATAAATAAATAGTATCCGTATAATTTGTTTTTTCAAATGGATAGTTAAAATATTTTTGTCTCAGAAAATTTTGCAACACCTACAGGCATATCCTAACTTGATAAACTCTAATTAAGTTTTTTTCTAAAAGTATCTTATTTATTTACTTTTAGCCTCCCTGAAGAGTTTACTTTCAAGCTAGAAAGACAAAAAATATACTTTCTTCATAGAAAAACATACTCTGGATAGACAAATTCTCAAGAAAAGAAACATATTTATATATTAAAGTTTATTTTTGCAATGCATAGTCCTACCTAAAGTGTTTATTTTTAAAGTGTATCTTTCCCCTTTCTTTTGATTCTTTTTCATAAAATTTTAGGTGGAGAGTCTCTATTAAAATTTCACTGTTAGGAAAAAACAGTAAGTAATTTTTTGGCATATTTAGGAAATATGGGAGACTTCAAAATGCCCAAATGAAATTATGGGAGCTGTTTAGCAAACTCTTTAGGGTTACCCAATTCTATAGGGGTATGCATCTTTGTTTATCTTCTAGTAGACTATTTTGTAACTGTAATCTCCTGATAGAAATGGAAAAGATTGGCCGGGCACAGTGGTTCATGCCTGTAATCCCAGCACTTTGGGAGTCTGAGGAGGGTGGATCACCTGAGGACAGGATTTTCAGACCAGCCTGGCCAACATGGCGAAACCTGTCTTTACTAAAAATACAAAAATTAGCCATGTGGTGGTGAGTGCCTGTAATCCCAGCTACTTGGGAGGCTGAGGCACAAGAATCACTTGAACCCAGGAGGAGGAGCTTGCAGTGAGCCGAGATCTCGCCACTGAACTCTCAGCCTGGGCAACAGAGCAAGACTATCTCGAAAAGAAAAGAGAAGAAAAGAGAAGAAAAGAAAAGAAAAGAAAGAAGAAGAGAGAAGAGAGAAAAAGAGAAGAGAGAAGAAGAGAGAAGAGAAAAGGAGAAGAGAAGAGAAGAGAAGAGAAGAGAAAAGAAAAAAGAAAAGAAAAAAGAAAAGAAAAGAAAAGAAAAGAAAAAGAAAAGAATTCTTGTCCATAAAAGTATAAATAGACTTTGTCTGGGAGAGATGCAATTTATTTTACCTCTGTAAAAAGATTACTCCAAATACTATATTTTGTTGCCTTCTAGGATATGAACCAGTTTTTCACTTATTAGCAATTCATGTCAGAATCACTAATTGCCTTCATACACATATATGTTCTACAGCTTCTCCTTTGAGCCTGTTTTAGCCCCTTTTTTTTCTTATTAATTAATAAGCTCAAGAAATTTCCATTGGTATGAACATCATGGTTTCACTTAATTTTTTTACTTTATTATTATGCAAATAAAAAAGTTCAGGAACATAAAATTTTTACTAAACTCTATAAATTTGTATACATATGTGATAAAATTATTGATAAATAATATATGAGTAAAATTCCAGTATCTGGCTATGAAACTAAGTGTGCATTTTTTTATTAGTGTACTTTAAGTTCTAGGGTACATGTGCACAATGTGCAGGTTTGTTACATAGGTATATACGTGCCATGTTGGTTTGCTGCACCCATCAACTGACATCTACATTAGGTATTTCTCCTAATGCTATCCCTCCACCAGCCCCCAACCCCCGACAGGCCCCGATGTGTGATATTCCCCGCCCTGTGTCCATGTGTTCTCATTGTTCAACTCCCAATTATGAGTGAGAACATTCAGCATTTGGTTTTCTGTCCTTGTAATAGGATTGATAGTTTGCTGAGAATGATGGTTTCCCACTTCATCTGAGTCCCTGCAAAAGGCATGAACTCATTCTTCTTTATGGCTGCATAGTATTCCATGGTGTATATGTGCCACATTTTCTTTTTTTTTTGAGATGGAGTTTTGCTCCTGTTGTCCAGGCTGGAGTGCAATGGCATGATCTCAGCTCACCGCAACCTCTGCCTCCCAAGTTCAAGTGATTCTCCTGCCTCAGCCTCCCAAGTAGCTGGGATTACAGGCATGCGCCACCATGCCCAGCTAATTTTGTAGAGATGGAGTTTCTCCATGTTAGTCAGACTGTTCTCGAACTCCTGACCTCAGGTGATCCACCCGCCTCGACCTCCCAAAGTGCTGGGATTACAGGCGTGAGCCACCGTGCCCGGCCCTATGCCACATTTTCTTAATCCAGTCTATCATTGATGGATATTTGGGTTAGTTCCAAGTCATTGCTATTGTGAACAGTGCCACAATAAACATAGGTGTGCATGTGTGTTTATAATAGCATGATTTGTAATCCTTTGGGTATATATCCTGTAATGGGATCGCTGGGTCAAATAGTATTTCTACTCCTAGATCCTTGAGGAATTGCCACACGGTCTTCCACAATGGTTGAACTAATTTACACACCCACCAACAATGTAAAAGCGTTCCTATTTCTCCACTTCTTCTCCAGCGTCTGTTGTTTCCTGACTTCTTAATGATCGCCATTCTATCTGGCATGAGATGGTATCTCATTGTGGTTTTGATTTGCATTTTTCTGATGACCAGTGATGATGAGCATTTTTTCATATGTCTGTTGGCTACATAAATGTCTTCTTTTGAGAAGTGTCTGTTCATATCCTTTGCCCAGTTTTTGGTGGGGTTGTTTGTTTGTTTCTTGTAAATTTGTTTAAGCTCTTTTTAGATTCTGGATATTAGCGCTTTGTCAGATGGGTAGATTGCAAAAATTTTCTCTCCTTCTGTAGGTTGTCTGTTCACTCTGATTATAGTTTCTTTTGCTGTGCAGAAGCTCTTTAGTTTAGTTAGATACCATTTGCCAATTTTGGTTTTTGTTGCTGTTGCTTTTGGTGTTTTAGTCAGGAAGTCTTTGTCCATTCCTATGCCCTGAATGGTATTGCCCAAGTTTTCTTCTAAGGTTTTTATGGTTTTAGATCTTAGATTTAAGTCTTTAATCCATCTTGAGTTAATTTTCGTATAAGGTTTAAGGAAGCAATCCAGTTTCAGCTTTCTACATATGGCTAGCCAGTTTTCCCTGCATCACTTATTAAATAGGGAATCCTTTCCCCATTGCTTGTTTTTGTCAGGTGTGTCAAAGATCGGATGACTGTAGATGTGTGGTGTTATTTCTGAGGCCTCCGTTCTGTTCCATTTGTCTATACATTTGTTTTGGTACCAGTGTCATGCTGTTTTGGTTACTGTAGCCTTGTAGTATAGTTTGAAGTCAGGTAACATGATGCCTCCAGCTTTGTTCTTTTGGCTTAGGATTGTCTTGGCTATGCAGGTTCTTTTTTGGTTCCACATGAAATTTAAAGTAGTTTTTTTTCCAATTCTGTGAAGAAAGTCATTGGTAGCTTGATGGGGATGGCATTGAATCTATAAATTACCTTGGGCAGTATGGCCATTTTCACAATATTGATTCTTCCTATCCATGAGCATGGAATGTTCTTCCATTTGTTTATGTCCTCTTTTATTTAGTTGCACAGTGGTTTGTAGTTCTCCTTGAAGAGGTCCTTCACATCCCTTTTAAGTTGGATTCCTAGGTATTTTATTCTCTTTGCAGTAATTGTGAATGGGAGTTCACTCATTATTTGGCTCTCTGTTTGTCTGGTATTGGTGTATAGGAATACCTGTGATATTTGCACATTGATTTTGTATCCTGAGACCTTGCTGAAGTTGCTTATCAGCTTAAGGAGATTTTGTGCTGAAACAATGGGGTTTTCTAAATGTAGAATCATGGCATCTGCAAACAGAGATAATTTGACTTCCTCATTTCCTAATTGAATGCCCTTTATTTCTTTCTCTTGTCTGATTGCCCTGGCCAGAACTTCCAACACTATGTTGAATAGGAGTGGTGAGAGAGGGCATCCCTGTCTTGTGCCAGATTTCAAAAGAAATGCTTCCAGTTTTTGCCCATTCAGTAGGATATTGGCTGTGGGTTTGTCATAGATAGCTCTTATTATTTTGAGATACATTCCATCAATACCTAGTTTATTGAGGGTTTTTAGCATGAAGGGCTGTTGAATTTTGTTGAAGGACTTTTCTGCATCTATTGAGATAATCATATGGTTTTTGTCATTGGTTCTGTTTATGCAATGGATTATGTTTATTGCCGTTTATTGATTTGTGTATGTTGAACCAGGCTTGTATCTCAGGGATGAAGCCGACTTGATTGTGGTGGATAAGTTTTTGATGTGCTGCTGGATTCTGTTTGCCAGTATTTTATTGAGGATTTTCACATCAATGTTCATCAGGGATATTGGCCTTAAATTCTCTTTTTTTGTTGTGTCTCTACCAGGCTTTGGTATCAAGATGATGCTGGCCTTATAAAGTGACTTAGGGAAGAGTCCCCGTTTTTCTATTGATTTGAATAGTTTCAGAAGGACAGGTACCAGGTCCTCTTTGTACCTCTGGTAGAATTTGGCTGTGAATTCGTCTGGTCCTGTACTTTTTTGGTTGGTAGGCTATTAATTATTGCCTCAATCTCAGAACCTGTTACTGGTCTATTCAGAGATTCAAATTCTCCCTGGTTTAGTCTTGAGAGGGTATATGTGTCCAAGAATTTATCCATTTCTGCTAGATTTTCTAGTTTATTTGCATAGAGCTGTTTATAGTGTTTTCTGATGGTAGTTTGTATTTTTGTGGGATCTGTGGTGATATCCCCTTTATCATTTTTTGTGGCAACAATTTGATTCTTCTCTCTTTTCTTGTTTATTATTCTTGCTAGTGGTCTATCTATTTTGCTGATCTTATCAAAAAACCAGATCCTGGAATCATTGATTTTTTGAAGAGTGTTTCGTGTCTCTGTATCCTTCAGTTCTGCTCTGATCTTGGTTATTTCTTGCCTTCAGCTAGCTTTTGAATGTGTTTGCTCTTGCTTCTCTAGTTCCTTTAATTGTGACGTTAGGGTGTCAATTTTAGGTCTTTCCTCTTGTGGGCATTTAGTGCTATAAATTTCCCTCTACACACTGCTTTAAATGTTTCCCAGAGATTCTGATACGTTGTGTTTTTGTTCTCATTGGTTTCAAAGAGCATCTTTATTTCTGCCTTCATTTCGTTATTTACCCAGTAGTCACTCAGGAGCAGGTTGTTCAGTTTCCATGTAGTTGTGTGATTTTGAGTGAGTTTCTAAATCCTGAGTTTTAATTTGATTGCACTGTTGTCTGAGAGACAGTTTGTTGTGATTTCTGTTTTTTTGCATTTGCTGAGGAGTGTTTTACTTCCAATTATGTGGTCAATTTTAGAATAAGTGTGATGTGGTGCTGAGAAGAATGTATATTATGTTGATTTGGGGTGGAGAGTTCTGTAGATGTCCATTAGGTCTACTTGGTCCAGAGCTGAATTCAAGTCCTGGATATCCTTGTTAACCTTCTGTCTCATTGACCTGTCTAATACTTACAGTAGGGTGTTAAAGTCTCCCATTAATATTGTGTTGGAATCTAAGTCTCTTTGCAGGTCTCTAAGGAGTTGCTTTATGAATCTGGGTGCTCCTGTTTTGAGTGTATATATATTTAGGATAACTCTTCTTGTTGAATTGATCCATTTACCACTGTGTAATGGCCTTCTTTGTGTCTTTTGATATTTGTTGGTTTAAAGTCTGTTTTATCAGAGACTAGGGTTGCAACTCGATTTTTTTGCTTTTCATTTGCTTTTTAGGTCTTCCTCCATCCCTTTATTTTGAGCCTATTGTGTCTTTGCACATGAGATGAGTCTCCTGAATAAAGCACACCAATGGGTCTTGACTCTTTATCCAATTTGCCAGTCTGTTTCTTTTAATTGGGGCATTTAGTCCATTTACATTTAAGGTTAATATTGTTATGTGTGAATTTGATCCTGTCATTATGATGTTAGCTGTTAATTGATGCAGTTTCTTCACAGCATCGATGATCTTTACAATTTGGCATGTTTTTGCAGTGGCTGGTACTGGTTGTTCCTTTCCATGTTTAGTGCTTCCTTTAGGAGCTCTTGCAAGGCAGGCCTGGTGGTGACAAAATCTGTCAGCATTTGCTTGTCTGTAAAGGATTTTATTTCTCCTTCACTTATGAAGCTTAGTTTGGCTGGATATGAAATTCTGGGTTGAAAATTCATTTCTTTAAGAATGTTGAATATTGGCCCCCACTCTTTTCTGGCTTATAGGGTTTCTGCCGAGAGATCTGCTTTTAGTCTGATGGGCTTCCCTTTGTGGGTAACCCGACCTTTCTCTCTGGCTGCCCTTAACATTTTTTCCTTCATTTCAACCTTGGTGAATCTGACAATTATATTTCTTGGGGTTACTCTTCTCATGGAGTATCTTTGTGGTGTTCTCTGTATTTCCTGAATTTGAATGTTGGCCTGCCTTGCTAGGTTGGGGAAGTTCTCCTGGATAATATCCTGAAGAGTGTTCTCTAACTTGGATCTATTCTCCCTGTCACTTTCAGGAACACCAATCGGACATAGATTTGGCCTTTTCACATAGTCCCATATTTCTTTGAGGCTTTATTTGTTTCTTTTCACTCTTTTTTCTCTAATCTTGTCTTCTCACTTTATTTCATTAATTTCATCTTCAAGCACTGATATCCTTTCTTCCACTTGATCAAATCAGCTATTAAAGCTTGTGCATACATCACAAAGCTCTCATGCTGTGGTTTTCAGCTCCATCAGGTCATTTAAGGTCTTCTTTACACTGCTTATTCTAGTTAGCCTTTTGCCTAACCTTTTTCTCAAGGTTTTTAGCTTCCTTGCAAAAGGTTAGAACATGGTCCTTTAGCTTGGAGAAGTTTGTTATTACTGACGTTCTGAAGCCTACTTCTGTCAACTCATCAAACTCATTCTCCATCCAGTTTTGTTCCCTTGCTGGTGAGGAGCTGTGATCCTTTGGAGGAGAAGAGGTGCTCTGGTTTTTGGAATTTTCTCCTTTTTTGCTCTGATTTCTCCCTATCTTTGTGTCTTTATCTACCTTTGGTGTTTTATGTTGGTGACCTACAGATGGGGTTTTGCTGTGGATGTGCTTTTTGTTGATGTTGATGCTATTCCTTTCTGTTTATTAGTTTTCCCTCTAATAATTTGGCACCTCAGCTGCAGGTCTGTTGGTGTTTGCTGGAGGTCCACTCCAGACCCTGTTTGCCTGGGTATCACCAGTGGAGGCTGCAGAACAGCAAATATTGCTGCCTCATCTTTCCTCTGGAAGCTTCATCCCAGAGGGGCACCCACCTGTATGAGGGGTCTCTTGTCCCCTACTGGGAGGTGTCTACCAGTCAGGCTATACATGGGTCAGGGACCCACTTGAGGAGGCAGTCTGTCCATTCTCAGAGGTCAAACACCATGCTGGGAGAACCACTGCTCTCTTCAGAGCTGTCAGACAGGGACATTTAGCTCTGCCGAAGCTGTCTGCTGCCTTTTGTTTGATATGCCCTGCCCAGAGAGCTGGAATCTAGAGAGGCAGTAGGCCTTGCTGAGCTGCGGTGGCTCCGCCCAGTTCAAGCTTCCTGGCCTCTTTACACTGTAAGCACAAAACCACCTACTTAAGCGTCAGCAATGGCAGACACCCTTCCCCCTGCCAAACTGCAGCATTGCAGGTCAATCTCAGACTGCTGCACTAGCATGAACAAGCCTCCATGTGCGTGTGGCCCACTGAGCCAGGCACAGGAGGGAATTTCCTGGTCTGCCGGTTGCAAAGACTGTGGGAAAAGCGCAGTATTTGGGTAGAAGTGTACCATTCCTCCAGGTTCAGACTTCATGGCTTCCCTTGGCTAGGAAAGGGAAATTCCCTGACCCCTTGTGCATCAGGGGTGAGGCGACACCCTGCCCTGCTTCAGCTCGCCCTCTGTGGGCTGCACCCACTGTCCAACCAGCCCTAATGAGATGAACCAAATACCTCAGTTGGAAATGCAGAAATCACCTGTCATCTTCATCGATCTCACTGAGAGCTGCAGACCGGAGCTGTTCCTATTCGGCCATCTTGGAAGCCTCTCCCTGCATTTTTTATGCTATGATAAATCCTGTACCACTCATCCCAGTGAATAGCGTAGGGAATATTGGAGTCATTGTAATCAATGCCAGTTATATTTCAGAAATAAAGTAATATAGATAAGTAAATAAACAGAATATCTGGGATGATTTGCATTACTGGTGCAATTTAATTCTTTTTACACATACGATGAACTATTTACATATGTTAGAATTGTCTTTGGCATGAAAATTATGACAAAATATCTGAAAAAAATCTCAAAAGAAAGTATGAAACAGAAGAGAAGTGGCCCAGAGACCTAAAGTGTGTTGCAAATTGAGTAACTGTAAGTTCCTTTCCTTAGTAATGATTCTGTAAACATTGTCAACCATTTTTCATACCAGTTAGATAGGTATTCAGAGCCAATTCTATATTCTCACTCATTTAGGTATTTTTTATTTATTTATTTTATTTATTTATTTATTTATTTATTTATTTATTTATTTGAGATGGAGTCTCGCTCTGTCGCCCAGACTGGAGTGCAGTGGCGTAATCTTGGCTCACTGTAAGCTCCACATCCCAGGTTCATACCATTCTGCTGCCTCAGCTTCCTGAGTAGCTGGGACTACAAGCACCTGCCAACACGTCCAGCTAATATTTTGTATTTTTAAGTAGAGACAGGGTTTCACCGTGTTAGCCAGGATGGTCTCGATCTCCTGACCTCATGATCCACTCACCTCGACCTCCCAAAGTGCTGAGATTATAGGGATGAGCCACCGTGCCCAGCCTGGTCTAGGTATTTTTAAATTAGCCACACATTTATATCTTACTAATGAGAATAAAATTCTACAATGTAGAACAATATTTTTCAAAATAATGTAGTTTCTTAGGTCAACCTTTTACATCTAGTTTTTCATACTTTAAAACTAAAATCTTTCTCTATCAAAGTTGAATTCCTCCTTTTTGTAGTCCCATATTCCATCTTCTCACAAGCTTTTTCTTAAATAACCATTCAGAGTTACAGTGACAGTTCCCCCACTGAAATTCCCTTCCCTTGCCCCATACCTCAAGTTTTCATAAGTTATAGGAAAGATGTTTCTCTCCCTCTGTTACTGTAAAAGCCTAAAAGTTAAAATTTGGAAACTTTTCTATAAAACATAAAATTTCTTCACTGAAGTTTTTCAACATTAGGTAGATAACAATTGCTACAGTAAAGATTATTAAAAAGAGTAGGTCTGTTTCTTTTTTTTGTGACATATTTTAACCAACAAAATGTCATTATTGTTACATATTCTGAACATTGAAGAAAAATAACCAAAATGAGATGCTATTTTTACTTATAATTTTGCTTTAAAAAAATGCAATTCTTGGGAGGCTGAGGCGGGTGGATCACCTGAGGCTGGGAGTTCGAGACCAGCCTGACCAACATGGAGAAAGCCCGTCTCTACCAAAAATAAAAAAATTAGCCAGGCACGATGGCGCATGCCTGTAATCCCAGCTATTGGGTGGCTGAGGCAGGAGAATCTCTTGAGCCCAGGAGGCAGAAGTTGCGGTGAGCTGAGATCACGCCATTGCACTTCAGCCTGGGCAATAAGAGCAAATCTCTGTCTCAGAAAAAAAGAAAGAAAGAAAATGCAATTCACAGTGTGTTTCATAGACCAATATATCAGCATTATATGGGAGCTTGTCAGGTATGCAAATTACTTGGCCCCACTATAGATTTATTGAACAGAATGTCTGGAGGTGGCCCTAGGAATCTGGGCTTTATCAGGCTCTAGTTATGTGTATGAGAAGCATTGCTTTAGATATCCTAGGAATTGTGCTAAAATGAAAACTTTTTTAAAGATAAAGTCTTTATTGAGGTGCAATTTACATTACAATAAAACTAACACAAATTTTAATTCAGTAAATCCCAGTCTGAGCCCAAGATCCTTCATTTCTAACTAGCTTCTGGGTGATTGGTTAGTGGACCTCACTTTGACTAATAAGATCCTATGGAATTGTAGTAAATGATAGAAATTAATCTCATCTTGGAGACTGCCTTGAATTTCTTTATTTAGATGTTAAAACCAAGAAAATTTAGACAACTTCCTGATTATTTTGGCATGAAGACCCAGAAACCTATAAGAAATCTAGTTAAGAAATTATTGAAAACCTGTAGGTGTAAGAGTTTGCTTAAAGTATAAAACTTTATACAATGAGGAGCAATTTGTTGTATATCTTAATCAATAAGAACATGAAGAGTATTGTTAAATGAATAATACTGAAATGTGTATTTTACAAAGTATGGTGACTTACAATCCTATTTCAAAATCAAACCCCTCATTTTCACGCATATGCATTGAACTACTGTCGCCACCTGCCATATTAAATTGCCTATGATGATGTTAACGTGCAATTGTTGATTTACCACCACTGTCAGCAGCACATTATGCTCCATCTCCAATGAAGTAGCACTACCCTCACCTTTGTTGTTGGTTATTTAGGCTTTCTCTTTTCCTTTCGGTTTTGTTAATTCAAACCATGCATATATGGATTGTCATAGCATGCATTTGCCCTCCACTGTCACATAATAGTTCTAGCTCATCCAAACAGCTTACATCTCTTTCAGGATTCTCAGCTCTCACTTGCATGATATACTGGTGACCTTAGCTTCATTGATATTCTGCAAATGTCACAGTTATGCTCGCCTCAGCTGCCTGGGCCCTGGTGAGCAGGTGGAAAAATGACCAGTTGAAAATGAGTTGTTAAGACCACTACAGTGAAAAGATTGATGCAATTAATTTTTCATTATGCACAGTGTCTGCAGATTCTAATCAGTTTGGATTGTTCCTCCTTTGAGGCACAAATAAAATGCAAATAGATTTGGAATGAAAGGGAGCATCCTTTATGGTATAGACTTTCCGAAGCTTTAAAATGGCTCAGAACTAATCTGTGGTGTTAGAAATATTTTATGAATTAGGCCCTGGCAGGCTAACGTAAGTTCTGTCTCGAAAATCTAAGCTGTAGCAACTGCATGAGGCAGCTTGAGAGGTAGATTTCAAGGACACAGACAACAACAGGAATGAATCTGGAGGTAAACCTTACAGGACTGAAGAGGGAGTAGGGAGAACAGGGAATTTTTATTTGCTAAACTAATTACGTAAATTAATATGTCATAAATAATCTAAAATGAAGCATTATGTATATAGATTTATTTTAATAATTTATGCAGTTAACTTGCTAAAACAGGAATATACATTTAGAATTATTTTTTAAGTTTCGCGATGAGTTATTTCCCCTGTTACATCATCTAGTAAAACTTACTATTGTATGTAAGGCAATCATGCATCATGAACTAACGTAGTTCAAATTTAAAAATGCAAATATGCTTATAATACCTTATATCCCATTTGTTCTTTAATAAGGTCACTTTAGAGATGAAACAAATCACTGACAACATTTTATTGTTAGAGTGACTATCCAACCATGTTTTCACTTTTTTCAATAAATAATATTGCCTTTAATTTATATATTTATATTGTGTAGATATTTCCTTTCATTTAAATTGAAATTGGTAAGATAATGTAAAAAGATAATTTTTAAATCAATTTTGAAAAACGTTATTACCATGAACAACAAAAAAAGGAGTGAGTGTTCTTTAGTCTTTTGATGCTGTTTGACATGTGTCTAGAATTAAAGCGTTGGTCCTTTCTAAGGATCTTGCTCAATTCATACGACAAAATTGTTCCCTGAAATTTTTTCTTAAGTTATGTAATGAGAAAGTAAAATGTGCCTGGAGTAAAGTTATCTTTTGAAACTTAGTCTGCATTTGAGATCATATTTTTATATGAGTCCTAAGAGTTTTCTACATTATTTTGTAACATGGCTTAGGAAGAAATTGTTGGAATTGCTTCTTTCCAATATGAAGTTCATTCCAACATGACAGACTCAGAAAACCTTATTTACATATATTTTAAGAGAAAAGTTAATATTTAAATTGCACCTCACAATGCTTTCATACAAAAGTGACTTGCCTTAGAAGATAGCAAATGTGCCGATAATTTTTGTTTCAATTTCTGAAGGTATGAATTAAAAAAAAAAATTATCACTAGATGTGTGCACTTTAAACCTTTCTCAATCCTCTATTTAACATCAAATCAATCTATAACAAATCTTTTTTGCGTGTATTCAAAGTGTGTGAGATACAAAGGCTAGTGAGATACGAACATGTATTTCAGTTTTTCTCAAAATAAATCTATATAAAATTTTAGACCTTAGCAGTTTTTCCTAAACCTTCTTCTAAAATTTAAAAGTGGAGAATTACTTTCTTTTTTCTTTTTTTCTGATTCTATTTATTTCTCACCTCATTTTATTTGCTCAAGTGAGCAAAGCAAAATAACATAAAAATCCAATTACAGGAATTAAAAATCAGTTGCAAAGTTATGATCCTTGTTTATTTGTATTAAAAGTACTTGTTAATTCAACTCTATATGATTTTCTAATTTGTCTAGGTGTCAGAAGCATGGAAGTGAATATGATCAATGAGAGGAAGGAAGAGAGAGAATGAGAGAGACAGAGAGAGACAGAGAAAAAAAGGAGAGTTGCTAAACATATTAAGAAATACCAATCTTCATTAAGTAGACAGGTAGAAAGAAAAGATCCAATGAAAGAGAATGGCTATGTCCAAAATGAATATAAGAAGAATCAGAAAAAGCCATTGCATAAATTAAAACAGGAAAAAAAATTCATCAAGATTAAGTCAGGTTCGTTAAGCAATGGTATTTCCAAGAAAGAACATTTCGGATGGAGAAGTAGAAAAGTCTTTGATGACATCAAAGTGATGTCATGAACAAAAGAAGTAATATGAAACTAAATAAAATATGTAGAGTCAAGTGTGTGAATTCTCATATAAGTCATTCAAAAATATTCTAAATTAGTTGTTTTCAGTAGGGTGGTACCCAATCACAGAGTGCATTAGAAACTTGTTTTTCTTGGTTGTCACAGAAAATGGCAAGTTATCCTGCTGACACTCATGGGTTAGAGTCCAAGGATGCTAGATTTCTTATTAAAAAAAAAAAAAAAGAATAGCTCTGAACTGAAGATACTTTCAAATGTCCCTCTTATATTCAAGTAAGTAAAGAAGTATGTTTATGATTATATGACTCAAGATCTCAATAGCGTTTTGTATTTAACTAAAATCACTACTACATAAGCTGAATTTTAACAGTTTAAGATATATTAGCTTTTCTTCAAGCAATGTAACTCCTGGAAATCTAAATCAATGTAAAGATTTTACCTTGTTTTATTTGGAAAATTGTAAAATTGTACACATTTCAGAAAATCGCATCACTGATAACAAAGTTTCTTTTGCATGTTATTGGATCTAATGATTCAATGAACTTCATCATTATGCTTCTAATAGTTCCATTACTGGAGGTGATCTTACGTACAGATGCAAAAATCACTGTCTACTTCATTACACTTTCAAGTATGGACATGGTCAAGAATTTACAATCTGTGTGTGTGTGTGTGTGTGTGTGTGTGTGTGTGTGTGTGGTGCATAACTATTTCCATTGAATTCTAAAATTTACTTGCATTAGGACATTTTGTTGATTATGTTAATTACACCTGAGGTTTTACTTTAGTTTTTTTTTCAGTTCAGAATAAAAAAGAGAATATTAGAACATACTTGTTACAAAATGGGGTTGCTGAATCTGATAGAGTTGAGAATTATGCTTTATATCTATAAAGTTAGCTTCATGATATAATCTAGCTTGCAAGAATCATTAAAGAAATTGATTATATAAGAAAATTGATTTGCTATGAAGATAGAAAAGAACCCACCATTAGATATCTTCTTGGGTGGAGAAGTGCAATAAACTGATCTAATTGTCATTTTAACTCTCTCATTAGATCTTAGATTAAAATCTGCCTTATTTCTTCTGCACATAGAAAGCAGAGTGTCATAAATGGAATTTTTTATTTCACAACAAACAGGTGTATGATATACATGGATCTGGCAACATCGAATATGTACTACATCCACGCACACATACACCTGCACACACACATATTTATACACATACATATATACATATCATCTTGTGTCTCGTTACTAATTGTATAGTCTGTGAACCAGTTGCTAATCAGCATCACCTCAGTGCTTGTTAAAATTGCAGAATCTCAGCTCCCGTCACAGACCTATGGAATCAAAACCTAAATTTTAACTCCAACAAATTTTATGTAAATTAAAATTTGAGAAATGCTGGTCTAATGCATATTTGTTTGTACAAATGGCCATGTGTTTACATACATTTTTAAAGTTATTGAAAATAAATACTAAACTAATTCTTTTATACTTGGGGATTTTTCTCCCAGTTATGTATATTACATAAGTAAAAGATACACATATACTAACCAAGGCCAAAGCCAAATGAGTTGTGTCAATATGAAGATTTGAGAGAGAGATGGCTGAGAGTTCAGGGTTTGTTTTGCTTAAGCTTACCACCCAAATAAGCAGTGCAAAGGAAATAAGATAGAAACATTCAAAATGGATAGAGGAAACTTCCAGGAGGAGATTGGACAAATTTTCTATCCCAGATCTGAGATTATGATGTGTACTCTTTCCCAGAATTTTTCTGCTTCAGAATATGCTTGCAGTTTGAATTCATATGAGTTTTCCTTCTCTATCTAACTTTTTACAAATCCTTTGAATAAAAAATAAAATAACCATTCCAAATCTTACACATTGGGGTATAAAAAGGTCAAGGACATCAAATAAGGCATAGAGTAAAATTTGATATCTGAGAAGGCCCTTTTAGTAAGGGTATGTTAAACTAATAGTAAAGTTTAATGTCTTACCTTATATGCATTACATGCATTTCTGCAAAAAGAAAAGTATGGCATTTGAAATGAGATAATTTTGGATGTTGGAATTCAGATGTATTATAAAGTGAGTGTTATAGGTGACAACGGTTTTTGTTTAATAGCCAAACTTTTTTATTATTTATCTCTGAATTATTGTAAAAGTATAATAAAATTTCTAAAATATTCTTCTCATTTGCAATTTTGTAAGACTTGTGTTGATACTTTTTAACTACATAGACATTTGCCTTTAACTAAGTAATTCATATAATTAATAAATAATTATCCCTGGAAAGTCTTGAGAAAACTTTTTTTTTAATTTACTTAGCAGTAAGCAGAAACAGAAGTTACAAGACTTGAAAGCCTCTTTCAAATTAGGAGACTTTTAGTATTATGAAGAAGACCCTAGTTGAGTTGAAATATATAAAATAATTAGATGATAGATTATTGTGTGATATGTAGCATATAAGTCAGAAAAAGTTTCAACTATTAGCGTTGCTATAACCAAACTCCATTTTTTTTCTTACTTTCATTAAGAAGACTTCTTGGTACTTATATCTATAAAAAAAAGCAGGAAATGATTGGAAACTGAAAAGTGTTTCCTATTGATAATAAATAACTCTCACTCACTGGTCTTTGAAAAAAATCTCTCATTAAATGATGCATTATAAAATATAATATTTTTCAAAATATGTAATATATTTATGTTGTTTTGAGGATTCGGGTACAAATAATAATCGTAATAACTTTTATTCCAGAAAACCAAAAATAAAAATGTAAATATATATTTTTATATACAACATTTTTACTGCTTATAAGTATTAGAACTAGAACTAGAAAAAATCATATCAAACATTAAATAAATTTATTTAAGATAATTTTTTTGGAGGACAAAGAAAAAACATTACTTCAAGGAGAACAACAAGCAACATAAATGTAGTTGAGAGCCCTTCATTTGCACAGGTTTTTTTCCAAGGAAGACCTGAGAGAGGCCCTAAAAATGTGTTTATGAGGCCATATGTTCTTTTCATATTTTCAAAAATAAGTTACTTCAACTACAATTGGTTAAGACCTTTGTCTCATTCCAATTCTACTTACCCTCATTCACAAATCTGTATGTGGTTTTAAAGTTTCTTGGGAATTTTGTGACTCAAAGGGGAAACTGAGTTGGTGATATATTTAGTTTGGGTTTAGGGAGATAAATTCATACAAATCAAATCCACTTGGTGAATTTGACTATTGTTCATCATCCCAGTGTAAAAATCATTTTCATGTATATTCTCATCGCTCACAGTGACCACTCACCCATTATCATTACAAGGCCAGAGGTTGTATTGTGATATGAGCATGTCCAATGGCATCTAGAACTTGGAGTATCTGGGTACCATAGAAGAAGTAGAGTTTGAGAGGTGTGGAGCCAGAAGTTGTTCTGAGGAAAATTTTTCCAGTCAATAGATGTGTACAGTTTTTAGTGGATTCTTATTGAAGCGCCCATTTTAAACAGAAATTTTCGGCCTCAGGAATATACTTGAAAATGCAGTTTTGACAATTGGAAGTACAACAAGTAACTTAAGGTTGTTTTTTTTCCATGGGAATTACATAAAATATAAATTTTAGAATTATTGGGTATGTAAACAAAACCTGTGCAACAATAAAAATTAACAAGTACGTATCTTTGTAAAGTCAAGTACATTATATATTCCAACTAAAAAAAAACGAAAATAAATTTCAACATGTTAAAAGAAGACTAATTTCCTTCTTCTCTCTGTAGATTTTACAAAATCATTGTCACATGAAGTTAGGATCAAAAAGAATGCTGCCAACAACACTGGTATTTAAAAAAAGTATTACAGATGAGTGCCAGGCAGTAAATTAATAACAATGTGTTATTTTTCTGGATATTTACTTTACTTGTCAGCTTTTACATTTGCAATTTATTTTCTATTTAAATATTCTCTCATACTTGATTTTTTATTTATAGTTGTGCATTATAAATTTTCTTTTTCTAATAGAAAGTTTACAAAAAGGTTCACAAAATTGAATAAACTCTGTGTGCTACAAAATAGGATCCTTTTCTGTTTGCAATGATTTAAACTTAAATATATATGTACACACACTCATATATATAACTAAAACTGCAAGGAGGTATTTGAGAAAATTATTTTTAAGGTTATAGAAGTAATTTTACTTTACTTTAAGGCTATTGGTACCAGACATAAACGTATATGCAATTGAGTAGTCACTTCCCAATGCTTCCCTAGTATTCCCAGCACACATGCCTACTGTTTCATATTAATATGGCCCAGGTAGTGGAAAGATGCACCAGGCTGGAAAAACCACAACCTTACATAACCTGCCAGACAAGTCATTAGTTTGGGCAGGAGCAGCATCAGCTCACAATGGTCTACATATTACTGTCCCATCTATATGAAAAGTAACTATATCTCAGTTACATAGCTACTCTACTTCATCTATAGCATTGCACATATACCACGGCTGAAATTCACAACAATATGAAATTGAATATTGACTATTGACTATTTTAGACTGATTTTTCATTATTATTACTTTAAAGATAATTAATATCATCCATGTCCCTTTTACTCTGTGACAGTCTAATTAAACTTTGTAATGTGGTAAACTACTGACACAATCATATTTTACTCAGATATTGCTTTGAAAGAACATTTATACTAATTAAAGTACATCATCAGTTAAGAAAATTCAGATGAATATGGAAATTATGTGGTTTTTAGAAATCAGTAAAATTGCAGTACTTATATTAAGATGAAGCAGATACTTGAAATTGAGATGAAATTATTTCATCTTAAACTGTAAGTAAAATATGACATATAGTAGAATGGATATTTTTAAAAGAAGGAAAGCTGGGAGGTTCAAAAGTGAATCATAGTAGTCAGGAATCATATAATACTTAATGGTGTGAAAATGGGAAAATGAAAGTCACACATCCTGGGGAACATAAAGCCATACAATGTTAAAATGTCCTATCTGAACCAATAAATGGCTTCTCTCTAGCATCACTACATGCTCCTCTCATTTGAGGCTAATTCAAAAAATCTTTACTTGAGAGCATTAGGCCTTTGGTCTCCTTTGTAAATCTTTATTCTCTCTTTCTTTTCATGACCTAGTTTGGCCTTCAGAGACTTATTGTTTTACATACAGAATTTAAATTTTGGATTGCTCATTTTCATATTTTTTAAATGGACGTATATTGCTCATGTTTTTTTCAAAGCTCTGGTAGAATGAGGCCTGTAGTGTCTGAAATGTCTTTAAAACAAATAACTGAATACACAGATAAGAAAACAAAAAAATCAAACGAAGAAGAAATATGTTCTAACAACTCTTACAGTTTTAAAATAGAGACTTTTTAATCTGACTAATAAACGACTGTAGAACTGCTGATGTCTTTATTAGCAGACACAACAAAATCATTTCCAAATGATCTCTGACCATGATAACAATGAAAGTTCTGCTGCAATGAATATTAATAGCATTTACTCTGAGCTCTGAGCATTAATACATCAGGAAAAAATATTCTCCTTATTAACACTTTTGGTACTATTTTTGATAAATACCAGAAAGAAGATTTCAGTGACAATCTCACCCAGCCCTCAGGAGTTGACAGGATGACCTAAAAGATGCTATGAAACCTTTATACCTATGATTGATTGATTAATTTTCTTTATGTGAGTGTTACTATTATCCTATTTTCCCCTTTTGAGAAATAACAGAGTATGTTAGAAGGAAAAACAAGCAATGCAACATCAAACTTACATTTTTTGGTATTTATTATGACTAAGAATCTACAGTGATCTGAATCCCCCACCAATACTCCAACACATAAAGAGATCTGATCATAGGATTTTGCATATCAAACACACATGTATATATGAATGTATAAATCAGATATGATTCAACTGAATCATTGTAGTGTTCATGTTGGCATAGGATTGCCTAAGGTAGTAGCTAATCAGAAAAGAAAAATAGAATAGTTACAGAAAATTGCATAGAATTTTGTCAAAATCTTGTTATATTTGGGTCAACAGAGTTAAAAATAGGCTTCTGAGTTTTAAAAAGGGCAGTGTTTTTAAAAAGTTGTTTTTTGACACATAAGCTTTGTACAGTATTTGAGGCTCAGGCTCAAATACATAGAGAAGACAGCTTGGCTGGCCATACTAATGAAATTAGCCGTCATGATACACAAATTTACTCTTTGCCCTGTACACCTGCTGTTCTGGCAGGTTCCATCAATAACACCCAACTAGAATTGCTAAGTAAAGAATATGTAAACGGAATTAGTAGAATAGGCAATTGTGAAGCAGAAAAGGTATCCAAAGATATTTAGTTACCCTGTGCTATATTTTGAATATATTCTATATTTTATGTTAAATTATATATCAAATATTCAGATAATAAAGTTATAGTATAAAAGTTATGGATATTGTGCCATAACCAGATTTGTCTAAGCATGCTGCCATTAGTATTTTAACCCCAAGTTGACCTAGTTACTTGCAGAAATATACTGCATTTCTTCAAGGGCATCTATTTCTAAGTAACTTGAAGTACAAACTTATACCAGCCATTTTAATCCATTGCTACTATATATATTTATTTGCATTCTTTAATTATTGATAACAGAATAAATCATAATTTCCAAAGAATTAATATCATAGTTGTGTTTTTTCCACTTATAGAATAACATTTTATCTACAAAAGTTTTACTATTACTAGAGAATATTTGGTTTTGGTAGTAACTCCATCATTCTGGGGTCTTCCACCATCAGTTTCTATATCTGTTTACCTCCACTTACTTTTATTTTTCATTAAAAGTAACAAATAGGCCAGGCATGGTAGCTCACGCCTGTAATCCCAGCACTTTGGGAGGCTGAGGCGGGCAGATCACGAGGTCAGGAGATTGAGACCATCCTGGCTAACACGGTGAAACCCCATCTCTACCAGAAATACAAAACATTAGCTGGGAGTGGTGGCAAGCGCCTGTAGTCCCAGCTACTCGGGAGGCTGAGGCAGGAGAATCGCTTGAACCCGGGGGGGCGGAGGTTGCAGTGAGCCAGGATTGTGCCACTGCACTCCAGCCTAGGTGACAGAGCAAGACTCCGTCTCAAAAAAAAAAAAAAAAAAAAAAAGTGACGAATATAACACCAAGTTGCAAAAACAACACAAGAAGTCATTAGGTTTTCTTTAACAGAAAAATAATCCCTAGTTTATTTAATTTTGTATATTCTAATATAATAAACAAATTTTTTCTAATATATAAGATACTACAAAATAAATACTACATGAGAGTTTAAAATATTTTTGTTAGTGAATATTTCTTTATACAAATAAGATTAAGCCTAAAATGATTGTTTTCTCGATTTACTTCTAGATACTGGGCTATGTTGATTGATAGGCAGTGAAATTATGTATCCTATTGTTTGTCAATGCAAGATTTGACATATTTTCTTGATGAAATATATTTTGGGTAATTTTTCTGCATAATTTTAAAGAAAAGGACTATAAAATAACAGCAATAAGACTATAATTGTGATTTTGAACAAATTTTTTTTACTCCTCTTTGTTGTGACATTAAATAGCATATTTAAGCATTTGTACGTTTAATTTCCTTGTTTGTACAATATGAATAAACGTGTAATGTGTCAGAATACGTAGTATATCAAAGCCAATTATATATATTGTACACAAACATATTAATATATACATACAGCAAATAAAACAATTATTTATATATATTAGTAAACTCATACACCGACAGACATGCACACCCACACATGCACACACACACGTGCACACTTATACAACAGACCCATACCACCTACTGCTTATATCCTACTGTATATGATTCTTTAAAAATTCCGTCCATATATTATGTTTAGGGATATTAAAAACAATAGATCTTGTTTAAAATTCCCAGAAATATACCCATATTTTTCATAGTGTGATCCATGGGGATGGTCTGCTGAAAATCCTGAGCCTGTATTCCAACTGCCTGGGGAGATGCTAAAGGATTATGTTTTGATCTTAGTGTTTGACCTACATGATTGACTCTTTCACTTCATGAACTTTCCTAAGGCAAAAGTAATAGCCTCAACCACCTGCTGTTTAAATTAGAGTACATTAAAAGGACACACGTTAAAATTTAAAATATGATTCTCAAGACCCCTTAACATGGGCTGAGGTCCCAGCTGTGAGAGCAGTGGATACCGTCAGGGCCTTCCTGAGCAAACTCCTTCCTGTCACTG
This sequence comes from Homo sapiens, assembly GCF_000001405.40. Taxonomy (NCBI): domain Eukaryota; kingdom Metazoa; phylum Chordata; class Mammalia; order Primates; family Hominidae; genus Homo; species Homo sapiens. Next base: position 64,786,377 of record NC_000004.12, on the reverse strand, counting down.
CTGCACACTCCTATTACCTAATGCATTCATGGGAAGGAAATCAGAAGACCTTGCTCTTCCGGGAGGCCACCTATCCTAATGTCCTAATGTCTCTTTCTTTGCAACCCTTTTATGTAATCATTCATTTATGAAAACAAAATGTGCTCACTGGAGGCCTACTGTGTTCTTGGCAACATCTGAAGGCATCAGGAATTGAAAAAAAAATGTGGTTGCTTTTATGGATTATATTGTATCATAAGAGAGAACATCCGATATGACAGGAAGATGAGTAAAACAATTGGAATTTTTGATAAATTCTACGACAGAATCCAATTAAAGTATGAGACAAAATTATAGGGATGAGAGACACTGGAACAGATGTGGAACGGAGTAAACCAGGTATTTTGGATCCTTTCCTTGTTTCCGCAGGAATAAAAGCCTCCAACTCTAAGAGGGTTACTCAGTCATTCATTGGCCAATCTAACCACTGTCATATAGTGTAGGTGGACAGTGTGGCATCTCCTCAGCTATTGACTGGACCTTAGGGAAGGTCCGGGACAGTTTTCACCTGCAGCCTCTGAAATGGATGAGCTCAGTTGCCATGGGAGTCAATAGAGAATTGATTGCTAAAGAACACAAGGGTTAAGTAGTGCTACACAATGTGGGTGGCATATTAGAATCACCTGAGGAGATTTTAAAATCCCAGGACTCAGGAAAAAATGGTTCAAAATTCTCTAATTACTCAGGTATAAGGTAGGTTGAATGTCAAGCCTTTATACTATCAAGTGACAAACCTAAACATATGTTTGTGTGTGTTTGTTTATATATATGTGTATGTTTAGTGACAGCATATAATTTACTCAATATGTTTTGAATAGTCAGACAAAAATTCTTTGGAAAACTGACCTGTTTCAAGAGGTAGAGGTAATTGCTGATTGGTGAATATAAAGAAGACTTATTGTTACCAAACTTTTGGGAAAAAATAATCTTTGAAGAAGCATTGAAAATGCTTTAACTTCTTACTGTGTTCAGAATTGAAAACAATATTTTCCAAATCTATTCTATCTATAATACATTTGGTTTTCATTAAAAGTATGAAAATATGTTTAAGAGAATATGAATGTATTTATCCCATTTTCCTAAAATGTAAACATCTTTTTTTTTTTCAAATGTGCAAGTGAAATGCAAGCTGTCATTGAGAGGAACATCCTTCTGAGGCACTAGCTAAAATGAAGAGCTCTGAATTTACTGATGTTCGTTCTCATTTTCTCTGACACATGTGTATTTTTTTATTACATTAAATCTTATTAATGGCTTTATATTTTTGTTATGATTACTCTTTATTGCTTTTTGAAGAAGATAATATCAAATGGACTTAGAAAATGTCAGATTTTTGCTATTATATCCAGAGTGTCCTTTAAAGTTTGTTACTAAAAGATTTTTGATAAAGATATATTGTCTAAGTCAGAGAATTTTAATGTGCTGATTTGAAATATGATTTTATGCATCTATGAGAATTGAGCCAAAGGACTATAGGCATTCTGAATACCAATACAATGTATTGTGTATCTTTTGTTTTTTTTCCCACAGTTTCAGTTTATTTTCACAATGCTGTAAGTCCTTGTTTTCATTCAATATTGCATTATAGGTGACTGCTAGTAGCTATCAGAACATCTCTTTCTGAATATTCATGAAACATTTTTTATTTTCCCTGGCAAGAGAAAAAAAGAGAAATATGCTATTGAAAAAGAGGCCTTGTTGAAATAGGTTAGGTGATTTAACAACAATTTTCACAGACAAAGAATTTGCTATTCGCTTCAGTAACAAGAGAAAAATGTCACTGAAGACTTCTAGACCAAGAAATATGGTATAGAAAAGATAAAAGTAAATCAGGGAGGCTTTGTTTTTCCTTAATTTCTGAGAAGGAACTTAGAATACTTGAAAAACGATTTTAAATACTTGATCTTTGAATAACACATACTTGGGTTGAAATTCATGCCTTGGCACTAATGAGGTATGTGAACTCTGACAAATTATTCAATTTCTCTAAGTCCTTGTTTCCTCATTTGAACAATGGAAATAATGACATCAGCCTTTCAGGCTTGTTTTGAGGCTCTGAGTGAGCATCTGGCATATAGTTAGGATTAAGTAAATATTAGTTCCCTGCCTGCATGCTTTATTTAGTCCTTTGCCTGTTGGTAAGAAAAATAGCTGAAAGTGATTGCAATAGTACCACCACCTAACAATGCTATTGTCAGTGAGGCAGAGGCATCTAAATCCCTGGTCATTTGCATCAATTTCTTGTTCTATGAATCCATAAAGTGTTGTAGAATTGCTTTAGCCACCTGCCTGATATGCTACATCCCTATATTCCTTCTGTTAACTTTATTTTCTCTGCCTCTTTAGCCTTAAGCAATAAGAGGAATGGGGAGAAGCTAAATTTTTATCTTGTAAAGAATGGTTCATTCTATCCACTTTTACACTCAGATTCACCACACAGGGAGTGAGGGATTGGAATTCTGTTCAGTTTTGTGTTTGGGAAAATTTAAAGGACAGAAATGATCTAATGAATGAAGCAAAGTCATATACTAAAATGATAGCAAACCAATCTTCTGCATAAGGTAGTTAACATTTTGAAAACAATTTATTTGGCAGCACTACGGCATATAATCATAAACCAAGTCAAACAAGATGAACATATGCACATTGTTGAGCTGAGTGGTGGAATGGTTCTTCCAGCAGCAACACACCTGTGTAACAACATAATTGCCAGATAAATAGCTGTTTTATAGCTAATTAGAATTGAGTTTGAGATACTGTTTTGAAGCTCCAGTCAAGGACCACAGCTATTTGCACATCCTTGACTGAAGAATCATGTTCCTTAGAGTGGGAAAGGTCATTGTTGAATTGTCTTTTGTTGTCATCACACCTGCTGATAAAAAGAACACTCATGGAAATGGTTGCCTTGACCCTCAGCAAATAGGGTTGTTCAATATCACTACCAGATAGCCCCCCATGGGCAGTTTCTTACTCAACTTTTCACAAAAAGAAATTCATTATTTAGTGTGCTAACTGTAGACTTTGAGCAAGGACTGGCATAATAGATTATAACATAAATTTACTCTTACTAAATACAATCCATGGGATAGTTTCTGAGCTACGAAGAAAGCAGTTATGAAACACTTATTTTACCTTTGATCTAAAGTCCTGATTCATATGTACTTTCACGGTTTGAACGAGAAATTTAAGGAGCAGTGAAAAAATAAGACAAGCAAAGGGGCTTTAAAGCACTACTGGTTTGAAATCAGTTGGCATTTAAATCTACTCCGCAAAGAAACAGTACCTTGATCAAAGCAATGCTAGCTCAGAGATGAATCAGATGCAGCATGAATTAACTCTTGTTCTTTACGGTTTTCTTCATAAAGAGGATATACCAATGTTAGGGGAAAGAATGGCGGGAAAGTCAAAGAAACATCTCCGAGTATACCTCCTCAAACTCTTTGTTTTACATTTCAAACAACTGAGAGAGTAACTGAGAATATATTGGTTTCTGTCAATTATACTGCTTGGTTAATTAGTAACAAACTTGGGATGAGAATTCTTGTCTCCTCTTTTATACTGCAAAAGATCTTTCACACACTGCACTGCTAAACTTTTAAAGACAACAAAAGAATAAACATTTTTGGCCGGGCGTGGTGGCTCACGCCTGTAATCCCAGCACTTTGGGAGGCCAAGGAGGGTGGATCACCTGTGGTCAGGAGTTTGAGACCAGCCTGGCCAACATGGCAAAACCCTGTCTCTACTAAAAAAATACAAAAATTAGCCAGGTGTGGTGGCGTGAGCCTGTAGTCCCAGCTACTTGGGAGGCTGAGGCTGGAGAATCGCTTGAACTCAGGAGGTAGAGGTTGCAGTGAGAAGAGATCGCGTCACTGCATTCCAGCCTGGCTAACAGGGTGAGACTCTGTCTCAGAAAAAAAAAAACCATTTTTTCTTAGTACATACCTTGTTAAATATTTTTAGCCAAGCACTTGAACAGAATGAAAGGCAAAACCTTTCACAGTCAGTAAAAAAATAAGAGAAAATTTGGAGGATTATTCTAAAGAGAGGCTATTCTGTTACTCAAAATTAAAGAATCTACGTATGGTTCAAGAGCATCCTGTTTTTCTTCACACATTCCACAGATACACTATTCTTTGAAAACTGGTTACACCTAAAAAATATTACTTATCCAGACAAAATCATAACTACTCAAACAGCATGTTTTGCTTACTAATATATCATGGTTCATCTCCACTTATTTTTTATGTTAGTCCATCTTAAAACAGTTTTAAATACTTGTGGCTATAAAAATTATAGGTCATAAATTCTGCCTTCAATGGACGGCCTCTAAAATTTGAATTTTAATAATGTAATGCTGACATAAGGGAAACAAAAACATATTACTGCTTTCATTGTGGGAAGACTACCCTCTTGTGGCTTTAATTGGTACTTCCACTGTCTACTTTTTTCAGGTCTGGATTCCTACAATGAGACTTGGAATAGTCTTCAGAGCTAAAAATTACCTTAACGACAGCCTTAGAAATGATCTACTAATATAGCTTTATTTTCCATATATTAAACTTGATTCCTGAGTGTTGAGTAACATTGGCTTACAACTCCATTGAGATTTTGCAGCCTTAAAAAAGAGAACACTACTTAATCATTTAATATTTGGAGTTGTACATCATCTTCACTAACCTATTATAGCATTCATTAACTCTTAGATTTTAAAGCCATAAACTTATTGAGCATGCAACTTTACAACTTATGTCCACATTAGCCTCCTTATAGCTGCAAAAATATCAATATTAGCAATTAATAATTTCAGCTGTTATAAACTGTTCAAAAGTTCACCAATTAAATTACAGATTTTATGTGAGCTGAAAATATAACATAAAATTATCTATTTTTCTGTTCAAAGCCAATGATACTTTAGAATACTTGGTGAATAACAGTTTCTTATTACTAAATGAAGAAATAATAACTAAGTCAGAATAAGTCAGGGAGTTCCTCAATATAAATTTAAACTATGTTACAAATTAAAAATTTGAGGCCTCTAGAACACCTAGTTTGGACCAATTATTACACTGGTAAAGAAAATGCTATGTTCTTGCAGTCTATTCAGTACTGAGAATAGGGCTGGTCTATTTGTGCCCCATCTTCTGTTTGTGCCGGTGGCTATGGCTTCATGTGGTCACTCCTGCTTCCCTTGTGGCTACAATCTATGTGCGTTTACATTGATAAGAAAAAAAAATCAGAAGTAGTGAAGGTAGGATAAAAGGTACATATGGACTACCTTTAAGTGCCAAAGGATGCTCAAACTTTTATTTTTGTTCTCAGAACTATTCATACATCCCCACGGGAGGAGTATACTTACTCAATCCTAGACATTGGGTTTCACAACATGAGTGACTTTGGATAACAGGACGTCTTCAGACACAGCAGGGATTAAATTTGCAACGTGCTTGTGAATGTTTGTTTACTCATTTGCTTTTCTGTCGAGGTCATCATAAAAACATGCTTAGCCTCACCTGCTGGTCCCAGGAAGAGGAGGGACAGGTGGAGCAGAGCCTACCTCTGAACCAAATCCAGCCTAGATCCATTGACCCAGAATTCACAGAATTCTGAGCTAAATAAATGCTTAGTATTTTATCCTGATGAGACGTTCTTGTGTGTGTGTGTTTTGGTTCTGTTTTGTTGTTTAACTGCATAAGTTGGTCATTTTTGATAGTGACAATTTTCCTTTTCCGCGTGGTAAACATCTGATTCACAGTCATAGAGAGGTAGTGTTTACATACCAGTTCAATCAATTCCCTTCTTCAAAATCTTCATGAGGCTCACTATTTTGCTTTCTGAGATCAAATAAATGTCACTTTCACAGAGTGCTCCTTCTGACTACTTGTCTAGAATATCTTTCACCAAATAAATACTTATATAATCCATTTGTTTATTGCCTTCCCAACAAGTAATATTTTTAATTGTCTTATTAATTGGCCCAATCAGATATAAATTATGTGAGGGTAAGAATCTCATCTTTTTGATTCCTGCTACATCTCCAGTCTCCACTTCCTAGAATTCTCTCATTAAATATTTTTGAATGAACAAATGAATGATTCATTCAGTCTATTAATAGATCAATCAGTTCCATCACCTGATTTGGATAACTCCTACTTCAAACATCACCTTTTAAAAAAATAAGTCCTCATTAGTTTTAATTAACACTATAACTGTTCTTTAAATTCACCTGTGTGTCAACTGTCAATGATTCCCTAGTTAACTAATAACAAATTATTCTCATTTGACTTGCAGCTCCATGCTCTAAATCAGGCAGTTTTATTCATATACTTTATGTGAGTTGAAAATATAACACAAAATCATCTATTTTTCTGAACATATATATATACATCTATATATACACATTCAATTTTTTTCAACTATTTCCATCACAATTATGTTCCTTCTCCATCTAATTATATTAAATGTATAAGGTAGGAATTCTCCTTAACCTTTACATCAAGCTTATATTTTTAAAATCAGAAACCTAAAATTATTTCATCATGATGTTCTGATATTCCTTACATGGGTTATTATGAGTCAGTCTTCACAACAAGGTGTGGATGACTTGAAGATAGAAAAAGTTCAATTGCCAATATTTTGTATTTATTTACTTAACAGTGAATATTTATTATAGTAATGGATGTAACTATACATAAGACTCAGATCACATCCTCAAGACCTTGCAGCTTTGCATAGGAGATAAGTACTGATTATTCTGAAGTAAAAAATTTGGAGGGGAGTTAAGGTAGGTATTATGAAGAACATTACATAAGGGCAATAATTATGATTCAAACTTCTCTGGAGGTTTTCCTGATTCCATTGTTTAAAGGAAACTGTATTGCTGGAAGACTACATTAGCATTAGTTTTAGTAGTACTCTGGACAACAAATGAACACAGTAACTAAGCAGAAGGAAACTGTTACACAATCATTGGTTTGTAGACCAGAATTTAAATGAATGTCATTGTACCTGAGGGTGATAAAAAATTGTAATTTAGAGTTTTCTGTTGCTATAATTATTATCACCAAAGCAATTGTTTTAAGTAGTATTTCCAGATAAATACAATAGCTAACCCTTATTTGTAATGATAATAGAAAAGAAAAAGAGCATATGCTTTGAAAATATGTGTTCTCTACACCCTTTCCCCTGTATCTCTCAATATATTACATGTGAAGAAACAAGAAGAAGGTGACCATCTACAAGCCAAGGAGAGAGGCCCTTAGAAAAAGCCAACCTGCTAATACCTTGATCTCGGGTTTCTAGCCTCCAGAACTGTGAGGAAATTAATTTGTTATGGTAGCCTTAGCAAAATAACATAATATTTAATAACTATGTTTCCAAAGTCATATTTTCAAACAAAGAACCAAAGTTAAACATTAGAGAACAGCTTTTCAGAACATATAATCCACTAGTATTCATTATGAATCTCTAAAAGATCAAGTACTATCTTTTTAATTTCTAAAATTTATTTAGCCATGCTACATTTTTTTTTTGTAATGAAACACTGGTTCACCTCTCATGTGACAGAATGAACCTCTGAAAGTAATTAGGTAACTGTTTCTTCATAATTTTGTCTTGAATGTTGCCATTCCCATAAGTTTCCAAATATAATTTATGTTTTATAGACAACCAAATTCACATCCCTGGGGTCTCTGTCTTGAACTCAAGAATTGGATATATTAATTCTTTAGTACTGCTTTCTACATATTGCTACTTGGATATGCTGCAGAAAAGTGTAATCTAAATTGAACTAATATTTTATTTTTTCCTGACATCTAACTCAAGCATTCTTAAGTCTATGGAGAGTTAGTCGAACTGTGAAGTTATTGGCACAGTCCTCCAGATGGCCAAGTAAGTTCATGTCTGACTCTAACTTCAAGAAGTTGAGTCCCAACTATAAAGTTAGAGGGAAGGGTCCACATAAGATTACCCTATATTATGATACCAACTGTAAGTTCAAGAGTTTCCCCAAATCATTCTCAGGTTCAATAATTTTCATTACAAAGACTAATGAATTCTTCCAAAATTCATTAGTTCTGAAAGATAGGACTCACTAAAACCTATTAGACTAATGGCTACACTTATTACAGGAAAAGGATACATTAAAACTCAGTCAAGAGGCCGGGGGTAGTGGCTCACGCCTATAGTCCTAGCACTTTGGGAGGCCGAAGCAGGTGGATCACAAGGTTAGGAGTTCGAGACCAGCCTGGCCAACATGGTGAAACCCCGTCTCTACTAAAAATACAAAAATTAGCCAGGCATGGTGGTGCAAGCCTGTAATCCAAGCTACTCAGGAGGCTGAAGCAGGAGAATTGCTTGAACCCAGGAGGTGGAGGTTGCAGTGAGCCGAGGTCATGCCATTGCACTCCAGCATGGGAGACAGAGCAAGACTCCGTCTTGAGGAAAAAAAAAAATCTCTGTCTCTCGGGGAAAAAAAAATCAGTCAAGGGAAGGAACACAAAGGGTGCAGTCTGGAAGGGTTCCCAAAGCAAAGCTTCCATCATTCTGAAGATGTATTATCCTCCAGCCATTGATCTGAAATGATATGCATAAGACCTTACAAACCTGTGCAGCTCACCTGAGCTTTGGTGTCTCAAGTTTCATTAAGAGTTTATTATCTATCTATGATCAATTGATTTATTGTGTATGTACTTGAACTCAATATTCAAAAACTCCTGTACAGAGATTGGACTGATATGATGTGGCTCCAGGAAACCCTGAGTCACCTGGTTAGCATCCACTACCTCCTGTGGTCCAAGGGGCCCACCATGAATAACAAAAACACTCTCTCAGTTGGAAAATTCATGAGTTCTGAGGTTACCTTCCAAGACCGTGAATAATGGCATTATACCTCTTTTGGCAATTACGCATTCCTGACTACACAATGCCCCATTTGCTGATATGGTGTTCACCTTGGCCGTCTGTTTAACTCATTAACCCACAGAAATGCCAAGAGGCTTGCTCAAATTGAGATGTTTGCAACTGTCTTTATTTTACCTGTAAAATCTTAGTATTGCTAGTTAGCATAAGCTTTAATCCTGTCATGTTTAAAGATTTCCCAGACCCCTGACACATTACTTCAGTTTTTTGTTGTCAACACATAACTTTAATCAAATTTTATAACCTTCCTAAGGCTCTTGTTTTCTCACCTGTTAAATGGAGATAACTACCTTTGGCGGGGGATAAAAGCTTTATCAAAAGTTTTCAAACTTTGCTCCATTTCCTCTTTTTTAATAGATTCAGTGAAAAAATAACAAAAAGAAATGCTGTAAAATTTTGCCAACTCAGCTTTCCTCCTACAAGTTATGGTACCATCTCAAATACCCTTTTTGACCTTTCTGGGAGAGAAGAGAAAAAGGGACTGTGTTTGTCAGCTCAGGCTGCCATAACAAAATGCTGCAGACTTGAGTGTCTTAAACTACAGAAATTTATTTTCTCATGATTTCGGAAGCTGGACATTCATTATCAAGATGCTGGTTAATTCATTTCTGGCAAGGGTTCTTTTCTTGGCTTGTGGACATACACCTCCTTGTTATGGTTTTGCGTGGACTTTCCTCAGTGTGTGCACAGGGAGAGAGAAAGGAAGCTCTGTGGTGTCTTTTCTCATAGAGACACTAATTCTATCAGATCAGGGGTCCTCCCTTAAGGCCTCATTTAACTTTAATTGCTTCTGTAGAGTTCTCATCTCCAAATACAGCTACACTGGGTGCTAGGGCTTTGACATGTGAATTTGAGGAGGCACATTTTTCCATAACGGGGGTCATGACATAGCAATATGTTCAGTAAAGATTCATCATATTACGGTCTACTGGCTGCAGAATTACAGAGTCAGTGATCTTCTAACTGACACCTCATGGGCAGAAGAGAAAAACAGTAAGGTTAAGGAAGAAATGCAACGAAGAGGATCTCTACTGCCTTTGCAAATATCTCGGCCTCCCATGCCCCTCATTTTCCCTTTTACTCAATGATGAAAGCCCAATACTGTTTATACTGAGCCATCTGCTGATTCACATTGATCCACAGCAGCTCAACGGTACTGGAGAAAAATTACAGAGCCATGCCTGCTAATTTCACAGCAATACTGCTTGATAATCATATCACTGCTTCAGGAAATTCCCTTTCCCATTCTCAAGAATGACTACACATTTCAAAAAATGTCTTCCCCATTTAGTATCAGTGGATGAATTTGTTACATAATTCCTACAAAAATGCATACAATACCACATCAATTAATTAACTTAATGACAGTTTCACCTACCTGCTTGTACTCTGTCATCCCTCTTGTGATCATGAAGTGCTCCTGTTTCTATATGAGGCCTGGTTCCCATATGCTGTTGTACCCTAAAGGACTTCACTTCTTCAATTATCCCATTCTCTTCTACATGGTTAATTTATTCTTTTCTACCAATCACAGTTCGTAAACATGTCTCGGTATCACTAATTTTAAAGAAATACACTAATGAACAAATCAAACACTTTGCTTTTTTTTTAATCCTCCACTAATCTCCTGCTCAAATTATCTTCTCTCCTTTATAGGAAACATATCAACAAAACTGTCTACACTTACTCTTTTTACTTCCTCACTTTTCATTAACTTTTCAGCACACTCTTCTGAATTAGTAAACGTCACCAATAACCTACATCTTGCCCAAATCAATGATCATGCTTACATTTAGTGTTCTTTTTTGTTTGTTTTTGTTTTTGTTTTTGTGACAGAGTCTCACTCTGTCACCCAGGCCTAAGTACAGTGGCGTGATCTTGGCTCACTGCAAGCTCCGCCTCCCGGGTTCACGCCATTCTCCTGCCTCAGCCTCCCTAGTAGCTGGGACTACAGGCACCCGCCACCACACCTGGCTATTTTTTTTTTTTTTTTTTTTTTTTTTTTTTTTTTTTTTTAGTAGAGACGGGGTTTCACCGTGTTAGCCAGGATGGTCTGGATCTCCTGACCTCGTGATCCACCCGCGTTGGCCTCCCAAAGTTCTGGAATTACAGGCATGAGCCACTGTGCCCAGCCACATTTAGTGTTCTTAACTCCTCAGCAGTTTAGTGTTTGCCACTCTTAACCCCTGAAATACAGAAATCTCTAGACTTTTTGATATTACCTAAAGCTTATTTTCTTTCTCCTTTACTTGCTGTTCTTTGTCACTGTCCTTGAATCTTTCTTTCTCCATTGCCTGGCCTCTAAATGTCAGGTTACAGCATGGCTTGGTTCTGAAACACTTTCTTGTCTAACATACTTTTTTCATCATAAATAATCACATCAGTTTCCTTATTTTTAAATGCCATTCATTGGCCCATAAATCCTAACTAAAAAATTCTAATCTAGCATTTTCCCTTGACTTATAACCTTGAATAGCCTCTCCAACTAAAAGACATTCAATGATTTAACCGTCCAAAATGTAACTACTAATTTATCTCTCTACATTTGTTCTCCAAGTCTCCTTGCCACAGTAAATAGCATCAACATGCATTCCTACCTTAGTAGTCATCATAGTGTCATCTTTCCTCTTCACAACCTATAACCAATCTATTCGTAAGTCGTCCAAGTTCCATTGCTGAATTATATCCTGAATCCAACCATTTCTCACCAATTCCAGTCCTTTCAAGTTTTGAATCTCTAACTCCTGGATTACTGAAACAGACCATCAATGGTTTCCCTGGCTTTATCCTCAGCTCTCTTCTGCTTTTCCACTCCCAACACTGTAGTCCATTCATTGCTCAGCAGCCATCACGTGGTTTTCTGTTTTCTAAATCACAGAGCACATCATGTAATCTTCCTGCTTATGCCTCTCTTGTGGCTCTCCATGGAAAACAGAATAAAATCTGAGGAGGCCCTACTGAACTGGCTTTTACTACCTTTCCTTGCTTCATCCATCCATTTCATCTAGCAGCACATTTCAGCCACAGCCACAGTGACCACCCCACCCCTACCTCCTATTTCTCAAAACTACTAAACGCCTTTTTTTTTTTCTCAGTGATATTACACTAGATTTTATTTGATTGGGAATGCCTGCCTCTACACTTCTGGTTACTATCCACCTGTTATCCTATTTTAGTTTCTTCATATGTGTTTAATTTCTGTATTGCTATGGTTTTGCTGTGTCCCTCAAAAAGCATGTGTTAAAAACTTAATCCGCAATACAACAGTGTTGGGTGGTGGGGACTAATGATAGATGTTTGGGTCACAAGCGCTCCACCCTCATAAATGAATTAATGCTGATTATGAAAGTTCTGAGACTGCATATTCAATCTTTTGCTCTAGCTCCTGCCCTCTCTTGACCCTTCCACCTTTCACCATGTGATGATGTGATGCGAAGATCCTCACCAGATGCCAGGTTTGCACTTCCTAGCCTCCAGAACTAAGAGCCAAACACATTTCTGTTCATTATAAATTACTGAGTCTGTTGTATTCTGTTATAGCAGCATAAAACAGACTAAGACACACGTCACCCTCTTTTATTTTGTTTTATTATAATCAGTGCCTAAAACCTTGCTGCCCAATACTGTAACCATTACCCACATGTGATCATTGGGCACTTAAAATGTGGTTATTCCCTATTGGGAAGTGCTGTTAGTATACAATTCATGCCAAATTTTGAATACTTGCTACAAAAACATGTAAAATATCTGAATAATTTTTGTCTTAACTAGGTGTTAAAGTGATAATATTGTGGATATATTTGTTTAAATCAAATATATTATTACACTTCTTTTTACCTATTTTATTTTACTTTTTATCATGGCTTATAAAAATGTTAAATTATATGGGTGTCTCTAATTGAGTTTCATAGGTTGACAAAGAAATGGTTACAATAATCTATGCCTATTTCATGAAGAAAATCAAGAGAATGTGTTTAATCAGACAGAAAGGAAAAAGACAGAATTTTTAAAGTTGATAAAAGGATTGAGAAGTTTATATGTGAGAATAACTAATAACACCAGTCAAGGAACATTGAAATAGGAGAAGAAAAGACAACTTATACAACTCAATATGAAATCAGCTTCTAAATTTTCTATAAGCATAATAGCATAGCATGTAGTTGGTATAGGAAAAAATATAGGATGAAAACTCTAAATAATAGAAATGCATCTATTTAAAATTAAGTAGGTTATGAGAAAAATTTCTCTTTAAATATTGAAGAAAAATGGTTATTCAGTATATGAGCTTAGAATTATTGCTTAAATGGGGAAAAATGCAAAAAATAACTGTAGATATATGTCACATGTTTTAACCGTGAAAATCTTTATCTGAGTAGAGTAGTTAGTGATTTTAGAAAATCTGCCCTTTCTGGCATTTTCTTATGTTTTCTGCAGAGTACATACTATTTTATTGTTAAATATGTATATTTTATTTCATATGTTTATAATATATATGCAGTATATATTTTTAGAAAACAAAACAGCAATTATTAGGCAATATTAGGCACATAAAAACAACAGCTAATGGAGAAAAAACAATTTTATGTCTACAAAATTTAGTAAAGGCCTAAAAATTAATCACTTTTAGTATAGTCTCCACATTTTTAATAAACATTAATAATAATAATTGATACTTACAGATGTGTGTGTGCCCCATTTCTTACAGTGCCAAAAATCTCTTTTATCTTACCCATATATATTATGGTTATTAATCCCTTGTCAGATGGATAGTTTGCAAATATTTTTTTCCATTCCATGGGATGTCTTTTCACTTTGTTTATTACTTCCTGGGCTGTGCAGAATTCATTCTTTTATTTTAAATAACAAGATCCAGAACCAGAAAACAACAACAACTATAATAATAACAATAATACTTGAGCTTGCAATTACAGGGAGCAGCAGCTTTAATTTCTTTCTCTCTTTCTTTTTAAGTAGCTATGTGTACTTTGTTCCTAAGACATTCTATACTTCAATAGAATTGTTCCTGCTTAAAGAGGCAAAGAATCCTCTTAGCAGTAAATTGAAAGGTGATCATTAGAATATTGTGTGGCATAATGGAGAATGCATTTAAAAACTCTTTTGAGGTAGAGTGAATTTTTTCCTTAATAGTATATTTTATATTAGACTTTTATCAAAGCTGAGAGTATATCAATCTCAACTTTTGAAAAAGCATTTTTTGTTTCAATTACCTTTTTTTGTACATATGCATATGTATGTTATGTAGATATACATGTACATACATATATAGGTATATATGAATATGTATTTCATGTAGCTATACAGGTACACACTTATGTATCTACATTTATGTAGACATACATATATATTTATATGTAAATATAGATATATATGTATTGTACAAGAACTTTTCTTGGATAAAACTTTTATATATGGCATTATTTTAGAGTAAATATAATCTTAACAAAAGCATTTTGTTTCTACCTATGTCCTCCCAGTATCAATCACCTCTGTATTTTCTTTGCTGAGTAAAAGAATAACCTGCTGCAGCTTGCCGTTCATCAGTTTCCTGAAATGAAACTTATTAGAATAAGAACATGATGAATTTTCCCATTTCTGTATGTCCAATCAGTCTGTTCATTGTCTGAGAGTGCACCCGATGACTAAAGATGTCAGTTGTGTCTCTCCAGGTTCTTCCAGTAGCCTTTTGCTTTAATCCAGCTGCTGCTTTGCATTTGAAAACTAAATCAGCCTCAGTATTTCACAGTCTTTTTGATCTTGGGTTTTATGATAATGAGATTTTGGCTACAGAAATCATCATTCAGAGAATTCAAACAGATTTTAGCACCTGTTAGCAGGTGTTAAAAAATAAGCGTCTCGTTTAATTTCTTCCATTCTTTTGATTTAACTCATCTTTAATTGAAAACATTTTGTCATGAAAGGGCTCTAGAAAATGAAGAAAATCCTTATGCACTTTTATTTCTATTTTATTATTATATCTTTCTTGAATGGTCAATTCTCAATTTGTCCTTCTCCAAAATGGGGAAAGAAGATGAGATAATTAGTGTTTTTGCTGAGTCACCAGATGAACATTTCCGAAGTAATAAAAATAGCCAGAAATATGTTTGGCCTAATAGTGTCACTGATGCAGTGAAAACAAGAGAGGTTGTAGTCCATGGAGCAACATCCATGTCCAGTTTAAGGCTTAGTTACCAGAGGTGTTACAGGAAACTGTATCATGTTCTGGTTTTTCTCATCTGAAAAAAAGAAGTGGTTATGCTTAACAATTTCCAAGGCGGCTTTTGTAGCTAAAATAATATATATCAATGTTATAAACTTGTATTTAAAAGTTTTTGAGCTACACAAATACATGGTGTGTTATTATTATTATTTATGAAAGATCCCAAAAAATAAAATTTTGCTGAACTTATTAACTATGGGAAAACCAAGGATCCTATTTTGTCTCTTTTTTAAATGTTGAGTGAATAGTTTTTCACTAGAATTGCAATACAAAAGTATATGTATAATATGATTTAAAAATTATGAGCATTTAAATATATTCAATGCACCTTCCATAAATGAAGTAATAAAATACTTCTTTCTTTTTGATGCTTAATTTAACAGCAACTTGGAAACAAACGTCAAATTTACAAGTACATCTAAAGATACATAGCTATGTTTTGAAAAATGCTCTGATGTAAGAAATCTTCAAATTGGAAGTCTGTTGGGGTCTATATGACCTCATTTACCTTGGCTATACAAGTCTGTTTAAAGGTTCCCTACATCTTTGTTTACACAATATGCTACTACTTCACCCTGTCCGTCAGAGTTGTCTCTCAGACTTCTTCACCAATTCTTTAGACTTCAGTTTTCAGCTTTCTTTTCTCATTCTTCTTATTCTCTAAAAGATATTGCATTTCATTCATTCATAAAACTTTAATTGTTACTACTTACAGAATAGCCTGAATTTTGCATTGTATTCAGGCTTCTGAAGCCGTCCAGAATATACCACTTTGGTATAAGGATTATTTTGAGCCAAAGGCACTTGAAAAACAGAAGATTTAAACAGAATATTTTAATCTACTATTTTTTCTTGCCTACAGGAGATAAAAACTCCCATATGAAAGACACCCTCCCTGTACCAGGAGAAAAGAAACATTCTTCTATGGGGAGTCATAGCTGAGAAAACTCTATACAAAAAGACCATGTTAAAATAATTCTTATCTTCCTTTAGCTTCCCCATATAATTTAGTTACTTTTCTGTAATTCCCTCTCTTTGATCAATCTAATATAAAATCATATGGATTTTCCCACTTCTTTGGTCTTCATTTCCTTATGAGGGCTTCTATGTCACATAAAACTTAATATTAAATTGGTATGCTTTTGTCCTTTTAATCTATCTCATGCCTATTTAATTTTTGGGCCAAGTCAGGGACCCTAAGAGTGTAGCAGTAAAGTTTTACCTCTCATATTTACTTTATATTTTATATTTACCTTAAGTTTTTATGGCTGATTTCAGGGCAAAGTTGAGTACAAACTCTATTTCAGATTCCTTTGTCACAAAACAGGGAAAAGAACATATTTGCAGAGTACATTTAAGTATTAGGACAGGAATGATACCCCTGACATTGAGAATGGTTGAGAAATAGATATTATCCTCAAGAGGAAAAGAGTTCTAAAGATACAACAGCAACATTCAA
Source organism: Homo sapiens (assembly GCF_000001405.40). NCBI lineage: Eukaryota > Metazoa > Chordata > Mammalia > Primates > Hominidae > Homo > Homo sapiens. The sequence continues at coordinate 64,769,725 of NC_000004.12, read as the reverse complement.
ACATTTAAGTAAATGGTTTTAACAGGAGGAGAACAAAGCATGTATTCCTCTTAAAAGTGCTTTTAAAACTGGAAATAGAATAAGAAATATATCGAATTTATAATTTTTCATCATACTAACATATTGTGAAATTTAAGATGCTAATAAAATGACTCAGAAGATTTTTATTGTTATTGATTATTGAAAGTGAGCATAGGTTTAAAGAGTTTGAGATACCTGACATATGTTATTGAAAGAAGAACTTAAATTTTCTACACTTCATGAAAGTTTGTACCTAAAATCTATGTTTGGAAACTACAATGAGTAAAATTTTTTATAAGTAAAATGATAAATTTTCTAACAATCTAAATGTTTATTTTATTAGATATATTTGGAGCACCCTCTTTTATAAAAATAGTAATCCAAATGCAAGACTATATCACTTTTGGTATTATAGAGATTATTACCACCTGGAAAACTATGAAAAAGCAGAGGTGGTGATTCCCATTACACTATACCTTCAATTTAAAATTTCTTTTTTGATATCTGCAAAAGACAGATGAGTCTTGGGAGAAGAGAAAAGTAATGTACGTCATACCAGATGGTATCTTCCATTGCAGCTGCTATTCCAGATGTGGTCTTTTTATTGGATTAAATAAATATAGTCTCTGGAACTTGTTATTCAGCTATTATAATTACTGTGTGATAGACTATTATTGTAATGGCCTCTAATAAATCACCTCTCTCTCCATCTATTCACTAATTTAATCTCCTCATTCATTAACTCTGGGCTTAGCCATGTGACTTGCTTAGGCCAATGGGATTGTAGCAAAAGTGACCCAAGAGGCTCAAAGAGTGCTTGTACAATAGGGCTTGTCCTCTTTTGCTTGTTGCTTTTGGAAATCAGTAACAATGCAAAGAACCATTGGCTAGTCTGTTGGAGACATGTGGCCAGACAAAAACTGGTGAAAGTTCACAAATAAGAGAGAACTGCAGGAGAGAAAATTCCAGGGAATGTTCAGTTAAGTACTGCTTACCAAATGATATGGTTTGGCTCTGTGTCCCCACCAAAATCTCATCTCAAATTGTAATCCCCAAGTATTGAGGGAGGGACCTGGTAGAAGGTGATTGGATCATGGAGGTGGTTTCCCCTATGCTGTTCTCGTGATAGTGAGGGAGTTCTCACGAGATCTGATGGTTTTAAAAGTGGCAGTTTCCCCTGTGCTTTCTCTCTCTCCTGCCGCCTTGTGAAGAAGGTACTTGCTTCTCCTTCACCCACCACCATGATTTTAAGTTTCCTGAGGCCTCCCCAGCCATGCAGAACTGTGAGTCAACTAAACCTCTTTTCTTTTTAAATTACCCAGTCTCAGGCAGTTCTTTACAGCAGTGTGAAAATGGACTAATACACAACACTTGTGTGAGTAAAATATTCAAGGCTGAGAAAAAAACTATCTAACAGGATTATGGCAACATTGCTTGGGGTATGCAAAGGGTGAAGAATAGTGCCTCCTTCCAACAGCACAAAGTAGAAAAACTCATAATTCAGGGAGTAGTTTAATGTAATGGTCTTCTCTTAGTAATCAGGAAAAAAGAAACCCTAGACTAAATGTATTTCTGAACCCATCTACCAAAGATTAAAACAAGATGCTAAAACATCAAACTGTTTCCAAGTAACTGTCCATGTCTCACAATAAAATCCTAATATGATAGGAATACAAAAATATTCAGCCCCCAACAGAGGAAAATTTGCAATGTCTGACCTCCAATCAAAAATTAGGAATTAGCAAAATAAAATCCATAAGAAAGATCTTTTTTTCTTAGCACCTCAGAGGTGATCAGTTGCTTCAAGATGAAGCTGAATATTTTCTTCCCAGCCACTGGCTGCCAGAAACTCACTGACATGGATAGTGAACATAAATGTTGTACTTTTTATGATTAACATAAAGCCATAGAAGTTGCTGCTGTTACTCTGGGTGAAAAACGGAAGGGTTATGTGGTCTGAATCAGTAATGAGAATGACAAGTGAGGTTTCCACATGAAACACTGTGCCTTGACCTATGGCCATCTTCATCTGCTATTGAGTAAGGAACATTTTTGTTATAGATTCCGAAGAATTGGCTAAAGAAAGTAAAAATCTGTTTGGAGTTGAATTGTTGGTGCTAATCTGAGTGTTCTCAATTTGGTTATTGTAAAAAAAGGAAGAGAAATATATTCCTGTACTGAATAATACTACAATACCTCATCAGCTGGGGTCCAAAAGACCTAGCAGAATCTGTAAACTTTTTTCATCTTTCCAAAGAAGAGGATGTCTGCCAATATGTTGTGGGAAAGACCTTGAGCAAAGAAGGTAAGATACCTAAGACCAAAGCGTCCAAGATTCCACATTATGTTACGCCACATGTCCTGTAACACAAACACCAGATTGCACTGGAGAAATAGCTTACAAAGAAAAATAAGGAAAAAGTCACAGATTATAGTAAATTTTTGGCAAAGAGAATGAAGGAGGCCAAAGAGAATGAAGGAGACCAAAGAAAAATGCCATTACCAATTGCGAAAAGACACAGGCTGACCTCTTTAACAGCTTCTACTTGTAAGTCTGAGTCCAACACAAAAATAAGATATTTTAATAATAATAAATAAAGGCCAGGAGTGGTGGCTCACACCTGTAACCCCACACTTTGGGAGGCTGAGGCGGACAAATCACTTGAGGCCAGGAGTTCGAGACCAGCTTGGCCAACATGGTAAAAGCCTGTCTCTGCTAAAATTATAAAAATTAGCCAGGCGTGGTGCTGTACACCTGTAGTCCTAGCTACTTGGGTGCCTGAGGCAGGAGAATCACTTGAACCCAGGAGGCACAGGTTGCAGTGAGCCAAGATTGTGTCACTGAACTGCAGCCTGGGTGACAGAGCAAGACTCTGTCTCAATATTAATAATAATACAGAAGTAAATAAGACCAGACCTCATATCTTTAAAAAAATGAGGAATCAGCAAAATACAATACATAATAAGGGGTAAAGCCAATTTTATTAATTTTCCAGGTCTGCTGTAACAAAGTACTACAAACTTGGTGAATTAAAATAATAGAAATGTATTGCCTCTGAGTTCTGGATGTCAGAAATATAAAATCAGGGTATTGGTAATGTTCCATGTCTCTCCTCCACCTTCTCATGATGATCTGTAATTTTTGGCATTCATTGGCTTGTAGACTCATCACTCCAATCTCTGCCTTCAGCTTCATATAGTGTCCTCTCTTTGTATTCACATGGCCATTTTCTCCCAAGGACAGAATTAATTTTGAACTCGGGGCCTAATCTACTCCAGTATAACCCCATCCTAACTAATTACATCTATTAATACAATAATCATATTACCAAATAAGGTCACATTCTGAGGTTCTGAAAGTTAGGACTTCAACATACATTTTTTTTTTTTCCGCAGGGGGGAGTGTCACAATTCAACTCATAAAACCATTCTATAAACTAACTCAGAAATTGTACAGTTATAGATTTAGTAGATATAGATTTAGTTAAAGTTTGGAAACTTTAACATTAATTATTACTATATCATATAAATTTAAAAACGTATGGGAAATATTAAACGTATGGGAAATATTAAAAACGTTAGTCAAGTTGAGGAGGATATGCTTAAAGGGTCACAAGTGACCAATTAGATGTAAAAACTCTAATGTGTGAGAAAAAATACAGTGAATTCACTTAATGGTAAATTACCTGTTGCAAAAAAAAGAGAGTGAACTTGAAGACATGACCAAAGAAATTAACTAAAATGAAACATAGAAAATGTCTAAAATTAAAATAATATATCATCAGTTTGGAAACAATTTCAAGTGGGAAAACACACACGTTTTTGGAATCACCAATTTATACAGATGAATTGGGCATAATTACAAAAATATTTTAGAAAATAATAGCCAAACATTCTTAGATGTCAGTGAATCTTTAAAATCACTGTCAGCCATTTTAGCCTGCTAGAGTAAAGCATCATAGGCTGAGTGGCTTATAAATCATAGAAATTTATTTCTTACAATTCTGGAGGCTACAAGTCTGAGATCAGGATACCAACATGGTTAGTTTCTAGTGAGGGCACTCTTCCAGTTGTAGATTGCTGACTTTGCAATGTATCCTCATGTAGTAGAAAGACAGCAAGCTAGCTCTTTAACTTCTTCTTATGAGACACTCACTCATGTTATTCATGAGAGCTTCACCACCATGACTTCATTACCTCCCAAACACCTCACCTCTAAACACCATCACAATGGGGATTAGATTTCAAAATGTTAATTTTGCTGATACACAAAAATTTAATTTCTAATAATGACTTACCCAAGAAGCTCAATAAACCCAAAGGAAGAAAAAAAAACATATAGCAATCTACACCAAATCTTAACAAACAGAAAATCTTAAATGCAAGCAAAGAAAAAAATAAAAAGCACCTCATATGCATTGAAACAAAGATTTGTTGTTTAAAACAATACAGGTTGGTGTAGTGGCTTATGGCTGCAATTCCAGCACTTTGGGAGGCTGAGGCAGGTGGATCACCTGAGGTCAGGAGTTTGAGACCAGCCTGGCCAACATGGTAAAACCTTCTCTCTACCAAAAATACAAAAATTAGTCAGGCATGCTGGTATGCGATTGTAATTCTAGTTAGGAGGCTGAGGAAGGAGAATTGCTTGAGCCTGGAAGGCAGAGGTTGCAGTGAGCCAAGATCACCCCACTGCAGTCCAGCCTGGGCGACAGAGTAAGACTCCATCCCAAGAAGAAAATAATTAAATAAATGAAAACAAAAAAATACAAATAAGATTTCATGTAATGGTAACCACAATGACAAATATAAAAGGTAATATTATATTTTGGGTTTGTAATTCATCCTTTTTTACTATTTCATTTAAAAGATAAATGTGTTAAACACTAATTATAAGTCAATGCTAATGGACAAACGTTGTATAAAATGTAAATTTATGACAATAACAACATAAGGGGGCATGGAGCTGGATAGAAACAGAGTGAATGTATTCTGTTTAAGCTAAATTGGTATCAATTAAAAATAGACGTATAAATTTGGTATGATAACTGCAATCTCCAAGGTAACCACTAAAAAAAAACTTAAAAAACAAAAAAGATAATAAAAGAGGAGTCAAATGGTACAGTGGAAAAATTCAATCAAACATTTACAAAAGCAGTATTGGAGAGATTCACTGCAGTTCCTACCAAAACCCAAATGTCATTTTAAGCAGAAGTAGGAAAAAATATACTAAAATACACATGAAATTTGAAGGGACTCCAAGTAGCCAAAATAATCTTGGAAAAGAAAGCCAAAGTTGGTAAATCTATATTTCTCAATTTCAAAACTTACTGTAAAGCTAGAGTAATCAAAACACTGTGGTAATGACATAAGGATAAACATATCAACAAGTAAAACTGAACTGACAGTCTAGAAATAAACCTAAACAAACTGATTTTTGATAAGGGTACCAAGGCCATTCAGTAAGGAGAGAAATCTTTTCAACAAATGATGTTAAGACAACTGGATTACCACATTAAAAAAAAAATGTGGTTGGGGCCGGGGGCAGTGGCTCACGCCTGTAATCCAGCACTAGGGGAGGCCAAGGCGGGTGGATCACGAGGTCAGGAGATCGAGACCATCCTGGCTATCACAGTGAAACCCCATCTCTACTAAAATAATACAAAAAAAAATTAGCTGGGCATGGTGGCGGGCGCCTGTAGTCCCAGCTACTCGGGAGGCTGAGGCAGGAGAATGGCATGAACCCAGGAAGTGGAGCTTGCAGTGAACCGAGATCATGCCACTGCACTCCAGCCTGGGTGACAGAGTGAGACTCCATCTCAAAAAAAAAAAAAAAAAAAAAAAAAGTGATTGGACCGCTACCTCACTTGTACACAAAGAATTGACTCAAAATGGATTAATTACTTAAATATATGAGCTAAAACTATAAAACTAATAGAAGAATATATTAGAATAAACCGTTACCCCCTTATATTTGAGAATGACTTGCCAATTCAGCAACAAAAGCATAAGTAACAAAAGAAAAAATGATAAATTAAACTTCATCAAATTAAAAAACCACTGGGTATCAAAAGACACAATCAAGAAAGTCAACATGAGATAAAATATGTGCAATATATATATCTGATAAGGGTTTAGTATTCAGAACGTATGAATAACTCTTACAACTCAACAACAAAAAGGCAAGCAGTTCAACTAAAAAATACAAAGAAATCAAATAGACATTACTCCAAAAGAAATATAAAATAAACAATGAGCACATTAAAAGATGTTTATCATCATTGATCATTAAAAGAATGCAAATCAAAACCGCAGTAAGATACTGCTTTACACCTGTTAGCCACAAAGTGACTAAGATGGGAGTCTCAATCAATAGATGTTTATTGAACTAAAGTTTGAGGATGCACCTGGGAAAAACACATGTCACATTTGTTACCTGTGCTTTTCCGTATATGGTTTGTGGAACTCAGTATTTAAAGGGGAAAGAAGGAGCAGTGTAGAGAAAAGGGAGAGAGAGAAGACAGTGAGGCAAATGGTTACTTTCTAGTAAGGATCTAATAAGTGCTCAGTGAATTTACATTTTACACAAGATAAGGGAAGATGAAAAGAGAAAGTAGAAGAAAAAGTCAATTATGCTTCCATCTCAAGGTACACAGAAGGATGATTTCTGACCCTGCCCTTGTTCTGTATCTGTGAGGATAAGCTCATAATCAACATATAATCAGTTTGAGATTTAACAGAACTCTGACTTAGAACTGGTTTATAGAGGAATATTTATCCTGGCAGACTTACGGGCTCACAAGGAATTTATTTGTGAATAATGTGTGAGAGAGGCCATCTGGGGAAGGTATATGACTTTCTATCCCTTTGAGTACCTGGCTTAGGCATAAGGTAAGACTATGTCATTGTGAAATTACAGCTATCTGGAGAAGGCAGTACTGCATGACTCAGTTACCAAGCTTAACTATCTCTTCGACATAGTGAGTTTGCAGTCCCAAGATTTTATTCTCTTTCACACATCCCTATGATGACTATAATAAAGATAAAATTAGAAAAAAATAAAAAATAAAAAAGTATTGGTGAGGATGTGGAAAAATGGAAACCCTCCTACATTGTTGATGGGAATGTTAAATGATGTAGGCATGGTGGAAAATGCGTTGACAGTTTTGTAAAAAGTTAAACATTGAATGACCATGGAACTTGGCAATTCCACTTCCAGGTATGTGCAAGAAAGATGAAAACATATGTTCACACGGTAACCTGTACACCAATGTTAACAGCAGCATTACTTATAATAGTTAAAAGGTGGAAAATACCCAAATATCCATCAATGGACAAATGGATTAACACATTGTGGTATATACATACAATGAAATATTATTGTTATAAAAATGAATGACATGCTACAACTTGAGTGAACCTTAAAAATATTATACTAAGGGCAAGAAGGCAGATAGAAAATATCACATATATGACTCCTTTTATGTAAAATATCTAGATTAGGCCAATCCATAGAGACAGAAAGCTAATGAGTGGTGGCTCGGTGCTAGGGATGTGGTAGTTGGGAGTGATTACTTAATGAATACAGAATTTTTTCTGGAGTGATATTTTTTTTTATTAGAGGGAAGATGTTGTTGAATAACATTGGGAATGCATTAAATGCCACTGAATTTAATATTTTAAGATAGTTAACTTTCTGTTATATTAATTTCACATAAACTGAAAAACAATCATTTAAAAAAGAATAAAGAATAGATTTTGCCATATATCATACAGTTATTAAAGACATAATAAAGAATAGGATAAATGATCTCATGGCAATAAAGTGTACATCTTTGATAAAATTAATAAAACTGTTGAAAGGCACAAGCTGCCAAATATTATGTAGAAAAAATTAACATTTTATGTTAAGAAATTGAATTCTTCATAAAAAGAAATTGCTGTGATGAATACTTCTGGCCCAGATAATTTTACAGGTAAATTCTATCATTTATTTAAGAAAGAAATAATACCAATTATACATTCAGGAACATAAAATATATAAAAAAAGCTTCAACTAATTTTTAAGAATAAAATTTAAGAATAGCATTAACATGACATCAAAGTCAAACAAAAGTCTTACAAGTAAATAAAATTAAAGACCGACATTTTTCTCATGAATGTAGATAGATACCAACATTCTAAATACAATTATTACCAAAAATCCACCTACTTATCAAATGTTGAAGATATCATAAACAAATTCAAATTAATCACAGCAATTTATGATTGGTTTATATATTTAAGAAGTCAAAGTAAATCAAATGATGGAAAATCATGTGTATATCAAAGAAATGCAAGAAAATGCATTTGACTAAAATAAATGCCTATTCAAGATACAAACAGTAAAATAACAGGTCAAATTTCTCTATCTAGTGCAGGGTATCCCCACACACATAATAAAACCTGTAGTTTCTATTCAACTGAGGAACATTCAATAATTTCTCCCTATGATTGGGAATAAGACAAGTATATCTTTTCTCACTGCTTTTATTGAATGTTTTACTTTAGGTTCTAGTCAGTACAATAACGCAGAAAAAAAATAAAATCCATTCAAATTGGAAGGTAAGAAGCTAAACTGACTTTATTCTTAGATGACATATATTTGTAAAAAAAATTCCATGACATTAATGAGAAATACATTAATTTTGAAAGGTCTCAAGATATGCAGTCAATATACAAAAGTCAACCATATTTTTATATAACTTAAAAAATTGAAAACTGAATTCTATTTAAATTAGTATTAGTATCACTCACAATAGCATAAACATGGCATGCTTAAATCTAATGTTATATATTTTCAAGATCATTACACTGAACACTACAACACATTGTAGAGAACAAATACAAATGAATTAAATAAATGGAGTAATGTGCCAAATTTATGGATTTGAAGACTCAAAATTGTCCTCAAGTTAGTATATATATTTAAGATAACTTCTTCATCATTTTTTCTCACAAAATCTGACTAATACATGCCATCTTCTACTACTTTTTGGAATGCTTTCTGGGATGATTAAAACTTTCTTCTAGGGTTGAGTGTTCCTATCCACATATAAAATTATTGTGTTGTATCCTATGATCTGACAAGTCTGCCACAAATGTTTGGTCCCAGAAAATCAGTTAGCATCTTAACAGGCTATTCTTGAAGATTTTATTAAGCTGTTTATAAAATACATATGGCAATACAATGCACTGAAGGATAGCTAAGTTTTATTAAATATTAAAATTGAGGACTGATACTACCAGATTGCTACAAATGATTTACTACAAATCTTCCATAATAAAGCTATTGTGGCCCTGACAAAAACATTGGCTTACAGATCAATGGAACAAAATGAAATATTGAGAAACAGACATATATATTATCAATTGGTTTTCATTAAAAATTTGAAGATAATTTAATGAGGATGTGATATACGAAAATTTCTAAAATGGAGCCAAATAAACTCTATATTTTATATTCCCAACCCTGTGTAATTCACTTACCTTAAACAGGGGATGAACTGAGTGACTTGCTTCTAACCAACAGACTGTGACAAAGTCAATGGGTGTCATTTCCAAGATTAGATTATAGGTGTTACAGTTCTGTTAGAATTTACCTAGGTTTTCCAGTTTTCACTGAAACCTCTTACCCTCTTGAGGGGGAGAAAACAAAGAGCTTTCAATTTGTCTTGACTCCTTTACTGGCTTTGATGAGGAAAGCTGCCATGTTGTTGGCTGTCCAGTGGAGACCCCCACATGACAAGCTATTGAGAATGAACTCTAACTTTATGCTTAGATAAAGCCAGTAACAAACAAAGCCATTGTTACAAGATCTCTAGGGCATCGATTTTTCTGGCTTGAAACCTCTGTGTCTGCTGCACCTTTACCCAAGTTCTTGTCCTCCATCCAAGAAGAATGATGTCCTGCATCCAGGAAGAATGAGGTAGCAGACGAGTGGAGGGTGAAGAAGAAGAAGAGTGAAGGGTGATGAAGAAGAAATGTTTTATTTAGTGTCAGAACAGGCCAGAGGAGTGGGTAGCTCCTCTCTGTAGGCAGGTAGCCTCATCTAGTATTCAGTTCTCAGCAGAGAGGAGAACCTGGAGGGTGTAGCTCCTCTCTGTAAGTCATTCCAAAGTCTCTGCAGGTCTCTTAAGCTCTCAGTAGAGAGCATAGCTCCTCTCTGCCAGCAGGTTGTCTCTGCAACTCTCAGCAGATAAGGTATTCCTCTCTGCAGCTTTCATTGTCCCATTGTCTCCAGCTATCAGCAGAGAGGATACTCCATGCTGCCATGGGCGGGCTGGAAGAAGCAATGAGAGTTCCCACTCTGGTCTGCAGGACTGGCAGCTTGGCCCGGATCATTCAGGTCCTTCCTGGCTCACAGGTGGGGCCTTACTGGGGACGAGCCCCTTTCATTCAGGAATCAATCTGCCTCCAGCTGCCATTCATGACCCCCAGGCTTGGCCCCATCTCCCTCTTGGAGATTAGAGTAGGCACTGGGAATGGAGAGAGGTCAGGCCAACACCCCCGAGCCTGCAGGGATTAGCATCCTTCCTGGGGCACCCGAGGGTGCAGGCTGCAGAGACACCCAGCCACGGCCATCACCATCCACCATCATTACAGCAAACCTTGAGCCATGGAATTCTCACACAGTCACATAAGAGAGCTTGGGAGTGGCTTGAAGTGTTCAAATGAGATCCAATTTTTTTCTTTTTTGAAACAGGATGTCACTCTGTTGCCCAGGCTGGAGTGTGGTAACTTGATCATAGCCCACTGCAACCTCAAATTCTTGGGTTCAAGCAATCATCCTGCCTCAGCCTTCTGATTAACTGGGACTAGGGGTGCAAGGCACCACTACTGGCTAATTTTGTTTTTTGGTAGAGACGTTCTTGCTATGTTGCTCAGGTAGGTCTCGAACTCCTGGCCTCAAGCCATCCTCCCACCTTCCTAGTTGCTGGGATTGTAGGTGTGAGGCACCACCAACACCTGGTTTGGGCCAACATCTTAATTGACATTTTGTAGAGAGCCTGAAGCAGAGAATCTAGCTAAGTTATGCCTTGACCCCTTATCCACAGAAATTATTAGATAATAAATGTGTGTTCTTTTAAGCTACTAATTTTGGGAGTAATTTGCTATTAAAACAGTAGATAAGCTATAGAAATTGTTACATGCTTCAACATGTAATGTAATGTAATGTAATGTAATGTAATGTAATGTAATGTAATGTAAAAAATCCGGAATCACTTGATATCTTTTTAGCTACATATTTTTAATGCACCTCCACTCTGACCTCAGGCTTAGATGATAGACGGGAAACACGTTAAAGTAAATTTATAAAACTTGTAGTAAAAAATGTATGAAGAAATCTCTTGATCTTAGGGTAGAATTTTAGGACACTGAAAACATAAAACATACAAGTAAAATAATGATAAATTAGATTCCAAAGAAATTAAAATTTAATTGATCTTTGAAAGATACTTTAATAAAATTCACAATCTGGAAAAATTTGCACAGTAAATGCTTCTGACAATAAATAGGTATTCTATCCATATACACACACACACAAACACAAATTCAACTTGAAAATAAGACACATAATTCAAAATTTGACAAAAGAGATGAGCAGATATTTACAAAAAAATTTGGGCCAATAAGCACAGAAAATATCAACATTATTAATCATCCAATAAATATAAATAAATATCACTAAAAATTACATACATAATTCTATGTATAGTTAACATGGCTAAAATTAAAAAACTAAAAATATCAAATTTTAGATACATAGGAAACAATTGAAACTTTCATAAGCTATGAATGAGAATATAAAATGAAGCAATTATTTTGGTGAAGACTCTGAGTTTCTCATAAATTTAAACATGAACTTACCATATGACAAACCAATTCTACAACTAGCTTATTCACCAAAAATTATGAGAAGAAATGTCCATGCAAACACTTGTATGCAAATCTTTATAGCAGCTTTGTTAAAAATTGTATAAAATTTGGAACAATTTTGATCAATATGTGACTGGATGAACAAATTGTAGTATATCCATACAATGCATGATATAATGATAATTCTACTCAGAAAAAAAAATTAACAAACTTCAGATATACACAAAACACAGATATGTATCAAAAGTATTTTACTAAATTAAAAACAAATACACACACACAATAAATGCTGTATAATTGTTTTACATAACCATACATTGAAAGAAGAGATTACACACGTTCTTAAGGCATTTGAACACTAATACTCAAGTGATAATAGTCTCTGGACAATAAAATGTGTGTAGGGGGGCTACCATGTTCTTTATCCACAACTTGAATCAAAGACCACATAAGTAAATGAGATCCAGGCAATGTTTCCAGTGTGTGCTAATGTTAACTTTCATTAGTACTAATTGCAAAATTTATCATAGTGGTGGGTGTTTCATGTACCTTCAAAACAGAGGCAGTGTTATATTTGAGTACATCTGCAATCAGGAGTCACTTCAATTATCAAGACTTATTTAACAGGTACTGACATAAAGATATAGTTTATCTGAAGAGAAAATTTAAGTGGTGACTCTCCTGTAAGTATTTACGGATGCATGCATACCTTAACAATTTTTGTCAGAGTACGATAGCCCAATCTGATATGTACAAAAGTCTAATGGATTCTGGAAATTAACCAATGGCTATTGTGCCTTAATTAGAAAGTAAGCACCCTGTTACAGGTGGTCCTATATATCATATTTATGACTATATGTTTAGTGATTTGTATTGTCATTTTAGATGCTAATTTAGAATTAGTAATGTAGTGTTCATCATTTCCGTGCAGGACAAATATAAAAATAAATTCACTGTTACTTGGAAAGCATGCAGCATAATCTTTATTGTCTCAAGCGTATGTAGCTGTCACTTGCTATGCCACCCTAATTGGAGAGGTGCACCCTGTGATGATTAAGACCTTTTCTGGTGGGGAATGTTTCCTCTTAGGTATACCTTTTTGGTAAGTCCTAATGTCTGACAATTTCTACCACAAAATAAGTGGTACCTTAATAAAGATTAGTTCAAATGACAAATTCAGATCTTTCCCTTTGTTCCCTCTAAACATCAGCACAGAGACACATAACTCAAAAATTTGAAAATAAACTCATCTCGCTAAACAGAGCAATAATTGACAAGAGAGTCCTACATATGATCAGACATTTTAAATTTTGTAATGATACATTTCCTTCTTTAGATCTGATTAAGTCTCTTTATTAGGCCCTTTGTATCACTATAAAGCAATACCTGAGGCTGGGTAATTTATAGAGAAAAGAGGTTTAATTGGCTCATGGTTCTGCAGAATGTACAAGAAGCATGGTGCCAACATCTGCTCAGCTTCTGGTGAAGGCCTGAGGAATCTTTCAGTCACGGTGGAAGACAACAGAAAGCCAGCATGTTATGTGGCAAGAGCAGGAGCAAGGGAGAGAAGGAAATGAGTCATCCATTTTTAAACAGCCAGATCCCATGAGAACTCACTCACTGTCTTAAGGACAATAACAAGCTATTCATGAGGAATCTTCCCCCAAGACTCAAACACCTCCCACCAGGCCTCACCTCCACTGGAAATCATATTTCAACATGAGAATTGGAGGGGACATTGGAAATCATATTTCAACGTGAGAATTGGAGGGGACAAACATACAAACCATATCATTCTTCCCATAGCCCCTCAAATCTTATATCCTTTTGACATTGCAAAATATCGTCGTCCGTGACAATAATCCCCAACAGTCTTAACTCATTCCAGCATTGAGTCCAAAGTCCTAAGTCTCAAGTGAGACTTATCTCCTTCTACCTATGAAACCGTAAAATTATAAAACAAGTTATTTACTCCTTACATACAATTCTAGTACAGACATTAGGTAAAAATTATGATTCCAAAAGAGAGAAAATAGCCAAAAAAAAGGGACAGTGGGCCCCATGCAAGTCTGAAACCCAATAGGGAAGTCATTAAATTTTAAAACTACAAAATAGTCTCCCCAGATTCAATGTCCCACATCCAAGGAACTCTGGTACAAGGGGTGGGATCCCAAGACCTGGCATAACTCTACGCCTGTGGTGCAGCCCTTGTGTCTCTCTCACAGGGTGGAACTGAGTGCCTATGGCTTTTCCAGGTGCAGGGTACAAGCTGCCAATAAATCCACCATTCTGGGGCCTGGAGGGCAGTGGCCTCATTTCCACAACACTGGCAACACCAGGCAGTGCCCTGGTGGGGACTCCGTGTGGGGGCTCCAACTCCACATTTTCCCTCTGCACTGCCCTAGTAGAGGTTTTTCTGTGAAGGTTCTGCCCCTGTGGCAGGCTTCTGCCTGGACATCGAGGCTTTTCCATATATCCTCTGAAATCTAGGGAGAAGTGGCCAAGCCTCTTTATACTTGCATTCTGTGCATCTGCAGATCTGACACCATGTGGAAACTGCTGAGGCTTATAGCTTATGCCCTGTGGAGCAGCGGCCCAAGCTGTACCTAGGGCCCTTTGAGGTGTGGCTCCAGCTGAAGCACCCAGGATGCATTAAGCAGTGTCCTAGGCCTAGCAGTCCTGGGACAGTGCAGCAGGGCAGTGATGTCCTGGGCCTGGCCCATGAAACCATTCTTTTCTAGTAGGTCTCTGGGCCTGTGATGGGAGGGGCTGTCTCTAAGATCTCTGAAATGACTTTGTGGCCTTTTGTCCATTGTCTTGGATAATACCCCTGGGTTCCATTTTAGTCATGCTAATTTTTCTCGCAAGGGGTTCCTCCACTGCCTGCTTGGATTCTTTCTCTGCCGCATGGCCAGGCTGTGAATTTTCCAAACTTTTACCCTTTGCTTCCCTTTTAAAAATAATTTCCAAATTTAAGTCATTTCTTTGCTCCCATATCTGATCATAGGTTGTTAGAAGCAGAGAGATTACTTCTTAAACACTTTGCTGCTTAGAAATTTCTTCTGCCAGATACCCTAAGTAATCACCCTTAAGTTCAAACTTCCATAGATCCCTATTACATAAAGATAATCCAGTCAAGATCTCAGCCAGTGTGTAACACAGGTGACCTTTATGCCAGTTCCCAATAAATGCCTCATTTCCATCTAAGGCTTCATCAGCCTGGCCTTCACTATCCATATTTCTGTCAGTGTTTTGGTCACAACAATTCAACTAGTCACTAAGAAGTTCTAAACTTTCCCTCCACTCCCTGCCTTCTTCTGAGCCCTCCAAACCCTTCTAAAATCTGCCCATTACCCAGTTCCAAAGTTTCTTTCACATTTGCAGGTATTTTTATAGCAATGCCCCACTCCTTGATATCAATTTTCTGCGTTAGGCCATTTACGTTACTACAAAGGAATACCTGAGTCTGGGTATTTTATAAAGAAAGGACATTTAATTGGCTAACCGTTCTGAAGACTGTATGAGAAGCATGGTGCCAAATCTGCTCAACTTCTTGGGAGGCCTTACAGTTATGGCAAGATGTTACGGGAGCTAGCATTCTTACAATCATGAAGCTTAAAATCATGGCAGAAGGTGATGATAATCATTCTGTCACATGGCAAGAACAGGAGCAAGAGAGACAGGGAAGGGGAGGTGCCACATACTTTTGAACAACCAGATCTCACAATAACTTACTCGCTATCTTAAGAGCAGAACCAAGCCATTCATGAGGGAACCACCTCCCTGAACCAAACATCTCCCATTACGCCCCATGTTCAACATTGGGAATTACATTTCACTAATTAGATTTGGAGAGGACAAACACTCAAACTATATCAGCTTCCAATAACAAAATTTTTCATCAAGGTTTTTCCTGGAAAACTCCTTGACATAAAGCTAGAAATTGTTTATGCTCTTCTGATCATCCTAATTATTTTCTATATTTACAGTCACAGTCCAGTGATTTGAAGAGTAGACAGTTGATATTTCAGAAAAAATATTTGAGGTCTCTCTTCTTGAAAGTGACTATTTTTCAATATAGGAAATTGCTTCATAAGTATGTCCAAAGATATCATAAGCTTATTTTCCTGAACATAAAAGGAGCTAGTATGGCCTTAGGGAGCCAAATGTAAAGTTATTTGTAAAATAATACCAACATACTACCCTTAGAAGTCCTACATTTTATTTTAACACTTTTGTTTTAAGATTATTATAGATTAACATGCAAATGTAAAAGATAATACAGAGAGATCCTGCGTACTCTTTACCCAGTATCCCCTAATGGTAATATCTTGCAAAAATTGTAGCGTGCTATTACAACTATGGTACTGACATTGATACGGTCAAAATGCAAAGCATTTCTAGTGCTACAAATATTATTCATGCGAGAAGATATTTTTAAAGTACATATATGACAAAACTCAACTCTATAAACAACAATCAATTAGTAAAAGGTCAAAGGCAGGAGAAAAAATTTTACCAAAGAGGAAAACAAATGACAAATAAGTATATGAAAAAGATGTTCACCATTATTAACCATTAGGAAAATACAAATTAAAACTACAGTAAGATATCACTACATAGCTATCAGCATAGTTGAAATTAGAAAAGAATAGAGATAACATCAACTACTGGTGAGAATTTGGAGAAACAAGATCACTCATACATTGCTGGGGAAAATGTATTGCCACTGTGGAACACAGTTGGGTAGTTTCTTATAAAACGAAACATGCACCTAACATATGATCAAACAATTGCACTCTTGGACATTCATTCTATAATAATGAAGACTGACATTCACACAAAAACCTAAACAGAAACATTTATAGCAATTATAGGTACAACAGGCAAACTTGAAATAATCCAGGTGTTAAGTGAATTCTTTTAAAAATTACAAAATATACCAAGGACTGTTACTAAAAGGAATGAACTACTGATACACACAGTAATCTGGATAAATCTTCATTTATAAAAATGTTAATCACAAAATTTTATATAATATATTATTTATGTGTAATTCTTGAGATGACAAAATTATCAAAATGCTTAATAGATTAGTGGATTTCTGGGGTTAAGGAGGACATGGGAACAAGATGGAAGTGACAACAGATTTCTCATTAGAAGCCATGGATGGCAGAAGAAAGTGGCACAATATCATTCAAATGGTAAAAGAAAAGGAATGCTGTCTCTTGGTATATTTAGGTTTATCCTAGTAAAGATTCATTCATGTTCCTGAATCTTATGTCTCTTGTGAAATAACAGAAATGTTCAGTCATTATTTCTTCCAGTACATTTTCAGTACCATCTTTTCTTTTCTCCTCATTGAATTCCAGTAACACAACATTAGGTCTTTTATTATAGCTTCCCAGGTCCCTGAGCCCTATATATATATATATATTTTTTTTTTCTACTCTATCTCTGCTGTTTCCTTTTAGTAACTTTTATTGTTATGTGCTCCAGTTTAGTGATTCTTTCCTTTGTCCCCTTCATTCTGCTGTTGAGCCCATCAAGTGAGCTTTTTATTCTAGTTACTGTTTTTCAGTTCAAAACTTTCCGTTGGTTTTTATTTGTATCATTCATTTACTTGCTAAATCTCTACTTTTTTATTTGTTTCAATAGTGTTTTCAATTGCTTGTTGAAGCAATCCTACCATGACTGCTTTAAATATTTGTCTAATAATTCTATGATGTCTATTTTCTTGATATTAGCATTTATTTATGGCCTTTTTTCTTTCAGTTTGAGATCTTTCCAGTTCTTTTTATAATGAGTAACATTTTATTGAAGCCTGGATTTTTGTATTCTAATATTTTGGATCTTATTTAAATGTTATGTTTTAGCTAGGATTTCCTGATACTACTTTGGCAGTGGAAGGGTAATGCCACCTTATTACTGCCAGGTGGAATGAGTTCAAATTTCCCACTCAGCTTCCATTGACTCCTGACAGTGTAGGAGTGCTTCTCCTTTCTCCTGGGCAAGAAGAGAATATATACTACCCATGTTGTCCTCACTGACACTGCACAGATAATAAAGAAAGTTCTGCTTCTCTGTTAAGCCTCTACTGACATCTGTCCACTGGGGGTTTGGGAGCACTTTGTTATTGCAGAGTGTGAGTGAAATTCCGGGCTTGCTACATATTCTCCACTGACACTGAGTAGAGGGGGTGTCTTATAACTTATGCCTGTGAGGATGAAAGTCCCAAATCTTTTTACTTTCCCTTTTATGATACCACTGCAGCAGGGGGTTCATTACAGTCTCATAAGTTTAGAGTAAATGTGGCTAGAGCCACAGTTTTTCTATGATGTTTTCTGAAATTGAGTGGTTATACTCTAAAAGTTAACTGTCTATGAGCCAGATTCTATTTTGTTTAGTAAGAGTGTATTGGCTTTTGTTGGGCATTCATTTTTGTTTGTGCCTGTTTGCAATTCTGAGTAGCCAGCTTCTTCAGCTTCAAATCTAGAACATATGAGGCAAAAAGAAAACCCAAAGATCTCATCTCCATGTCCTTTCTAAGAACCTAAGATCATTAATCAGTCTGTCTTCTCTCCTTCTGCTATAATCTTCTTAGGTTTGTTTCATATTTAATGTCTAGGGTTTTTAGGTGTGCTTATTGTGGAAAAGCACAAGACAAAGTGAATCCACTGCTACAGAGTTGGCAAGAAATGAATGATGGGTTCTGAACAGAAATATAATTATAATTAAGCAATAAACAGGTTGCTCTTTGACCTACTTCTCTGTTGCTAAAAGTCACACAGCACAAAATACTGACCATTTGCATCCCCATTTTTCCTATAGATGGAATTTCTGACATTAGGGTGATAAGTGTGTTTAAGAATTTATTTCCATCCCCATTGTCCAAATACACAAGATCTCTGACATTAAAATCATAAGGCTTTTATTTAATAATTGCTTAAGATATTTTTCAGATCCCAAATTCCAGCAACCACTTTGAAGACAATTATAGAGGAACAGGATCAGAATCAGAATACAGCTTCTTCATTTCCCTCTCCCGTGATTTCCCCATACACTCTTAGACCAACTGAAGATCTCCACACTTTGGCCCACTCTAAAACCCTTAAAAACTCAAGGCCCAAATTCTTCAGGGAGATACATTTGAGTTTTTCTCTCATCTCCTTTTTAGGTGATCCAATAATTAAACCTCTTTCTCTATTACAACCTGGTGTCTCTGAATGTTGACTTGCTATGCATATTGACCAATGAGCCTATTATGGTTACAATAGTGCATGTAATCCACCTTCTA
Source organism: Homo sapiens (assembly GCF_000001405.40). Lineage (NCBI taxonomy): Eukaryota > Metazoa > Chordata > Mammalia > Primates > Hominidae > Homo > Homo sapiens. The sequence continues at coordinate 64,750,491 of NC_000004.12, read as the reverse complement.
GAAGCAGAAGTATATATTTTTCTGTCATAGATAAAATTATAAGTCCAAATAAATATTTGATCACATTGACCCCTGTCCTCATTAGAGCTTGTTTCTAAATTCATAATAAATTTTAGATAACTGTTGTATAATATTTATATCTGTTGAATTTCAACTGTAACATGATTAAACACTATAGGTAAAATAAAGAGCAGACATAGATTTTGGCATTACACCTACTTAATGTATATATTCTTACCAGCTTTAGATTTTATCTGAAAATTGGAAGTAATTAAAAGAGATTTAGAGATAGTTTTGAATCTGGAAGTATTATAGAATAAAGGAATAGAATAAGTAAACCTAGTTTGAGTTAAAATACTGCCTTGATTTTTCCTATTCTGTGACCCTGAAAAAATTATTCAATTTTATTTCTTCATCTCTAAAAAAAAGTGGTGAGATTTGCCATAGTAACCTTGTTGTGTTATTTTATCTACAAATTTTAAACATTATGTAAAACATTATTCATTTATACTAATCATTATAATATTTCCTTTTAAAATCCTAAATTTCTGAGTCTGTATTGGTCTAAGTTGACTGACTGATAATTTTTAGAAAGAAGAACATAATGCACATGCAATCTATCTGGACAATAGAATATAATTTTGTGGACATAAAATATACCTGATGATAATAATATAAATTACAAGATTCAAAAGTTTAAAACATCTCGAGCAGGATAAAAACAAAACCAAAGCTAGGCACTAAATAGAGAAATAGCTGCAACATTATTTTTAAAACAAATTAGGAGTTTAGCATCCAACATATACAACTAAGCTCCTAGCAAACTGACTCTCCTGCAGAAATGAATTTTAAACCTGGCATATAACACAAATAAAAACCAAAATCTACTCAAATGCTTTTGTTGGCGCTAAGAAAACAATACCCCAAAATTTGGTGCTTTGGCAAGTTAAGTGCTTTGAACTAAAAGAGATTAGAAGGCCTTGGGGAGGAAACCAATGGCCAATGACTTAGTCAATCATGCCATTGTAGTAGAATGCTCATAAAACCCTAAATGAAGGGGTTCAAGAGTTTGTGAGTTGATTAAATAAAATATAACCACAAGCCAGGAAGGAGACATACCCTACATCTATGGGGACAGAGACATACCCTACATCTATGGGGACAGAGACATACCCTACATCTATGGGGACATCCTGTGCTTAGGTCCCTTCCAGACCTTGCCCTATGTACCTCTTTGTCTGGTTGTGTTCATCTTATTCTTTTGATAAACTGAGCTCTGCAGGATGGCTGACTAGATGCAGACAGGAGGAACATCTACCATCAAGGGACTGGGACATTGGGAAGTTTGGCACACTCCTAGCAGACTTTCAGAGCGAAGGCATTGAGAATGGACAGATGAAAGATACAGAGGCTCGGCTGAAGGCGCTGGAGGCGTGGAACCCAGAATGGGACTACCACCCACTAGGCCTCATTCTGGCCCCCCAGCCACTCCTGCAGAAGGGGTAAGTTAAACAGGCAAGGAGTAATCCGCTCTTGCCACGTGCCTCTGGAATCCCAGTGTGAGGAGCCCACTTGCCCATCACGGACACTTGAGTTGCCAGGGAGAGCTGCTTAGAGAAGTGGTAGGGGCAAAAACTCCAGCCAATGGAGAGCCCAAAGGTTTTGGTGTGGGTGCATCTGTAGTGGAACACGGCCAGGGACCTCATCCCCCTAGGTTTACCTCGCTCCCATAGGAGACTTTAGCCCTAGGGGAACTGTCTGACCCGATCTATGCAGGGTAGTCTTGCCCATGAGATGGGGCCTGTCCAATATGAGCACCCCTAGGTCTGCTGGTCTCTCCCAGCGGCCCAACTTGACCATATCTGCTTGCAGTGCAACCCCCAGGTACCTCCTTGTGGGCCCACATTATAGCTCCTGTGCTGGTGGACTATGACTGACCGGCAGAGTGCTCCAGCAGAGTAGCCCTGCAAACATGCACCTCACCACGCTGCAGCCTCCCCCATCCAACATTGCCTGCATGTACCTGCCCACGGCTACCCACAAAATCGCTTTGCTGGCGCAGGTGTGCATGGACGAACCTTGCCTTCCCTTCCCCAGCAGCGCATGTGTGCATGTGCACTCTGCAATGCCACTGCTGCCTGTGTGAGTGCATCGTGCACCCCTTCCACACTGCCATTCTCATAGAAACGTTGGGTGGGCACAGAGCCCACCAGCCCCACCCCCACAAGCACCCTAAACCTGTGCCAACACTGCCACCAGTATGAAACCAGGTATGGAGAACAGCGGACACGACCTTGCCCTGAGGAGCCATTGCTGCCCACGTGAATATGCATAAAGTGCCCGGGCAGTCCTGCGCGCACCATTGCCCCACTCCTGTGCTAAGGCCACTAGTAGTGCAAACATACACACACAGTCACCGGCGAAGTCCCCTGCCCTGCCAGCCGTGGTGCCACTGCCTCTGCTGCAAATGCATGCATGGAGGCCGGCATCTTGGCAACTGCTAGCATCCTGACACAGCCAATAAGCATGCACCCGCCACACTGCCACTACCACTGCTGTTGGCACTTGTGAATGAGGTTAGATCCCTCTGCCACCGCCCTATGAATTGCTTTGGCTGGCACTACCCATCAGATTATTGTGACCAGCGGTCTAGGAGCACCTAAGATCCTCTAGCACAGCAGGTTCTTAACCTCAAGGAGCAGGATAAAAAAGCCAAGTCTCTAGAGTAGTTTCCCAGAGTTCGAGCACACAGTGCAGGAGTCCTGAGCTCAGTCTTGGCCCCCTAAATTTTCCAGAAACAAAACCAATTGACGAACCCATCTTACACCACAATAAAACACCCAAGGTCATCAAATAGGATGAAAGAACAATAAAACAAAACAAAACAAAACAAAAACTCACCCAAAGGACGGCAATTTCAAAGAGTGAAGGAACTCAGCCTACAAAGTTGAGAAGAAACCAGCACAAGAACTCTGAGAACTCAAAGAGCCAGCGTGCCCTTTTTTCCCTCCGAACGTCTGCAGTAGTTATCCAGCAAAGGTTCTTAAACTGCCTGAGATGGCTGAAATGACAGAAATTGAATTCAGAATGTGGATAGGAATGAAGATTATCAAGATTCAGTAGAACGTTGAAAACCAATCTAAGAAAGCTAAGAATCATAATAAAATGATACAGGAGCAATCCTAACTTCAGGAAAAAAAGACTTTAAGCCAACAAAGATCAAAAAAGACAAAGATAACATTACATGTGGTAGAAGATTCAGTTCAACAAGAAGGCCTAACTATCTTAAATATATATGCACCCAGTACAGGAGCACCAGATTCATAAAGTGAGTTCTTAGAGACTTTCAAAGAGACTTAGACCTCCACGCAATGTTAGTGGGAGTTGTCAACAACTTACTAACAGTAATAGACAGACCATTGAGGCAGAAAATTAACAAAGATATTCAGAACCTGAACTCAGGCCTGGACCAAATGGCACTGCTAGTCATCTACAGAACTCTCCACCAAAAAACAACAGAATATACATACTTCTCATTGCCACATGGCACATACTTTAAAACCAAGCACACAATTGACATAAAATGATCCTAAGCAAATGCAAAAAAAGGAAAACAAAATCATACCAACCACTGTCTCAGACCACAGTGCAACAAAAATAGAACTCAAAATGAAGAAAATTGCTAGAAACCATACAATTTCCTAGAAATTAAACAACCTGCTCCTGATTTACTTTTGGGTAAATAATGAAATTAAGGCAGAAATAAAGAAGTTATTTGAAACTAATGAGAACCAAAATACAGCACACAGCTAAGGCAGTATTAAGAAGAAAATTTATATGCACTAAATGGCCAAATCAAACAGAAAGACTTCAAATTAATAACCTAACATTACAACTAAAAGATCTAAATAATCAAGTGTAAATCAACCCCAAAGCTACTAGAAGAGAAGAAATAACCAAAATAAGAGCAGAATTGAAGGAGACTGAGATATGAAAAGCCATTCAAAAGATTAGCAAATACAGGAGATTCTTTTTTTTAAAAACAAACAAACAAAAAAGAAAAACAAGCAAGATAGATAGAGTGCTTGCTAGACTAATGAAGAGGAAAAGAGAAAAGATCCAAAGAAATACAACTAGAAATGACAAAAGGGATATTACCACTGACCACACAAAAATATAAAAAAAAAAAAAAAAAAAAACAGAGACTACTATGAACACTTCTATGAACACAAACTAGCAAACTAGAAAATCTAGAAGAAATGGATGAATTCCTGGACACATAGACTCTCCCAAGTCTTAACCAGTAAGGAATTGAATTCCTGAACAGAGCAATAATGATCTTGGAAATTAAAATAGTAATAAATAGCCTACCAACCAAAAAAAAAGCAAAGGACCAGACAGATTCTCAGTCGAATTCTACCAGTTGTACAAAAAGGCTGGTACCATTTCTACTGAAGCTATTTTAAAAATTCCAGAGCAGGGAGTTTTCGCTAACTCATTCAATGAGTCCAGCATCATCCGGCTACAAAAACCTGGCTGATTCACAACTAAAAAAGGAAACTTTAGGCCAATATCCTTGATAAACATTGATGCAAAAATCCTCAACAAACTACTGGCAAATCAAATCCAACAGCACATCAAAAAGCTAATCCACCATTATCAAGTAGGCCTATCCCTGGGATACAAGCCTGGTTCAACATACCAAATCAACAAATGTGATTCATCACATAAACAAAACTGAAGACAAAAACCACCCATTTATCGCAATAGATTCAATAAAATTCAACATCCATTCGTGTTAAAAACTCTCAATAAACTAGGTATAGAAGTAACATACCTCACTATAATAAGAGCCATATATGACAAACCAATAGCCAACATCATACTGAATGTGAAAAAGCTGAAAGCATTCCTCTTGAAAATTGGTATAACACAAGGATACCCTCTCTCACCCCGCCTATTCAACACATTGTTGGAAACCTTGGCCAGAGCAATCAGGTAAGAGAAAAAAATAAAGGGCATCCAAATAGGAAGATAATAATTCAATCTATCCCTCTTTACAGATGACATAATTGTATATCTAGAAAACCCCAGAGTCTTGGTCCAAAAGCTCCTTTACCTGATAAACAGCATCAGCAAAGTTTCAGGATATAAAATCAAGGTAAAAAATCATTGACATTATTTTACATCAATAAAAATTAAGCCAAGAGCCAAATCAGGAATGCAATCCCATTCACAATTGGCACAAAAAAGAATAAAGTATCTAGGAATACAGTAAACAGGGAGGTGAACGATCTCTACAATGTGAATTACAAAATACTGCTGAAAGAAATCAAAAATGATACAAATAAATGAAAAATCATAATAAAAAATAGGAAAAATCATTTCATGCTCATGAATAGGGAAAATCAATCTCACTAAAATGCCCATATTTCTCAAAGCAATTAAAGATTCAATGTTATTTCCATTAAACTACCAAAGGCATTCTTCACATAACTAAAAAAATTATTTCAAAATTCATATTGAACCAAAAAAAAGAGCTGGAATAGTAAGGCAATCCTAAACAACAAAAACAAAACTGGAGGCATTATACTACCCATCTTCAAACTATACTAGAGGGCTACAATATCCCAAACAGCATGGTACTGGTACAAAAACAGACATATAGACCAATAAAACAGAACAGAGAGCTCAGAATAAGGCCACACACCTACAACCATCTGATCTTTGACAAAGCTGACAAAAAAACAATGGGAAAAGGACTCCCTATTTAATAAATAGTGCTGGGATAACTGGCTAGCCGTAAGAAGAATATTAAAACTGGACCCCTTCCTTAAAACATTTACAAAAATTAACTCAAGATAGATTAAGACTTCAATGTAAAATCCAAAACTATAAAATCCCTGGAAGGTAAGATAGGCTATTCAATTCTGGACACAGGAACTGACAAAGATTTCATTACAAAAGTAATCACAACAAAAGGAAAAATTGGCAAATGGGATCTAATTAAACTAAAGAGCTTCTGCACAGCAAAATAAACTACCGACAGATTGAAATGACAACCTACAAAATGGAAGAAAATATTTGCCAATTATTCATTTGACAAAGTCTAATATCCAGCATCTGTAAGGAACTTAAATTTACAAGAAAAAAGCAAACAACCCCATTAAAAGTGGGCAAAGGACATGAACAGCTACTTTTCAAAAGAGTACATACATGTGGCCAGCAAGCATATGCAAAAAAGCTCAATATCAATAATCATTAGAGAAATGAAAATCAAAACCACAATGAGATACCATCTCACATCAGTTAGAATGGCTGCTATTAAAAAGTCAAAAAATAACAGGTGCTCTGAGGTTGCAAAGAAAAGGAAATTCCTATATAGTGTTGGTGGGAGTGTAAATTAGTTCAACCACTGTGGAAAGCAGTGTGGTGATTCCTGGAAGAGCTCAAAACAGAACTACCATTTGACCTAGCGATCACATTACTGAGTACATACCCAAAGGAATATAAATTGTTGTATCATAAAGGAGCCAAATGATAAGACAACATGGACACATGGAGGGGAACAACAGACACCTGAGGGTGAAGGGTGGGAAGAGGAAGAGAAGCAGGAAACATAACAATTGGACACTAGGCTTAGTACCTGAGTGATGAAATAATCCATAGAACAAACCCTGTGACAAGAGTTTACCTGTATAACATACCTGCACATGTCCCTTGTACCTAAAATAAAAGTTAAAGAAAAAAAAAAAGACCTTGGAAGCAGTGTCAGAAGCAACGTTTCTCTCTGGACTTCTGTCTTCCTCTTTCCATTTCTTGCCCCCCAACAAAGGCAAGCTATAGAAAATAGAATTCTTTTGCCTCTGGGCGGGGATAGAAACTAGGACATTTCTCCTTCAAAGCTATCCATAAAACCTACACTTCAAAGCTATCCATAAAACCTTCCCCTATCTTTCTATGTAAGTGCTGAGTGTAAATAAATTATCTGACCTACCTTGTCAAATAGTAGGTCATAAAACCCTTATTCTAGAAGGGATCCCACTCAAGGCTTGAGAAGGATTGCCACACAAAACAGCCAAAAAAAATTGAAAAAGACATGTCTTGTTGGATTTCCCTTTTCCTTTATTACTATTAGATCATATCCATTTTGTACAATTACATTTCCACCTTACTATTATTTATCTAACATAAAAACAAAAATTGATAGTTCCCTGAGTCTTTAGGTTTTCATTTCTCAAGTCTTCTATGTCAAGTGACACTTTTGTAAAATCAATCTGTCTTACTTTTCTCTCATTAATTTGTCTTTGGATATACTAGTGGTGGCCATGACCCTTATGATGGGGAGGAAAGATACCACACCTCTTCTGCTCCTATATTCTGGAGTATAAAACAATGCAGGTATATTTTTGCATGTCAGCTGCCATTTGGAAGAGAAGAGTAACAACGTGAGTGTCTTTTTGTTGCCATGGCTTTTGGCCGGAAGGAAACTCACACCTCACTATGTGTAGGATATTGGCAAGTTTGAAAGAAAGAGAACTCACAGTCTTTCTGGTGTGATGAACTAGAAAGCAGAGTACAGTATATTGCAGCCAAGGACAAGTGTGAAGTGAATTTTAGAAGAAGGAGAACAAGAGAGAAAATGCCCATATCCTATATATAAAATGACCAAATATCTGGAGAATACCTGAAGCGTGTGTTAAAATGCAAGCAACTAAATTATAAATGAAGACAATGAAATCAGATGTCAGCAGTTTTCCAAAAGATGGAGTTTAAATTTCAAATCTAACCAATTTCCTGTCAAATATCCCAACATCCTTAAAAGAAACCTAACAGAATCCTTAGTATCCACACTATGACTACATTCAAATATAAATCAGAATAACTCAACATATAAAGAACCAGAGAAATGAGACTCATTCTCAAAAATAAATGACAATTAACAAAGACTGGCCCAGATTTTGATATCACCAGTGAAGGGTTTTTTGTTTGTTTGTTTGTTTTTTTTTTTTTTTTTTTTTTTTGCTGTGTCGAAGCAGTAATCCTTTATTTTATTTTATTTTTTTAATTTGTTTTATTATTATTATACTTTAAGTTTTAGGGTACACGTGCACAATGTGCAGGTTAGTTACATATGTATACATGTGCCATGCTGGTGTGCTGCACCCATTAACTCTTCATTTAGCATTAGGTATATCACCTAATGCTATCCCTCCCCCCTCCCCCCACCCCACCACAGGCCCCAGAGTGTGATGTTACCCTTCCTGTGTCCATGTGTTCTCATTGTTCTATTCCCACCTATGAGTGAGAATATGTGGTGTTTGGTTTTTTGTCCTTGCGATAGTTTACTGAGAATGATGATTTCCAATTTCATCCATGTCCCTACAAAGGACACGAACTCATCATTTTTTATGGCTGCATAGTATTCCATGGTGTATATGTGCCACATTTTCTTAATCCAGTCTATCATTGTTGGACATTTGGGTTGGTTCCAAGTCTTGGCTATTGTGAATAGTGCCGCAATAAACATACATGTGCATGTGTCTTTATAGCAGCATGATTTATAGTCCTTTGGGTATATACCCAGTAATGGGATGGCTGGGTCAAATGGTATTTCTAGTTCTAGATCCCTGAGGAATCACCACACTGACTTCCACAATGGTTGAACTAGTTTACAGTCCCACTAACAGCGTAAAAGTGTTCCTATTTCTCCACATCCTCTCAAGCACCTGTTGTTTCCTGACTTTTTAATGATCGCCATTCTAACTGGTGTGAGATGGTATCTCATTGTGGTGTTGATTTGCATTTCTCTGATGGTCAGTGATGATGAGCATTTTTTCATGTGTCTTTTGGCTGCATAAATGTCTTCTTTTGGGAAGTGTTTGTTCATATCCTTTGCCCGCTTTTTGATGGTGGTGTTTGTTTTTTCTTGTAAATATGTTTGAGTTCATTGTAGATTCTGGATATTAGCCCTTTGTCAGATGAGTGGGTTGCAAAAATTTTCTCCCATTTTGTAGGTTGCCTGTTCACTCTGATGGTAGTTTCTTTTGCTGTGCAGAAGCTCTTCAGTTTAATGAGATCCCATTTGTCAATTTTGGCTTTTGTTGCCATTGCTTTTGGTGTTTTAGACATGAAGTCCTTGCCCATTCCTATGTCCTGAATGGTAATGCCTAGGTTTTCTTCTAGGGTTTTTATGGTTTTAGGTCTAACGTTTAAGTCTTTAATCCATCTTGAATTAATTTTTGTATAAGGTGAAAGGAAGGGATCCAGTTTCAGCTTTCTACATATGGCAAGCCAGTTTTCCCAGCACCATTTATTAAATAGGGAATCCTTTCCCCATTGTTGTTTTTCTCAGGTTTGTCAAAGATCAGATAGTTGTAGACATGTGGCATTATTTCTGAGGGCTCTGTTCTGTTTCATTGATCTATGTCTCTGTTTTGGTACCAGTACCATGCTGTTTTCGTTACTGTAGCCTTGTAGTATGGTTTGAAGTCAGGTAGCATGATATCTCCAGCTTTGTTCTTTTGGCTTAGGATTGACTTGGCGATGCGGGCTCTTTTTTGGTTCCATATGAAGTTTAAAGTAGTTTTTTCCAATTCTGTGAAGAAAGTCATTGGTAGCTTGATGGGGATGGCATTGAATCTATAAATTACCTTGGGCAGTATGGCCATTTTCATGATATTGATTCTTCCTACCCATGAGCATGGAATGTTCTTCCATTTCTTTGTATCCTCTTTTATTTCATTGAGCAGTGGTTTGTAGTTCTCCTTGAAGAGGTCCTTCACGTCCCTTGTAAGTTGGATTCCTAGATATTTTATTCTCTTTGAAGCAATTGTGAATGGGAGTTCACTCATGATTTGGCTCTCTGTTTGTCTGTTATTGGTGTATAAGAATGCTTGTGATTTTTGCACATTGATTTTGTATCCTGAGACTTTGCTGAAGTTGCTTATCAGCTTAAGGAGATTTTGGGCTGAGACAATGGAGTTTTCTAGATATACAATCATGTCATCTGCAAACAGGGACAATTTGACTTCCTTTTTTCCTAATTGAATACCCTTTATTTCCTTCTCCTGTCTAATTGTCCTGGCCAGAACTTCCAACACTATGTTGAATAGGAGTGGTGAGAGAGGGCATCCCTGTCTTGTGCCAGTTTTGAAGGGGAAACACCTATAATCATTATGCTCATTAATATGAAAGAAAAATTTTTGTAACAAATAGAGTGATATGTAATACAAAAAGAGATTTTGAAACCTTAAGAAACAAGCAAATGACAATTCCCCAACTCAATAAATACAATTTCAAAAATTAAGTTTCATTGATTGTTGTGTACAAAGGAAAGAATCAACAAAATTGAAATAGATTAACACAACTAATTCAATATATATAATAGAGAAAAAAACACTGAAAAATATTAGCCCAAGATTAGGTACCTTTGATAAAATATTAAAACATCTTAAATATCTGTTATTTTAGTAGCAGAAAAAAATAGAGTAGACGAATGGAGTAGGAAAAATAGTATTTGATGAAATAGATAAAAAATTTTCCAATTTGGTGAAATATATAAATTTAGTAAGTAAAATACTTAATGGATCCCAAAGAAGATAAATGTTAAAACAATTAATAATACTATAGACAAGTTACTACAAACCAAAAATAACATGAAAAATCCCGAATGAAGCCAGAGTAACATGACAGGAAAATATGTGACTTCTCAAAAAAACCTATGGAGGCTGAAAGACAGTGGAATAATATCTTTAAAATTTTGAGAGAAATAAAATAAAAATATTTGTCAATTCATAAATATTATATCTTGTACAAATATCTTGTAAGTGAACTAAACACATTTTTAGATAAAAGTACTGAGAAAATTATTGCCACCAGAATATAATATACAGAATACTACAGCAGAATAAATATACTAAAAGTAACTTAGACTGAAGGAAAATGATACCAAGCAATTTTGGAGAAGAAATAAAGAGCACTAAGACTTGGATAAATGTAAAACATTGTATTTTCTTATTATCTCTAAAATATATATCATGTTTTAAAGCAATATGATACAATTGTCTTGTATGGTTTAAAATATAATGCATATTGTCATTATATCATTGAGACTGAAAAATATCCTCACATGCTGCAATGTTTCTACATTTTACCTACAGTGGTACAATATTAAACATAAGTAAAATGTTACAAGAATAGGTACAAATATTTGCAGTAGTAATTGCTATTGGGTTGAATGAGTTAGATTATTTTATATGTATACATATATACACATAAAATCAGAGAACGTGGAACAAATAAGTTAATTGATGAAACATCAAATGCAGGTGGGACAAATAGAAAACTGTGTCTAAGATAGGTATTCAATAAGAATACCCACTAAGAGAAATCTATTCATGAAGAGAACTGCCAGGATGACAGACCACCTAAATTAGCCAGAAAGTTTGCATAAAAATCCTGGACCTCAGTGTACTAACTATAAAGATATCAGGATACCTCATCAAATTAAAACAAGTTAATTAGAAAAACTTACTTCAAGGATATCAAGAAAGAATGTAGAAGTCTAGCTCATGGCATTATTGTATTGATATTAAAGGTTCTTGTAAATGAAATTGCTTGACATATTATATGACTTGTCTACTGTCTATAGATTCAACCTGCTAAGAGCATATTAACTTTAGAATGAATAAATAAATGCCACAATTAGGTATGAATCTTTGTGAAAAATAAATATGTAAAATAAAAACATATAGGAATGCTCCAATAATCACAGAACAGATACATATAAGTATATATGGGGAGGCATGTTTATATAGATAGATACATGTATTTATATGTGTGTGTACGTCATGTATGTACGCATATAGTTACATATATTTTAATATATTACATATAGCTTATATATTACATATATTTGTACACAAATTTTTATGAATATAGTATATATAAGTGAGAAAAGAAAACTGGCTCAGATTAGTCTGAACTCTGTGAGGTATGCAGGACCAGAGAGACATGAGTATGGTACTTCAGTCATTCCTCTCCATACCCATGCCATACCCATGCCTGGGGGCAATTATTTAAAATCATTACATTCCTGACTAGCTGCCTCACCAATTACCTTCATCTTTCTGGAATTTATGATACAAATAACTATGTATAATCAATCAATAACATATTTTACCAAAATTTTTTGGTAAACAACTTAGAAACTTTCATGCACATCCGTGCGAAGAGACCACCAAACAGGCTTTGTGTGAGCAATAAAAGCTTTTAATCACCTGTGCGCAGGCGGGCTGAGACCAAAAAGAGAGTCATCAAAGGGAGATAAGGGTGGGGCCATTTTATAAGATTTGGGCAGGTAAAGGAAAATTACAGTCAAAGAAGGTTTGTTCTCTGGCAGGCAGGAGTGGGGGTCGCAAGGTGCTCAGTGGGGGAGGTTTTTGAGCCAGGATGAGTCAGGAAAAGGACTTTCACAAGGTAATGTCATCACTTAAGGCAAGGACTGGCCATTTTCACTTCTTTTGTGGTGGAATATCACCAGTTGAGGCAAGGACTGGCCATTTACACTTCTTTTGTGGTGGAATGTCATCAGTTAAGGCGAGGCAGGGACATTCACTTCTTTTGTGATTCTTCAGTTACTTCAGGCCATCTGGGCATATACGTGCAAGTCACAGGGGATGTGATGGCTTGGCTTGGGCTCAGAGGCCTGACAGAAACTACCTCTTCTTTCCTCTTAACAACCTACTTGTACTTGTTAATTGGAGTGTATATTCAGGGCAACTTGAATCTATGCTCTGAAGTTGCATCTCTGAAGCTTGCTTCAAATAAACTCTCTACCTATATTAATTTTGCCTCAGCATCTTTCTTTTAGGTCAACATAAGATACATATTCTAATATATATACACAAACACACACACACTATTAACTGTATATATTTGTACTTTGTAGAGTCTGGTGAGGGAAAGACTATTACAAACACATCACATTCACATTTAAATAAGGCCGATGTTGCAGGTGCTAAGGTTAGGAGGGCACACCAATCAACACAGCTGCCATGTTTTACTCTAATTTCCATTCCTGTTGCTCTTTTATAAGGAGCCCACATGCTGTAAGAAATAAATAGATGATTTCAAATCTACTAATTATTATCATGATGTTATTAATTTAGGCCAAGATAATAATAAGATGGTGTCTGCAAAGAAAGACATCATTATAGAATTAATTGCTTTGATTAGGGTCAACACAGGAGAAAAGATTTGCATAACATTTAAGAAACAATTACTTTGATGGCTATTCAGGAGCCAAAGACATGCAAATTTCAAGAAATCATTTTACAATTCCCCTGTTACATTCAGATGCTAAGTTCTCTGATAAACCCTACTTGTTCAACAGAAAATTAAAATCACTGAATTGAAGAAGATCTAGGTAATGATGTATCATTGATGTATTCTATAAATGTTCAAATTATTCTTGGCTCTATTTTTGAATTTATTTCATGGAAACAAAAAATGGCATTACAAAGTCAATTTTAATCTCAGTGTTGATGTTGTGGTTGTTTTACCTTAATAGATGTCGATAGAAGTGGATTATAGTTATCTTTGTTAATTCATTGTTACATTTTTTATTCTCATAGTTTCTGACTGGGCAGCACATATGGAGTAAAAATGTTCTCTGTGTTTAACACCTGCTTTTAATTTTTTTCCTAAAAATGCAACCTAATTCTTTTGTTTTGCTGTTAGTATTTTTATTGCATTTTTCCTTTTAATAAGAATATAAACTCAATTTGAGAGAAAGCATATCTCAGCCATAACCATCATACAAGAATACATTCTTCAATAAGATGGACAAATTGACAATAGAGTTTGCATTTGGCATGTATATATAATTTTGTTTTCTTTCTCTTTCTCTTCTGCTGTCTTGATTGGTTTTCATTGCAATGTTTCTTTGAAGTGAATGACAGGATCATACTCAGGGTAAGCTTTGACAATTACAATTTAGACAAAGTCCTAACACTAAGTCAAGATACTTGACTCTGACTGAATATCATGTAAAACTAAAAATAGATTTTCAATTTTTTTAAAAATAACTTGCTTTATATTGAAAAATGACCATTAACCAAATGACCATTAACCAAATAGCCAAATGTTTTCTTTTAAAGCATACAAGTAAATATTTTTTCATTATTTTTAATTATTATACTCTCATATCAATGAAACATCTTACTTGGGAACAAAGAGAAAGGGTAAAAATTTTGGAAAATAAAAAGAGAAGTCAGGCATTTTAATTAACAATAATGACAATAAGTAACATCTACATGATATAGTGTTCCTAATTTTTCTTTCATATATTTGTTTCATGGTCAAATGAGACTGTAATTACCATGTTCTGGGTAAATTTTCAACAAAACTTTTCAAATTCACCATCCACAAAGCCTTGAGTAAAAGTGTCATTAAACTTAAAGTGCATCTATAAAGACATTTTTATTTTTTGAACTAGATTTATTTTTCAAAAACGGGAATAGCGAAATAGTAAGCTGAAATTTGAGCTGCTTGCAGAGAAGAAAGCAAAAATTAAGGTTGTTCTTTTGTCTTAGGTCGCATGTCAAAACCAGAACTTCTGAATGAGAGTCTTACACCAAGCTTTGTGCCATGCAGTGTGATTAAATATAAGTTTTCTAGTAAGATAGAAGCTTCAAGATGAGCTACAAACTTTACAAAAGAGAAGATTACAAAATTCATGTTTAGTAGTGTTCAATGACTCTTATCCAAGCAAATAATACCTAGATGTTAATGGTGGAGGGTGTCCAGGTTCTTGATGTCTTCAACAAAGAATTGGACAAACGCACAAAGCAAGGAAGGAACAAAGAGATTTATTAAAAAGAATAATATACTCCACAGTGTGGGAGCTTGCCTGACCATAGAGGCTCAAAGGCCCAGTTACAGACTTTTTGGGAGTTTAAATACCCCCTAGAAGATTCAATTTGTTACTTGTGTATGCTCTATGTTAATGCAGAGGATGAAGTAAAGCTACAGAGTCATTTATGGTGAACGCCCTACAGAGAGAATATTTCCTGTTATAGCTGAAGTGTAAATCAGCATTATATTCCCTGCCTCCTGACCTTATTTTTCTGCCTCATCTCCCCCCTAAGAAATGTGATCCCCATAAATCTTCATGGGAGGCAGAGGGACTGATAGTCTTTTTTCTGTAACTGCTTCATGTTGGCTTGGGGTGTAGTCCCTACCTATTGGGGATCACAGAACTCACCCTGCTTTATAGTAGGGACAAGGTAGCTTCTTCATGACCAGGGTTGATGTCTTCACCTGGAACTGACTGGAAACTTTGTTGCATGATCATATGAAACTTGAGGGTCTCTAGGAGAGAGAAAATGAATTTGGCTAAAAGATTTAATGGGACTTCAGGGGGTGCATACCTATGCTGACAGAAATGTTTGTTATAGAGATTTGCAAGAGAAAAAACAAAACCTGGCTTGTTCTAGAATCTATGTGTTTTCTTAAAGTTTTAGCACAAGTGACTCAATTTTGGTTTGGTTTGGTTTGTTGGGACCTAGTGCATGAGCTTAGTCCAAAACAATGGCCTCCCATAATTTTGTTTGAAAAATTCCCCCTTTTTGTTCAGGCTTTCACTTAGGTGAGAGTGTAACCAAAATGTAGGGCCTCAGTGCCACTCTCAGTTACCATAATTTTGGGTTTCTGGTCTCAGCACATCATTTATAGGTTATATGTGTCCTCATGGTTGCACATTTCTTTCAGCTCCTGTTATTCCAGTTGAAGGGAGACCATAAGATACTCTAGATATGGCTGCATGCAAGCATTTAAAACCTCTGAGAGAATACAGCACACCAGGGAGACTATTATTATAATTATTGGGAGGATAATACCAAGAGTTTAGAGTATTCTCCCTACTTCCCAAGGTCCCAATAAGCCAAACCTCCTGAAATCAAATAAATCAAAGAATGAGCTAGAGAAAGAGTTTACTCACTTGACTAAGCAATTTCTTCATCAATCGCCTACCACTAAATTTCTATAATCTTCATTTAATGTATTTCCCCATAGGCTACATGTGCCAGCAGCCACACAGGTTCTCCTCTGTTCAGCCAATTCTATTATTTAGCATAAGTTTCACAGGAGAATTTAAAGTTTGTTGTGTAACTATAGCCTTTACAGTAAAATTTGCTATACAGCCTACCACGAGGATACATTTCTAATCATTGCTTCTTTTACTTTAAGCCATGGACAAAGGACCTAACAAATGATGCCCATTTAGAATAGTAAAGGCCTTCTGGCAATGTTCTCTTTAACCCATGATGTGGATTAAGAGGAGTGAACAAATGTTTTGTTTTTGACTGATTATGAGACAACATATGTACCATTAAAGTTCCTTACCTACATTGGGCCTTCATCTTTTATGTATCAAAGTATAAGGTTATCCATGTATAAGGCTTCAAACTCCTTCACAAATAAAAGTGCACCCCATTAGTGCACATAACAGACCCCCTTTCCACTTCTATTTTTCATAGAGGCCTAAGCAAAAAAAAAAAATATATATATATATATATTAAAGATAAGTGTTTCATGACAGTAGAAGTCTTAATCTGTGAGCTTAGGAAAAGTTGTTCGCATCAAGGATGCCATCCTTTTTTTGGGAGAAATTTCCCTGGTTAGTTTTACCTTAAGCGTTCCAGTGGGTGCATAACTTCCAAGAGCATGGAGATACCTTTCTCAATTGTGATATTATGAACCCAAAGTTCAAGGTTTCAAAGTTTTGTTTTAGTGTGGATAGAAAAGACAGTCTTTCTCTGATGTTTCCAGAATATTCAAACCATAAAAAAGCTTTCTTTACCTGGTGAAAATACACCGAGCATAATAATCTACTGTTATAACATCAGCCCTCCTGCAAGGGAAAGCTTTTATAGAACAAGAAAGCATGAATTGAAAACAACAATGGAAAGAAATCCCTTTATAAAATGTTTAAATGGCCAACCAGGTAACTAAAGGTACATGAAGCTATAATTGATTTCCCAGGGATATGGGATCAAGCATTGGTTATAAACTATTTTAAACAATTTCGGTATTAGCTGATTTAACATAAAAGTATTTTCTTGATATTTAATTTTTTTGTTGTTTTACTTGGGTGAGTAGTTTTATACATGAAAATTTGGTTATTTCTGCGGTTTACAATAACTTAACATAATAACTGTAATTGTGATTTGTAGCATATACTTTAGACATTAGAATGTTAGAAATCTCTTGGTTTAGGATTGACTTGGCAATGTGGGCTCTTTTGTGTTCCATATGAACTTTAAAGTAGTTTTTTCCAATTCTGTGAAGAAAGTCATTGGTAGCTTGATGGGGATGGCATTGAATTTATAAATTACCTTGGGCAGTATGGCCATTTTCACGATATTGATTCTTCCTATTGACGAGCATGGAATGTTCTTCCATTTGTTTGTATCCTCTTTTATTTTGTTGAGCAGTGGTTTGTAGTTCTCCTTGAAGAGGTCCTTCACATCCCTTGTAAGTTGCATTCCTAGGTAATTTATTCTCTTTGAAGCAATTGTGAATGGGAGTTCACTCATGATTTGACTCTCTGTTTGTTATTGGTGTATAAGAATGCTTGTGATTTTTGCATATTGATTTTGTATCCTAAGACTTTGCTGAAGTTGCTTATCAGCTTAACAAAATTTTGGGCTGAGAACAGAGCTGGAGGCATCACACTACCTGACTTCAAACTATACTACAATGCTACAGTAACCAAAACAGCATGGTACTGGTACCAAAACAGATACATAGACCAATGGAACAGAACAGAGCCCTTAGAAATAATACCACGCATCTACAACTATCTGATCTTTGACAAACCTGACAAAAACAAGAAAGGGGGAAAGGATTCCCTATTTAACAAATAATGCTGGGAAAACTGGCTAGTCATATGTAGAAGGCTGAAAATGGATCACTTCTTTTCACCTTATACAAAAATTAATTCAAGATGGAATAAGGACTTAAATGTTAGACCTAAACCTGTAAAAACTCTAGAAGAAAACCTAGGCAATACAATTCAGCACATAGGCATAGACAAGGACTTCATGTCTAAAACACCAAAAGCAATGGCAACAAAAGCCAAAATTGACAAATGGGATCTAATTAAAATAGAGAGCTTCTGCACAGCAAAAGAAACTACCATCAGAGTGAACAGGCAACCTACAGAATGGGAGAAAATTTTTGCAATCTACTCATCTGACAAAGGGCTAACATCCAGAATCTACAAAGAACTCAAACAAATTTACAAGAAAAAAACAAACAACCCCATCAACAAGTGGGCAAAGGATATGAACAGACACTTCTCAAAAGAAGAAATTTTTTTTTTTTTTTTTTTTTTTTTTTTTGAGACGGAGTCTCGCTCTGTCGCCCAGGCCGGACTGCGGACTGCAGTGGCGCAATCTCAGCTCACTGCAAGCTCCACCTCCCGGGTTCACACCATACTCCTGCCTCAGCCTCCCGAGTAGCTGGGACTACAGGTGCACTCTGCCACACCCAGCTAATTTTTTGTATTTTTTTTAGTAGAGACGGGGTTTCACCGTGTTAGCCAGGATGGTCTCAATCTCCTGAACTTGTGATCCGCCAGCCTCAGCCTCCCAAAGTGCTGGGATTACAGGCATGAGCCATTGTGCCCGGCCAAAAGAAGACAATTTTGCAGCCAACAGACACATGAAAAAATGCTCATCATCACTGGCCATCAGAGAAATGCAAAGCAAAACCACAATAAGATACCATCTCACACCAGTTAGAATGGCGATCATTAAAAAGTCAGGAAACAACAGGTGCTGGAGAGGATGTGGAGACATAGGAACACTGTTACACTGTTAGTGGGACTGTAAACTAGTTCAACCATTGTGGAAGACATTGTGGCTATTCCTCAGGGATCTAGAACTAGAAATACCATTTGACCCAGCCATCCCATTACTGGGTATATACCCACAGGACTGTAAATCATGCTGCTATAAAGACACACATGCACAAGTATGTTTATTGCGGCATTATTTACAATAGCCAAAGACTTGGAACCAACCCAAATGTCCAACAATGATAGACTGGATTAAGAAAATGTGGCACATATACACCATGGAATACTATGCAGCCATAAAAAAGGATGAGTTCATATCCTTTGCAGTGCCATGGATGAAGCTGGAAACCATCATTCTCAGCAAACTATCGCAAGGACGAAAAACCAAACACAGCATGTTCTCACTCATAGGTGGGAATTGAACAACGAGAACACATGGACACAGGAAGGGGAACATCACACTCTGGGGCCTGTGGTGGGGTGGGGGGAGGGGGGAGGGACAGCATTAGGAGATATACCTAATGTAAATGATGAGTTAATGAGTGCAGCACACCAACATGGCACATGTACACATATGTAACAAACCTGCACATTGTGCACATGCACCCTAGAACTTAAAGTATAATAAATATATATATATATATAAAATTAAAAAAAAGGAATGTTAGAAATCTCATACAATTTTGGAATATATATTAGTATTATTCACAAAAATAGAACCTAAAGAAGATTGAATATCATTTTGGCAATCCCATGTAGATAAACATGTCAAATAATTCTGTTTACCTCTTTTCTGAATGTTTTCAGGGGCCCTCTAATCCATCAAGAAAGCTAGGCATTAGGAAAGACAATTTTGAAACTGAAGTTTGGTTTTGGAATTCCAGATTACCATAATTATTTATTTGGCCAAAATGATGACTCAGAAATTGTAAAGAAGTAAAAACCCATTATAACCTTTTACAGAAAAAACAAAAACAAAACAAACAAAAAAACTACTATTTTTACACACCTTGCATGTAACACTCTTTCTAGTAGTCTTCATTGAATGTTCCAGTGGTGACTCTTGGCAAGTTTAACAAGAATGTAAATCTTGGTAAGTTATATTCTGATCAGGTTAGACTGTTTCCAGCATAACAAGGGCATGGCTAACTCCACATGTCCCCAGGCCTTACCTAACTAGAATGCAGGCAAGTTAAACAATTTTCAAAAGCCAAAGCAGTTCATGACCTGAAAGCATTTAGCAAACCTAATATTTGAACAAAATTTAGAACACACGTTTACAGTTTGAAGACAATTGTATTTTACCAATAATCTTTAAAACCGTCTTTATTTCTCAAAGATTGCTAAAGTTACAAGAATTAAAAGGCATTACAATTTCTACTTTCCTGACAAAATATTTGAATTAAGCACTTATTATTATTAAACTAATTAGCTAAAACTTTACAAAGCAGATACACACTGACTTTCACTTTATTTTTAACCAGTTTGCACAGAGAGAAAGAGGCCAGAGACTGACTGGTAAGAAATTCTTACCCTTTTGCCAGCATGCCAGGTTTCTGGGTTCTGTCTCCTTGAACAGCCCTAGCAACCCTGCTTGACCATATGCAAACAAACATATTGCCATGAATTAAGAATATTCACAAATACTTTACAAATTTTGGAGAAATTAGGCAGAGAGAGAAATATGACTCAAATTATATTAATGAAAGTATACTTTACATGTCACACATGTCCGTGTAAAGAGACCACCAAACAGGCTTTGTGTTAGCAACAGGGCTGTTTATTTCACCTGGATACAGCGGGGCTGAGTCGGAAAAGAGTCAGCGAAGGGAGATAGGGGTGGGGCTGTTTTATAGATTTGGGTAGTTAATGGAAAATTACAGTCAAAGGGGGTAGTTCTCTGGTGGGCTGGGGTGGGGTTCACAAGGTGCTCAGTGGGGGAGCTTCTGAGCCAGGAGAAGGAATTTCACAAGGCAATGTCATCAGGTAAGGCAGGAACAGGCATTTTCACTTCTTTTGTGATTCTTCAGTTATTTCAGGCATCTGGATATATATGTGCAGGTCACAGGGGATATGATGGCTTAGCTTGGGCTCAGAGGGCTGACATTACACACTTAAAGTATTAGAAAGCTTAAAATCCAAAAAGTTAGTTTATAAGAATAAAAAGCTGATGTGCTCCATTAATTCTTGTGGCCTGACAAAGGTAGATTAGGAATTCCATTTCTCTGGAATTAATTAATTCTCCATTAATTCCTGTGGCCCGACAAAGGTAGCTTAGGAATTCCAGAGAAATGGAACAAATGATGACTTGCCAGAAAAGGAAGCAAAATAGTCATTCACAAAATCAAATAAAAGCCTTCCACTAGAAACTAAAAAGCATCATGGTTTTATGTAGAGAGACACACAGCCAAAGCCAGATGAGAATAAACAGCAAACAAATGAAAACTAGAAGCAAACACAAATAGACCAAAAACCAACCCTAAATTTTCCTACTCAATTTACCCTGAAAGCTACGTTGTTACCTAGGGCCCCAGAAAACCCACATAATAAATATTTTATTCATGATACAGAATTCAATATCTTTAAGGTAACTAATATTATTATTCATCCTGTGCAATTAAGAAATTCACTTCAGGAACATGACCAATAAGTATTCCAGCACTATCTAAACCAAACGATAAACATAGTGTGAAGCTATGCAAGCATGTATGTGAAATTTGGCTCATTCTAAATCCAACTTCATGCTTAACTATATAAAAAAAAGAATTGCCAAACTGTCAGTGCATTTTTACAATACTTCTTAATTTAATCAAGACTAAGAGCCTTAACTATGAAAATGTTAATTAGCCAAATGTCTCCAGTTGTTTGTCAGGCTTTAGAGAATTTTTTTATCTAAACTTTTTCCACATCTTTCTTGCCTATGTAATGATTCCTTACTACATTGTTTCATAAATATCCTTTTCAAATTTATTTGAACTAACTTTTAGATAACTTCTGAATTAGACAAAATGATTCTACTTCTTTCCACTAATAATTCTTTCTGACACATTTTGTATACAGAATTATTTGTTAACTAAAATTTTATTGTTAGTAACCTAAAACCTTAGTGAAACCCTAAAATACAAGAAATCCTAAACTATTAGAAATGAGCATTTATAGATAAGAACAATTCCACAATTTTAGAAACATATTTCTCCACATTACAACCCTTTCTTAATTGGAAATGTCCCAGATATCAAATGAGCTTTGAAAATAACTTTAAGATTTTAATTTACACAAAAATTTTACCTAAAACACTTATCCCATTCTCTGAACTTCATTTTTTTTACTTTTAACAAGGGAGACATGAGACATCAATCAACATATGTAAAATGAACACAGGTTTGGCCTGGAAAGGCAGGACAACTTGAGACGAGGAGGCCTGGGGGCTTTCAGATCACAGGTGGGAAACAAGTGGTTACATTCTTTTGAGTTTCTGATTAGCCTTTCCAAAGGAAGCAATCAGATATGCATTTATCTCAGTGAGAATTTGAATAGAATGGAAGGCAGGCTCGCCCCAAGCAGCTGCCAGCTTGAATTAACACTGACATCTTAAAATATCTAGCAAAGACAAACATAAAATTCAGACAAAATGTATGGTGACAATTACAAAGGCATTTCTATTTTTATTCCACCAAGAATTTTAAAGCTAGCTTGTTTAGTAATGTTATACTTTAAGTCACATGAACTTGAAAATTGGTTATAAGGGAGGAGACCACCCCTCATATTGTCTTATGTCCAATTTCTGCCTCCAAAGAAAGAAAAAGTAAAAACTAAAAGGCAGAAATGAAATCCACAAGCAGACAGCCCGGCGCCACCCCCTGGGCCTGGTAGTTAAAGATCGACCCCTGACCTAATTGGTTATATTATCTATAGATTACAGACATTGTATAGGAAAGCTCTGTGAAAATCCCTATCCTGTTTTGTTCTGATCTAATTACCAGTTAATGCAGCCCCCAGTCATGTACCCCTGCTTACTCAATCAATCACGACCCTCTCACATGCACCCCTTAGAGTTGTGAGCTCTTAAAAGGGACAGGAATTGCTCACTCAGAGAGCTTGGCTCTTGAGACAGGAGTCTTGCCAATGCCCCCAACCGAATAAACCCCTTCCTTCTTTAACTTGGTGTCTGAGGAGTTTGGTCTGCAGCTTGTCCTGCTACAGTTAGATTTATTTACTTAATTTATGAGCACTCTTTTACTTATAAGGCAATTTAGTAGACAACAACATATAGCGATAAGTGTACATACAAATAAGCACATCTAAACGTGTATACACACACATAAACAAAGGTCCACTAGCTTGGAACCTTAGCCATGAGATAGCACTACAAGCTTGCTGGTTTTACTTTGCCCCAATAGATAACCCAATGAAGTCTCTGAACCAAAATTTTGGGTAAAGCAGTCTCCATGGAGGTTTGACTCTTAAAGGAAAAACCTCCCCAGACTCCGAAGAGCACTGGTGCCAAACTGTACCAAGAGAGAGCACCACACTTTAACCAGGCCCCTTGTTTACAACCACAGCACAAAAGCCTGTATATATGCAACATCATTCTACTTTCCCAATAGACAGAAAACTCCAGATTCCAAGCAATGTTGGGGCCAAAAAGCATTGCAACTGTGAGAGAAGATACTAAGGAGGCCTAAGATCTCAGAACCTCAGAACCTCTGCCAAGAGCATCCTCTTTGGAGTGGTTGCGGTTCACAGAACCCACGGAACATCCTCCTGTGGGGTCCAATCCAGACATCTCTGGCCTTAGGGGGTGCCACATGCAGGTTTTATCCTCCAGAGCATTCTATGAGCTTTATATGAATAGCCATGAATTGTAATGTGAACTGGATGCCAAGTGGGCCTTTTTGTTCCTTAGTGAGTTGAGTATCATGAGGGAAGAATTTAGCACATGAAAAGTTTAAGTTGCCTGAAACGTGCAAGTTTGCTCCGAGATGACCCACACATACTGATCAGGGACCATGAATGGAAAAGATTAAAAAAAAAAGTCCTCCCTGCTTTGGGGCATGGCAATTATTCCCATTCATCCCTAGGCCTAAGCCAGTTGCCCTCAATTTCCACGAAGCTACTAGAAAGCAACTGCTGAAAGGCTGAAAGAAAAAAAGAAAAGAAAAGAAAAGAAAAGAAAAGACCATCAAAAAGACCCAGGTTCCTTAAGTGAACTGGATGGTGGCAGTCGGGCTTCTCCACATTGAAATCCCTTAGTTTCACTGGCCACGGCCAGAAACCTGCAGGTGCTTCCATGTTTAGGCACTGCCCATGAAGGGTCCTGGAACAAAAAGAGAAAGAGAGAGAAAAAGATTCCCCTGCATGGAGCAGAAAGAAAAATAGGAAAGGAGAAGAATAAATCCCAAACTTTGGGCTTACCTCTTCCTCCTGGCTGATTCACCAAAATATGTTAATGGTGGAGGGTGTCCAGGTTCTTGCTGTCCTGAACAAAGAATTGGACAAAACACAAAAACAAAGCAAAGAAGGGATGAAGTGATTTGTTGACTATGAAATGAAAGTACACTCAACAGTGTGGGTGTGGAACCGAGCATAGCGGCTCAAAGGTCCTGTTACAGAATTTTTGGGAGTTTAATTACCCCCTAGAGTATTCCATTGGTTACTTCAGGTACACCCTATGTAAATGAAGAGGATGAAGTAAGGTTGCAAAGTCATTTATGGTGTATGCCCTATGGAGAGGATATTTCCTGTTATAACTGAAGTGTTAATCAGCTTTATACTCTCTGCCTCCAGACTCTTATTTTCCTGCCTCCGTAGAGAAATGGACTCCTCATTCAATACTTTAAGAATCATATTATATTTACTTAGATTAGTTATAAAGAATATGAGCTTAAATATAAAATTTCCAGGCCCACCTGAACAAAAATATAACTACGAATACAAATAATCAGAAACAACCAACAGTGAATATTGACTCCTAGAGGCTTTATATATATTATTTATCAGATTTAAAATATAATGTTATTATAAAAATTATATACTGAGTAATAATACATTACTATAATTATCAGATTTAAAACAAACAATTTTTAGAAATAAAGTTCTTCTAACATTAATTTAGTGACATTGTTAAAATATTAGAAATGGTTATTGAAAAAAATTTGCAAATTAAAGTAATCTAAAGACATTATACATCATAAAGATGCATCAAGGATATAGAAAATAAAAAAATAGATGTAACACAATATTGAGAGATAGGACTAGCTGGATTTCCTAGGCCTACTAAGAATTCCTAAGCCAAGCTGGGGAAGGTGACTGCATCCACCTTTAAGCATGGGGCTTGTAACTCAGCTCACACCTGACCAATCAGGTAGTAGAGAAAGCTCACTAAAATACCAATTAGGCTAAAAGCAGGAGGTAAAGAAATAGTCAATCATCTATCACCTGAGAGCACAGGGGGAGGGACAATGATCGGAATATATAAACCCAGGCATTCCAGCTGGTGGTGGCAACCCCCTATGGGTCCCCTCGAGTTTTATGGGAGCTCTATTTTCACTCTACTAAATGTTGCAAATTCACACTCTTCTGGTCCATGTTTGTGCCGGCTGGAGCTGAGCTTTCACTCGTCGTCCACCACTGCTGATCGCCACTGTCGCAGACTGCCACTGACTACCACCCCTCTGGATCCAGCAGGGTGTCCACTGCACTTCTGATACAGGGAGGGGCCCATTCCCACTGCCAATCAGGCTAGAGGCTCGCCATTGTTCCTGCATGGCTAAGTGCCCGGGTTCATCCTAATGGAGCTGAACACTATTTGCTGGGTTCCACGGTCCTCTTCCATGACCCACAGCTTCTAATAGAGCTATAACACTCATTGCATGCCCCGAAGTTCCAAGGTTCCATTCCTTGTAATCCCTGAGGCCAAAAGCCCCAGGTCAGAAAACAAAAGGCTTGCTGCCATCTTGGGAGTGGCCCACGACCATCTTGGGAGCTCTAAGAACAAAGATTCGCCCGTAACAATATGGAAAATAGGATGAAAACGTCCTACATCTAACACATATTTCCAAATAAATACTCTGGACAAGAGAACATAGAGATGAAGGAGCAAGAATATTCAAAGAAATAGTTCTGTAAATTATGCCAAACTCATCAAATATCATATATATAGGAAGCACAATAAATGCAGAGAAAAATATATACAAACAAATCAACAGATAGTCACATAGTATTTTTATTGCATTTTGTCTTTTAAAGAGTATTTAAACTCAATTTGAGAAAAAGCATATCTCAGCCATATCTGTCATATAAGAATACATGCTTCATGAAGATGAACAAATTGACAATGGATTTAGCATTTGGCATGTATATGTAATATAATATTGTTTTCTTTCTCTTTCTCATTAGTTTTCTTGGTTTTCACTGCAATGTTTCTTTGAAGTGAATGACAGGATCATACTCAGGGTCAGCTTTGATTGTTAAAATTTATACAAAGTCTTGAGGGTAAGTCAAGATATTTGACTTGAGTCAATATTATAAAAAACTAAATATAGATTTTCATCTTTTTTTAAAAAAACTTGCTTTATATTACAAAATGACCATTAGCCAAATGATCATTAATCAAATAACCAAATGTTCTCTTTAAAAGCATACAAGTGACTATTTTACTTTCATTTCTTTGATTTTAGAGCACCAAAGTCAAAAAGATGATCTTAAAATCAATATGAGGGAAAATGCACATCATTTATGAAAGAACAATTAGTTTAAAATTAGATGTCAGTGGAATAATATTCTCAAAACATTAGAAGAAAATGAATACTAACTTTACATTTTGTAGCCAAAAATTATCTTTCAAAAATGAAAACATATTATAAACATTTTCAGATTTAAACAGGGAAACAAACAAAACCTAAAATACCTTTCTAAAAGAGACAGTATTGCAGAATCTTATGAAAATGCACTCCTGCAAGAAGTATTGAAGTTCTAATAAGAATATGAGTAAAGGAATTATTGAGGTATAAGTCAATCAAAGCATTTATGGGCTACATAAAGTAACAACAAGAATAACAATGACAAATATAATAATAATGCCTAGTTTGGAGGTGAAGATTCAAAATTAAAATAGTGGACCTCTATCTTATCAAGGTTCTTCAGATAAACAAAATCAATAGAGTATATGTATATACATATAATAAGGTATTGGTTCACATGAATTTGGATGCTGAAAAGTCTCATGATCTGCCACCTTGAGCTAAAGACCCAGGAAAGCTGGTGGTGTGGTTTAAAGCCCAGAGAGCTACAGAGCCCATGATGTGAATTCCAGTCCAAGTTTGAGGGCCTGAGAACCAGGAAGAGCAAGGGGAAGAGATCAATGTTCTACCTCTAACAGTCATGCAGAGGAGAGGTGAATCCAACCTTTCTCAGCTTTTTTCTTCTATTCAGGCCCTCAGTGGGTTGGACAATACTCACTGGCATGGTGAGGGTGACTTTTTTACTCCACTTGCTAGTTCAAATGCTAATTTCTTCTGGAAACATCTTCACAGACACATCACATCCAAAAATAATATTTAAGGAGATATCTGAGTCTCCTGTCGCCCAGTCAAGTTGACATATAAAATTAATCATTACAATCTCAGAAGATAGTAATTTAGAAAAAGGAGGAATGTAGTTAAAGTATTCCTAAGAGTGATTACAACGAATATGTCATCATAGTTACAAGTAAAATCTTCCCGTCTTCCAATGACTTGTACCTCCTTGTATCCACAGTTATGTGTAGTTTTCTGTTACATTGGCTCTGGCCATGAGCATTTTATTTGTTTACTCAATGTTGAAGCAGAATTTTTTTTTTAATGTTAATTAAGGTGTCCTTCTCTGACTTCTAGGAACTGTTTTTCCATCAAGTAATGAACACTGGGCCAGCCTACTAAAGGAGAAGATTATCTGGAGTAGAAATAAACCCTCTTAGGTGAGGCAACCACTAAACTAGCCCTCAGCCAATTGACTGTATGACTGAATTTACATGTAATACTCTATAGAGGACAGCTGCTCAAATTGCTGACCTTTATGATAGTGAGAAAATGCAATCAATGTTTTAAACCATCAAGTTTGGGGGCGTAGTTTTATTTGACAAAATTTAAATGAATATAGGTGCTGTAAAGTTATATAAGAAAACCACAAAGAATAGAAATAGAGCCCATAATTTCTAAAACAGAGCAATGAAAAAAATCAGCAATTTTGCAAAAGGGTAATAAAAATAAAAAATTCAGTGAAAACAAAAAAAATTAGTTGAGAGAAAATGTTTATTATTTTCATTCTTTTGAGAAATATCAAACTCACCTATTATAAGATCAAACTCACTTATTATAAGACAGATTGTCAGATTTTATTAAAATAGTTAAGAACCAACCAAAATAAAAAAGACTTTCAAAGTATAAAAGTTGAGAAAAGAATTAATCAAAGAAATTGGGTGTACTTCAATTTTCTTTTCTACAATTATTTTTTCTTCTCGACTGCAAAAATTCCAGCTTTGCATAGATACAATGTTATCAAAAGGAATGTAGTGTGATATATAGTGCTGGCATTGTGAATTACTTTGTGCTAGTAATTTGTGGTTTATTAAGCATATATTGCTTACCTCAAATATTCAAATTTTAGTACAGTCACTGGCACATATTTAGCATGTAATTAACATGTGCTAGCGAATTAGTTCATATCATATATGGACCTAAACACACCTTTTATATTATGAAATAGGCAGCATTTATATTCATACTTTACATCCCATCACTACTAACAATAAACAATTTTTTTAAAGCTTAGAAAATTTATAAAGTTTATTTTTCTGTTAACTCCTCCAGAATTACCTGGGGTAATTACTATGCATGTCTTAATAAATTGCTACCAACTTTAATCCATCTGGATTAGAAATGACTGATGTCTATCCTTGTCTCCATTCTTGATGCTCAACAGTCTGTTCACTACTTGGTGGCTAAAATGAGGTTTCAAAATGTTACATTGCATTATCACCTGACTCATACTGCCCAAATATTTTCCCAGAGATTTGGAGTGAAATACAAATTTCTCACTGAGATGGTTAAGATATTGCTATTGGCATTATCAATGGATATCAATGGCTACAACTGCTACTTTATACTGCTGCTTCTACTTGGCACTGTACACTCTGATACTCTGCTGCCATCACTTAACACTGTAATGTTTTGTGTTCTTCCTTTTGCAACGCTTCCTTTACATTAGAAATTCTGAGTGGACATTCTAATCGGCTAAGTCTATATCAGGTAGCTATGTCCTACTGCCTGGGTGTGAGAAGAGCGAGTAACTGCCCCCTTCAGGTTCACACTGAGAGAAACTTTGTGTCCAAATGAAATAACACCAAAAGTACAGCTTCTAATTAAACTGTTTTCTTTCATTGTCAAACTTCTTTTATACCCTACTTATTTACTTACACTTAAAAAACAATTTTGCCAGAGAAAATGCAGCCATAATTTTTAAAACTAATGTACACCAAATTCCTCCCCTAAATCATATATTATCAACTCCAACTGAACATGCAAAATTTCTGAGTGATAACCTCTATAATTTAGGACTATTTTTTAATTTATTGGACTAAATTTGCAGGTCATCAAAAATATCTATATCTATATCTATATATAGTAGGTGTGTATGTGTATGTGTACATACATGAAAAGGGAGGGATCATAAAAATAATTGTTAAAATATGCAAATATATATGACACAAAAAAAGAATGAGAACATTAGTAGATATTAGCATTCTCATTTTTAGAACTGGTTTGTAGCTATTGGTGGTACTTATAATTTTTATTTTTTACTATCCGTATCTTGTGTCCTAGTTTCAGATTTATTTAAATTAGATTTAATTTCTTCAAGAACTTGAAGTTATTTCTCTTCTAACAGAAAGCAGCTTGAAAAACCAGACAGACAGTCATTGATATGCAAATGCCAGGTTGCTAGAAGCTAGGTCCACCCACTATGGTGGTTCCAGCTGTCTTCTCCTCATTACCACGTGTGCCAGGTGTCATGGCAGCCTCCAGATAAGGCCACATGTACAAGACATCATGGCTACCTTCATTTGCATCATGAGACCCAGATATCTCATGACACTTGGTTGCTACCACTCTGGGGTGATATAACATAATGTAATATAGTGTACTGGTGAAAAACACAGATTCTAGATTCAGACAACAGAGAATTAATAAAGGAGTTATTAAGAAATAATTTCTTTGGGTAGAGTTTGTAGTCAATGTTTCAGCTACTCTGAATTATGCCTGTAATTCTGTTTTTCCTTCTAAGGAACCTTGAGTTCTTAGTGGGGTACTGTACTTCCTATACATGGTTAAATTAGCAATCTATTAATTGTATTGCTAGATACGGTGGTATTAGAAAACCACACATCATTAGTTGTCCTTGGTTTGATTCATATGCTTTCTTGTCCCTATTTTTATAGAACTAACAATATTTCCCCTAAATATTTAGTATGAATCACCTCACACTATGAAGTCTCCTTTTTCCAGTTTGGCTAATAAAATGCCAGGCCAAAAATTATTAGGTAATAATTGTATTCCTTTTTAGGTTGGGCTCTTTTCCATTGAATGGAACCTTAGAGGAAACATTGTTTTCTTAGGTCCTAAAATATCTGAATCAGTCTAGGCTTACAGAAAGTGGAAGAAACAATATGAAGAGTAAATCATAAGGTGGAACTATGAGATAGTCCATCCTAACTTTAATTCCTTAGATCACAATCTGTTTGGTGAAGTGTGGAAAAGCTTCATCTTATAGTCTAGTAGTATCACAGTATGGTCTTTCTTTTCGATGCCTAAATGTGGGAGGACTACAGGTTTTTATAATATAGACAAACATGTAGCTTCTATAGCTTCTATTCATCATATGTGAGCTTGTTTATGTTATGCAGTTTATATAAAGCTTCTCAAGTGGCTGCCAGTTTTTATCAGTCCTATGAAAATAATAATCTTAATTCC
This sequence comes from Homo sapiens, assembly GCF_000001405.40. Classification (NCBI taxonomy): domain Eukaryota; kingdom Metazoa; phylum Chordata; class Mammalia; order Primates; family Hominidae; genus Homo; species Homo sapiens. The sequence continues at coordinate 64,719,621 of NC_000004.12, read as the reverse complement.
AGATATCTCATGATGCTTGGTTCCTTCCACTCTGGGGTGGTATAATATAATGCAATATAGTATAGTGGTGAAAAACACAGATTCTAGATTCAGACTACATAGAATTAATACAGGAATTGTTAAGAAATGTTTTTTTAGACAGCTAGAAAGGGTGAAAGTTCTTGGTGGAATCTTCCATTTATAAAAAGCGACCCCCAACCATTTCTTTTCTAACAGAAAGTGGCTTGAAAAACTAGACCAGCAGGCATTGATATGCAAATGCTAGAGGCTAGAAGCCAGGTCCACCCAATATAGTGGTTCCCGCCCTCTTCTCCCTGTCACCACGTGTGCCAGGTGTCAGGGCAGCCTCCAGATAAGGCTACATGTGCAGGACATCACGGTGATCTGCATTTGCATATTAAAATGCTAGGGTGGGAGGGCCAGTTTTTTCATGGGCTATGTGAATGACACATCTGGTTAAACCAATCCCCTGGGCCTTATGCAAATCAGACATCACCTCCTCCAGCCCCCCAATATAATTGACTGTTTTCCACTGCAAGAGATATTTCCCAGTTGGAGCTCTCCTCCCTCTGTATGGGACAGCTCTCTTCTTTTTTGTTTATTCAATTTTCCCTCCCTAAAACCACTCCACATAAGTCCATGCTGATAATTTTCTTGGCACAAGACAAAGGAACCTGGTGTTACTCCAATCATTGGAGCCATATCATTCTTGGTGTATTGGCTGGGAAACCAAGGTACAACATTCACTGGAGTGGTAAATAGAGGAGTGAACTCAAAATCTGCCCTATCATTCTGAGGCTCTTGGCCTGTATTTTAAAATCAAAATCAAATCAATTAATGGGTATCTGTCAGCCATCTAGATAAGCTTTTCATGGCTGCTGTTCTAAAGACTCAGATGTCAGTTTTGCTGGTGAGAACAAGGAAAATGCCTCAGTACCCACGGGTCATTGGGAATGTTGGTCATGCTTCAAATCAATTTCTTTTCATGGGGAAACTTAGTTATCTTACAAGGCTAGGAAAATTTCTGAAGCAAATGAGAATTTCTGGCCGGGACACTCGCTGGTGCTATTCAAAGGCTTCTGGACTGAACTCAGCCTCTGTCAGCTTGCTCTGGGTATTGGTAAAAGATCCCCAGCTATCCTGTCACAAAACTTTCCTTCTTTTCCTGTCCATGGTGGTTGTGTCTTTTACTCTCTCTGTTTGCTGAATGTGTGGGAATTTTTACAGCCCAGGGTAGTAATCCTATTAGGCAAGATCAGGAAATGCTGCGGTAATCGCGGATACAGCTCAGGAAAATGCCATTGCAATCTTCTAGGAACAGAGGTCTCCCTTTCCCCAGCAGTGAGGTTACTCACTAATATTCTCCTTGTGAGCACATGGTATTTCTAAGCCAATATTGCCACACAGTGGAAATAGAAATCCTTTTCATAAGACACATTGTGGTCCTCTGTAGTAAAGGGCAGCTTCCCAATTTTTCCTTTTTGTGCCTTTCTACTAGAAACCAGGCTTTATCCTTCTTCTGTGAATGGGAAAATTCTCTTTCAACTATTAGGAGTAAATGTCCTCCACACCCAAATGTTACTCAGTACTGTCCCATCAGCAGGAAAATCACCATTAGGTTCCTGTGTCCCTTTAAGGAATCTATTCTGTCTCCTCTTAAGACAGTACTTAATTAGTAAGGGGATTTTAAGTCTGGAAGTTAACTAAAATCATTTTTCTAAAGGTAAATGCTTTAGCATGGGCCATAATATCAGGCAATCTACACATTCCCTCCGTTAAAGGAGCCTTGCCTTTTATACAGTCTTTCCCAAGATTCATTTTTTTAGGGAGGCATACAGGTCACACAAGTCTAGGAAGTCAAGGGAAATCAAAGGCAGAGGACTAGAGCTACTGGGGTGAGCATGGCTTAGTTCCTCTGGTGCCATGGTTTGGAGGGTCATGCCTACAACCATGGGAGGCAGATTTAACTGGGCGCCAGAACCCAGGAACTAAGGAGGGAAAACAGTCAGGGGTACACTCCCACTGTCTTCTCCACCCTAGGTCACACAGAAAGGAAGGAGATGAAAGGAAACTTTTATTGTCACTTCTCTTTCTAGATGGGTAACAGATTATTTTCAGCTTGCACTCTGGAGTGCATTCTGAAACACTGGAACTTCTTTAACCTTAGGACTTTGAAAAGAAAAGCGACTCATTTTCTTTTGCACAAGAGCATGGCATTTTTACTGAATCTTTGCAAGCATTGTAACATCAACAGGGCTCTTTTTGCAATCATATTGGGAAGACCCAAAGAGAATAATTTCCTAAAATTAGAGAAGCAACTTTCAAGGGAACCATCTAATTATCCCCATCATTTGGGGCCCCTTCAACTTCTCTTCTCATTACAAGACCTTAGGAAAATAAAAGGAGACCTAGGTTAATTTTCTGACAACCCTTATAGGTATATAGACTTCCATTATTTCACTCAGGTGTTTGACCTCACAAGGAGAGATGTTATGTTGCTCCTAAATCAGACCCTCACTGCAGCTGAAAAGCAGGCAGTTCTGCAGGCAGCAGAAAAATATGGAGAAGAGCAACATGTCTCCTATAGCAGACCGAGGAGAAAAGAGGAGATACAAAAGGTGAAGAAGTAGTGGAAACTCCATTCCCCCCAGGAAGAGAAGCAGTTCCAGTAGTTGTCTACTGATTAGAACCCGAATAACTTAGGAGATGAATGGAAAAAGAAGCACTTCTTAATATGCATATTAGAGTGCTTATAAAAAACCAGGACTAAACCTCTTAATTACTCTAAACTGTCCATGATAGACCAAATGCCAGATGAGAATCCTATAGCCTTTTTGGAAAGGCTAATTGAGGCACTAATAGAGTACACCTCCTTATCCCCTGATTCAGCTGAGGGACAGCTCAGTCTACAGGATAAGTTTATGACACCGGCTTCTCCCTATATTAGAAGAAAACCACAGAAGCAAGCTATAGGACCAGATAGCACCTTAGAGAACCTACTGGAGATGGCCACTTTGGTCTTTTATAATAGGGACCAGGAGGAGGCCCAAAAGACAGAAAGCTCAGGAGAAGGAAAGAGGCTCTGGTAGCAGCTTTGCAAGTTTACAACATCCAGGATCCCTGAGGTGCCTCTGCTAGTTGTTATTGATGCGGCAAGCCAGGACATTTTAAGAAGGAATGCCCAAACAGCCACCTTGACCCTGTCTAGCCCGTGGTGGAGACCACTGGAGATCAAACTGTCCCCAGAAGTGGAAGTCACTGGGTTCAGAACCAGTCTCACAGATGGTCCAGTGACTGATGGGTCTCAGGGCTCAAACCCTGGCTGTAGTGACTCAAACTGCCATTACAGCACAGGAGCCCTAAGTGATTCTGAAAATTAAAGGAAGGAAAGTAAACCGCCTTCTAAACACTAAAGTCAGTCTCTCTCTTTTCTCCTCTCTAATTTAGGCCTCCCCTCTTCCCATAGCAGGACCATAAGGGGCTTCTCAGGAAAAATTCTAATCCAATACTTTACCCAACTTCTTAGTTGCAATTAGGAGGACCTGTTTACACATGCTTTTAAGCCATTGCCATGATAGCTCTACTAGTCAGAAAGCCTCCATATTAACCCTGAAAAGTAATTTAACTGTTTTACACTCCACATAATGTGGCAGAATTACTGTCCTCTAGGGAGAGCTCTTAGCTAACAAACAGCCAGTAAATCAAGAAATACCTAAGGCAGGATAAACAGTAGTCACTCTAAATAAAGTCTCTCTCTCTCCAGGCACAAGCTCTCAATTAGCTAAGCTAATAGCTCCTACAAGAGCCACTGAATTAAGCAAAGGAAATGTAGCTAACATTTACACTGACTTCAAGTATACTTTCCTGATTCTCCATGCTTATGTTGCCATTTGGAAGGAAAGGCATTTTCTTACCACTAATGAATTGCCTATAAAATACACCAGGAAATTAACAGCTTATTATCCTGTTTTCCTTCCATGAGAAATAGCAGTGATGCATTGTAAAGGACATCAAAAGGGAACAGATGAGGAAGCCGAAGGAAATACATTAGCTGATCAGGCAGCTAAGTCAGTGGCAAGGAAGCCTCAAGACATTAACACACTTCAAACCCCTCTTATATGGGAAGGTTCCATAAGAGAAATTAAACCTCAGTTTACCCCTACAGAAATAGAATGGGCTACTTCTCTAGGATACACTTTTCAGCCCTCAGGATGTCTAAAGTCAGATGGCAAGCTCCACTTGCCAGCCTCCAGCCAATGGAAAATCTTTAAAATTCTTCACCAGGCTTTTCACCTGGGAAAGGATAAAACTTATCAATGTGCCCAGAGATTGTTTTCAGGAGAGAACTTACTAAAAACAATCAAGCAATTTGCTAATGTTTGTGAAGTCTGTCTTAAAAATAACCCCCCAAACAGGCAGCTCCTTCCTCCTCAAACCCAAAGAATAGGAAGTTGTCCACGGGAAACTGGCAGATAAGACTACCCACATGCCAGAGACAAAGGGCATTCAATACCTGCTGGTATGGGTAGATACTTTCACTAACTGGGTAGAAGCATTTCCATGTCACACAGAAAAAGCCTCTGAGGTAACAAAAGTGTTAGTTAATGAAATAACTTCCGGGTTTGGTCTACCTAAGTTCCTTCAAAGTGACAATGGCCCCTTGCTTAAGGCAGCTGTCACATAAGGGGTCTTAAAACCACTAGGCATAGAATATCATCTCCATTGTGCTTGGAGACCCCAGCCCTTAGGAAAGATAGAGAAAACCAATGATATTATCAAGAGACACCTCAGAAAATTATCCCAAGAAATTCACCTTCCTCGGGTCACTCTTCTTCCCTTGGCCTTACTACAGATAAGAAATACCCCTTAAAAATTAGGTCTTAGCCCTTTTGAGAAGCTGAATAAATGGCCTTTCCTTTCCAGTGATTTTCTATTAGATTGGGAAATCTCTGAGCTGGTTAAACGTGTAACCTCTCTGGCTCACTTCCAACAAGAATTGATACAACTAGCAGAAGCCCAATCCCAGGAAATAGGACCACCTTTATTTAACCCAGGAAATTTGGTATTAGTGAAAACCCTACCTGTCTCTCCTTCCCTAAGCCAAGCTGGGAAGGGCCCTGCACTGTTCTCTTTCAACCACCTTGGCAGCAAAAGTAACAGGTATCAACTTCTGAATACATCACACTCAAGTCAAAGCCTGAAAAGCTGACGGAGCAATCCCTGACAGCCAGAGAAAGGTCATGAGTATCAATGTGAAGAAATAGGAGATCTTAAGCTGAAAAATCATAAAAGATAAGCAACTAAGTGAGGGCTACTCATCTTTCTCAGTGTCATTACTACCTCACCAGATACTTTTTATTATTTCTACCCTTTCCTCTCAAAATTTGCCACCAAATATTAGAACTTCATGTATACTTGCAGAAATATTTTAATTATTTATGGAATTACATTTGTAACTTTGTTAATCCCCAAATGGAAATATTATATATTGGCAAGTAAAATTTTAAATGGAAATCATTTACTACACCACTCTTGTGGGAACTGTTATAGTCACGCTACTGTTTGCAATAGAACTGTACACTGTGGCACCCACAACATGGAATTCTGGCTGTAAAATTCTAATTGCTATAATATTTTGCCCAATTTTCATCCTTGTAACAAGATTAATAATTGCAGAAAAGATTTCACCAAGGTTGTTTTGCTTATAGCAGAAGTAATAGTCATGGATAAGAAGTGAGCAAGAAAGTTTTACTATCATTAAGTTTGATTGGACTGTTTACTGAAGATTTTAGTATGGTGTGCTCTAAGCTATAAAAAGAAGATTATAAAGGAAGAAATTTTATATAAGAAAGGATCTTGTATGGTAAATTCTTGTCCTAAAAGGAAATGACTGGTTGCTTAATGGAAGGATGTTTGGGACAATTCAGAAAGTTTGAGTATGTAGTAACAGGGTCTGTGAATGTTATGAAATAGTAATTAAAGTAAAGGAATTGTCAAGATTAACACTAAAGTTATTGTAGACACCCAATAATGTATTTCTTCCAATTATATTGCAAGTTATAAAAATTGCCTAAGCCTAAAATTATTCTCTAATGGCAAGTCAATGGGAAATGTATGCTTTTCTCAAGGAAAAAAAAAATGTTACTTAACGTTTCTGGTAATTTACAGTGACATCTACTGGAGACCATCCAGTATTACAATCCATTGGCGTAACCTACAGGTATGGAACTCTACTGTCATAGTTATGGTCTATAGGACTTCCACTAACTGGTAATCTTAATGCTTATATTCTAACCCTATATTTTAAACTTTCTTGTGAAATTTATCTCTTTTCACCTAGAAGTAATCAAACTCCAAATGCTGCTGCAGACAGAGCCACACATGGACATGTCATTCTTCCAAGAACCCTTAGATCAACCTCAGGAGGAGGCCCAATTGCTGTCCCTCGACATTATGCCCCTTTTCAGTAGGAAGTAGCCAGAAACAATCATCACCCAGCACCCCCTAACAGCAGTTAGGTTTTTATTACTTTTTATTTTTATTTAGGCTTTATTTACTTTTTATTACTTCTCCTGAGTGGGGGAAGTAATACAGAAGTCATAAAGAAACAATTTTTAGGCAGCTCAAAAGTTCTTGATGGAATTTTCTTTTAACAAAAAATGACCCCAAACCATTTCTTTTCTAATAGAAAATGGCTTGAAAAACCAGACCGGCAGGCATTGATATGCAAATGTCAGAGGCTAGAAACCAGGTCCACCCAATATGGCAGTTTCTGCCCTCTTCTCCTTGTCACTACGTGTGCCAGGTGTCATGGCAGACTTCAGATAAGGCCATGTGTGCAGGACACAATGGCCACTCGCATTTGCATATTAAAAGGCTAGAGCGGGAGGGGCAGTTTTTTCACAGGCAACGTGAATGACACATATGGTCAAACTTGCCCTGAATGAGGACTGCATTCTAGCGGACCATAGGCAATACATAAATCGGCTCGTTTTCTATCTAGTGTGTGTCACAGTTGTTAACATTAACATCAAGGGATAATAATTATACAATTTCAACTACTTTTGTCCCAACCAGGTCAAATAACTAATTCCAGTTAATTCAATTTTTTTTCTGAGGATGTGTTGCCTACATTTCTATCTTTGGAACAAGGCTTTATTAGTCAAAGATACTGGTTGTAATAAATTGAGACCAACTCTGGCTAATGTAATCAGAAAATAAGGTCATTATAATCTGAGTTCGAGTGATTCACAGAAATGAAGGAAAAAGTATTGAAACAGGGCAGAAAAGAACAGTAGTCAAGAGGCACTAAACTGCCAAACTGGCACTAAACCAGTTTGAGCAGGAACGATTGTTCACTCCACCATCATTACTTTACTACTGTAGGACACAACTGTAGTTGAGTATTATTTAAACACTAACAATGGATACCAACACTTTATATTTGTCTACCATGACCATACTGATTCATGCTGTGAATAAATTCCAACTCTTTTTTCTTTTTCCACCAGATTCAAAATCTTGGTAACATATCTAATTGACCATGTACGGTTTGCATGTCTAGCTGCCAGCGTGTAGTGGAGAAAACATTAAACACATTAGGTTTTACAGAGAAAGCAGTGGTTCGTTTCTGAAGAAAGACTCACACAATTTCATTGCCCATTAAAAGAGAAAGGTGGTTGGATGCTGAGCTGATAAAAATAGCAAATGACCACTCAAAAATATGCTCATTAAAAAGCCCTAGCTGTATGTAACGATCCAGTATCCTCAAACAATAATGTAGTGGAACAGATTTTGTTTATAGAAGTTGTTGTATTAAAGTAGAAACAGCATAAGTTCTCGAGTAAGTCTTTAATTTCCAATCAATTTCTTCTGAATCATAGCTTATCTACAGTAGAATAACAAAAATAAAATAATAGATGAATGTTTTTAAAGATAAGTTGCCTTATTAACTTCTAATTTCTACTAAAGATCATTCGTTAGATATCCCATGCTTGCCCCCATGCGAGCCAAAATAAGCCTCCAAACATTCCTCTTTTCTCATCAAATCTAACCATTAACCACAATTTAATGGTAAATAATCTTTCAGTCTCCCAATATCTTGTGAATGCTCAAACACACAGATGAAAATGGGCTCTAAAAGCAAAAAAATATGCCTGATAGAATGATTGACTTATTAAAATACTTAACTATTAAGTTGATAGACCTTGGTTAAGAAAAATAATTAGTATTTTAATTACGGGTATACTCAAAAAACGTAGTAATTCCACTAACTTAAAATAATATCAGAGAGTGACCCCTTCAATTCTCTCTGTAAAAACCTCCTTATTTAGAAATCCAAATTAATTACAAAATTGTCAACCAATCATCTAGACAATTACCTTATTTTATAATGTTACTTTTTGTGGCAGTAAATAAGAATACCATCCCTTTCCCTTTTATAGATATCGAGCCTCATAAAATATTAGAGTTTAAATGGGAAGTAAAAATGGAGATAATTTTGACCCTCATACTTAATAATCTTGTATGATGCTGGGCATTTTTTAAAACCAATCTGTGTACTTACTGCATCTTCAAAATGGAAGTAATAATAGTATGTGTGCATTTCTGTGTACACATATATCTACATATAAACATATATGGAATGTTGTGAACATTAATACATAAAAAAGATGTTTGAAGAGAATATCTGACATGTATAATTAATCCACATTTTTATTCATGTATTGTGAGAGTTATAGCCACCACAGAAAGTTAATGTAATGTAAATGGCTAACTTGTTTGTTTGATATTAAATCATATAATAACATGGAAGGGTTATATGATTATAGGAAAAGAAAGTCAGATGCAGAAATGAAATGTGGGTATATGATGATGAAATTATAACCTATAGGCTGCGTTGCCAATTTTATATTTTGAGGTAAGAGATATAATGTGTAAAAACTTAATTAAACTATAGTTTTTAGAATGTTGAATAGTGCACTGCAGTGCTATTTGGGAAAACAAAAATGTGTACATATGTGAGGGTTTGGGCAAAGACACACTGCATTGGGTAAATAATAGCAAGGAAAAGCATAATTATTTGAAGCCAGACAAGTAAAAGCAGTGACTTACAGGTCACAGAGAATGTTCTCGGAATGTTCGGCAAATCTGCACATGCTAAAATGCCTTGGTGATTCAAAGCAACAATCTCACCCAAAGTAATGTAAATCTTATGGACTGGCCACTTTCAGCCCCAAGTACGAAGTCTTAAGTGAGCTGGTTACAGAGATCCATATAAACAACATGATGTTCACTGAAAGAAGAATAAAAAACTCTTTTTTTTCATTTTTTTCTTCTGGCTGTCAAAGAAACAGTTCCATCAGGCCAATTAGAAATGAGAGGTGGCCAGACGTGGTGGCTCATGCCTGTAATCCCAGCAATTTGAGAGGCTGAGGCGGGCGGATCACCTGAGGTCAGGAGTTTGAGACCAGCCTGGCCAACATGGTGAAACCCCATCTCTACTAAAAATATAAAAATTAGCCAAGTGTGGTGGCTCATGCCTCCAATCCCAGCTACTTGGGAGGCTGAGGCAGGAGAATGGCTTGAACCCGGGAGGCGGAGGTTGCAGTGAGCCGAGATTGCGCTATCGCACTCTAGCCTGGGGGACAAGAGCAAGACTTCATCTCAAAAAAAAAAAAAAAAAAAAAGGAAAGAAAAAAAAAGAAAAGAGAGGCTAGGGACAGATACCAGCATTAGAGGGTTTCACTATTGTCTAATTGTATTTATTATATAGTTGGCTGTGGTTTTACGTTGCATTGTCTAGAGTCTCGAGTATTGCATTTGTTTTGTTTTGTTTTGTTTTGAGATGGAGTCTCACTGTCTTGCCCCGGCTGGAGTGCATTGAGGCGACCTCAGCTCACTGCAACCTCTTCTTCCTAAGCTCAAGCAATCCTCCTACCTCAGCTTCTGGGGTATCTGAGACCATAGATGTGAGTCATCACACTGGGCTAAATTTTTTTTTGTTTTTTTTTTTGTTTGTTTGTTTTTTGGTAGCTATGGGGTTTCACCATGTTGCCCAGACTGGTCTACAATTCCTGAGCTCAAGCAATCAGCCTGCCTTGGGCCTCCCAAAGTGCTGGGATTATAGGCAAAAGCCACCATGCCTGGACAAGGGTCTCAAGTATTGTCTAGAATCCCAAGTCAATCATTGTAAATATCCTAGTAGAATGGACTGTTGAATATAAAGAGCAATTATAAATAAGTTAATCCATAAAAATGAACATATAAACTTAAAAACATTCATAAAAAGGAATAGAAACTATTAACTCACAATAGTGCAGACATCTTTCCAATCATAGAAATATGAGTTAAATAATAATGAGATACTTGTTTTAACTTATTATATTACACGTGCATATTCACTACTTTGGAAGGGTAGCAGTGGTGGAAATTTGAAGCTGACTAGCAAGATAACTGTTTTGAATTAAATTATATGCAACAGAAAAGGTTAACTCATTAAATTAAGTGAAAAAAATCAACATGGTATCCTCAATAAACTATATACAAAAACTAAAAAAAAGGATAACTTTTTAAAACAACACCACAAACAAATTAAAGGACTTACAATAGGATTTTCAAAGTCCTAGATGGCTCCATGTGATACCCATGAGATCTCAGATGCTTTTACATTCATCTGACTTTTAACTCAGAATTTAACATAGTATCTGACACATACTAGACACCCAATAAATGTTTACTGAATAAATGAGTACTCTAAATCAATTGTCTTTCTCTTGATTAGAATTTCAAACAAAGTAAGAAAAATAGTTTGCTTTAAACTGTGACTTCAGGAAGCTGATGCAAATATTTATTTAAATTTGGTATTTAAATTTAAAATTTCAATATGTATATATGAAAATAAAAAGTAAAAATTAGTAATTTATAGACATAAAATTTAGTGTTAAAATTTAATAATACCACAAATAATATAACATAATATAATTTAAATGAAATAAAACAAAATAAAAACTTTAAGTTTTATATACACAGATAAAAAGCAGAAATGCAAAGAACAGAATAGTACAAGCCCCATAGGCAATCTATGCTATGACACAAGCTAAGAAATTGTTTCTAACTTGCATTTTTCCAGGTTTACAAAATATAACATCTGTATTCATTGAATAAATATTATTGAGCATCTACTCTGTGCCACTCTTCTAAGCATTGGGAATATATTACTGAACCAAAGAAGTCTTCTCACTCAGCCAGTGCTAAAGTTTTAGTATAAGGGAATAGATGATAAATCTATATATATATATAAAACATATATAGATGATAAATATATATATAAAACATATATAGATGATAAATATATATATAATATATATTTACATATATTACATATATAATTTACATATTATATATATGTAAATATATATATATTTTTACCTATGCCTGTTGATAAACGGTTGTAAGATTAAAAAATATATATCCAAACAGGTTAAGGGTTTAAGAGAGTGCTCGTAGATTCTCTGGTGACTAATGATATTGAGTATATTTTGTGTGCTTAAGGGCCTTTTATATATCTTTCTTGGCTAAGCATGTATACTCAGACCACTTACCCATTTTCAAAACTTGGGTATTTGTCCTTTGATTATTGAGTCGTATCAATTTTTAAATATTTTAGATATAAGTCCTTTACCAGATATATGAATTGAAAATATTTTCTCCCATTCTGAAGTTGTCTTACACTTTCTTGATGATGTCTTTTGAAGCAAAAAAGTTGCTAATTTTCATGAGGTCTAATTTATCTAGTTTTTCTTTTGTTATATGTGTTTTGACATCATATGTAATAATTATTTGCAAAGTTGAGCACATGAAGATTTACACCTACATCTTTTAGAAAATTTTTATAAATTTGGCCAGGCGTAGTGGCTCATGCCAGTAATCCCAGCACTTTGGGAGGCCGAGGTGGGTGGATCACCTGAGGTCAGGAGTTCGAGACCAGCCTTGCCAACATGGTGAAACCCCGTCCCTACTAAAAATACAAAAAAATCTTCCAGGTGTGGTGGCTGCATGTAGTCTCAGCCACTTGGGAGGCTGAAGCAGGAGAATCACTTGAACCCGGATAGCGAAGGTTGCTGTGAGCCAAGACTGCGCCACTGCACTCCAGCCTGGGCAGCAGAGTGAGAATCTGTCTCAAAAAAAAATATTATAAATTTGTCTTAAGAGAAATGTAGGTCTTTGATTCATTTTGACTTAATTTTTGCATAATGTGTGAGGTAGGTGTCCAACTCAAATCTTTTGCATAAGGCTATCAAGTTGTCAAATCACCATTTATTAAGAAGTCTATTTTTTTTCACCATTGAATGGTCTGAACAAGTAAAAAATTGGTTGACCTGGGGTGTATGGGTTTTTTCCTGGACTCTCAATTCTATTCTATTGATCTGTATCTCTGTCCTTGTGCCAATGCCACATTGTTTTGATTACTGCTGCTTTGTAGTAAGTTTTGAAATTGGGAAATATGTATGTTCTCCTACTGTGCTTTTCTATTTCAGGATTGTTTTGGTTAGTCAGTCAGGGTCCCTTGCAATTCCATATGGATTTTAGAATAAACTTGTCATTTTTTATTTCTTTTCTAAGAAGTCAGCCAGGATTCTTCTTATTGGTATTACATTGAATCTATAGATCAGTTTGCAAGATTATTGCATCTAAATGATACTAAATTATTTCACTGATGAACATGGGATATTTCTCCACTTATTTATATCATTAATTTCTTTTAACGATATTTTGTTTTTACAGCATAGTTTTGTACTTTTTAAATTAAATTTATTTCTATGTATTTTGATCTTTTTATTGCCATTATGAATGTATTGTTTTAAATTTCATATTTGGGATAATCATTCAAGTACATAAAAATATAATTTATTTTTATGTATTGATCTTATGTCCTATAATCTTGCTAAACTTGTTTATTAGTCATCAGTTTTTAATTGGTTCCTTAAGATTTTATTTATATAAGATCAAATCATCTAATATTTGCTAGCTTAACTTCTTTCTTTTCAATATGGATGCCTTTATTTATTTATTTATTTTCTTGACTAACTGCCCTTGCTAGAACCTATAGTATAATGTTGCATAGAACTGGTGAGAGTAGAAATATTTGCCTTATTCCTGATTTTAGGAAAAAGTATCCATTCTTTCACCATTGAGTGTAGCTATAAGCTTTCTCAAGGATATTGTTTTTTAGGTAGAGAATGTTCACTCCATTTTCTAGTTTTTTTGAGTATTTTTATCATTAATATTTGTCCCAACAATTTCCTTTTAGGATCTCCAAGGCATATCTTATGGTCATCATGGTGATTCTACACAAGGCTCTGCTTTTCTCTCAGTACTCATAAATCTATGGAGGCCACTTTCATTATCTCAGTATCTGCTGAGTTGACGTTCTGGTACTGAGACGCAGATTTCTGCAGTTTACTCAAATACGTAAGCCTCAATATTCACAGTACTGCTAAACAGCTCACATTCTGCTAAGAAATGAGGGGAGAAATACCTTCTGGGTTATATTTTCATAAGAATCTTACAGAGCTTGGTGAGACAGCTACCTTAGTGCAGATGTTTGCTCTTGCCTCCAACATATATTATGCTGTTGAGTCTGCAGCTTTTATTTTCCTGTTATTTGCAAGCCTTTAGCCACCACACCTCACCATCAATTCATAATAATATATTTGAGATTAATCCCCTCTTAATCAATATCATTCCACAACTGTCTTTCATTTCAATTTGATAACCCAACCCCATCCTTTGTGCTTTCAGTCCTAAGGTCATACCATGTATCCCAATAATGTTTTGATATGAATAATGTCTATGTTTCTGGGTTTCTGGAGAATTTATTTTGAGACAGGTTCTTTTTCTGTTGCCCAGGCTGGAGTGTAGTGACCTGATTACAGCTCAATGCAGCCTTGACTTCCCAGGATCGAGCTATCCTCCCACAACAGCTTTCTGAGTAGCTGGGACCATAAGCCCATGCCACCAAGCCTGACTAATTTTTCTATTTTTTGTAGACAAATTTTCTTGCTGTATTGTCCAAGCTGGTCTTGAATGTCTGGGCTCAAGCAACCCTTCTGCCTTGGCCTCCCAAAGTGCTGGGGTTACAGGCATGAACCACCATGCCCAGAGGGTTCTAGGTTTTTTTCTTTTTCTTTTCCTCCCACAATCAAAGTCATTAAATTTAAATACATAGTTGTAAAGTGTAAGTGGAGACTAGTTCTCTGCGATAGACTTTTCTGAATTTCTTTTTTATTTATTTATTATTATACTTTAAGTTTTAGGGTACATGTGCACAATGTGCAGGTTTGTTACATATGTATACATGTGACATGCTGGTGCGCTGCACCCACTAACTTGTCATCTAGCATTAGGTATATCTCCCAATGCTATCCCTCCCCCCTCACACCCCACAACAGTCCCCAGAGTATGATGTTCCCCTTCCTGTGTCCATGTGTTCTCATTGTTCAATTCCCACCTATGAGTGAGAATATGCGGTGTTTGGTTTTTTGTTCTTGTGATAGTTTACTGAGAATGATGATTTCCAATTTCATCCATGTCCCTACAAAGGACATGAACTCATCATTTTTTATGGCTGCATAGTATTCCATGGTGTATATGTGCCACATTTTCTTAATCCAGTCTATCATTGTTGGACATTTGGGTTGGTTCCAAGTCTTTGCTATTGTGAATAGTGCCTCAATGAACATACATGTGCATGTGTCTTTATAGCAGCATGATTTATAGTCCTTTGGGTATATACCCAGTAATGGGATGGCTGGGTCAAATGGCATTTCCAGTTCTAGATCCCTGAGGAATCGCCACACTGACTTCCACAATGGTTGAACTAGTTTACAGTCCCACTAACAGCGTAAAAGTGTTCCTATTTCTCCACATCCTCTCCAGCACCTGTTGTTTCCTGACTTTTTAATGATTGCCATTCTAACTGGTGTGAGATGATATCTCATTGTGGTTTTGTTATGCATTTCTCTGATGGCCAGTGATGGTGAGCATTTTTTCATGTGTTTTTTGGCTGCATAAATGTCTTCTCATTCTGTTTCTTTTTTTTTTTTTTTTTTTGAGACGGAGTCTAGCACTGTCGTCCAGGCTGGATGGAGTGCAGTGGCATGATCTCTGCTCACTGCAAGCTCTGCCTCCCGGGTTCACGCCATTCTTCTGCCTCAGCCTCCCGAGTAGCTGGGACTACAGGTGCCCACCACCATGCCCAGCTAATTTTTTGTATTTTCTGTAGAGATGGGGTTTCACCATGTTAGCCAGGATGGTCTCGATCTCCTGACCTCGTGATCTGCCCGCTTCGGCCTCCCAAAGTGCTGGGATTACAGACATGAGCCACTGCACCCTGCCCTATATTTCATTCTTAACATAGTTAGATTATCCAGCAACACACATCTTTTCCCTTCTGAAGTCATGGAGTACAGATGAGAGTCATTTTGCATTTTTTATTTGCTGTTGTTGTACTGCTTTATCATAAGTGGTTTAGAAATGATCATATTCTAGCTAATTTCTAAAGGTGATCTCTTTCCAAGTAATCATATGATCTATCTCTCTATCACATTGCAATAGTTTATTAATTCCTTCTGCCATTGTAATACAGTGCTTACATTCTCTCTGTTTCTAGTAAATCCAACAGATTGCATAAAATACAGCAATAATTACATGATTTTCCTGTTAAAACTATTCATATGCTCCTCAGTAGCTATAGGATATTATCTGAACTGCACATTATATTTGGGCTAATAGAATCAGATTCAGTGCTTCAAAGAAGGGGATAGAAAAAGACTAGATGGACTATGGAACCAGAGTGGTAAGCAAACTTCAGACCTATGGTTTAGTAAACAAAGAGAGAAGAATGAATTGAAGTTTGCTGCAATCTTATCAACTCTCCCCATTTTTAATGCTCACATCCCTGCTAGAAAGATGTATGTCAGATCTTCAACGGAACCATTTTCAGGTAAATTCTACCTTCCGTAAAGATTGGATGGAGCGAAGTGCCCAGGAGCTTTTAGTATATGTAGCAGAGGAGTGGGTAATCAGGGTTGGGTATGGATGGGATGGTAAGTAAATGGTCAGGAGGAAGAGAAAAGATGAGACTCAACACCGTCTTTCTTTCGAAGTGCTTAGCTGATTGAGGAAGGTAGAATGGTGAATCTGTTTATGAAAGGTCTTTAGTTGAGCTAGCCTGAGGAGGACTGAAATAACAAGATTATCCCAGATTAAATGGATGGTCCCTAAATGTGATGAACTTTATCTCTTTCAGAAGGAAAGATAGTGTGTAGGAGCATTGGCATTTATTTTTCTTTTCTTTTTTTTTTCTTTTGAGACGGAGTTTCACACTTGTTGCTCAGGCTGGAGTGCAATGGTAAGATCTCGGCTCACTGTAACCTCCGCATCCTGGGTTCAAGCAATTCTCCTTTCTCAGCCTCCCAAGTAGCTGGGATTACAGGCATCCACCATCACACCTGACTAATTTTGTATTTTTAGTAGAGATGGGGTTTCACCATGTTGGCCAGGCTGCTCTCAAACTCCTAACCTTAAATGATCCACCTGCCTCAGCCTCCCAAAGTGCCGGGATTACAGGCATGAGCCACCACACTGGCCATCTGAATTTCTTAATATGTTAGTAACAAAGTTTCTGAAGATAAAGTTTAGTGTTTACTAGAATTTATATTTTTCAGTTAATACACATTATCATTTTAAGTTCTCTAATAAAAACCAGTTATTTTCTAGGACCTAAGCCTTCATTTTGTTCCACCCATATGAAAGGCAAAATAAATTATTCAAATATTAAAAGTAATGAGGAAATCATCATGTTTATTTTTATTAGGTTATTCAAGGGATTGTATGTGTAAAACTACCTTTTACTTAGGATACTATTGAATTTCATAGTTCTTAATCAATGTCCTTAATATAAAAATACTTTGAAATAAACTCCAACTTAGCTATATATTCTCCTTTCTGTCTATTAATTCTACTTGGAAGAGCTATCTTAAAAGCTGCTAAAACCCCATAGGCCAGGAGCATGCTTACTTGTTTCATGGGGTTCTGGTAGATATAGTTCACTAATTTTCTTTTAAAATGAGAAAGAAAGGTGAACACAGCAAGATAGTTCTCTGCTTGAATGCTACTACACAGCATCAGAGGTTTTTTATGTCATTCAATTTAGATTTCTCTTCTGTGGCTTGAAGAAGAAAACCCAGCAGCAGTTCCCATAAAAACAACCATTCCAGGTGGTTATCAGGTCCAATTACAGCTTCACGGTTAGGTATGATTCAAGTTGCTAAGGAATTAGAAAATAATGCTAAGAACTTATCAGTGGATATTTAGTTTAGAGAAGAGAATTGGTTAGAATGAGCAATTATTTTTATATAGGAAGATCTTTAATATATAGACATTAATATTTGAACTTCTTGAAGTTCCACCTAGGACACAACCAAGAAACAGAATTTTAAAGCCAGTGAGATAAATGTAAAAACCATGTAAGATCAATTACAGATAGTGCTCAATTAAAATAATGTATTAAAAACTAAAAGTTTTATTTTAAATAGTTATTATCATATTCTGATAGCTGGCACATTGGACCTTGAACTAAAGTTTATTTTCAACCAATTCTGGGAGGCAGAGTAATATATTTAAGTTACTTAAGCAATTTTTTTCTATAATAAAATAGAATTTGGTAGTGTTATTTGTCAAGCGGAGAAAAACAGAATGACTTTCATAAGGCATTTGCCCTGTTACATAGGCATTTTCTATGTTTGAAATTACTTATCACCACATTCAAGTATGCAAACAGTTAAACTAAACTAATCTTCCACTGTTAAAATGAAGAGAAGATAGAGGAAACATTAAAAAATAAGCGAAACAGAAAGAAAAATTCATAAGAACTAAAAAATCTGTAAAAAATATTATATATCATGAATACCTCTGTTCTAACTAGGTTCAATGCATTTTTGTTGTATTTTATGGTAATATTAGATAAGCTGATTTTCAAGTCTTTTGTTGTACTGATGTATGAAAATATACTACTTAGCATTGTACCGTCATATATACTACAAAATCTTACATGAAGTCATAAACTGGCTTTTTCTGACAACCACTAACACTATGCCTTGTGGAATTACGCTTTTAAGGAAAAAGATAAGCAGCAGGGAGTCTCCTCAATTCCTGATTGTGTTATTCTCAGTGTTGTTTACAGCTGTAGTTTGAGTTTAAAAAACTTCAGAGATGCATGGACATTGTACTTATTATGTTGTTTAGATGACTTAATTGACACGTAAAGTCTGCGTTGCCGTGGAAGAGTAAACTCTTGAGAAAATTATTTTAAGACTATTAAGATGCATAAAGTTGATGGAAATGGTTTTCAAATTGTATTAAATAAATTGATGGCTTCTTGAAGACTGAAGAGATGCGATAGGAACTGGGTTAAATAGACATATTTGTCATTAGCAAAATTTATTTCATTACTCTTTTTTATCCATATTAGGGAGATATGAACAGAAATATGATCAACAATCCACAGATAGTGTAGCTTTATGTGTTATACTGAAAATGTACAGAAAAAAAGTTTGATGATGGAGGAACTATCAACAATATCTGTAAGTTGGCATGATGTAATATTCAGTAGTCATAAAAATAACTTATTTGGTGACTCTTTACCAACATGAGAAAATTGTCCTTATAATTATAGAAAAATGGCAAAAATAAAGATTAAACATGAACAAACTGTACTATAATAATTTTGTTATAAGTCCTATATATTATATACACACACACACACACACAGAGAAATAAAAACTACAACAAAAGAGAGACAAAATAGTAACATTGCTCTCTAAATGAGATTTTTGCGCTTCATTGTACTTACCAAATGTTAACTGTGTGGACATAGTATTTTTTTTACAATCAGACAAAACACATGATTAAAACTTTTCCAAAAATTTTGATAGAACAATGTGTATGAGTAATAGCTGATTTTGTCAAAATACAATTAGATTGTAAAGTGAAATAAATGTTGATTGTGCTGAATGTATTCTCATTTTTTCTTTGCCATAAAAACACGTTATTTGTGAATACAATGAATTTGAACAGAAATGAATTTTTTTTTCACCCAAAGGAAATGCCAAAAGAAAAATTTCTGTATACATTTACTAACACAATTATTTTTGTTCTGTAACTACATAAAATTAATCTTCATATTATATTGTAGTCCCAGTTACCTAAGGCTTTTATGCTGGAAGAGGCAAGATGGAATTCAACAGTACAAATAGTCTATACATTATTTTATATTACATTGAAAATATGAACAAATATAGAAAACAATTTCTTGTTATGGCCCTAAGTCTTATACTAATTTTCTCTTTTCTGAGGATGTCCTTATTATACAAAAGTGGGTTGACATAGCCATGGCTGTGGTTTTTAACCCTGTGCTTCTTGACACATTTGATTTATCCAGAGTTCCATATATAAACAAAGTTAGACCAAATACTCTCTGAAAAGAATCGCAATAAAACATAGACACTTGGGAGCCTTGGAGTAGAGTTATCCTAATACTAGAGTATGGAAAGTCATGTCTATCTACTTTTGATATTCAAAGAGCTTCCAAGTATTTTCATTCCCCAGGTTTTCTTTTTCTTTTACCTTTGTCGTGTATAGAATGCTGTACTCTTTCCATTATTTCTCCTTTTTGGGCAATTTAGCTATATTTGGTTACTATTACTTACATTCCTTAACCGTGCATTCTCTCCTGTTACTTGCATTACTTAGAAAGTAAATCTTAATCAAGTCATGTACATTTTCTTCTGCATCCCTCTAATTTTTCTCTTCATCAGAATTGCTGTTTTCTGAACTCAGATTGAAATATCTAGAATAAAACGAACTGAAAATACATAATAATTTAGTCTTACAGAGGAAGTTAAAAGCTTAAAAACATGATAATATTTGATAGATAAGCTAGTATAGCATTAATAAAATTTGAGGTAGATTGCATGACATCAGGAAAAGTATAATACGTTAACTTCAAAAGGAAGTAGTGTGAAAAGAAAAACTACATTTTTCCTATGCCCTTTGATATTCAATGAGTTTGACAGTTATTTCTTTACTGTTAGGTCCAAGAATATTTCTTTTAAGAAAAACAACCAAACAAACAAAACAAAAGAATACTTAGTAAAATATCAAGATTCTAAGAAAATTGTAGTTAATTGCCTTTTTATTTTCTAATATAAAGTGTTGTCTCCTCAAAACATGTCATAGCATTCAGTTCCAAGTGGCAACTGACTATTTGTTTTCTTAACTACAGCCATAGAGGAGCAAGTGGTACAATTGTCAGGAATACATCAAGACAGTATTCACGATTCCTTTTATTTACTTAGGAGGGTTGATTGACTGAGGACTACAGGCACCCTAGATGATTATATTAGCTTAGATTCTGGATCTACCAGGATTTTACGGTGTGGTTAACAGAGGGATAGTTTATTTATTTTTAATAATTGGGAATTTTCTGAATTCCTAAGATCACCTTTTCCTTTTACAATTTAAAAAAAATGTGGTTTCTGGGTTAAAGGATAATTTCCCATTTTTTCATTTTTGTTTTAGTAGTTCACTTGTTAAGTTCTCAAGACTTTTACTCAATTCAGCTACAAATCAGGTTTAAGCCAAACTGGCAAATGTTATCTTAAATAAAAATATCTAGCAAATGCCATGATATTTATGCCAGCATGTGTTTGCTTTTTCTGGCCATCCTAACAGCTTTTCTTGATTAAAAACCACCTACACATACATTCTAGATGTGAAAAGAAACCACCTAGACTACATTTCTAGGAAGAAAAGAAAGAGCTCATACTTGCCACTACTACACTAAGACATAATGCTACGGATATTTGACACTAAAATATTTCTCTATAATATTCAATATTAACATTGGCCAAGGCTAATCAATTCCTTTGATTATAACAAACATCTAAATAGCAGTCCAATTCCTAGGTAATAAAAATCAATTAGCTGATCAATAGGCAAATCTTTTGTTAAGATTTTGAAGCACATCTGACAGGCTTTAGGCTATACTTATCTCTTGATGGACTTAACAGGTTTAATGACTGCAAAATTGTATTTCAGTAGAGACAATGCACATCTGGAATAACAGCACGCATTTCAGCTGCCTCCAGAGTACCACACCATTGACTTCAAATACAGTCCTCACAGTGTAAATGAAGCTTATTCTTTGACATGCTAATGCCTATCTTGGCTGGGTCTCATTTTAGACCTGCCAGTACAAGAGACAAACTTCAAAGTGTCAGGGGGGTACTTTAAAGTTACTGTAGCATTTGCTTGTTTTGAGGAATACACAGTCTTACTCTTCGATGAACAGTTTGGACCTTCTTTATCCCACTTTCACCTTATCATCTTTAATTACCACAAAACCCATGAGTACCAGCATGTGAGATCAAATGCCTGTTTGATGATCCAAATGCCTTAAGAGGCAAATGGAGGAGCAGCTGTTTTGTTTAAAATGAAGGAAAACAGAAGGTAACATGGAAGAAAACTGTGTGAAAACTTAATCATCTCCAAATGCTAAATGGCCTTGTCATACTTATACGATGTGAAGGGTAATAACCGGAAACATTTTCTACTGAGGGTTCCTGCTCCACAAAGATCCCTCCCCTCTTAACTGTGGTGTTGGGGGCTCAGTTCCAGACAAGAAAATTATCCCTTGAGCTAATATTTGGCACTCTCAGCCTGTGGAATGTTCTTTGAGTGCAGTTTCACAGTTTGAGCTTCAGTTCCCACCCACGGAGGACAAACTCTAAAGCTTGAAAGAGTGAACTGGGAGAGTTTGAAAGTTTGAAGTTCTATGCCATTGAAGTGACAGTTGATACTCATAAAATTTTTCATGTTTTATACTCATGCTAATTATATTAAAAAACATAATGGTGTATTCATTAGCCTTTAAAAAATGCTGGAAATATGAAATACAAAGTTGGATTTGGGGCTGGCTTATGTTTCTAAACATGAGAGAAGAAAATCTTAATATTTCTTTTGTTTATTCTTAGGATATGTACAAGAATTTTTCATAAGGACACAAGAAAAGAAAACCTTAATATTTCTTTTGTTTATTCTTAGGATATGTAAAAGAAGAATTTTTCTTAAAGGATATTTCATAGATAAATAAGTTTATGTATGCGTGTATGTATTTATTTATTTTTTACAGTGAGTCTTGCTCTGTTGCCCAGGCTGGAGTGCAGTGGCGTGATCTGAACTCACTGCAACCTCCGCCTCCCAGGTTCAAGCGATTCTCCTGCCTCAGCCTCCCAAGTAGCTGGGATTACAGGCATGCGCCACCACGCCCTGCTAATTTTTGTATTTTGGGTAGAGACAGGGTTTCACCATGTTGACCAGGTTAGTCTCAAACTCCTGACCTCGGGTGATCCACCCGCCTCGACAGAGTGCTGGGATTACAGGGGTGAGCCACTGCGCCCTGCCACAATAAGGTTTCTATTTGTATCATAGGCATGTTCTGAAGAAAATTATCAAAGTAAGATAAAACTAATGGAAATAAGAGACTTAAAATTGTTCAGTTATTACATGGCTAGAACTCTGGATTTAAGATGTTTATACTACACAATACTGATTTGCCTAATTATACCTTAATATTTTTTAGTTTATAGTGTTAGATAACATAATAGTTTATGAGTTCATGCTACTGATACATTAAATCAGTTTAACAGCTGAAAGAAATTGGGCTACAGTTGACAATTTCTGTTTGGACAGAAGCTTTACCTCAAATATACACTTAGATATTGATAAAGATTTCTCCCCTCCTTGGGCCCCCAAGAGTAGGCATTTCTAATATTAATTCATATTATCTTACAAACAGAATGCCAGGTAATGCACTGTTTCTAAAAAGACTCTATGGATTTTTCATGTGCTTAAAGCAAGGGCTATTAGTTTTAGTGCTCTTGAGTAAAGTGATTAAACATAACTATCAGCATGCATTTTGTGAGAGAACACATAAGAAAGCACAGTAATCTTGATAAGCCACCAGTCACATCGGAAGAAATTGATGTTTTCCTCTGAGCTCAATACAAGGGCAATGCAAGAGCATCTACAGAGAATGCAGTCCATTAAACAGCGATAACCTAATTCACATTCAGCTCAGTAAATGGGTCAGGATGCAATAACTTTTTATAAAATTATACAATTTTACCTCAAAAAGAGCTAAAAAAAAAGCCATTATATGCACATCCCCTCCATTTTATTTTACTGATGCTTAGGCTAAAATGAGTTAAAGACAAAAAAGAAAATGTGTATGACGTGGCAATAACAAATCTAAAAATACATTTCATGTATATTCCCAATTGTATAGTTCAGATAAAACAAAGCTTGAGAAAGAGAAACGATAGGCTTAAAAATCACATTTTAGATATAGTTCCTAGAGAAGTCAAGTCATTAATGCCCCAGACCCTGGAATTAAATTCTCATAGTTCAACTCCTGGCCTTACCACTAACTGATTCTGTTACTTTCAAAAAACTAATTTAGCTTGTTTGTGCTGTTTTCTCACAAGCTAAGTGTAAATGACAATGGAGTATTTCATGAGATTACCTTGAAGATTAAATGAGCTGATACATGTTGAGTGCCTACCTCAGTGATTAGCACACAGCAAGTGCTCAATGTTTTTGTATATGTGTATGCATACACACACACGCACACATATAATGATCTATATATATGTATATTTTTTGTGGGGTGAAGCATTGGAAAATATTTTGTAGATGTTGTAGAAAAGTGCTATTTCCTTCCTAAATGCTTCACTTTTAGCAAACTATTGTACCTAGGCTGAATGTGTCTCACCATCTGTTTTTGTAAATATAATCTTATTGGGACAAAGCCATGTACATATATTCCTGGGTCGTTTGTGGCTACTTTTGTGCTACAACAGACTTTAAGTAGTCACACAAGTGGCACATAAAACTATAAATATTTATGTTTGGGTAATTTACAGAAAAGTTTGAAGACCCCAGAACAAGGCATTTTCTCATACAACAAGACTAACATCACATACCAAAGGAATTTAACATTGATATACTATAGACTAATACACAACCTATTTTCAAAATACCCCATTAATGCCTCCTTGGGAATTGGCTTCTAAGAATTACAGACAAGGAGAATGAATGAAATTTAGGCAAGTTAAAAGAATAAAGCAAGAAAATAGTGTTTCAGAAAGAGGAAGTTATGTTCAAAAGCTCAGAGAAGAAACTAGAAGATATTCAGGATTACTTAAGGCTCTCCTCTTAGAACAGTGTAGAGAAATTCAGAAGTTATGGTAGGGTCAAATTTTGAAAAATCTAATAAACAACATTAAATAATTTATTTTTCCCCCGAAAGAATGAAACTGCCCAATCGTTTTTTGTTTTCTCAATAACCTGATATGATTTATGTCTAAAAATAAATTAATCTGGCTGTAGGATAAAGAATGAACTGCAGAGGAGGACATGAGGAAGCAGGAACACCAATCAACAATAAGTTATTACTCTATGTGAGAGAAGAGCATGGCCTACCAATAGAAGTATTGGGATAGTCATGGAACTGGACTCGAGAGATATAAAAGAGATTGAATGAGTAAAGTTGGATTTATGATTAAATATCTGAAGACAAGAAGGTACAGGATAATGTATAGAATTTTTAGTTTTTGGTTGGAACACTTGGTTAAATTTTTTTTCCATTTGAACATGAGGATCCTGGAAGGAGAGGTCACAGGTTTAGGACTGGGCTGGAGATAGAGCGTGAGTGATAGTGATGTCACACAAGTAGGATACTTAGAATGAGAAACAAACCACCTATGCTAGAAGTATAATATGATTTATGAAAACAAAGAAAAACCCTCAAAAGAGGAAAAAGACTCAGAGGGATGGAAGGAAGATGAAACATTACTTGATCATGAAAACCATTTTCAGATAATGAGGAAAAAGGTAGAGTGTGATGCTTAACATGGGTGGAATAATTTGAAATGGCAGAGAGGAGAGAACTAAGCAACAAACATATAAGAGTTTCCAAGCAGAGTTGGTATAGCTGAGATAATGAAGATTCTGAATTCAATGCAGACTTGATCTATATGTACTTCTTTAAAAGCATTTGCATAAATTAGAATGCCTAATGAACTTGTAAAGAAATGCAGTTGAAAAGGAGGCATGCAATAAATGAAAAGGCTTCAAGTATGACAGACCTGGGTTCAAATTCAAGAGCTGTTGCTTAGTAGATTGTCTTCTTGGGTAAGTTATATAACTTCATGATTATCACGTTACGTTAGATCCCCTGAGTATTACATTACATCCTGGTTTTAAAGTGATGAACACTCAGTAAATGTTTGCTGTTTTTATATGTTCTGAATATAAGCCTGAGCCACATGTTATTTTAACTGCATATGGTTCTCCATTTCAAGAGCACCATTCAGCAATGAAAATAATGTTTTTATTTTGTTTTTCTTTTTTTTTTTTTTTGAGATGGGAGTCTTGATCTGTTGCCCAGGCTGGAGGGCAATGTTGCAATCTGAACTCACTGCAACCTCAGCCTCCTGGGTTCAAGCAATTTGCCTGCCTCAGCCTCCTGAGTAGCTGGGATTACAGGTACACACCACCATGCCCAGCTAATTTTTGTATTTTTAGTAGAGACGGGGTCTCACCATGTTGGCCAGGCTGGTCTCCAACTCCTGACCTCAAATTATCCGCCCACCTCAGCCTCTCAAAGTGCTGGGGTTACAGGTGTGAGTCACTGTGCCCCACCTAAAATACATTTTAAAAGAATTGCAATACTTAGATCTGCCTTATAAATTATTGTATATCATCTCCAACAAACTTTTCGAAGTTTTTTTTTTTTTTTTTTTTTGTGAGATGGAATCTTGCTCTGTCACCCAAGCTGGAGTGCAGTGGCCTGATCTCGGCTTACTGCAACCTCCGCCTCCCGGGTTCAAGCGATTCTCCTGCCTCAGCCTCCTGAGTATCTGGGACTAGAGGCATGTGCCACCACACCTGGCTAATTTATTGTATTTTTAGTAGAGACAGGGTTTCACTGTGTTAGCCGATGGTCTCGATCTCCTGATCTCGTGATCCAACTGCCTCAACCTCCCAAAGTGCTGGGATTACGGGCTTGAGTGACCGCGCCTGGCCTCAAAGGTATTTTTATACTTCATTTTCTCCTCAATATTCTTTCACCCTCAAACTGCTCTGAACATCTCATATTGTATACTAAACCACCTAAATTATTTCTGACAGCCCTGATTAGCACTGTGGTTTCTCCATGACCTCTATGCATTACTTGCCTCATTTATAAGAATAACAGTTTATTTCTCAATCTATGGTTCTGTATATGTTTGTTTTCATTTTAGGGGTCAAGTTTAGGAACTCAGAATTAGTTTCAATCTGGAGCACATTGATCTTTTGGCCAAATTAAAGGTTAAGAGTGGTGGAGTAAACAATTAAGTATGATTAACTTCCACTGTAATGTTTTTATGTGGATATTTTCAGTTCAACTTAAGAATCAATTGCTGTCTTTCAGAAGGAAGAAAACAATAGAAAAAAAAAAAAGAAAGACCAGAGCATTACATTTCTGCTTCTCTATATTTGAAACATCTTAATATTAGTTTGCAGTAAGATTTATGTAGTTATATTCGGCCTTCAAACTTCATTGTTCTACCCAATGATAATGCTATGTTTACAATTTATGAAAAACGTTAATCATTAAAGTAAAATAAATGTATTTTATAAATTAATTTAAACATATATCTTCTAAGAGTCATTGAATTTATGAGTCATGAAATCTATTTAAAATTTACTGTTTTTTAACTTTATTTTAGATTCAGGGGTACGTAGTTTTGTTATATAGATAAACTTTTGTCATGGTGGTTTGCTGTCCAGGTTATTTCATGAAATCTATGTATCATAAATTTGTAATAATAAAATCTCTTTTTTCCCAGCAGGAAAAAAAGGCATTGCCATATGTCAGTAAAACAACAACAACAACAAAATAAAACAGTAGAAAGAAAAAGAATTATCTTCCTTTTAAGAGAAAAAATTAAAAGGTGGTATGAATTGAAAGTCAAAATTACGAAATAAAAAATTGAATGTCATTGGAGTCACTCTGAGTTCTGTCTTTTTGTCACAATGGTATGGGGAGTCACAAAAGGACCAGGAAAAAACTGGCTCAGATTTAAAATAGAGTGAAAGAAAAAAAACATAGAAATCTGTGAATGCTTTATAGTTATCCATAATACATGTAGATTTTGCCAAATTGATTTTAGGAAAAAAAATGGAAGGAATGCTGTTTTATATTGCATAACAATAGATGTTAATGTTAAGGAAAAAATAAGCACACTCCACATACAAGTTATACTTGCAAGGTACATGGCACATTTTTTAAGAGGCTTTATATTTTATGCAATAGTTATATAAATTCATAACTTAGAATTTTGCCAAAGTAACTGTGTTCCAATATTCCCACCTGTATGGAAATATACAGGTGGGAATATTGGAACATACCTGTATGGGAATATTGAAACACAGTTACTTTGGCAAAATATAAAATCAAGCAATGTGGCAAATCTGAAGGGAAACTTATCTAAGGTAATCACCAGACCTATTTGGCTAAAAGGAATTTTTCCTTTTCTAAGGTCAGCTTTGTTTTGATCAGTTATTACAATGCAGTGTATAGTTTATCATGCCTAAACACTAAAGATAGATTTTAAAAAATCAAAGTTTCCTATTTGTAGAGTTAGTTACCTTTAAAATCTTCAAATACATTTTTCATACAAGAAAAATATTTTGACAGTCTTTGTTCTCAATTTCACTGACATTAAGGAGACGTTAAAATAATTTTTGAGGTGATGATCTGGATACTGTATCTTATAGAACCCAATATTGGATGAGAACTGACTTTAAACCGTAGATGTTATCTTAAAAAATAAAACATTATTTTCTTGGTATTTTTTGACAAATATTCTATACAAATCCATTTTTTCCTTTGTTTTTTATTTCTAGTTATTCAGGCTTCGTTTTCACCACTACACAATGGGAAACTGTCCCATTGATTGGCAAAGAATGCACACTGATGAATAACGTGATGCCATACATTATGCAAAAGCCAAACTGCCTGAAATATCCCTGTAATGTATTATTGTTCTCTTTGACAAAGAAGTAAAACTAATGGTGAATGCTGCTTGATTTTCACAATATTTAGCAAGGTCATAATTTTTTTTGTTTCTGATTTTCGATTTTATTCATCAATATATGTTGTATTTTAAATTTTATCCTATTATATAGGATAACCAAATACATAGTCTTAATTTATATTTGATTGTATTTGTCTTACCACTGTATCATATGGTGGTCAATAACATGAAATCTTTTGGACTTTGTAGTCCTCTAAGAACTGTAGTTTTGCCTTCTGTGCTTTATGTGTGATACAATTCTTTGAAAAATATGTGTATTTAATTCTAAAGTTCCATGCATGTGCTTACAACAATTATATAACATTAAAGAATTAATGCTAATGCTGAATAATTTTAATTTTCTCAAACATCTCATGAAAATAAATTTTATGAAATGACCCTTACCATCTCCCAAATAATTTTCTAACAATCTGGTTTAAATAAAAGTGTATGTTTTATTTGTTGAAGGACTTTCAAATATATGAAATATGCATATTTGTTCATATTCTTCACAGAATATTTCTTGGAACCCGCGGGATCATTGTTGTATAAAACACACTTAAAGAAGTGTTGCTTTATAATCCTTTTGCCAAATAAAATGCTTGTACTTCTTGATTCATTTTGTAAATTAATATTACTATTGCAATTCAGATTTCAATAGAATTTACTCAGTACCTAGTGATGGTAAATGGAAAGAAATACACTACTAAATGAATATTAATCTAAATTTGTTCCTATTTAATTTTATCTCTAAATCATAATTTGCATATTTCCTAGGTAATTTAATCCATACACTCACCTTATATAAGTAAGCCTATTTTTTTCTAGTTGAAATCTTATTTCAGACATAGGAATGTAAAAGAAGTCCTCAATATTATTAACAATATTTGAACATCATTTTGTTTAAAGAGTGCATTCTTTAGTATTTTAAATGCCAAGATCTAATATAGAATGATATACTTTAAAATTTAGGGTTGAGGATGAATGTCACGATTTGAAAAATAAGTGGAAGCCGAAGGTCGAAGTTAAGAAAAAAAAATTAATAAAAACTTTTCACAATCCTAAATCCTTATTTGCTTTGGCCTAGAAGGAATGTAAAGATAATTTGATTGTAATACCATTAACAACAGAAGTGTCAAGGTAAATTTTCTAAATGTTTTTCAAGACTTAAAGAAAATGTTAAACATTTACATTGATTACATTATATTATATTATATTATACATTATATTATATTCATTATATTTCATTATATTAAAAATAAAAAAAACTAGGGCTTATGGGCTATTTTAGAACCAAACTCTTTATAAATCCATAGACAAACTGCACTTTTATTTAGGCTCTTCTTGTGGAAGTTTTTATTTTCTGTTATAGAAATAACTTTTTTCTTTGAATAAATTGAAAATAATACAGATATTTAGAATTAACCTATAGATCTTTCTCATTTTGATACTTTTATGATTGATTAATCTGATTACTTTGGAACTTGTGGTAGATTTTTTTCATTTTGCTACTTTTATGATTGATTAATCTGATTACTTTGAATGGAATTTGAGGTCATTATATTTTTCCCATATGATCATAAACTACTTTAATATAAAAGTAGCTCTGCCTTTACTTCTGTGGATTTATTATACATAACAAAAATAATTAATTATAATTATATAAAATAGTTGTCAGATTTACTTCCAGTGCATGATGTGAAGAAGAGTTGCTCCAGGTGAAGCAAGAGCTTTCTAGTAGATTTTTTCTAATCATTGCACATTAAAATTTTAATCTTCACACACAAAACAGAAAGGTGTAATTCATTTGTTTTCAGTAGAATGAATTATTTCTTGTATCAGATATATAATGTGTTTACATGATAAAGTAAGTTTGTTTCAAAACATTTGGGAACTTGACCAACATTTTCTTTTTATTTGACATGAATGACTTTTTGAACAAATCTGGCTAAGGTTGAAACATTATAGTTTGTCTTGGAAAATTCTGTTAACTCTTACAATCATTCACTTTGTTTACCTGTAAAACAGAGATAAATATCTAGATATTGGTGAAAAAGTCTCAAACCAAACTAATACTAATGCACCAAAGAATGGGATTCCCTTTAGGAAGGCCAAAGTGAAGGAGACTGATGTTTCTTGAGCACTGCCAGGACCACATCATATAGCAGTGGTGCCAGACACTGTGAATATATAATCACGCACTGAATAGCGATGTTTAAGTCACTGATGAACTGCATCTATGACTGTGGTTCTATAAAGATTATAATACAGTAATTTTACTGTGCTTTCTCTATAATTAGATATGTTTAGATACACCCATACTTACCATGTTACAATTGCTTACAATATTCAGGATAGTAACATGCTGCACAGGTTTGTAATCTAGGAGTGATAGGCTATACCAAATAGCCTAGGTGTATGGTAGATTTTACCATCTAGGTATAGGTAAATATACTCTATGAGGTGCACTCAATGGCAAAATTGCCTAACAATTCATCTCTCATAATGTTAAGCAACATGTGACTATATATTGTGGCATGAACCAACACATTAGGTTCAGTTAGTTTCCAAACCCCACTTTTTGAAGATAAAAAAGCTGAATGTTGGAGAAATCAGATAAGTTTTGGAGCCTCATCCTAGTTATTAAAGATAATAATTCAAATCTAGGACTTCTTGACTCTAATCTTCTGCTCATTATAGCACAACAAATTACTTAGCTTATTTCTCCGAATATCTAATATTCTCTAGATATTCGCTGTTACTACAGAGGACTTTTGAAGTCCCTAAGGCTTATTCTGGCAGTGCTATCATTTCCCTTTTTTTTTTTTTTTTTTTTTTTTTTTTTTTTTTTTTTTTTGATAAAGGCGGTGCAGACCCAAAGAGTGAGCAGCAGCAAGATTTATTGCGAGAGCAAAAGAACAAAGCTTCCACAGCATGGAAGGGGACCCAAGTGGGTTGCCCTGTGCCATCATTTTCAACTGCCTAGCTTGAGTGTATTTAAATCTCAAATTTTTATGAGCTTCATAAGATTTCTGGCTTTTATTTTATACCACATTCTTAGCAGAAAACAGGCCCATCTCTTGCATAATGTAAAAGTACAGAAATTATCTGACTTGATAAGCTATAGAAGAACAAAAACAACATTATACATAGCAGTATATTCAGTCAGAGAATCCACTCCACCTGTGTTCAAGTCATTAGGCTAGTTGTTCTTCAGAGAACAGTGATGTTTTACATACTTTTAAAAAAATTTGCATGCCAAGCACATCTAGAGAAAATACTGGATGCATTTCAAGCATCAATTTCAAAACTTGAAATTTTATAGAATTCTCAAAAGGAAAAAGTCATTTCTCCACAACTTAAAAAAAAATAAATTAAGTCTACATCTTTAAATAGGCCATGAAGGCTTTGCTAATTGCTTGACAATTCCTATAATTACTTGTTCACAAACAAATCAAAATAAAGATTATCAGTGAGTCTCTGACTTAAATCCTTTGATTAAATTTATTTCTCACAGATCTGTAGGCTAGGAAGATTTATATCAAGGTGCTGGGATTTGGGCAGGGCTTCATGTCATCTGATGGTGGAAGGAGTATTGGGGGAACCTGTCCCCAATATTTCAACACAGGTTCTTTCTATTTTCCTCAGCTTTGGCTGGCTGAGAAATAAAGAGAAAGAGTACAGAGGAGGAATTTTACAGCTGGGCTGCCAGGGGTGACATCACATATCGGTAGGACCGTGATACCCAGCCGAGCCTCAAACCAGCAAGTTTTTTATTAAGGGTTTCAAAAGGGGAGGGGGTGTAAGTACAGGGAGTAGATCACATGCTTCAAAGGGCAAAAAGGAGAACTACTGATAAGGGTCCAACAAAGATCACAAGGCAAAGGGCAAAAACAGTACTACTGATAAGGGTGTATGTTCAATGGTGCACGTATTATCTTGATAAACATCTTAAACAACCGAAAACAGGGTTCAAGAGCAGAGAACTGGTCTGACCACAAATTTACCAGGGCCGGGTTTTTCCCCACCCTAGTAAGCCTGAGGGTACTGCAGGAGACCAGGGCGTATCTCAGTCCTTATCCCAACCACATAGGACAGACATTCCCAGAGCGGCCATTTATAGACCTCCCCCCAGGAATGCATTCCTTCCCCAGGGTATTAATATTAATATTCCTTGCTAGGAAAAGAATTTAGCGATATCTTCCCTACTTGCAAGTCCGTTTATAGGCTCTCTGCAAGAAGAAAAATATGGCTCTTTTTGCCCAACCCTGCAGGCAGTCAGACCTTACGGTTGTCTTCCCTTGTTCCCTAAAAATCACTGTTATTCTGTTCTGTTTCAAGGTGCACTGATTTCATATTGTTCAAACACACATGTTTTACAAACAATTTATATAGTTAAGACAATTATCACAGTGGTCCTGAGGTGATGTACATCCTCTGCTTATGAAGGTAACAGGATTAAGAGATTCAAGTAAGATAGGCATAAGAAATTATAAAAGTATTATTTGGGAACTGATAAATGTCCATATTAAAATGAAATCTTCACAATTTATGTTCTTCTGCCGTGGCTCCAGCCAGTACCTCCATTTGGGGTCCCTGACTTCCCACAACAAAGGAGAAAGGGTAAGAGCAAGACCTTAAAAAGAGGGCCAAACGTGCTTTTATAAAACATCTATTTTCTTGATAACTAACCCAGTTCTTCACTAACAACAGTAATCCATTTATGAGATGAGAGCCCTTGTCACCTGATTGCTTCTCATTAGGCCTCATCTCCCAGTGCTATTGCATTGGGGATAAACTTTGTAACACAGCCTTTGGGACACATTGAAACCATAGTACTTACTAACATTTACAGTTTATACAGATGACTAAATCCCTTTGAGAACAGAATTTATGGAAAGTAGTATCAACATCTTCATTTGCATAACACTACTTAAAAATTCTTAATGAACCTATTATTACTTTATTATTTGTTTTAAAACTGTTGATTTATCCTAAGCAAATTGCTATGAGATACATGATATACTTATATATTACTTTATAAGGTAAAATTACAGGTAAGAATGAATTAAATTACTGAGAATGATAGGATTTTTTAAGCAAATGAGAACTAATTAATCATCTTGGTTATGTTAAAAATCTTGAATACTCTTTAGAATCACTAAGAGTTCTTAAAACATCTGATATCTTGACCCAAACCAGGAGTTTTGTTTTCTTGATTATATATATGTTTAATGGCCCGTGTGCATGTCTGTGTGTGTGTATAATATTATATACATAAATATATATATGTACTTAATTTTAAGAAGCCATAAAAGTTCTACTTATATTCAGGGTTGAGAATCACTGACATATTTGAACTCATTCATTTTAAAGACAAGAGAATCAGTGTAATGACAGTACTTTCTTATGGCTCTACAACCCTGTCTCACTTAGAGAGCTAGGACCAGAAACCAGGGTTCCTGTTCTTACTTCAGTGTTCTTTACACTGTTCTACTGGTAGCCACTGTCTTCATGGCAAATTACATATATAGTGTTTAATCTCTTCCAGACAACTTTCTGAGTGTTTTAGATGTATTAATTCATTTAATCTTCACAGTAACTGTATAAAGTAAGTATATATGATATTATTATTTTCCATTTTACGGATGATAATTATGAGGCCCAGACAGAGTAGCCAAACCTTCCAAAGTTGCTTGCCTAGCTCACGGCAGAGCTATGTAATTTAAATCTGGACCATTTGGCTCCAGAGTATTTTCTCTTAACCTCTATACCCCAGTGCCTCCATAATTTTTTATAGCATTCTCCAATCTGAATTCTATTTTCTTTTCATACAAAATATCACATAGTATGAGGTAGTTTTTGGAGGTGGTATAGATAATTTTAAAAAATTATCATCATTATTTGGTAAATTCCATGTCACACTTTTGACTAAAATTTTTCTTCACAAGTGGCTTGCTGTTAATTCAATTCCTCCTCTCATATGGGCTTTAATACTCGAAAGAATTATTTAAAATATGCTAGTATTCATATTCACTAATTTAAAATGTTAGTATTTATATATTTATAATTTAATTTTAGCTCACTTTAAATTAATTTAATTTTACATTCAGATAGAATATAATTTTTTTAATGATTGTATTCTATCTGATATTGCTTTTCTCAATCTTTATACATTTTCTGGTCATTAAAATTGTGAGCTCATTTGGCCAAATTAAAAAGTACTCCTAAGAATGAGATTTTGTAATTATATGATCAAAAATTCTTCTTATTTTGACTAAATTATCAATAAGATTGCTTCAATCAACAAAAACATCACTTAAACTATAGTCGTATAATTCATTTTCCACAAAATAATTGAAGAAATGGAATATAAAAAGCCCAAAGTCATTCTATAAAAATGATTATATAAAATATCCTGCCTAGAGGATTTATGAAATGTTGTTCATTCTGAATATTTTCAAATCTTAAAAACAACAAATGAGGAAGTGGATATTAAATAGTCTCACTAGCTTAATAAGAAATTTTACAGTATATGCTTCTTTGCCATGATAAAAGGGACCAAATTAAAATTATCTTTAATAATATATTTTATGTGTGTGCTGTATTCACTTGGAGATATAAAGCTATAGAAAGATCAGTGGTTTGACATCTAAATATAAATAGAGAAAACAAATATTTATTAATGAAGAATTTTAATATATAGTTAAAATTTTAGCTTATAAATTGGAGACATCATTAATTACTAGAGATATCTTTTAACCTAAGTAAAGCTGTTAAAAAGCAGTGACTTTTCCTTTATTCTTCCTTGTTTATTATACAAGTATATAAACATGTATATACAATGGAAATGGAATATTATTCCATTTTTGAACAAAATTTATTCAGTACAAAAGAGTAATATCAATTTCTGAATATGTTTTTATTATATGTACAGAGAAGTTAATAACATAATTTTAAAATTTCAGTTCTATTTGTTAGTGATGTTGTGAGGTTTTTAAGATATTAATGATTCTTGTTGGTACTTAACCAATTGTCCCCTTTTCCCTAGTCATATTAATTATCCCCTGGGAAAATAAAGCAAATAAAATGCTGACCAAATGACAGTCCTAATTGTTGGGGTATACATCTACCATGTAATTTTTCTAATTTATCATGAAGATGCAAATTAATTTCAGAATTGATTTTATTTTTCATTAGAACCTTTATGCACATTATTATGCAAATTGAGGTCTTTGGGTTAAAGGCAATTTGCCAATGTACTGTACCACTGAAACAGGCAAAAGAAGCATAACATACTGAAGCCATAATACCTCTATGCAAGTATTATGGATATGGTTGTTGGAAATTATCTGGTAGAGTTGTCTTATGCATAGAGTAAAGCAAAAATAATGGAAAAGTAGAGAGCAAGATAATTACTCAAGTCATCTTAGTTGAGTAAAAACAATTATAGTTAAAGAAAACTTTGTTATCTTTTCTGAATTTGACTTAGTTGGCTGATAATTTGATTTATTAAGTATATTATATAAATGGTTCATCCACATAAATCTGAATTTATATGTATTTGTATATGAAAAATATATGTCATAGATAAAGAATATGTCATATATCAAGAATATATGTTATAAATATACATCATAAGATATATTCATATCATCTGTATCTTATATTTCTGTAAGATTACCCTTAATCTTACATGTCATAGCATCAGAAAGTACAACGGCTCTGCAGAGGGAGACTACCAGATGGGGAAGCAGAATACAGGATTAAGTAGCTCCCGGCAGCCTCTGGGCCATTTCTGAGCCACTTTAAAAACTCATATCACTTAGAAGACAGCGACTCCATTGCCCAAGGTACTGAATAGGTCTCTGTTAATATTTTTGCAATCTTTATGCCCTCCTTCTGAGTTGCCTTGTTGATTCAACCTATAAACCCAGTTGTTATTCATAAAATAAAATATTAGGAGAGATTACCTGAGAAATTTTATTAATCACAGAGACACTGGAAATGATTAACTTTATTATACCCTTAAAATATTTTAAACATGAAGTAAAATTATTGTAATGTTCGCCCTTGTAACTCAGATGAAACTCACATTTACTGAATGCCTACGGCAATTTTATTTCATTTTTACTGGAACCCTATGAGTCAGTGCTATAATTACCTAGACAGAGAAACCCAGTTCCAGAGAAGTCTGGTAACATATAAAAAGTTATTCAAGTTAGAAAGCTGGATTTTTTTTTTCCCCAGGTCTTTGAGCACTAGCCCAAAGCCTCTCCACAGTGTCGTGCATTGTGAAGCAGAGCAGAGTATACTAACTATGGAGATAGATAGTCCTGGGTCACAAGTGGTTTAAAACCCTTTAGCTATGAGACCATGAGTGATCGGCTTAACCTCTCTATGATTTTGTGTCCTCTTTATAAAACAGGGAAAATGAAACCTGTCTTGAACAGTTGTTGTAGGGACTATATAATTATTTGACGTAAAAATCAGTTTATTATTTTAATTTTGGCGGCTGGAAACAATTTGAAATTGTTAACAGAAAAGTTTACAATATTTCTCTAAATCTTCTTATTTAAATTAGATAATATGGTCAGATAAGAATAAGATTGTGATTAAGGAAAATGGAAACAGTTATGCCAGTCACCACAAAGAATTTATGTTATCGTGCTTTATAAACTTAGAGCAATAAAACTCTTGGTCTTGACACATAATGACACATCATTTTTCTTTTCAAGCTTCACTAAATTGCATTGTTCTGGTGTACCAATAAAAAGAAGGCAACTTGGAATTACAAATTATGTTTTTTCCAAATTTCTTTCGCTTGTGTATTTGTTAATTTGAGTTGGTATTCTCTGTCATCTCTTCTGAATTGTTAGGCGATCCTGTGTCATGTCAGTTTTTAAATATTTTTAGCACTCATCGGATCATGGGAGTGTTCTAAATCTACAACAAAATTAATTTGAATTAACTCACCTTTAATAGTAATTATGCAAGAAATACTTAGTTTCACAAATTTAATTAAACTAGGAAGATTTTCCAATTTTGAAATATTTGAGACTCAATGGTCTTTATTTTTATTCTACATTATGGTACTGTTTAAAAAAACTTTTTATATGCATATATAATTCCCCATTTATATCAAACTTAGGCTATGAGCAGGCTCTTAAAGACTGGTTATCTTCAAAAAATATGATCAATACAAAACTCAAAATTAAAATCATATTTCTCTTCCTCAACAGTTTGTCTAAACTTCAATTAAACAATCTCAAAACAAATATTTAGCAGAATTCAAAATATACCATATAAACCCTCAATATATCCTTCTTTGTCTTTATGCTTTTCCAAACTGTTTTTACTTCTAGCAATGATGCCTAATAAAATATTATTCAAACTATAAATATGATTTGAACAAAATTCGATATGAATTACTTTGATTCAATGCAGTGATTTGAAATGAAAGCTTACAAAATCTATCTAAATGAAATATGCAAAGCTGTTGTAATTCTACATGTCTCTCAAACTATACTTAATATATAAACTGAACGGTAAAAAATCATTAGAAAAAGGATAATATGTAGTTTTAGCGTTTACA
This sequence comes from Homo sapiens, assembly GCF_000001405.40. NCBI lineage: Eukaryota > Metazoa > Chordata > Mammalia > Primates > Hominidae > Homo > Homo sapiens. The sequence continues at coordinate 64,681,779 of NC_000004.12, read as the reverse complement.
TAATTTTGCCTACTGAATTTTTGAAACTCTTAGTGTTCTAACTTCTCTTTTAAAACCAAGCTCTCACCAACCTGAAAAGAACATAAAGAGTGATTTCCTGTCATTCATACATGGTAAGTACAAACAAATCATGTTGAAAACCTATTTATTTTGTTCCTTCTATGGGTACTGTGATTTTTGTAACTTTTTATCAAGCCTAAAAATGTATATTTGGGTTATTTCTACAACCATCAGTATTCTTATTGTTATTTGGTGGGTTTGATATCTTGGTTGCCCTTAGCATTTATGGTTTCACTAAAATAGTTGGATAGGGTATCAGTCTGTACTCTGCCAAAGAAAAATATAAACTGAGGAAGTGGAGCCAATTTGTAGGGGCTACCTTCTATCCTTAGTTTTTCATTTGAGATGTTGCTAATTCCCTACGTCCATCATCAAGTTCTTCATCTTTCTCCTACATCACACTTGTTTTGTTTCCCCTGTCATGCATTCATGCAAACCAGAAAACTGAAGTTCATTCTACACTCTACTCCTTGTCTTCTCATATCCAAACAATTAGAAAATTATTTTATTTTGGTCTCTTAAATATATCTTAACTTCAACATCTGTTCTCTATTTCCATTAAAAATACTCATTTTCTGAAGTGAGCCATGGATGACACCACTCCAGGGCTTTTTCCTATATTTACAAATCTCTCCCAACTTTAAGTATTCTAGCAACCCCAATGCTACTGATTCCCTCACTCATTTAATTATCCATCAGTCATATGTGCTAACACCCACATAATGATAAAATAACACAAACATACACACACACACATACACACAGAAGTGCTATGCACATATACTATTCAATTCCTTGAATGCTCCATTTTTCTCTCATACCTCTTTGTGCAAATGATCTCTAGCTTTTTTGACTAATTCTGGAAGATGTAAAACATTTGTCAAGAATCACCTCATTCCAGAGTAATATCAAGTACTTAACAATTTAATAATCATTCGCCCAGTGTGGTGGCTAATACCTGTAATTTCAGCAATTTGGGAGGCCAAGGTGGGTGAATCATTTAAGGCCATGAGTTTGAGACCTGCCTGGCTAACATAGTGAAACCCTGTCTCTACTAAAATACAAAAACTGTCTGGGTGTGGTGGCCCATGCCCATAATCCCAGCTACTTGGGAGGTTCAGGCAGGAGAATCGCTTGAACCAGGAAGGTGGAGTTTGCAGTGAGCCGAGATCAAGCCTCTGCACTCCAGCCTCGGTGATAGAATGAGACTCTGTCTCAAGAAATAATAATAATTAATAATAATAATAATTTGAGAATGATTATAGTAGTTTCACAACAATGAAAGTACAAAGAATCTGGGTAGAGTTAGGTAGGTGGCTAAGCTAAAATATGTGCAATGGATTTTAAGAAGCCCAAGGTCTGGTCATTTTAAAAGATAAAACAAGTAACTTAATACAAGTTTAGATGGAAAAGTAACTTTTTTTCTGAGCCAGTTTCTAACATGCATATCACATATATATATTTAGTAGCACAATAATTCTGATCAACATTTTAGGACAAATATAATAGATACATTTCTAAATATATATGTAGTTTTCCCAGTATAACCAGCAAAACACTTAATCAATTTATATTACTCTTCCAAAGTTGAGGAGTTTAAGTTAATAAATAATTGAAAGGATTTATTAAACCTTCATCTGGTACCATATATACTGCAGCATTCTGAGTTTCTATTAAATAAAATATTTATTTTTAAATACAGAGTTCTATGCATTTTTAAAATAGATGTTTGATATCTAAATTAATATTACACTGTGGTTCTGAAATCATGCAGTTAAAATGACACTTCATATATTAAATTAATATTTTAAGAGTAATAGATACATTCATGAAAAGGTAAACAGAATTATTTAATGTGTAGTAGTATAATTCATTACTTTTGTTAGAATGATTCAACAAATTAGGAACCTGGAAAAATGCCTTCTGCATTTTTAATTAATGTGATTTAATGACACTTTCAGGAAAGATTTTAAAATTCTGGATTCAGCCCTACATGTAGGCAAAAAAAAAGTTTTCTAATAAAATTATATGGAAAATAAAATAATCTTAATTCAATGAATAAATTTATTCTGACCTAACTTTAAAAAATTCAAGTTAAGCTAGTAAATTAGCTTTCAAAAAATACTTGCAAATTGAAGACCTGTATTTTCTGCTAGTTGTGTTTTTCCCTTAAAACTAGCAATGCCTTTGGTACTTACAAGAGTTCTGTACTATATCAACAATGAATATTCACAGCACCAAACATTTATACAAATGATGATGAAAACATTTTAACTACATCAAAATATCTATGGGTTCACTGATAAAATTATAGTTTCATTATGAACTAAATTTATAAAATAAAATGGATTGTTTGTTTTATAAAAGAGATCCAAGTTTAATACTGTTTGAACACAAGTTAAATATGTAAAAATAAATTTATAAGATAGAGGTTCTAGAATATTTAAGAAGCCTCAACTTTTCTCTATTAGTAGATTGTTGTTCACATAGCCAAGGAAATAACCAAACATTTACATTTATTTTTGTTTTTGTTTTAGTGCTTTATTTTTTTGTTTGTTTGTTTTTGAGACGGAGTCTCGCTCTGTCTACCACGCTGGAGTGCAGTGGTGCAATCTCGGTTCACTGCAAGCTCCGCCTCCCAGGTTCATGCCATTCTCCTGCCTCAGCCTCCTGAGTAGCTGGGACTATAGACGCACGCCGCCAGGCCTGGCTAATTTTTGGTATTTTTAGGAGAGACGGGGTTTCACCATGTTAGCCAGGATGGTCTCGATCTCCTGACCTCGTGATCCACCCGCCTTGGCCTCCCAAAGTGCTAGGATTACAGGTGTGAGTCGCCATGCTTGGCCTAGTGCTTTATGTTTTTAATTTTAATTTACATTGTATATATTGAAGATATACAACATGATGTTTTCAAACATATATAATTTGCATACAATTTTTTGGTATATAATTTGTATATTATGTATAATTATATATTGATATAATTATTATGTAATTATACATATCATTTGGAAGTATAAAAATACATATAATTTGGAAGTAGATATGTATATTTCTAAATTATATAATGTATAATTTATATAAATAAAAATATATATTAATATAGATAAAACTTCCATTATAATTATATATATAATTCTTCCTGTTAAGCAAATAAGCAAATTGTCACATTCATTATTGTGATGGTTACTATTCAGTGTCAACCTAATTGGATTGAAGGATACAAAGTATTGATCTTGGATGTGTTGGTGAGGTTGTTGCCAAAGGAGGTGAACATTTGGGTCAATGCACTAAGAAAGGCAGACCAACCCTTAATATGGGTGGGGTCCATCTAATCAGTGGCCAATGCAGCTGGAACATAAAGCAGGCAGAAAAATGTGAAAAGACTAGACTGGCCTAGCCTCCTAGCCTACATCTTTCTCCCATGCTGAATGCCTCCTGCCTTTGAACATCAGACTCCAAGTTCATCAGTTTTGGGACTCGAACTGGCTCTCCTTGCTCCTCAGCTTGCAGACAGCCTATTGTGTGACTTTGTCTTTGTGTGAGTTAATCCTTAATAAACTCATATATATATATATATTTATATATTTTTTTATTAGTCCCTTTCCACTAGATAACCCTGACTAATACAGATTTTGGTACCAAGAGTGGTTCTAGAGGAACAGAATATTAAGGATGGAGTTCTATAGTTGGTTTTAGGGTTTCTGGAGTTGGCTGTCTAATATGATTAGACCCAAAAATTCCGAGGACTCTACTTTTAATAGTATGGAGAACACTGATAGTCCTTGGCATGAACTGTTTAGAGAATTAAGCAAAATAAATGCATTTCACACTCCCAATTCACCGCTCATGAGAAGCAACAGGTTTAATGACTCTATACATAATAACTTTGACCATATGTGGAGAAACAAGGAACGTAATGAAGCTGGTTGGTTGCTCCTAAGTTCAGTGGACAAAGTAATGAAAGAAAATGATGAATTCAGGGATTCTGTCTTCTGGTGTCAGAAGCAGATACTGAGCCTCAAATTTGCTAAGATTGTCCTGAGTAAGAGTTTTATCTCCTGTATAGAAAAAGCTGAAATTGGGGAAAAATAGACACAAGCTCTTATTATGTGAGTGGCCGACCTGCAATGAAAGGTGCATGCACAGTGTTGCCAGGTGTCAACTCTTAAAGTGAAGACGTTGATTGGAAAAGAATGGGACCCTGCAACTTGGAATGGCGATGTGTGGGAGGACCTGATGAAGCTGAGTATACTACGTTTGTAAACTCTGATGAATCTTTTTTATTTTTTATTTTTTTGCCAGAAGAAAGATTCCCTATCCCCAGTGGTGGCAAGATCTCCTCCTTCTTGACCCATGCTGCCATCAGCGTTTCCACCTTTGTCTGAGGATATAAACTCTGTGCTGCCTGAAGCAACAGTGTTGGCCTCCTATGAGGCAGTTAGAAGTCAAGATAATGTTGATTCTCCTCAGGAGCTACCCCTGACACCCCTGTTTGCTTCGAGGCCTGTAACTAAATTAAAGTCCCAACAGGCCCCTAGAGGTGAGGTGGAGAGTGTGAACCATCAGTAGGTGTACTACATTTGAAAAGAACAGCTTGAGTTTTCTAATTTATATGAGCAGAAATCTGGAGAACAGGCATGGGAATGGATATTAAGGGTGTAGGATAATGGTGGAAGGAACATAGAGTTGGATCAGCCTGAATTTATTGATTTGGGCCCACTAAGTAGAGACCCTACATTTAATTTTGCAGCTTGGGGAGGTAAAAAAGTTTCTAATATTTTATTTGCTTGGTTAGCTGAACTATGGATTAAAAGATGGCCCAACACGAGTTACCTGGAAATGCCTGATCTCCGTTGGTTTAATGTAGAGGAAGAGATTCAAAGACTTAGGAAGATTGGGATAATGGAGAGGATTAGTCACTTTAGATCTATTCATCCCAGCTGGGAGGGTCCAGAAGATATGCCCTCAACCAATGCTTTGTAAAATAGATTTGTGAGGGCAGCACCTGCATTTTTGAAGAACCCTGTAATTGCTTTTCTCTGTCTGTCAGATCTAACAGTGGGAACCACAGTCACTCAACTACAAAATTTAAATACAATGGGAATAATTGGATCCTGGGGTGGAAAGAGTCAACTGGCAGCACTCAACCACCAAAAGCAAGGTGGGTGTAGCTAACATAATGGCAGCACACAGAAGCAAAGAAGCAATCAGAATAATCCCAACTCATGTAGAGCTCTGGAATTGGCCAAATTAATCATGGTGTTCCTAGAAGTGACATTGATAGGAAGCCTACTGCATTCCTACTTAATTTATATAAAAGCAGATAACTTCTAGGTCAAATGGACAAAAGACTAATTTGAATTATAAAAACAGAGATTCACGACCCATCAATCTATTTCCAGACTTGAGCCACTTTACAGACCCAGGCCCCTGTCAGGCAGGGTCCACTTGAGGAGGGACCCCACTACACTACCACAAATTTATGCACTTAATCTTTCTCCCAGCTTTTCCCAAGGTTACCTCCAACATTTTACCAAGGTAACTGTGCATTGGGGAAAGGAAAGTGATGAGACATTTTGAGGACTACTGGACACTGGCTCTGAGCTGACATTAATTCCAGGGGACCCAAAATGTCATTGTGGTCCTCCAATTAAAGTAGGGACTTATGGAGGTCAGGTAATTAATGTAATATTAGCTCAGGCCTAACCCTACAGTGGGTCCAGTGGGTTTCTGGACTCATCCTATGGTCATTTCCCCAGTGCCAGAATGCATAATAGGCATAGACATACTTAGCAGCTGGCAGAACCCCCACATTGGCTCTTTGATTGGTAGCGTGAGGGCTATTATGGTGGGAAAGGCCAAACGGAAGCCATTAGAGCTGCCTCTACCTAGATAAATAGTAAATCATAAACAATATTACATCCCTAGAGGGATTGTGGAGATTAGTACCACCATCAAGGATTTGAAAGACACAGCAGTGGTGATTCCCAACACACCCCTGTTCAACTCTACCATTTGGCCTGTGCAGAAGACAGATGGATCTTGGAGAATGACAGTGGATTATTTTAAGCTTAACCAAGTGGTTACTGAAATTGCAGCTGCTGTACCAGATATGGTTTCATTGCTTGAGCAAATTAACACATCTCCTGGTACCTGTTATGCAGCCACTGACTTGGAAAATGCCCTTTACTCAATTCCTGTCCATTACACCCAGCAGAAGCAATTTACCTTCAGCTGCCAGGGCCAGCAATATGACTTTGCTGTCCTACCTCAGGAGTATATCAACTCTCTGGCTTTGTGTCATAATCTTATTTGGAGAGACTGAACGCTTTTTGCTTCCAGAAGATATCACCCTGGTCCGTTACATTGATGACATTATGCTGATTGGGTCCAGTGAGCAAGAAGTAGCAAACACACTGGACTTATTGGTGAGATATTTGCATGCCAGAGGATGGAAAATACATCTAACTAAAATTCAGGGATCTTCTACCTCAGTAAAATTTTTAGCAGTCCAATGGTGTGGGGCCTGTCGAGATATTCCGTCTAAGGTAAAAAGGATAAGTTGCTGCTTTTGGCCCCTCCTACAACCAAGAAAGAAGTACAATGTTTAGTGGGCCTATTTGGATTTTGGAGGCAACACATTCCTTATTTGGTTGTGTTACTCCAGCCCATTTATCAAGTGATGCAAAAGGCTGCCAGTTTTCTGTGGGGTTCAGAACAGGAGAAGGCTCTGCAGCAGGTCCAGGCTGCTGTGCAAGCTTCTCTGTCACTTGGGCCATATGACCCAACAGATCCAATGGTGCTTGAGGTGTCAGTGGCAGATAGGGATGCTGATTGGAGCCTTTGGCAGGCCCCCATAGGTGAATCACAGAGGAGGCCTTTAGGATTTTGAAGCAAGGCCCTGCCATTTCCTGCAGATAATTACTCTTCTTTTGAGAGACAGCTCTTGGCCTGTTACTGGGCTTTGGTAGAAACTGAATGCTTGACTATCGGTCATCAAGTCACCATGCAACCTGAACTTCCCATCATGAACTGGGTGGTTTCTGAACCATCTAGCCATAAAGGGGTCATGCACAGCAGCATTCCATCATCAAATGGAAGTGGTATATACATGATTGGGCTCGAGCAGGTCCCAAAGGCACAAGTAAGTTACATGAGGAAGTGGCTCAAATGCCTATGGTCTCTACTCCTGCCATCTTGACTTCTCTCTCCCAGCCTGAACTGACGGCTTCGGGGAATTCCCTATGATCAGCTGACAGAGGGAGAGTAGAGTGGGGCCTGGTTCACAGATGGTTCTGACGATATGCAGGCACCACCCAAAAGTGGACAGCTGCAGCACTACAGCCCCTTTCTAGGATATCCCTGAAGGAGAGCAGTGAAGGAAAATCTTCCCAGTGAGCCGAACTTTGAGCAGTGCACCCAGTTGTGGACTTTGCATGGAAGGAGAAATGGCCAGATGGGCGATTGTATACTGATTCGTGTGTGGTGGCCAATGGTTTGGCTGTATAGGCAGGGATTTGGAAGAAACATGATTGGAAAATTGGTGACAAATAAATTTATGGAAGAGGTATGTAGATAGACTTCTTCTAGTGGTCAAAAACTATAAAAGTATTTGTATCCCATGTGAGTGCTCACCAACGGGTGACCTCAGCAAAGGAGGATTTTAATAATTAAATGGATAAGAAGACCTGTTCTGTGAACACCCCTCAGCCTCTCTCCCCAGCCACCCATGTCATTGCCCAATGGGCCCATGAACAAAGTGGCCATGGTGTCAGAGATGCAGGTTACACATGGGCTCAGCAACATAGACTTCCACTCACCAAGGCTGACCTGGCTACAGCCACTGCTGAATGCCCACAAACACTGAGATCTGGATATGGCACCATTCCTCAGGGTGATCAGCCAGCTACCTGGTGGCAGGTTGATTATATTGGACCTCTTCCAACATGGAAAGGACAGAGGCTTGTCCTCACTGGAATAGACATTCCAGATATGGGTTTACCTATCCTGCACACAGTGCTTCTGCCAAGAATACCATCCATGAACTCACAGAATGCCTTATCCACCATTATGGTATTCCACACAGCATTGCCTCTGACCAAGGAACTCACTTTATGGATAAAGAAGTGTGGCAGTGGGCTCATGCTCATGGAATTCACTGATCTTACCATGTTCCTCATCATCTGAAGCAGCTGGTTGATAGAATGGTGGAATGGCCTTTTGAAGTCACAATTACAATGCCAACTAGGTGACAGTACTTTGCAGGGCTGGGACAAAGTTCTACAGAAGGTCATGTGTGCTCTGAATCAGTGTCCAATATATGATACTGTTTTTCCCATAGCCAGATTCATGGGTCCAGGAATCAAGGAGTGGAAGTGGAAGTGACATCACCCACCATCACCCTTAGTCATCCACTAGCAAAATTTTTGCTTCCTGTTCCCGTGACATTATGTTCTGCAGGCCTAGAGGTCTTAGTTCCAGAGGGAGGAACACTGCCACCAGCGGACACAACAACAATTCCATTAAACTGCAAGTTAAGATTGTCATCTGGACACTTTGGGCTCCTCCTACCTTTAAGTCAACAGGCTAAGAAAGGAATTACAGTGTTGGTTGGGATGATTGACCCAGACTATCAAGTTGAAATCAGTCTACTACTCAACAACGGAGGTAAGGAAGAGTATGCATGCAATACAGGAAACCCATTAAGAGCATCTCTTAGTTTTACCGTCCCCTGTGATTAAGGTCAATGAGAAACTACAACAGCCCAATCTAGGCAGGATTACAAAGGGCCCAGACCCTTCAGGAATGAAGGTTTGGGACACTTCCCCAGGAAAAAAAAACACGGCCTGCTGAAGTGCTTGCTAAAGGCAAAAGGAATACAGAATGGGTAGTAGTAAAAGGTAGTCGTCAATACCAGCTACAAGCACGTGACCAGCTGCAGAAATGCGGACTGTAATTGTCATAAGTATTTCCTCCTTCTTTTGTTAAAAACATGTTTGTGCATGTATACACTTGTACAAATAAAATATCTTCATTTCATTTCCTTTTTCCTTTATCATGTGGCGTAAGATTTATTGACTTCATATCAACATGTAAGTATTGTTAACTTTACGTAATAGTGTTTGTGTTGGGAATTGGTGTGTTTCCAGTTGTACAAAGGGTAATTATATTAGGTTAGCTGTAATTATGACCTTATTATTGTCTTTATTTAAATATTATGTGTGATCTCAGGAGATGTGTACATGTTCAAGTTGACAAGAGGTGGACTTGTTACGGTTAATACTGAGTGTCAACTTGATTATATTGAAGGATGCAAATTATTGATCCTAGCTGTGTCTGTGAGGGTGTTGCCAAAGGAGATGATTAACATTTGAATCAGTGGGCTGGGAAAGTCAGAGCCACCCTTAATCTGGTTGGGCACCATCCAATGAGCTGCCAGCACAGCTAGAATATAAAGCAGACAGAAAAAAAAGTGAAAAGACTAGACTGGCCTAGCCTCCGAGCCTACATCTTTCTCCCATGCTGGATGTTTCCTGCCCTCAAATATCGGACTCCAAGTTTTTCAATTTTGGGACTCAGACTGGCTCTCCTTGCTTCTCAGCTTCCAAATGGCTTATTGTGGGACCTTGTGATCATATAAGTTAAGCCAGCAAAGGATAGAAGCAGGCAAGAGCCCTGCCCTCTCAGGTGCAGCTGCAGCCACCCAAGCCACTGCTGCAGACCTGGGCATCTGTGCACTCTAGGGGGCCTATTGCTGCTGCCTGGCCTCTTCCCACCTTCAGCACCTGCTACAATCTCAGAACAAGATTGGGGCCAAGTCTGGGTGCTATTGTAGACTGGCCTGTTGTGCAAACACTACAGACAGCACTGACATGCCAGGCCCTTGCCACCTTGGCCCCCTCCAGACTTTGGTCATCAAGTATAGTAGGGAGGCTGGCAGGGGGGGCAGCTGAGGGCACCTTGGCTCAGGCCTGCAGGTGCCCCTTTGCATGAACAGCCTGGGCACCATAAATGGCAGCAGGTGCCAGAAAGGCTCCTGGGCAGAAGTAGGCATGTCCCCAATGAAGCCTCAACTTCAAGTTGGGGAGGGCCTGAAGCCTGAGGGCAGGGCTGCCAGCACTGTGAACTGGTGTGAAAATTTGTGGTGCTTTTTTTCAGTCCACCCATGGCCACCCAAGTACCAATCAGCATGAACTTCCTCCCCTCTGAGACCCATAAAAGCCCTGCACTCAGCCAGACTTGAGACAACAATGACCTGTCAGTTGCAGAGAGGAGCTACACACTCTAAGTGTCTCCTCTCTGCTGAGAGCTGAGGAGACAATGGGTCACCCTGCCTGGGGAGAGATGCTACCCAATGCAGATCTCCTCTGAGCTGTTCTGTCACTCAATAAAGCTCCTCTTTGCCTTGTTCACCTTGCACTTGTCCACATACCTTAGTCTTTCAAGATGCAGGACAATAACTTGGGACCTGCCAAATGGGGTTGCTAAAAGAGCTATAACACAAACAGAGTTGAAACATGTCTCTTGTTTGCCACATTGCAGGAGACAAGAAGGAGAGAAGAGAGAAGGAGAGAAGAGCTGTGGCCCTCTGGGGAGCCCAGACCTAGGAGCTCCCTAAGCCAGAACTGTCACACCCTTTTTAGGGCTCTGTGGTTCCTGGGGGTCTCCAAGCTTCCAGGTGTCACCACGTTCCTTCGTGCCAACCATGGAAGCTGCTTACAGTGCACTTGGTTGAGCCACAGCCTTGCAGAGAGCCAGTGCCCATGCTGACACTTGGAGCTGCCTGTCCTGCTGCAGCTGGCTTGCCTGGCTTTGAACAGTGATCAGATGCTATGTTCCTTCACACACCACTCGCTGCTCCATGCCTTGCTTGCTGATGGACGGTGTGGGATCCAGGCCAGTAATGTGAGCCATGGGCAGCCTGCCAAGGCAAGTGGACAAAATGAGCCCAGCAGGCCCAAGCAAAACTCAGGGTGGCAAAGCGACACCCTAAAAATCCTGTGACAACAATAAAAAAGCAGCCCAACGATTTGGAGAAAACATTTGCAAACTGTGTATCTGATAAAAGGTGAATATCCAAAATACATTTTAAAACCTCACAGAATTCAAAGCAGAAAAATCACTAGGCTGGGCGCAGTGGCTCATGCCTGTAATCCCAGCACTTTTGGGAGGCTGACGGGGCCGGATCACGAGGTCACATTGAGACCATCCTGCCTAACACGGTGAAACCCTGTCTCTACTAAAAATACAAAAAATTAGCTAGGCGTGGTGGCGGGCGCCTGTAGTCCCAGCTATTTGGGAGGCTGAGGCAGGAGAATCGCGTGAACCTGGGAGGCAGAGCTTGCAGTGAGCTGAGATCGCGCCACTGCACACCAGCCTGGGTGGCAGAGTGACACTCCATCTCAAAGAAAAAAAAAAAAAGAGTTTTGTTAAAGAAGACATAAAAAATGACCAAGTATATGACAATTTACTCAACATCACTAATGATCATAGAAATGCAAATCAAAACCACAATAGTTATCACCGGATTCCTGTTAGAATGTCTATTATCACAAAGACAAGTGATAAGAAGTATTGGTAAGGATGTGGAGAAAAGGGAACCATGTGCACTATTGGTGAGGATGTAAATGGGTGTAGACATTACGGAAAACAGTACACAGGTTCTTTAAAAAATTAAAACTGATTCTATAGTTTATATCTCTGGGTTACTTTACACTGTGGTGTTGTTATCATTCCTGACTATGTTATTTTCTTTCCCAAATTTATCTTCAATATGGACTATGGCAAATGTAATAAATTAGACGTTGTTTACCTATGTATTTTGAAAGTCCACTTGAAAGACTAAATATGCAGACTATCTATACCAAAATAAATGAATGAATAAAACTTTCCTGATATTTGGATTAAAATAGATTCACTCAAATGTCACATTATAAGGCAAAATGTGATGGCAATAAGCTAGAGTGAAATTGAATTTTGCAATACTCAGGTGCACAAATATTTTCCAAGTAACTTTTTATTTTTTAATTATACTTTAAGTTTTAGGGTACATGTGCACAATGTGCAAGTTAGTTACAGATGTATACATGTGCCATGTTGGTGTGCTGCACCCATTAACTCGTCATTTAACATTAGGTATATCTCCTAATGCTATCCCTCCCCCCTCCCCCCACCCCACAACAGGCCCCAGTGTGTGATGTTGCCCTTCTTGTGTCCATGTGTTCTCATTGTTCAATTCCCACCTATGAGTGAGAACATGTGGTGTTTGGCTTTTTTGTCCTTGCAATAGTTTGCTGAGAATGATGGTTGCCAGCTTCATCCATGTCCCCACCAAAGACATGAACTCATCATTTTTTATGGATGCATAGTATTCCATAGTATATATGTGCCACATTTTCTTAATCCAGTCTATCATTGTTGGACATTTCGCTTGGTTCCAAGTCTTTGCTATTGTGAATAGTGCCACAATAAGCATACGTGTGCATGTGTCTTTATAGCAGCATGATTTATAATCCTTTGGGTATATACCCAGTAATGGGGTTGCTGGGTCAAATGGTATTTCTAGTTCTAGATACCTGAGGAATCGCCACACTGACTTCCACAATGGTTGAACAAGTTTACAGTCCCACGAACAGTGTAAAAGTGTTCCTATTTCTCCACATCCTCTCCAGCACCTGTTGTTTCCTGACTTTTTAATGATCACCATTCTAACTGGTGTGAGATGGTATCTCATTGTGGTTTTGATTTGCATTTCTCTGATGACCAGTGATGAAGAGCATTTTTTCATGTGTCTTTTGGCTGCATAAATGTCTTCTTTTGGGAAGTGTCTGTTCATAGCCTTCGCCCACTTGTTGATGGGGTTGTTTGTTTTTTTCTTGTAAATGTGTTTGAGTTCATTGTAGATTCTGGATATTAGCCCTTTGTCAGATGAGTAGATTGCAAAAATTTTCTCCCATTCTATAGGTTGCCTGTTGACTCTGATGGTGGTTTCTTTTACTGTGCAGAAGCTCTTTAGTTTAATTAGATCCCATTGGTCAATTTTGGCTTTTGTTGTCATTGCTTTTGGTGTTTTAGACATGAAGTCCTTGCACATGCCTAAGTCCTGATTGGTATTGCCTAGGTTTCCTTCCAGGGTTTTTATGGTTTTAGGTCTAATATTGAAGTCTTTAATCCATCTTGAATTAATTTTTGTATAAGGTGTAAGGGAGGGATCCATTTTCAGCTTTCTACATATGGCTAGCCAGTTTTCCCAGCACCATTTATTAAATAGGGAATCCTTTCCCCATTGCTTGTTTTTGTCAGGTTTGTCAAAGATCAGATGGTTGTAGATACGCGGCATTATTTCTGAGGGCTCTTTTCTGTTCCATTGGTCTATATCTCTGTTTTGGTACCAGTACCATGCTGTTTTGGTTACTGTAGCCTTGTAGTATAGTTTGAAGTCAGGTAGCATGATGCCTCCAGCTTTGTTCTTTTGGCTTATGATTGACTTGGCAATGCGGGCTCTTTTTTGGTGCCATATGAACTTTAAAGTAGTTTTTTCCAATTCTGTGAAGAAAGTCATTGGTAGCTTGATGGGGATGGCATTGAATCTGTAAATTACCTTGGGCAGTATGGCCATTTTCATGATACTGATTCTTCCTACCCATGAGCATGGAATATTCTTCCATTTGTTTGTATCCTCTTTTATTTCCTTGAGCAGTGGTTTGTAGTTCTCCTTGAAGAGGTCCTTCACATCCCTTGTAAGATGGATTCCTAGGTATTTTATTCTCTTTGAAGCAATTGTGAATGGGAGTTCACTCATGATTTGGCTCTCTGTTTGTCTATTATTGGTGTATAAGAATGCTTGTGATTTTTGCACATTGATTTTGTATCCTGAGATGTTGCTGAAGTTGCCTATCAGCTTAAGGAGATTTTGGGCTGAGATGATGGGGTTTTCTAGATATACAATCATGTTATCTGCAAACAGGGACAATTTGACTTCCTCTTTTCCTAATTGAATACTCTTTATTTCATTCTCCTGCCTGATTGCCCTGGCCAGAACTTCCAACACTATGTTGAATAGGAGTGGTGAGAGAGGGCATCCCTGTCTTGTGCCAGTTTTCAAAGGGAATGCTTCCAGTTTTTGCCCATTCAGTATAATATTGGCTTTGGGTTTGTCATAGATAGCTCTTATTATTTTGAGATACGTCTCATCGATACCTAATTTATTGAGAGTTTTTAGGATGAAGGGTTGTTGAATTTTGTCAAAGGCCTTTTCTGCATCTATTGACATAATCATATGGTTTTTGTCGTTGGTTCTGTTTATATGCTGGATTAGGTTTATTGATATGCTTATGTTGAACCAGCCTTGCATCCCAGGGATGAAGCCCACTTAATCATGGTGAATAAGCTTTTTGATGTGCTGCTGGATTTGGTTTGCCAGTATTTTATTGAGGATTTTTGCATCGATGTTCATCAGGGATATTGGTCTAAAATTCTGGGGTTTTTTTGTTGCTTTTTTTTTTTCTGATCGGCAAGCAGGACTCTTCTTTTTTTGTGTGTGTGGTTCTTTTTTTTTTTTATTATACTTTAAGTTTTAGGGTACATGTGCACATTGTGCAGGTTAGTTACATATGTATACATGTGCCATGCTGGTGCGCTGCACCCACTAACTCGTCATCTAGCATTAGGTATATCTCCCAATGCTATCCCTCCCCCCTCCCCCCACCCCACAACAGTCCCCAGAGTGTGACATTCCCCTTCCTGTGTCCATGTGATCTCATTGTTCAATTCCCACCTATGAGTGAGAATACGCGGTGTTTGGTTTTTTGTTCTTGTGATAGTTTACTGAGAATGATGATTTCCAATTTCATCCATGTCCCTACAAAGGACATGAACTCATCATTTTTTATGGCTGCATAGTATTCCATGGTGTATATGTGCCACATTTTCTTAATCCAGTCTATCATTGTTGGACATTTGAGTTGGTTCCAAGTCTTTGCTATTGTGAATAATGCCGCAATAAACATACGTGTGCATGTGTCTTTATAGCA
Organism: Homo sapiens; assembly: GCF_000001405.40. Lineage (NCBI taxonomy): Eukaryota > Metazoa > Chordata > Mammalia > Primates > Hominidae > Homo > Homo sapiens. Next base: position 64,666,684 of record NC_000004.12, on the reverse strand, counting down.
GCATGATTTATAGTCCTTTGGGTATATACCCAGTAATGAGATGGCTGGGTCAAATGTTATTTCCAGTTCTAGATCCCTGAGGAATCGCCACACTGACTTCCACAATGGTTGAACTAGTTTACAGTCCCACCAACAGTGTAAAAGTGTTCCTATTTCTCCACATCCTCTCCAGCACCTGTTGTTTCCTGACTTTTTAATGATTGCCATTCTAACTGTTGTGAGATGGTATCTCATTGTGGTTTTGATTTGCATTTCTCTGATGGCCAGTGATGATGAGCATTTTTTCATGTGTTTTTTGGCTGCATAAATGTCTTCTTTTGAGAAGTGTCTGTTCATATCCCTCGCCCACTTGTTGATGGGGTTGTTTGTTTTTTTCTTGTAAATTTGTTTGAGTTCATTGTTTTTTTGTTGTGTCTCTGCCAGGCTTTGGTATCAGGATGATGCTGGCTTCATAAAATGAGTTAGGGAGGATTCCCTCTTTTTCTATTGATTGGAATAGTTTCAGAAGGAATAGTACCAGCTCCTCCTTGTACCTCTGGTGGAATTCAGCTGTGAATCCATCTGGTCCCGGACTTTTTTTGGTTGGTAAGCTATTAATGATTGCCTCAATTTCAGAGCCTGTTATTGGTCTATTCAGAGATTCAGCTTCTTCCTGGTTTAGTCTTGGGAGGGTGTATGTGTCGAGGAATTTATCCATTTCTTCTAGATTTTCTAATTTATTTGCGTAGGGGTGTTTATAGTATTCTCTGATGGTAGTTTGTATTTCTGTGGAATCAGTGGTGATATCCCCCTTATCATTTTTTATTGCATCTATTTGATTCTTCTCTCTTTTCTTCTTTATTAGTGTTGCTAGCGGTCTATCAACTTTGTTGGTCTTTTCAAAAAACCAGCTCCTGGTTTCATTGATTTTTTGAAGGGTTTTTTGTGTCTCTATTTCCTTCAGTTCTGCTCTGATCTTAGTTATTTGTTGCCTTCTGCTAGCTTTTGAATGTGTTTGCTCTTGCTTCTCTAGTTCTTTTAATTGTGAGGTTAGGGTGTCAATTTTAGATCCTTCCTGCTTTCTCTTGTGGTTATTTAGTGCTGTAAATTTCCCTCTACACACTGCTTTGAATGTGCCCCAGAGATTCTGGTGTGTTGTGTCTTTGTTCTCATTGGTTTCAAAGAACATCTTTATTTCTGCCTTCATTTTGTTATGTACCCAGTAGTCATTCAGGAGCAGGTTGTTCAGTTTCCATGTAGTTGAGCGGTTTTGAGTGAGATTCTTAATCCTGAGTTCTAGTTTGATTGCACTGTGGTCTGAGAGATAGTTTGTTATAATTTCTGTTCTTTTACATTTGCTGAGGAGTGCTTTACTTCCAACTATGTGGTCAATTTTCAAATAAGTGTGGTGTGGTGCTGAGAAGAATGTATATTCTGTTGATTTGGGGTGGAGATAGATGTCTATTAGGTCCACTTGGTGCAGAGCTGAGTTCAATTCCTGGATATCCTTGTTAACTTTCTGTCTCACTGATCTGTCTTATGTTGACAGTGGGGTGTTAAAGTCTCCCATTATTCTTGTGTGGGAGTCTAAGTCTCTTTCTAGGTCTCTAAGGGCTTGCTTTATGAATCTGGCTGCTCCTATATTGGGTGCATATATATTTAAGATAGTTAGCTCTTGTTGAATTGATCCCTTTACCATTATGTAATGGCCTTCTTTGTCTCTTTTGATCTTTATTGGTTTAAAGTCTGTTTTATCAGAGTCTAGGATTGCAACCCCTGCCTTTTTTTGTTTTCCATTTGCTTGGTAGATCTTCCTCCATCTTTTTATTTTGAGCCTATGTGTGTCTCTGCACATGAGATGGGTTTCCTGAATACAGCACACTGATGGGTCTTGACTCTTTATCCAATTTGCCAGTCTGTGTCTTTTAACTGGAGCATTTATCCAATTTCCATTTAAGGTTAATATTGCTATGTGTGAATTTGATCCTGTCATTATGATGTTAGCTGGTTATTTTGCTCATTAGTTGATGCAGTTTCTTCCTAGCCTCAATGGTCTTTACAATTTGGCGTGATTTTGCAGTGGCTGGTACTGGATGTTCCTTTCCATGTTTAGTGCTTCCTTCAGGAGCTCTTTTAGGGCAGGCCTGGTGGTGACAAAATCTCTCAGCATTTGCTTGTCTGTAAAAGATTTTATTTCTCTTTCACTTATGAAGCTTAGTTTGGCTGGATATGAAATTCTGGGTTGAAAATTCTTTTCTTTAAGAATGTTGGCCCCCACTCTCTTCTGGCTTGTAGAGTTTCTGCCGAGAGATCAGCTGTTAGTCTGATGGGCTTCCCTTTGTGGGTAACCCGACTTTTCTCTCTGGCTGCCCTTAACATTTTTTCCTTCATTTCAACTTTGGTTAATCTGACAATTATGTGTCTTGGAGTTGCTCTTCTCGAGGAGTATCTTTGTGGCGTTCTCTGTATTTCCTGAATTTGAATGTTGGCCTGCCTTGCTAGATTGGGGAAGTTCACCTGGATAATATCCTGCAGAGTGTTTTCCAACTTGGTTCCATTCTCCCCGTCACTTTCAGGTACACCAATCAGATGTAGATTTGGTCTCTTCACATAGTCCCATATTTCTTGGAGGCTTTGTTCATTTCTTTTTATTCTTTTTCCTCTAAACTTCTCTTCTCACTTCATTTTATTCATTTGATCTTCCATCACTGATACCCTTTCTTCCAGTTGATCAAATCAGCTACTGAGGCTTGTGCATTCATCACGTAGTTCTCATGCCTTAAATTGAGATTTAATGTGCCTACTCCACAAAAAAGAAATGAAAAAAATATATATTCTAGACTTGAATAAGTTTTGCAAGTATATACTGGTGTAACTCTTAGAAAACCAATCAACATAAAAGATATTTCCATCATCCCCAAAATGTCTTTTCTTGCTATTTTCCAGTTGATTACCACTCCCTATCCTTAAACAATAAACCATCTTTTATACTTTTTCTATATGTCTTTCTACAAAAGTGCATTAAAAAATTGTCCTAAGAGGGAAATTTCTAGGTTATAAGGTCATTATATGTTTAATCTCTAAGAGAGTGCTAAACTATGTTCTAAAGTGGTTTTTATCATTTTACATTCCTATCAGCAGAATTGAGAGTTTCAGGTTCTCCACAATAAATCTAGATTGTATATTATCAATCTTATTATTTTAGTTACTTTATTGGTATGTAATATTACAATGATTTTACTTTGCATTTCCCTAAAATCTAATGATGTTGAGGACATTTTTGCATATTTACGACTTTTTAAAATTATGTGTATCACTTATAAAGACATGAGTATTTCTGGGAAGATTTCATCTTTTAGCTTCTACTCATGAGTTAGCAAAAAAAATTGAGGTAAAAGTGCAAAGAGAAATTTTACTTGAATATTCTGTGAATTCATAGCAAAAAATGTGCAAGTCATCTGCTGGCTATCATACCTGATTGAGAATAATTAAAATGACTTTATTTTCTTTTTTTTATATGATGGTTGATTATGTCATTTAGACCATCCCTTTCTACTGACTATAGTTACAGAGGCTAAAATGTGACAAAAACAACCAGTATGAGATTCTAGTATTTAAAAGTATGAGCAAAGCAAATCACTGGGAAACTTGGAGGTGCCCCTGACAGCTTAAGTTGTCCTTATGTTAGCCTTTCAGAACTAGAAGAATCTGTGGCTGCCGAGATTGAGGACCCAGGTGATCTAATCACTACTTTGAGATGGGCTTAAAAGTAAATCCCAAATAAATGAGGGCTTGCATAGGCTACCTCTTGGCTTTTTATTAAATGATTGGCATTAAAAATTTCAAGTCTCTCACTTATAGTAAGATTTTTTTGGAGATAAATAAAATTATTTCCTAAAAAATATCACATTTTCCCATACATGGGTAGATGAAAAGATGGGTGACAAATTAGCAATAATTACTTATAACAAGACTCAAGTAGTTAATTTTTCTTGCATAAAACTATGCAATAAAATAACCAAACATAAGTATAAAATGTTTATATATAGTTGGAATTTGGAAATAAATTTCTAAATTAATTCATATGTAACCAGGTGTGGCGGCTCATGCCTGTAATCCCAACATTTTGAGAGGCTGAAGTGTGCAGATCACTTGAGCTCAGGAGTTTGAGACCACCCTGGAAACATGGTGAAACCACATCTCTATCAAAAATACAATAAAAAAAATAGCTGGGTTTGGTGGTGTGTTCCTGTGGTCTCAGCTATTTGGGAGGCTGAGGCAGGACGATTACTTGAATCTGGTAGGCAGATTTCAGCGAGCAGAGATCATGCCACTACACTCTAGCCTGGGCAACAGAGTGAGACCCCATCTCAAGAAAATTACTAATAAAAATTAAAAAATAAATTAATTCATAAATCAATGAAAAAATGACAATGCATGTTAGAAAATATTTGAAATTAAATTATAATAAACAGTATATAAAAATTTGAGTGCAGGATTTAAATAAAAATTTATAGCTTAAAATGCAACTAGTAAAAAAAGCGATAAAATATATGACATATGCGTATATTACAAAAAGATAAAGAGTAAAATATCACAAAAGAATGCAGACAAAAATTAAATTATAAGGAAAACAGAAGAAGATAAGCAAATAGAAGAAAACATTTTAGAGGATAAACAGAGTTAAAAGTTGTTATTAAAAAAGAGAATTGGCCGGGTGCAGTGGCTCACGCCTGTAATCCCAGCACTTTGGGAGGCCAAGGCAGATAGATCACCTGAGGTAAGGAGTTTGAGACCAGCCTGATCAACATGGTGAAACCTTGTCTCTACTAAAAATACAAAAAGTTAACTGGGCGTGGTGGTGGGCGCCTGTAATCCCAGCTACTCAGGAGGCTGGGACAGAATAATTGCTAGAACCCAGGAGGCAGAGGTTGTAGTGAGCCGAGATCACACCATTGCACTCCAGCCTGGGCAAAAAAAGCAAGACTCTATCTCAGGAAAAAAAAAGAAAAAAGAATTGATAGACTTCTGGAAAGACTGATTAAAACAAAAAAGAAGACTCAAAAAGTCAAATATCAGAAATGACAATCTGACATGGGTACATTTCATGTAGATATAGATAAAAAAATTTACACACTATATACCAAAATATTGTAATTGTATTTAAAATTAAATGCTTAGGAGAATACACATGATGCAACCCCCGCCCCACCCCCAGTAAACTGAATTGCTCTAAACCAGCAAGGAGGAATCAAATCTATAGTTAAAATATTTTTGACATGCAAAAACATTCGTTCCAGGAATTAATAATCAAATTTATGCAACGTCTTCCAGGGACTAGAAAAAAAATTAGTATCTTATTTTAAAGTACTTAAGTAACTTATTTTATGATGTTAGCATAAACTTTATATCAAAACAAGAAAGTTAAGGGAAAATAGAAAAAAGGCCACTCTTTCATGGACATAATGCAAAATTTGTTAACAAATGATTAGCAAAATGAATCCCCTATGGTTGACAGAGGTCATATATCCTGACCAAGTTAATTGTTTCAGGAACTGCAGATGAGTAGAGCAGAATTAAGGAGGAACATCAGTCATAACAATGGATGAAGAGACATAGTTGCCGATGATGTTCAACATCTAGTCACGATTGAAAAAGTGAAAACATTTTCTAATATTTATGAAAATCCAAAGTGAGATATTTTTCTCTCCCAAGTATTCAAGAAAAATAGAATAGCAGAATGGAGTAGAACTGCACCTAATCAGACCAACATATATGTGAAATAAAGTTTGTGAAAAAGGTAGAACTGTGGAACAGTAAAACATTGTCAGTCTTCACAGTAAATAGTATTGAGAGAATTGAATATGCATATGGAGGAAATAAAAACAATTTGAACACATTCCTCAGAACATTTTTTGAAATCCATATGATGGATGGCATAATTAAAATAGAATATATTATTAAACAAGACAATAAAATGCACAAAATATAAAAATAGATTGATACATTTTTAATTAAGATGAAACTTTTGTGTATCAAAACATATCAAAGTTGGAAAAACAAAACACAAGCCAAATTGCAAGACAATACATTTGCAATACATACAATAGTTAGAGAATCTATGTGCAGAATCAACAAATACCTACAAATCATTATATAAAGAGAGTGAACTCAATAGAAAAAAATGCAAAAGACTTGAGTAAGAATTTTATAAAAGAGAAAATCCAAATGGGTAACAAACATACTGAGAAATATGAAAAATATGAAACATATTCTATGTCATTTGTAATGAAGAAAATCTTAAATGAAGACTAAAACCAAAATGACACACATTGTGCTATGATGGTCATATCTATATCATCTATGTATATCAATATATCTATATATCATAGTATATTGAGTAACTCTGGAAAGATAATATACAGAAACATAACAATAGAAATAAGCTCAATCACATAATTTCATAGGGTTATGATTTCAGCTATATACAGTGTTATAATGCCTATATTATAAAACAAGAAAGGTGAATATATCTTATTAACACTGTTTTCTGGAAGACATCTTTTTAGAGAAGAAATATGTAAAATTAATATATGCTCACTCTAAAAGACAAATGATGATGAATTATTAGAAGTGATAAAATGTATTTTTTAATGAAAATAGAAATGTATAGGGCAGTGTTTTTTAATAATCTCCATTCTAACTGGCATGAAATGGTATCTCATTGTGGTTTTGATTTGCATTTCTCTAATGACCAGTGATAATGCGGTTTTTTTCATATGATTTTTGGCCACATAAATGTCTTTTAAAAATCCAATGTTGAGGAAAAGAAGCAGAATACACAAAAAATGTACCGTATGATTCCACTTTTTAAAGTATCAAATTGGCAAAACCAAACTTGCCTTGTATAAAGTTGCATATTTAGGTGGTTAAAGAAAGTGATTACCAAAAGTATACTATAATTATCCCAGTCAAGTAGATAATTGACATTTGTCAATTGAGATTTGTCAGAAGATTTTGGCAGAATTGGGATTTCTGACAATATTTTGTATCTTCAGACAGAAGGTTTTATTTGGGTATTTGATTTAAGATAATTTGTTCATGTGTGCATTTATGTTTTATACTTTTGTCTGAATGCCTTTTTTGTGTCACAATAAAACTGTTAAAGAACAAAAGAAATAGAATGAAAATTGGAAGTGTCCAACCCCCCAATAATAAGACACATGTGATAGAATCAAAATGCTTTTCATTGATCATAACCAATGACGTTATTCTGCTGGAGTTTCAACTCTAGATATAAAATCATTGGGTAAAACAATTTTGGGTTTAGTTCTCTTGCAACATACATGTCTTTGATAAAGAATTTTTGAATGGCAATTAATTTATGGCAGTTACTTTAATTAGATTCTAATAATAAAAATACAGCCAGCAATTTAAATGATATATCACACTAACATTTATTAAATTTCTTAAAATAGAAATTCAAAATATGAAAATGTAGTAGTGCAAATTACTTTTTTTACTATCTGCTATTCTTTTTGATGAAAAAAAGAAAATAAGAAAGTAAAAAGGAAATAATAAGTGATGACATACTACCAACTGAAAATAATTGTATTGTAAAATATTTATTAACTTTATTTTCCACTTGGCTACAGAATAAGCCACTAAACTTAATTTGACCTAGAAACTAAATATTGTAAGAGTCCCAACAGCCCTAATTAGTTGAAGAAACTGAACTTGTACCACATAACCTTCAAATCATCTCTTTGAATTCACTCTTTGCTTCTAAATCTTGCTGTTTTCCCAAGTGTTTCATGTGTCTCATTTCATATGGTTAATGAAACAACTCAATCAACAAGCCAGGTTTGTACGTGAGTAGATTTAGACTGAGGAGAAATTAATAGACAAGCACTGCCCTATATATTTTTATTTTCATTAAAAAATACATTTTATCACTACTAATAATTCATTCATTATTTGCCTTTTAGAGTGGTCATATATTAATTTTACATATTATTTCTTCTCCAAAAAGATGTCTGCAGGAAAACAGTGTTAATAAGATATATTCACCTTTCTCGTTTTATGATATAGGCATTATAACATTGTCTATAGTGGAAATCATAACCCTTATGACATTATGAGATTGACCTTATTTCTTTTATGTTTCTATACATTTTCTTTCCAGAGTTACTCAATATCATAGCATATTTTATGTGGGTATATATATATATACACACACACATACATACACACAGACACACACAAACCAAAGCATGTATATACACATTGTTGAAAGTTTTAGTTGATAAAATGTTAGAGAATATTTAAATTATTTTTTTTTATTTTATTTTCTGTGATTCGAGAGGAACATATGAGTACTACAAACAAGACACCAGTGGAATCAAAGAATATTGAAGAAACCTTTAATCTTGGGATTCTTTCATCTTCATCTAACTTTTTTAAAAATAAGAAGTAATAAAAGAAAATAGCAGCCTAATATGGCCCAAACTAATACAACTCAATATCTATATTCACTTATTTATGCATGTTTTCATCCTTTCAAGTTTCATATATTCAGTTATTAATTAGTTAGCTTATTCATATATTAATGAATTCATTCTTTCAGCACATATTTGCTTGTCACTATGCACCAGTAACTTATAATAGTCTCTACAGAAATAAAATTTTATCATTGACACACTGAGTTCACAGTCTTCTGTGGGATACAGATCTAAGAACAAATAATTACAGCAGAAACTATATTTTAAATTGCTAATTTTTATTGTAAAATTGTGTGTTATAAGAATATGATACAGACAATCAAGGGTGACTTCACTACTTGAATTGAGTGTTTAAGGTTAGATAAAAATTTCTCAGATGAAGAAAGAAAATAAAGATTCCTTCTCTCCAGAAAGAATAAGAAACAAAGCATGATGGCATTGGCTAGGGGTACAGTAAATTAAGAAATTAGAAGGAAAGAGTGAAGTACCCAGAAAATCTTAAGTAGCTCTTGACATTGGAGATACATCAATCTTCAACACATAATTCAAAATAAAATCACACAAAGCTGAAGTAAAACTATAAGGAATTCAAACATTTCTATTTTCTTCTGAAATGGCCACATGAATATTTTCTTGAAGAAGTACCCAGTATGAATTTTTTTCTAGTGGAAATTCTGGTTTCCTTGCTTTAATGGTCTTTTATACATATATTCAATATCTATAATACTGAAATTGTGGTGAATAATAAATAAAGATAAATACTGTACCCAGTATGCTGAAATTCTGCTTGTAAAAACTTGGTTTACATTCATTATAGCATGAATATCTACAGTGAAAATATGTAGAAATGAAATATTTCAAGGCTTCAGTTATTTTAACTTTAACTTAACTTAAATACCCCTAATAGATTTCTTTAAAAGGCTACTTTCAACTTATATTTTGTTTCAAAACCATTCTTCTTCTATAATATCAAATAAAGTGTAAAATTTTGATACTTATTCAGATAGTTTTTTTGATGTAATTGTGGATATTTTTCTATAAAATTGGTCAAATAATTTTACTTGTATGTAACAAAAGGTTAATTTTTAATTACACTAACTTGTATAAGTCTACACCAGCATGAAGTCACAAGAACTTGCATAATTAATCAATTTATACAGTTTTCTCATTCCATTACATGAAACATGGGTCTGTTATTTGTGTATCATGCACTGTACAGGACTCTCTCTGACTTAATGAAGTTACTCTTAGTCACCTGTGAGGAATAAGAATTTGATATTTGTTTCAGTTTATTTTTTTCCTGATTTGAACAGAAAGTAAGTGGATTATTTCATACATATTTTAATCATATGGTATTTGTTTAAAAACTTAGGGGAGATTAGATTTGATAAGAATCTATCTTTTTAAATACATTTCTCAAAATTTTATAATTTTGCCTAGCCAAATATATATAATTTTGAGAGGGTAAAATGATGTCATAGACATTGAGAATATATCAGACAGATAGCTACATGAGAATATATAGGCTGCCCAAACAGAGAAAACAGTATTTTAGGTAATTAAGCATCTTAATTTCTTGACTTTTCAGTCTTCAAGAAGAACATAAATATGTAAAATGTGCTTTTGGTATTCCAATTAAAAGGAATTGTGGTTTATATAAATGAGACCCTTAGTTATTAACTTAAAAAACATTGGGAATGGGAGGTCACTCGTGATTTGGCTCTCTGCTTGTCTATCGTTAGTGTGTAGAAATGCTTGTGATTTTTGCACATTGATTTTGTGTCCTGAGACCTTGCTGAAGTTATCAGCTTACGGAGTTTTTGGGCTGAGACAATAGGGTTTTCCAAATATACAATCATGTCATCTGCAAAAGAGACAATTTGACTTCCTCTCTTCCTATTTGAATATGCTTTATTTCTTCCTTTTGCCTTATTGCCCTGTACAGAACTTCCAATACTATGTTGAATAGGAGTGGTGAGAGAGGGCATCCTTGTCTTGTGCTGGTTTTCAAAGGGAATGCTTCCAGCTTTTGCCTATTCAGTATGATATTGGCTAAGGGTTTGTCATAAATAGCTCTTATTATTTTGAGATATGTTTCATCAATACATAGTTTATTGAGAGTTTTTAGCATGAAGGGGTGTTGGGTTTTATCCAAGGCCTTTTCTGCATCTATTGAGGTAATCACATGACTTTTGTCATTGGTTCTGTTTATGTGATGGATTACATTTATTGATTTGTGTATGTTCAATCAGCCTTGCATCCCAGGGATGAAGCTGACGTGATCATGGTGGATAAGCTTTTTGATGTGCTATCTATCTGACAAAGGGCTAATATCCAGAATCTACAAGAAACTTAAACAAATTTACAAGAAAAAAAAACAACCCCATCAGAAAGTGGGTAAAGGATAAGAACAGACATTTCTCGAAACAAGACATTTATGTGACCACCAAACATAAGAAAAAAAAGCTCATCATCACTGGTCATCAGAGAAATGCAAATCAAAACCACAATGAGATACTATCTCACACCACTTAGAATGGCAATCATTAAAAAGTCTGGAAACAACAGATGCTGGCGAGAATGTTGAGAAATAGGAATGCTTTTACACTGTTGGTGGGAGTGTAAATTAGTTCAACCACTGTGGAAGACAGCGTGGCGATTCCTCAAGGTTCTAGAACCAGGAATACTATTTGACCCAGCAATCCCGTTACTGAGTATATACACAAAGGATTATAAATGATTCTACTATAAAGACACATGCACACGTATGTTTATTGTAGCACAATTTACAATAGCCCAGACTTGGAACACACCCAAATGGCCATCAGTGATAGACTGGATAAAGAAAATGTGGCACATATACACTATGGAATATAATGCAGCTATAGAAAAGAATGAGTTCATGTCCTCTGCAGGGACATGGATGAAGCTGGAAACCATCATCCTCAGTAAACTGACACAGGAACAGAAAACCAAACACTGCATGTTCTCACTCATAAGTGGGAGTTGAACAATGAGAACACATGGACACAGGGAGGGGAACATCACACACTGGGGCCTGTCAGCAGGTGGGGAGATAGGGGAGGGAGAGCACTAGGACAAGTACCTAATGCATTCAGGGTGATTTTTAGGGTTGATGGGTGCAGCAAACCACCATGGCACATGTATACCTATGTAACAAACCTGCATATTCAGCACATGTATCCCAGAAATTAAAGTAAAACAGAAAAATTTAAAAAAAAATTGAATTCCTGAAAACTAATAATAATCAGGATAAAGTAATCAGGGTAACATGTAACAACCATATTATAACACAATCTTTCAGAAGCAGGAAGACAATGGTTTGTCTTTTGATAAGAGTGGTAGAAAATTTAGCATCTATGTCTGTATCTACACACATAGAAAATAAAAAAAAAACTATTAAAAAGCTAAATGCCTATTTTCTATAATTGGATTCCTGTCCCTTGAAGTTGAAAAAAGTAAAAAGTAGAACTAACCTATCTCCTGTTTTCTATCATTCCCTAGTATTGCTACACACAACCCAATTATGACAGTACTGGTTGAGTACCTAGATACTGAAGCTTGAAAAAGTGGAATGTTTGTGTGTGTGTGTGTGTACTGACAAACAGCCACCAACCCCACCACCACACACACAATAAAGAATAGAAGTTAGAATTTCTGAAAGGCTAATAGTTAAATATGAATTGTTATAACTAATAAGAGCTAAGTTTTTAGCCCTTCTCAGTTCCAGGTCTTAAAAAAAAATATGAAGGTTATCTGTTTTTAGCCTCTTCACTATACTTTGTGAACAATGGCCTCAACCTTCCTTCCAGTATAATAAAATAGACACAGCAAGCTGCCAGTATTAGTCCATTTTCACACTGCTATAAAGACATACGTGAGACTGGGTAATTTATCAACAAAATTGATTCACAATCCTGCATGGCTGGGGAGGCCTCAGGAAATTTACAATCATGGCAGAAGGGGCAGAGGCGGGTCTTACATGGTGGCAGGCAAGAAAGAGAAGTGTGAGTAGCAAAGGGGAAAGAGCCCCCAGTAAAACCATCAGATATCATGAGAACTTACTATCACAAGAAGAGCATGGAGGGAACTGCCCTTATGATCCAATCACCTCCCACCAGTTCTCTCCCTAGACATTTCGGAATTATAGGGATTACCATTTAAAACAAGATTTGGGTAGGGACACAAAGCCTAACCATATTGCTGCCATTAATCTTACAATCACAATCCAGTTCACAAACACTGTCAAAGATAGTGAACTTTGCAGCTTCCTCATCAGGAAGCTTGTGATGAAGCTTTCCAGTTCATCATGATGATGAGATAATTGGAAATTGTTGACAACTGTATTTACAAAATTATAAAGACATCTTCTTTTCTTTTCTTTTTTTTTTTGAGACGGAGTCTCGCTCTTTCGCCCAGGCCGGACTGCAGTGTTGCTATTTCGGCTAACTGCAAGCTCCACCTCCCAGGTTCACGCCATTCTCCTGCCTTGGCCTCTGGAGTAGCTGCGACTACAGGTGCCCGCCACCGCAACCGGCTAATTTTTTATATTTTTAGTAGAGACGGGGTTTCACCGTGTTAGCCAGGATGGTCTCAATCTTCTGACCTCGTGATCCTCCCACCTTGGCCTCCCACAGTGCTGGGATTACAGGCGTGAGCCACGGTGCCCAGCCCTTTTATTTTCTTTAAATTTAAAAATGTATTTACCTTAACAGAATTTGTCTCATGGTTCTACATTTTCTACTTACCACAAAATAATGCTAGGCTTCCTATTTCTGTTTCTTCCTTCTCATTATCTTTTCTTGTAATATGTGTTCATCATTGGCTAGAATATAACTGATTTTTAATGTTTCGTTGTCACTACACATACGATTGAGGTGTGGATAGAATCTTGTTTTTCTATGCTTATATCTGGTTAGTTCAAAAACATTATTAAATCTGTTTTATATTTCCTTATTATTATGGTGTTGGGCACTGAAAAATAAATAGCATAACTAAAAGTCAAGCAGCCTCTTATTTCACAGAAAAATATTTGAAATAGAGCAGTGGAAAAAATTGGTATGAACATATCGCTTTTAAGTTAATGGAGTAAAGGTAAAAGGTATCAAAATGAGTTTATTGTGTCTTAAGACCAGTGTGTTTAGAGAACAATCTAAGGTTAAGGCCAATAACTGGATGAATAAATTGAGAAGGCACAAATATTTGTATTAAAAATAGTAGTATGTGAAAAGGAGCAAAATAAAGCTCTTATAATCTCAGAATCAATAGCAGCACAAGTATGGGGAGCCTAGGAAGAATGTAAACTAAGAAAAGACATAGAATGTGAGTAGAATGTAGACAGAAACCAATCAAAGCAATGCAGTATTTGATAAAGGCAAATTTTTTAGCTTATTAAGAAAATCCTTGACTAGGAAGTAAAGAAAATTTAAGAAATTTTATTAAATAAAATACAGAAATTGCTTAGAAAACAATACTACTATTAATTTTTACAGGAGTTGGATTTGATTGTGGATACAATATTTTAAAAACTAACAACAACAAAAAGGAAGGAGTGGAGACTTGAAAAAGAAAGTTTTCAAACAGATAGAAGGACAAAGGATATGCGTCACTCATTTATAGGCCAGTCTAAAAGAAGAACATTAGCTTCCTTCTTAGAAACAGAACAAAATGATAGGTTACTGTGGATGCTAAGGTTATAAAACTCAATTAGTTTGAACTTTAGGGACATGTTGTAATTGCAAAAATGACCACAAATCATTCCTTTTTATCCAAGCCTTTTGGTTGTTTCCTACACACTGAATCTGTGCAGGTCATGGGACTTCCTTTGGTCAATGGGACATCAGCAAATATAACACAAGCAGAGGGTGACAAGAGCTGTATGCTGGGTCTTGATGCTATTGGAAAGCTAAGAACAAGTATGAGCTTAAAATGAGATAGTATGCTGGAGGATGAGAGGTCAACTGGAGCAGATTTGAGTGTTCCAGACTACACTCAGCCAGGCCCTGCATGTCCCAGCAGCTGACTACAGAGGCATGAACCATCCTCAGTTGTGATCAGCTGAACCTGAACCAGACCAGAAGGTGTGCCTATATGAGGCTAGCCCAGGTTTCCAGATTGCAAAATTGTGACCTCAAAAAATGGTCGTTGCTTTAAATGTTTTGTAGCAAAAGCTAACTTATTTAAGCATTAAAATGAATTATTCTGATGTGGCTAAGAAAATAAATGATCTATAATTCCCAATCTTATCTTCATGTTCTCTAGACATGGTTACAAAACGGATGAAAACCAAAATTGATAGGAAGCTCCTGGCATTTTGTCTATTATTAAAGGTGACAAAAGCCTATGAACATTTTAATGACACAGAGTTACTGCTTAAAAGAATGCTCTGGAGCCTGCTGTGCAAGTCAAACATATCATCTGAACATACCTGCTGGCTCCTCTCCATCTGGAAGTCATGCAACAGAAAATGTACCTTTGTTCATAGAGTGGGAATCTCTTTCCTATCCCAATTTGAAACAGAAAAAGGCAAGTATGTCACAGCACACCTTGATGCTAACCTTTGCCAGCAGCTCCAGGTGGAAAAGTCAGACTCTAATTGTTAAGAATTTTATACTCTTTGAAAGCAGACTGTTCTTTAATGAGAGTCATGGGTACTGAAAAAGAAACTCACTTTGCATTTTTTTCCTTTATTTGCAATGAGGTTAGGACTCTTAATGATATATGCAACAGGTAATTCAACTCCTTTAGAATAATTAAGGGATGGAGGCAAGAAATTAAGAACAATTTTATTTTCAAGGATATCTGAGGTGCACAAGAGGATATAATCTCTAAAGAAATTTTAGAAATGAAGAAACAAAAACAAAAGGACAAAATATTGAACAATTTACTCAGCATTTTGGAAATTCATTTTTGCTTAGAGTTACATTTTCCTCTTGTGTGAGAGGATAAATTCACCACTGTTCTTATTTATCAATCACTAGAATCAGAGCAGTATATTAAATATAGCAATGATTTGTAATAGGTCAGAGATTATAAAACACAATGACTAAAAGATTTATAGGATGAAATTAATATAATATAATATGTGTTCACTGCTATGTATGTGATTTGACAGATTTTCTAAACTTATTTGTGCCTGTTTTATTATTTACAAAATAGCATAAATAGAAACATTTGCTTTGTAACCTTCTGTTATCGTTTATTTATTTATTTATATAATTTTATGAGAGACAAGGGTAATTTTGTTAATGCATAGATTGCGTAGTGGTGAAGTCAGAGGTTTTAGGGTATTCAGCCTTCAAAAAACATACATAGTACCCATTAAGTAATTTCTCGTCTTCCATTTCCACTCCCTCCCACCCTTCTGAGTCTCCATTGTATATCATTCTCTATGCCCATGTGTACATATTATTTAGCTCCCATTTTTAAGTGAGAACGTGCAATATTTTGCTTTCAGTGTGTCAATTGTTTCACTTAAGGAAATGACCTCCAGTTCCATCCTTGTTGTAGCAAAGACATAATTTCATTCATTTTTAAGGCTGAATAATATTCCATTATACATATATACCACATTTTCTTCATGCAACCAGTTGTTGATGGACACTTAAGTTGATTGCATATCTTTGCTATTGTGAATAGTACTGCAATAAACATACAAGTACAGGTGTCTTTTTGATATAATAATTTTTGGGGGGAGGTAAATACCCAGTAGTAGGATTCCTGAATCAAATACCCATTGGAAGTTGAGATTATGCATGCAAATATCTTAGCACAGTTCATGATGCAAGAAAAGCATTTAAAATTTTATCTTTTGGAGGAGTATTGTTGATAGTTATTATATTCCCAAATTTAAAAATGTAAGGAGTGATTTAAGATCCATATATGTTATTTCTACAAATATCAATTTACATATGTTGTATATAAATTCCTTAAATGAGTTATTGAGTGTAACTGTTGACAATAATGTTACAATTTTACAATCATTTTAATAAATGTTTCTCCTAATTTTATGTCTTAATCAAATTCTGAAGGCAAAAAGCAGTCATATTTTCTCATCACTGATTTGCTTGTTCTTAAGGTGAAGCAATAAAATGGCATAGTTATAATGTACTGATGCATTGGGTATACAAAGGGAACTAGTGTTGCTCTGTCCGATATTTGGACAGAATTATTAATTAGGATTGGATTAATTTTAACTCCTAGCCAAATTTCTATTTGGAACTGGTGTTGCTCTATCTGATATTCGGGCAGAATTAACGGTTAGGATTAGATAAATTTTAACTCCTAGCCAAATTTCTATTTGTCATCTCATTTTCATTGAGGAAGGAAGCCTATTAGAAGATTTTACAATGTAGCAACAATTTTAATTCTTAAAGTTCGGAAATGTCTGTAAAATAGAAGAACATGATCAATGAAAATTCAGCTGATGACTAAAGTGTGACAATGAAGTATAGGAGCTGGCTCACGCTGTGTCACAAGAACTGATCGTGCTCATCTCTTCCCAAGTCCAGGTTCTATGACATCATCTTAGTAACTTAACATTAACCATAATGAGAGTATTTACACCTTGAAAGTTGGCAAATTTCAAATCTCTGAGGGTAAATTTCTATCCCAGTTGAATGTATTGTTAAATATTAACAGCACACTACTCAGTGTGTTTCAGTTGGAATCCAGCCAAAAAATGTGGATCCCTCTAGATATTTCAAACAGAAATAATAAAATACAGGGAATTGGATACACAGATAATGAACAGGTTGAAAATTAGAACTGGCAATGGTGGGGCGGACCAGAGATTAACAATAGCAGGAAGTTCCCATCATCCTTAGGGTTAAGGAGACACAGGGAGGAGAAGATACTGCCTGTGCGTCCAAACTCAGATCATCTGGTGGATACTAGAGTTGCAACTGGGGATTCTTGAAAGAGCTGGGTCCATCAAAGTTGGATCGCTCCATCAAACGCTGAAAACATGTTGGAAACACAGCCACTGGCTACTACTTAGAGTGATGCCACTGCAAGTAGAAAGAACAAGAAATACCAGACTTCTCCATTTCTTTGGCTTTACATCCTCCTGCCGATTCCTTCCATGGACTGAATACAGTTGGAAGCCATTTTACAAAGGGACTTGTAAAGCAAATTCTTTCAGATTTGTTTTCCCCCTCTTCCCCCTCTTTCAGCCACAATACAGAGCAGAATAAGAATAGAGTAAGAAATGGATCTGAAAGCCAACAAATTGTCTTCACAGAGCCCATGAAATAAAGTTTATCATGTAGGAATACTGACTATACACAGTGAGCCATGGGAGTTGAAGTGGATCAGTGATTTTTTTTGTACCACAGAGCAGCTGATCTACCAACATGAACCAGAGTGTGCATTCTAGCAAAATCAGGAGCTGTGAGTTTGTGTGGGTGTGTGCAAGTGTGTGTGTATGCGAATGTGTGTGCATACTGAAATAAATATGGAAACAAATTCTTAACATTTCAGTACCAAAGCAGCCTTGCTATTGAAATACATCCTCAACTACTCTTACAACCACCAATGAATTTAACCCTGAAAAAATTTTTCCCATTTTATGAAGCCTCAGAAACCTCAAATATCATGAGTTTTGATAGTGTGATTGGAGTAAATCAGTAGAAATTTGCCCCTCAAAAGAGATGTAAACCCTTGCAGGGAAAGATATACCAGCCGTTGTGTCACTCACCAAAAAACTGTAAAGAGTAGGAGTGCTGTAAGACAATTCAGTGAACTAGAGTCTCATCCAAAGGTGTATATCCCAGAAATGGCAGAGTTTGAAAGTAAACAATTAATGGCGGCACAGGTGAACTTATGGGTGCAGTTAAGATGACTTTGGGAGTCGTAACGAATACTTTTATTTATGGTGGAGGGTATCTACATGGATACACACTTTTGGAGAACAATACTTGATCCATTATGAAAGCAAAATTAGGGTACTGATATTAATAACGTCTTTTCCCCCCAAATACTAGTGAGATCTTTAGTTATCCAGGTTAACCTGGGGTGGTTAAAAAAGTAAATCACTATAGCATAAATCGAATAATGAATTGTTTCTTAAATAACAAACTAATGTTGATACTGCTTAGGTTTTGAACTTTAATAGTCCTAAAAATAATTTATATATTTTAAATTTCATAGCATAAATAACTGCTATGATATGCACACAGAGACATATACAAATACACGTACATGTAAGACAAAATGGTTCTCTTTAGCTGTCTCTGAAGCTGTTAATACATTTTATAAGATTAGCTAATATAGGCTTATAAATAATCTCACATAAACTCAAGAGTATATCTCATTACTGTATGTACATTATGCCAGCGGATATATAATATTTTTATATGATATAAATTTTTTAATTATTTTTATCCTTAAAAGGTAATCAAAGAGGAAGTTTGGGTTGTTATTTTTTTAGGTAATAAGAGCCAGATGGTTGGTATCAAACATTTACTCTTGGGTGTTCAATGTGATATCAAGGAATAGGAAAGCAAAGGGCCATGTCTTTCAAAGAAAAAGCAAGGTTCAGTACATCCACAAAACAGTAGGATAAGTCTACTTAAGGGATCTCATTTGTGCTGGGTGCTACATTAAAATCTTCAGGGTTAAATTAACCTCCTAGCTGGAAAAAGACATGCAACAAACTTGTTGTTTAAACAAGAAATATACAGAAACAGTGTCGGTAACAAAGATTGAATTTCTCCCAAAACAATAGTTTAGTTTACTTTTTTGAAGAGACAAATAGTTCATTTTTTCCCCACTACACCTGAATCTCAAAGTACTCTATTGAAATCTGCTCCAACGCACCACTAAAGATGATATTTAGTTCAAGCTGTAATGTTAGTAGACCCCTTATATAGGAATTCAATGCCTAAATATGTGTCTTAATATTTCTGGACCGGTTTTATGTGATATTTTGTGAAAGTCAATCATCTGTGTCACTTTTAACTTTAATTTAGTGTTTTCATGTAGAAATGCCTAATAACCATATTGCCTGAACTACCTTGATGCTAGGAGTTATTATTTAGTTCAATAAATAATTTTTCCTTACATTTTACTTTCATTAAAAACTTATTCAGAATTTATCTTCATATTTTTATGACATCAGTGTAAATAATGGTTAGGTTTCAGGAAAATGATTTTCAGATAAACAGGCTTTTTAAAATTGTTTTCACTTTGTCACTCATATAAGTCATTGACTCCTTCCTTCTTCAGTCCTATGGCTATCTCAGGGACTCTCTTTCAAATACCCACTTTCCTTTCCTGTAATGAAATGATGATATGGTTTGGCTGTGTTCCCACACAAATCTCATCTTGAATTCCCACATTAGTGGGAGGAACCTGGTGGAAGGTAATTGAATCATGGACGGTGGCAGGTCTTTCCCATGCTGTTCTGGTGATAGTGAATAAGTCTTATGAGATGTGATGGTTTTTAAAAAGGGGAGTTTCCCTGCACAAGCTCTCTCTTTTTGCCTGCTGCCATACATGTAAGATGTGACTTGCTTCTCCTTGCCTTCTGCTATGATTGTGAGGCCTCCCCAGACACGTGGGACCATGAGTCCATTAAACCTCTTTTTCTTCCCAGTCTTGGGTGTGCCTTTATTAGCAGCATGAAAATGGACTAATAAAGATGCATAAGAAGTACAGATTTAACACCCATTATTTATCTTTCCATTTTAGTTTAATATTTATATTAAAAAATATAAAATAAATAATGCTCAGTAGAGTTTTCAAACAAATTAAACTTTTGTTTGGGAAGAATTTGTTACATGTAAAAAAGTCAATGTAATTCATTAGTGATAATCTGCCCCACCCACAAAGGGTGTTGTTAGACAGAGGATTTTTATTAAAGTATTGTTATCTTCATAAAGGTATTTCCCAACTTGAAGGCAGTGGTGAGACCAAGTGTAGTGAAACACAAAGAGAGAAGAGAGGTTCGTCATACTACTGTAGAATTGATAGAGGTGTGGATTCGTCCAGGTCCCAAATCTGAAAGGAGTGAAGCCTGGATATAGGTGGCAGATTTATGTGAGCAGAGAGGAACCCATACAGTGGATGTGCTGCCAAATGAATGCTTTGAAATCTAGGTACCCTTTTCTTCAGCTGCCAGTAGTTTTGGCTGCTGAAGAATGAAATTTCCTGGGTTAGTTTCCTACTGAAAAGAGTTTCTAGCTGTCTCACTTATGGCTATAGCCATCTATGGGATGACTAACTAACCTGGAAGTACAAAAATCTCTTCTCCATTGCTTCAATTCATGACAACTCTAAAGGACCATTGACCTTCAAGCAAGATTTTGGATTATCTGAGAACTTTACTGGGATTGAGTTGCAAGTCAGTTTCCCTGTTTTCCCAGTCTCCCCTCTTTCTCTGAAAGCATTCCCCAGTATACTTTCTCCTAGCTAGTATACATCTCAAAGTCAATTTCCTAGGTATTCTAACCTAAGTGAGTCCCAGAAAAGGAAACAGAGCTCATACCAGATCGGCCAAGAAAGAGGTCAGGTTTGAAATGATCTTTCAGTTTTGAGTTTTTACCTACATCAGTCTGTTGTCAGATACCAGCATTAGAAGTTAGTACATGGTTGGGATTAAGCATATCATTAAATAATCCCTTAAACATATTTTAAAAAGTAATTGATAATTCATTTATTAACCTGATGCAGTGACTATTAGGAAAAATGAAATGAGGAATTATTGGGCCTGTGAGAGTTACAGTCTAGGAGATAAGGTTTCTGCACAAATAATAGAAGGTAGAAGATGGGTATTAAATATAAAAAAAATAGCAATGAGGTCAGGAAAAGAATATTTTTTTACTTTCCACATATTATTAAAAATTATGATATTTGTTCTTCTGCATCTAGCTTATTTCACTTAACATAATGTTCTCCAGTTCCATCCATGTTGTGGGAAATGGCAGGATTTCATTCTTTTATATGACTGAATAATAGTCCATTGTGTATGTGTACAACATTTTCTTTATCTACTCATCCACTGAAAGACACTTACATTGACTTCATATCTTGGCTACTGTGAATAGTTCATGGAGACAGAAAATAGAATGATGGTTACCAGAAGGTGAGAAGGGTAGGGAAGGGTGGAAATAAAGGGAAGATGGTTAATGGGTAAAAAAAATACAGTTAAACAGAAGGAAATGAATATGGTGGTTAGTAGCATATTAGGGCTTTTCTAGTTAACAATAATTTATATTATATTTCAAAACAACTAAAAGAGCTGAATTGGAACTTTCCTAACATAAAGAAATGATAAATATTTGAGGTGAGAGATATCCCAGTTACCCTGGTTTGATCATTACATATTATATGCCTGTATCAAAATATCCTATGTATTCCATGCACATATACAACTATTATGTATTCATAATAACTAAACATTATTTTTTAAATTAAAGAATTATTGCCTCTTGCCTAGAAGATCAGAGGTGGTCTGCAGTTTCAAGGGCTGCTGTGTGAAAGTGATAGTAGATAAGGTTTGAGGGAAAGAAAGATATCTAGTTGTCTGAATGCTGGATAAAAATTTCTATATTAATTTGGAATTAATTGGCTAGAATATGAGATGGGAAGAGATGCTGTGGAAAGAAAGATAATTGGTTATTTCATTTGTTATGGGAGCTGACATCAAAGTTCAGTATTTAGCAAAATGTCATCTAGAGTTGGGAAAGCTGAAACTGTACTTCTTACCCGCCTGTTGGGAGACACATAGAACAATTGCCAGAAACTCAAAACAAAATGCCCCCTACTTCTTAATTTAAAAGTTGTATTCTCCTTCTTTAAAATATGTTTGTATGTAGGAACAGAAAACCAAATACCACGTTCTCATTTGTAAGTGGGAACTAAACATTAAGTACACGTGGACACAAAGAGGGGAGAAATAGATACTGAGGCCTACTTCAGGGTAGAGGGTGGAAGGAGAGTGAGGATCAAAAAACTATCAGGTACTGTGCTTATCACTTGGCTGACAAAATAACCTGTACACCAAATCTGCACAACATGCAATTTATCTGTACAACAAACCGGCACATGTACCGTAAACCTAAAATGAATGTCTAACAAATCGATAAAATAACATAAAATAGTTTACAGAAGACTGTGCCTCAGGCACCAACAAAATAGTGCCCAGTCAGCAGTAATAAGGGAAACAGTTGCTGGTATTGCTTTCTGCTATGGCTAGGAACTTTGGAGAAAGAGACAGAGAGACCACCAGTTTGTGGTCAAGACTTGCAAAATTTAGGCACCATTTATTTCTATGTTCTTAGCCACTTCTTGCTAAATCCCTGGAAAAACCCACTTTTTTTCTGTCAGCATAGGTTAAGGAGTCTCAGTTGTGGTTATGGAGCTGACTTTTTCTTTTTTATAGTTCATTTTTTCTTCACTACACCTGACTCCTAGAATACATTGTGTCTGATTTTTATGTAAAAGTGAAATGTCATCATTTACATGATGTGTACCACATTTATGCTTAATTAACATGTAAAAAAAATAACCTGTGTCAGGTTACCATTACTATACATTCTGTTTAAATTCTATACTATAACCAAATTGAAAAACATGTTCATCTTATATATAATTCCTACTGAATTTTTTAGCTATTTGTCCATACACATATATACCATAAATATATCTCCCAAATTTAAAGAAAACACTGGAACTTAATTTACACTACCTTAATGCAAAAAAAAAGTGTGATCAAAGATAAAACATTTCAATAACTAATATACACCTTAATTGACATATTAAAACCATTAGAACTGAATTAAAACATATAGATTCTAAGCTTTTAAATGGCTTCTAAGACAGAGACCCAGGAACCCATTCCAAGCAAAATTGAAAGCAACCATTCTGAAGTTAAGAACAGTAGTAGTTTAACAGCCCCCAATAATGTCTGTTTGGAACAAGGCAATTAACTGCTACATCCAACGAAAATTGCCATGGGAATTTAGGTAGGTACAGTGTAATTAACTAAATTAGAAGTAATGGAAATGTTACACTTAAGCAGTAGTAAGAGTGCATAGAGATTTGATACACTGTGATAGTTTGTGGTCCATTTGAACTCCTACATACAATTAAAAGACATTTCTTCTAAAAAGATCAAGGGATTTTTATCAGAGAAAATGACTGCTGCTTGCCAGCTCTTTTCCTAATGAACTTTAAAATGTCTATTTTGTACATGTGCCAATTGGCCTCATTTTCTCTTTAGGCAGGAGGCTGATGCCATGCTCATGTCACTCCTATCTGGATAACAGTGTTGCAGTGGAAAGTGACATTGTCCTTTCAACCTAGTCCCAGATCCAAACTCTTGCAGTTAGTACATTTCCAGTAGGTCCAAAGGAAATGACATTCAGGATCTAGTTAGACAGTAAAAGACATTAACATTAAGTTAATTTTAGTTTCAAGTAAGATTTAGTTAAAATAATGTTTATTGTCTAGTGATTCTTTTTTTTTTTTTTTTTTTTTTTGAGACGGAGTCTCCCTCTGTAGCCCAGGCTGGAGTGCAGTGGCGCATCTCGGTTCACTGCAAGCTCCGCCTCCCGGGTTCACGCCATTCTCCTGCCTCAGCTTCCCGAGTAGCTGGGACTACAGGCGCCCGCCACCACGCCCGCCTAATTTTTTTTTTTTTTTTTTTTTTTTTTGTAGAGACGGGGTTTCAGCGTGTTAGCCAGGATGGTCTCCATCTCCTGACCTCGTGATCAGCCCTCCTCGGCCTCCCAAAGTGCTGGGATTACAGGCGTGAGCCACCGCGCCTGACTGTCTAGTGATTTAAGACTAAGAACTGCAGAATTGTTACCTTTCAATTATGGCCTTTAAATTTACTTTTTATGGAATCCATAATAAAAAATGTATTTATACAGATGCCATAATAAAAAAAGGACTAAAAATTTTACATTTGTGTTTTTCATGGAGAATAATTTTACTTAAATATTTACCCATTTGGTAAATTATCAAAAGTGTAGGCCAAAGAAATTATTAGAGTCAGATGAATTTTAGCCATTCATCACCCTTCCCCCCAAATGTTACTGAAAACACAATAAAGACTAAATAGGGAAGAATTAGTTTTGCCTGAGCTTTGAGCTGTTTTCTGAAAGCTCTGCTGCACATTGCAATCGTATACACAAATCTAACCACCGTGTATTCCTAAAGGAGGCTGTTTGTAAGAAACCGAACAAAAAGTGGTATGATCATCATAGATGGAATGATTGTCATTCTGCTTCTTTTTTTTAACCAAAATAATTAATAAAATTATATTGCTCATAATACATGAAATAGATATGAAAAATAAAATGAAAGAACAAATCAATATTTTGTTTTTCATCCACAAAAATGTGTTTTTTATTTTTTGTTTTTTCATTTTAAAAGAATTTCACTTACTCTCCATTCAGGAAACCACTATTAAATTTCAGTTGTTCATATAACCTCCAAATATTGCCTATGCCTAAATATGATAAAGCTGCTCACCCAGGAGAATATTCCGCCATTCCTAGTCTTTTAAAATTCTAATTAAATTATTTTTGTGTTATCATTGTTGTTAATGTGTTTATTGCCAATCTCCTCTCAGTTGAATATTAAACACTGGGATCCAACATTTTCTTTTTTTTTTTTGAGACAGAGTCTCACTTTGTCGCCCAGGCTGGAGTGCAGTGGCACGATCTCAGCTCACTGCAACCTCCGCCTCCTGGGTTCAAGCAATTCTCTTGCCTCAGCCTCCTGAGTAGCTGGGATTACAGTCGCACGCCACCACGCCCGGCTAAGTTTGTATTTTTAGTAGAGACGGAGTTTCTCCATGCCGATCAGGCTGATCTCGAACTCTTTACCTCAGGTGCTCTGGCCTCCTCGGCCTCCCAAAGTCCTGGGATTACAGGTATGAGCCATGGTGCCTGGCCCAAACACTTTCTTTTATTTTATGCTGCATTATCCAGGACTTTAACAGTGCCTGGAATGCAATACCTGATATTCAGTAAATATTAGTTTATGAACAAAATAGTATTCTCATCATCATTTAAAATTATATTCTAACTTGTCAAAGATAAGTAATTAGTTTATATTTCATTTCCTAATTGCATTTTAGTTTAATTTTTATCATAATTGTATAACATTAATAGAGACATACTAATAAGAGCAATATTGAGAGGTGACAGCGTGCTGGCAGTCCTCAGAGCCCTCGCTTGCTCTCGGCACCTCCCCTGCCTAGGCTCCCACTTTGGTGGCATTTGAGGAGCGCTTCAGCCCCCCACTGCACTGTGGGAGCCCCTTTCTGGGCTGGCCAAGGCTGGAGCCCACTCCCTCAGCTTGCAGGGAGGTGTGGAGGGAAAGGCGCGAGCGGGAACCGGGGCTGCGTGCGGTGCTTGCGGGCCAGCTGGAGTTCCCGGTGGGCGTGGGCTTGGCGGGCCCCGCACTCGGAGCAGCCAGCCAGCCCTGCTGGCCCCAGGCAATGAGGGACTTAGCACCCGGGCCAGTGGCTGCAGAGGGTGTACTGGGTCGCCCAGCAGTGCGGACCCACCAGCGCTGTGCTCGATTTCTTGCCGGGCCTTAGCTGCCTTCCTGCGGGGCAGGGCTCGGGACCTGCAGTCCACCATGCCTGAGCCTCCCACCAACTCCAAGGGCTCCTGTGCGGCCGGAGCCTCCCGGAGGAGCACTACCCCCTGCTCCATGGGGCCCAGTCCCATTGACAACCCAAGGGCTGAGGAGTGCGAGCGCAGGGCGCGGGACTGGCAGGCAGCTCCACCTGCAGCCCCCATGCGGGATCCACTAGGTGAAGCCAGCTGCGCTCCTGAGTCTGGTGGAGACGTGGAAAGTCTTCATGTCTAGCTCAGGAATTGTAAATACACCAATCGGCACTCTGTATCTAGCTCAGGGATTGTAAACACACCAATCAGCACCCTGTGTTTAGCTCAAGGTTTGTGAGTGCACCAATCGACACTCTGCATCTAGCTGCTCTGGTGGGGCCTTGGAGAACCTGTGTGTGGAAACTCTGTATCTAACTAATCTGATGGGGACTTGGAGAACCTTTGTATATAGCTCAGGGATTGTAAAGGCACCAATCAGCGCCCTGTCAAAACAGGCCACTCGGCTCTACCAATCAGCAGGATGTGGGTGGGGCCAGATAAGAGAATAAAAGCAGGCTGCCCGAGCCAGCAGTGGCAACCCCCTTGGGTCCCTTTCCACACTGTGGAAGCTTTGTTCTTTCGCTCTTTGCAATAAATCTTGCTACTGCTCACTCTTTGGGTCCACGCTGCTTTTATGAGCTGTAACACTCACCACGAAGATCTGCAGCTTCACTCCTGAACCCAGCAAGACCACGAGCCCACCGGGAGGAATGAACAACTCCAGACGCTGTCTTAAGAGCTGTAACACTCACCGCGAAGGTCTGCAGCTTCACTCCTGAGCCAGCGAGACCACGAACCCACCAGAAGGAAGAAACTCAGAACACATCTGGACATCAGAAGGAACAAACTCCAGACGCGCCACCTTAAGAGCTGTAACACTCACCACCAGGGTCCGCGGCTTCAGTCTTGAAGTCAGTGAGACCAAGAACCCACCAATTCCGGACACAATATCATTAGTTAAGTTGTATTTTTTATTTGCTACACAATTACTAACAAAAAGCATGTAATATATTAACCAAATTTAAAAATTTGAAATAAAATCAGATTCAAACATAGCTTTCAAAGAATTATGTCAAAGCCCTTTTTCTTAATGGAAAACAGTATTTAAAACTGTACATATGCTGGTAAGAGTTTTTGTGAGTTAGACAAAACTTTTAGAGAAAGAGAAGTTGTTTTTACCTACAGAAGGTGGAGTAATAGCTGTTAAGACTTCTCATCTACAGCATTAAAAGGCAGAAAAGAATATATTTAAAGAAGTCAGAGAAAAACAAACTGATACTAGAATTTTCTATCTGGCTAAATTTGAGAAAATATCATATTTACAAAATGACAAACTTTTCAGAAAATGTCACCCATAATGTTTTCTCAAAGGATACTTTTATCTATTGAAGTACTTAAATGAAAAAACAGTTTTTAGTTCTACATAAATGTTGTTAATTTAATTGTTTACCTAAACCTTGTATCTTTGAACACAAGAAATACTTCATCAATGTAATACAAAAATGACTGAGAAAAAAATTAAATCACAATCTTGGACCTATTAAATGTGAGTAATTCATAAGCAACAAAAAACGAAAGACTACACATTGACAATTTATTACTTCTCTCTAAAAATAGTTCTTTGGCACGTAAATTCAAGCTACTATGGCCTGGCAATACTTACAGTTCTGAAAAACTTCTTCACTGTGTTTTGTGAACCTTGAAACATGCTCCTATAATATTAAAGACAAGGAAAACAATCCTCCAAATTTACTAGGGCTAGAGACACGGAATATTCTCACTAACTCAAATCTATTTTACATAAGCTACAGTTAAATAGAAAGGCATAATTTTGTCCTGGTCCATTTTACTCTTCAACATTTGATACTCTGTAATTCCAAAGAGATTTATTACATAAAATGTTCTGCATGCGATGCAATTTTTTTTATTCACTAATATATCTCTGCCCTGAAATTTTTACCTCCTTTACAATGTAGAGAAAAGGCAAAGAAATAAAATACATTTCTGTTAAAATAAGTTGATGCACTTTGATGCAATAGTTGCAACTCTGTACTAGTGATGCTTGTATTTTATTTGGAAGTCTTTTACAGGCCAAGCACTACTAGAAACTTTGGAAATTTAATATAATTAAATAGGCAAATGCGTCACAACTATCTCTTTTTGGTTTCAGATATAATTAAATAAACATAACCTAAATTCTAAAATAGTTACTTAATATTTTTTCCATTAAAATAGCTAAACTATGTAAGATATAAACATAAAATACATATAATGCTTTCATAAAATTACAAGAAAAGAGTAGCTAGTTAGAATAAATATTTTGGAAAATATGCATCTTTGTAAAAATCAATAGAAATAATTCTTTTCTCAAGTTTACAGAAAAATTTAGAAATGATGAGATAGGCATAAATGTTTAATTTTAACTAATTTTTAAAATAGATATTATGTTTCTGTACTGATCCATGATAACACATCGTCAATACTCAATTTTTTTCCAGTATATTATCTTGCACATAGTAAAGTATGCATAATACACATTTGTTTAAAGGTAATTTAAAAATATGAAACAATAAACTTAAATTTTGAAAATAGGTAGAAAATGCTAGGGTTTCCTATACTATTACTTTGCTTTGGTTACATTGAGAAGTTACCATTGTATACTTCTACTCTTACAAGTAAAATGTACTGAAATAAAAAATCATTTTACTCTTCCTTAGGTGTATAATTTGGGCACATGTATTTATCACTGAAATCCCCATGGCCTACAAATGCAATATTTTAAATTATTTATACCAATAAACATTCAGAACATAGAGCCTTCATGCATCTTTAAGAAAATGAATTCCACTGTTTAAATATTTTTGAACATAAGTACAATATCAAATTATTTCACATGTGTTCTCATTCAGGTTACATCATTAATATAAGTTTTGAAATTGAGTTTTAACTATTATTTTGGTAAAGGCAATGTTGAATCTTTCTTTGAAAAAAAATGCAGAGTAGCTCTAAAGAAGGTATTGTATGTATTTTCAATTGCTTACATTAAAACACGTCATACTGCCCTTCCAAATCTTTCTCTCCGCATCATTAACATGATGAAAACTTGGCATCAATATATACAGAAAAGAAGAAATTGTATTAATAGCTAATAATAAGATAATACTTTTTGTTCTTAGTACAGCTTTAAGCTCATAGCACGTATTAATTTACTTAATTACCACAGAAATCTTATTTGGATGGTAGTAGCATTAATACATTATCAATCTTACCTAACAGAAGACAAAATAGAAATAGTCAGAACTAAAGTAATTTCCCCAAGGTCACACAATTTGAAAAGGACAGAGGCATGACTCAAACCCAGATGGTCTGGCTCCAGATATAGTACTCTTATTCTCTAATTTTCACTAGCTTTCTAAAGTTTTAACATATATTAACAGAATCACAACATCCTGTTGCTATATTGCAATTAAAATGATAACATGGAGTGTTTAAATTGGCAGTGATATTGCCTTCACTTTTTATAACATATTGGAGCATTTAACATGTGGCAGCTAAATCTTAATTACCTTTAGATAAAAAGATTTATCTTGTATATTTTTACTCTATGCCCATAGTTTCAGAGAGAATATTTTAATTAGAAATTGACTTTAACTGATGTACACTAGTAATCCTGGTAAAGAAGAAAATAACTAGCTACTTGAATTATGTTTTTATTGATCCATCTTACTGTACATTAAGCCACACCAATTTTTGAGAATATGATGCTGTAAAATTAAATACTTTATAATTATACTAAAAACAAATAGCTATACTTTGCCCTCAAGTTACAAAAACAACTAGGTAAATAGTAAAACCTGAGCTATTTGATATTAATATTTGTTATTAAAAACACCTATTTTATCTAATTGAATTTTTGTTCTCAAAATACTTAGATATGTTTATATAGCTATAACTTCATTTGTCCATTTCATTCCAACTTGATACCTGAGCTTAAAATGTCTGTTTTTTATGTTATTCCAAATTATCTAATTCAGTGCTGTCTTCCTTTATGATAAATTACAAAACACCTAAAAATATAAAATGTTACCCACAATCATTGCCACATTTTTTCTGAAATCCAATTTGCATAAGACTGAATCAAATACAACTCGAAGCCAGAGACACTAAATTGATATTTATTTCTCACAAGATTGGAAAGCAGCACAGTAGTGAAGAAATAGCTCTGAACTCAGAGAACCATGAGAGGTTGGTTACAGTCCCAGTTCTGCAAACGTCTCTTTGTGTAGATATGAGAAGCATCACTTAAAGTTGCTGACAATCTATCTTCCTGTTCAATAAAAGACCCCAACTAAATATTCTCTACAGCCACTTAAAAATCTAAGCCATTATAATTTGGGTTTCTACATTTTTACATGGTTTTTAGTCTTACAGCTGGTTTTTAAAGCTAAAAAGTATATTTTCATATTCGCCATACTAAAATAGCAAGAGCAGCCACCTTCCCTTTATGTCCATGTGAAATACTTAAGTGCAAAGTAAATATCCACTTAATATCTAAAACAAAACCATCATCTTCCCATTTAACTGAAACCCCACTATCAATGTCCCTGTCTCTGTAATTTGCTTCTCCATTATCATGGTGTCCTCAATATAAAACCTGACAAGTCATCTCAAATTTATTTTTGAATGACCAAGTCCTATAAATTCTTCATTTGAAGTATGTTTCTTAGGTATCTGTTGGTCTGCTTGTGCTGTTATTAACATAATACCTTAGCTTGCGTAAGTTATAACAAACAGAAATTTATTTCTCATTTAGTTCTAGATGCTGGAAAGTACAAGATCAAGGCATTGGTAGATTCTGTGCCTGGTGAGGGACCTTCCATGATGACATCCTCCCTTTCTTTTCTTTTTTTTTATTGTTTTGTGTTTTTATTGTAATTTATTATTATTATTATTATACTTTATGTTTTAGGGTACATGTGCACTACATGCAGGTTTGTTACATATGTATACATGTGCCATGTTGGTGTGCTGCACCCATTAACTCATCATTTAGCATTAGGTATATCTCCTAATGCTATCCCTTCCCCCTCCCCCCACCCCACAACAGTCCTTGGTGTGTGATGTTCCCCTGCCTGTGTCCATGTGTTCTCATATTTCAATTCCCACCTATGAGTGAGAACATGCGGTGTTTGGTTTTTGTCCTTGCGATAGTTTGCTGAGAATGATGGTTTCCAGATTCATCCATGTCCCTACAAAGGACATGAACTCATCATTTTTTATGGCTGCATAGTATTCCATGGTGTATATGTGCTACATTTTCTTAATCCAGTCCATCGTTGTTGGACATTTAGGTTGGTTCCAATTCTTTGCTATTGTGAATAGTGCCGCTATAAACATACATGTGCATGTGTCTTTATAGCAGCATGATTGACATCCCTCCTTTCAAAACAGCACTTTGTTGTTGCTTCCCCCAGAGGGAAAGAACATTGTATCTTTATATATTAGAAAGGTAAGAGGGCACTTGCTTTAACCTTGAACTCTTTTATAAGCATACCAATCCCATTTATGAGGATAGAGGCTTTGTGATACAATTGTCTACTAACGGCCACATCTGTCAACTCTGTTGCCTTAAGGATTAATTTTTTACAAGAATTGTTCAGGAAACAGCATTATTCAAGCCATAGCAGTATTCTTCCATTGCCAATTCTTTCTACCAACTCCCACGTTTGATCATGTTTCAAATATTGTATTATGTTGCAATACTCCTGACTCCATTCATTTTCCAAACAATCCTGTGAAAGCCGCCAACTCAATACTACTTTTGTAATCTTAATTCATTTCATAAAACCCATAATATAACATTTTCATTGTCCCTTCCTTAATTTTTCTTCTTTAAATATCTTAAAATCTTGGGTAAATTAAGCAAAAAACATTTATAACAATGTTTAAATATATGCTAAAGGAATATAGGTATATAGAATATGTGCAACAGTAAAATAGCAAACACACAAATCTATAACATTTACATTAGTTTATAATGCAGATTGTATCCAATATTTATCAATATGCCATGCTCAGAAATTGTTTTAACCCTGTTAGATTTAAATTTAAGATAATTGCTTCATGGTCACTTTCAGAGTGATCAATTCAGTAGGTTTTCAATAGTCTATATACTTTATAAAATTCACTTTCTAAAGAAAGTCTATTGCTTTCAGAATAAAATAACAAGTAATAGAAATGATTATTTTATTCCAAGAACACTAGAGTTTTTCTCTTAATTTTTAAGTGTGTATTAATAATATATCCTGAATGAGAATTATTTCTTTCAACAAATCTAAAACAATTTAATTTTAAAGTTATGTTCAAAAATATTTAAAAAGAGTCATTTATTTTATTAATGCTTCAGTAGGGCTCCATGTTCTGAGTCTTTATGGTATAGATAATTTAAATATTGCATTTGTAGGTGATGGGGATTTTAGCGATATATATGCTCAAATTATGCATATTATAAAGAGTTACAAGTTTTTATGTTAATACATTTTACTTATAAGAACAGATGACAGTAACTTCTCAACGTCACCCAAACAAAGTAATAGTATAGAAAATCCTATGGTCGCTTCCAAGGTGGCCAAATACGAACAGCTCTGGTCTGCATCTCCCAGGGAGATCGACGCAGATGACGAGTGATTTCTGCATTTCCAACTGAGGTTGGAGACAAAAAAACCCTTCAAAAAAGTCAGTGAATCCAGGATCTGGTTTTTTGAAAAGATCAACAAAATTGATAGACCTCTAGCAAGATTAAGAAATAAGAAAAGAGAGAAGGATCAAATAGACACAATAAAAAATGATAAAGGGGATATCACCACTGATCTCACAGAAATACAAACTACAAACAGAGAATACTATAAACACCTCTATGAAATAAACTATAAAATCTAGAAGAAATGGATAAATTCCTCGACACATACACCCTCCCAAGACTAAACCAGGAAGAAATTAAATCTCAGAATAGACCAATAACAGATTCTGAAATTGAGGCAATAATTAATAGCCTACCAACCACAAAAAGTCCAGGACCGGCAGAATTCACAGCCGAATTCTGCCGAAGGTACAAAGAGGAGCTGGTACCATTCCTTCTGAAACTATTCTGATCAATAGAAAAAGAGGGAATCCTCCCTAATTCATTTTATGAGGCCAGCATCATCCTGACCAAAGCCTGGCAGACACACACACACACACACACACACACGCACACACATACACACACACACACAAAAGACAATTTTAGGCCAATATCCCTGATGAAAATCTAAGTGAAAATCATTAATAAAATACTGGCAAACTGAATCCAGTAGCACGTAAAAAAGTTTATGCATCATAATCAAGTTGGCTTCATCCCTGGGATGCAAGGCTGATTCAACATATGCAAATCAATAAATGTAGTCCATCACATAAACAGATCCAATGACAAAAAACACATGATTATCTCAATAGATGCAGAAAAGGCCTTCGACAAAATTCAACAGCCTTTAATGCTTAAAACACTCAATAAACTAGGTATTGATGGAACGTATCTTTAAATAATAAGAGGTATTTATGACAAACCCACAGCCAATATAATACTAAATGCGCAAAAACTGAAAGCATTTCCTTTGAAAACCAGCACAAGACAAGGATCCCCTCTCTCACCACTCCTATTTCAACACAGTATTGGAAGTTCTGGCCAGGGCAATTAGGCAAGAGAAAGCAACAAAGTGTATTCAAATAGGAAGAGAGGAAGTTGAAATGTCTCTGTTTGCAGATGACATGATTGTATATTTAGAAAACCCCATCATCTCAGCCCAAAATCTCCTTAAGCTAATAAGCAACTTCAGCAAAATCTCAGGATACAAAATCAATGTGCAAAAATCACACGCATTCCTATACACCAATAACAGACAAACAGAGAGCCGAATCATGAGTGAACTCCCATTCACAATTCCTACAAAGAGAATAAGATACCTAGAAATACAACTTGCAAGGGATGTGAAGGACCTCCTCAAAACACTGCTCAAGAAAATGAGAGAGGACACAAACAAATGGAAAAACATTCCATGATCATGGATAGGAAGAATCAATACCATGAAAATGACCTTACTGCTCAAAGTAATTTATAGATTCAATGGTATTCCCATCAAGCTACCACTGACTTTCTTCACAGAATTGGAAAAAGCTACTCTTCATATGAAATCAAAAAACAGCCCACATAGCTAAGACAATCCTGGGCAAGAAGAACAAAGCTGGAGTTATCACGTTACCTGACTTCAACTATATGACAAGGCTACAGTAACCAAAACAGCATGGTGCTGGTACCATAACAGATATATAGACCAATGGAATAGAATGGAGGCCTCAGAAATAACGCCACACGTCTACCACCATCTGATCTTTGACAAACCTGACACACAGAAGCAATGGAGAAAAGATTCCTTATTTAATAAATGGTGTTGGGAAAACTGGCTAGCCATATGCAGAAAACTCAATCTGGACCCCTTCCTTACACCTTATAGAAAAATCAACTCAAGATGGATCAAAGACTTAAACGTAAGACCTAGGACCATAAAAATCCTAGAAGAAAACCTGGACAGTACCATTCAGAACATAGGCATGGGCAAAGATTTCACGTCTAAAACACCAAAAGCAATGGCAACAAAAGCCAAAATAGACAAATGAGATCTAATTAAACTAAAGGGCTTCTTCACAGCAAAAGAAACTATCATCAGAGTGAACAGGCACCCTACGGATTGGGAGAAAATTTTTGCAATCTATCCATCTGACAAAGGGCTAATATCCAGAATCTACAAAGAACTTAAACAAATATACAAGAAAAAAGCAAACAATCCCACCAAAAAATGGACAAAGGATATGAACAGACACTTCTCAAAAGAAGACATTTATGCAGTCAACAGACATATGAAAAAATGCTCATCATCACTAGTCATCAGAGAAATGCAAATCAAAACCACAATGAGATACCATCTCACGCCAGTTAGAATGGCTATCATTAAAAAGTTAAACAGATGCTGGAGAGATTGTGGAAAAATAGGAATGATTTTACACTGTCGGTGGGAGTGTAAATTAGTTTAACTGCTATGGAAGACAGTGTGGCAATTCCTCAAGGATTTAAAACTAGAAATACCATTTGACCGAGCAATCCCATTACTGGGCGTATACCCAAAGGATTGTAAATCATTCTACGATAAAGAGACAGGCACACATATGTTTATTGTGGCACTGTTCACAATAGCAAAGACTTGGAGCCAACCCAAATGTCCATCAATGACAGACTGGATTAAGAAAATGTGGTACATATACACCATGGAATACTATGCAGCCATAAAAAAGGATGAGTTCATGTCCTTTGCAGGAACATAGATGAAGCTGGAAACCATCATTCTCAGTAAACTATCACAATATCAGAAAACCAAACACTGTATGTTCTCACTCATAAGTGAGAGTTGAACAATGAGAACACATGGACACAGGGAGGGGAATATCACACACCAAGGTCTGTGGGGGGGTGTGGGGCTAAGGGAAGGATATCACTAGGAGAAATACCTAATGTAGGTTACGGGTTGATGGGTGCAGCAAACCACCATGCCACATGTATACCTACGTAACAAAACTGCACATTCTGCACATGTAACCCAGAACTTAACACACACACATACATAAACTCTAGCATTCTTTTACCTCTTTGCAAATTTTCAATGTATAGCTTTATATTTTTAAGTTATATATGGGCAAATAGTACATATATTTTAGACCTATTGATATAGTACTTCAGGTCCCTGACAATCTGCATTTTGTTTTCAAATATTTTTCTCTGTCTTTCAGATTGGATAATATGTATTATCTATGATCATGTTTACCGACCATGTTTTTTCAGTAATCTCCACTCTGCTGTTACTCCCATCAAATTAATTTTTGAATGTTTAGATATTGAATTTTTTATTTTTAAATTTTTCATTTGGTTATTTTACATAGTTTTCATTTCTCAGCTTAGGATTCCTATCTGTTCTTTGATGATATTCACTAAGCAAGTTGAATCCTTGAATACATTTATAATAGCTGCTTCAAATCATTATTAAAATAGGCCTCCATCTCCAAACAAGATAGAGTAATAGGGACTGGATATATGCTGCATACTGAAATAAATTTTAAATAACTGAAAGAAAATATATAAGTTTTACAAACACTGGACAAAATAGAATAAAAAATAGTTAAAGTTCCCTTTACAAAAAAAAAAAAAAAAAAGAAAAACACCTGATTACTGACTCAGATTAAATTCAGGTATAAGAAAGAGGGAAAAACTCTCCATTCTCTGAGGAAGGTCTCCAGACAAAGATTCTCCCAGTCAGGTGAACAGCTGAATCCCAACTTTATGTGGCCCTTGCCACCCACGTGCTCCTGCTAGCCATCTTGTAAAAGTGCTGTCATAATAAACTGCCTCGGCATTAGATGTTGCCTAAAACTCCTAGGATTCATCTTTGACATTAATCAGACAAAAGTCGAGAAGTCACCTCTGGGAAGATTGATTAACCACCACATGAAACCCCTGAGCACTGCAGTCATCAGCAATCTCATCTCATTTAACGTAGGTAATATAAACACAAAATTAAGAAGTAGAGATTTTCAAATTAAATTATAAAAAAGCAAGTTCCAACTATATGATGCCTATAGAAACCAAACTTAAATAATAAAGCCACACACATTTAATGGTGAAGAAATGCAAAAAGGCATACCACAATTACATCAAACTAAAGGATGCTAGAAATGCTAACACCAGACAAGGCAGATTTTAGCAAAGAACATTACTGTGGATAAAAAGCTTGCTTTATAATGATAAATTAGGCAATTTATCCAGAGGAATTAATTATCCTAAAGGACTATGTACCTATAACAGAAATTTGAAATACGTGAAGCATGAACTGAAGGAAGGAAGAAACAGACAAATCCACAATAATTGTTGCAGATTTCAACATCTCTGTCTCAAAAATTGAGAGACCAACTAGACAGAGATTTGGCAAATTGATTGCCTGGCCAGGGCAATCAGGCAAGAGAAAGCAACGAAGAGTATTCACATAGGAAGAGACGAAGTCAAAATGTCTCTGTTTGCAGATGACATGATTGTGTATTTAGAAAACCCCATTGACTCAGCCCAAAATCTCCTTAAGCTAATAAGCAACTTCAGCAAAGTCTCAGGATACAAAATCAATGTGCACAAATCACAGGCATTCCTACACACCAATAACAGACAAACAGAGAGCCGAATCATGGGCAACACCTACAATCAACTTGACCTAATTGAAATTTTTGCTTTTACTCCACATAAAAAGCATGAAAAATATATTTTATCCTAGTCCACACTGGGTGACTGCTAAGAGAGCCCACGTAGTGGGGAATAAAAGTTCTGTCAATCAAGTTAAAGGACTATGTTTTCTAACCACGGTAGAATTAAGAAATCACCAACAGAAAGATGTCTACAAAATTTTCAAATATTTTAGAACTAGATAACACTTCTAAATTACCTACATATATTAGATTGCTAGGACTGCCATACAAAACACGACACACTAGTTATCTTAAAAAAAAGAAATTTATTTTTTCACAGTTCTGGAGGCTAGAAGTCTAAGATCAATGTCTTCACAGTTGGTTTCTTCTGAGACCTCTTTCTTTGACTTGCAGATGGCCACCTTCTTGCTGTGTCCTCACAAGGTCTTTCCTCTGTGCAAATGCATCCCTGGTGTTTATACATTACAATTTCCTTTTCTTGTAAGAACACCAGTCAGATTGGAATAGAGCCATATGACTTCATTAACCTTAATTATCACTATAAAGGATCTATTTCCAAATATAGTCACTTTCTGAGACACCAGGGATTCATAGTTCATCATGAGAATTTCAGAAGAACACAATGCAGTCTATACTACTATGTACCTAAGAAGTCCAAAATAAAATTAAAAAGTGCTTTGAACTTAGCAATACATAAGAGGGAATTTATCACACTGAATTCTTATATCTAAAAAGAAAAGTCAGCTATCTCAGCTTCCACTTTAAGAAAACAGACATAGAATAGACGAAGCCCAAAGTAATCAAAAAAAGAAAATATTAGAAAGCATGTGGCAATTAATAAAATTGAAAACATAAATAATGAAGAAAATCAATTTAGAAATTAAGGTCTGTTATTTGGGAAGATAATAAATTTTATAAACCTCTCACCCAACCAAGTTTAAAAAGAGGGAAAAGACACAATTTACCAGTATCAGAAATGAGGAGATGCCATTATGATAGATTCTACATATATTAAAAGGATAAGAAGAAAATATTATGAACAAATTTAGGTGAACAAATTCAATAACCGATATAAAATGGCCATATTACTTAAAATATATGAACTAAAAATTCTCACTCAAGAAGAAATAAATAATTTGAATAGGGCTTTAAATTATTAAAGAAAATAAATTTACAGTTAAAACCCTTCAACAAATATAGAAACAAAAACTCCCTCAAGACTCAGCTGATTAATATTGAAAACAATATTTGCCAAATAACTAAGAGTGAAATCATTCTAATTCTACACATTTCTTGAAAAGATTGAGGGGGAGGGCATACTTTTTTATTTTATGGTGTCTGCATTACTCTGTTACCTAATAAATACATCAAGAAGATAAATAAAATGTAATCACATTCCAATATGTTTCATCACCACAGATGCAATTATTCTTTTAAGTATAGCTAACAAACCCCAACGATATACAGAAGTATGTACACAGTTGGTCTTCATTATTCATGGATTTTATACTTACTAGTTTGCTTACTGGCTAAAATTTATTATCAACCTCATACTTAATACTCTGCTATTACAGTAATTTATAGACATGCACAGAGAGGTCAAAAATATGAGTTACCTGACACTCATATTCTCACCTAAGATAAAATTAAAGTGATGCTCTACCTTCTTGTTTCTGCTCTCCTAGTGTAAATAAATGTCCTATTATCTTTCTACTTAGTAGTGCAGAATGTTTGCTTTTCTCATCCAATTTTTGTGCATTGTCTTGGTAACTGCTGTTTAAAATGGTCCTGAGTATGGTGCTGAAGTGCTGTCTTGTTTCTTTGTTTTTAAAATTTTTTAAAAACTTTTTAAATAAGTTCAACTTCTATTATCATCTCATCACCTAGGTAGTGAGCATAATACCCAACAGTTTATGTTTGAACCCTTGTACCTTTCCCTACCTCCCTGTCAGTAGTCCCCAGTGACTACTGTTGACACCTTTATGTCCATGAGTAAATTCCAACTTATAAGTGATAACATGCGGTATTTGGTTTTCTGTTTCTGCATTAATTTGCTTAGGATAATGGCTTCCAGCTACATCCATATTGCTGCAAAGGACATAATTTTGTTAATTTTTATGCCTGTACAGGTTTCCATGGTGTACATGTTTCATGTTTTTTTTGTCTAATCCAACATTGATGGGCACTTAGGTTGATTCCATGTCTATGCTATTGTGAATAGCACTGCAATGAACATATGAGTGAATGTGCCTTTTCAGTAGAATGATTTGTTTTACTTTTGATATATAGCTTGTAATGGGATTGCTGGGTCAAATGGTAGTTCTAAGTTCTTTAAGAAATCCCCAAACTACTTTCTATAGTGGCTGAACTAATTTAAATTCCCAAAAACAGTTCATAAGTACTCCCTTTTCTCTGTCTATAGCCTTCCTAGCAAATGTTTTGTTTGTCTGTTGTTTCTGATTTTTTAATAACTGCCATTCTGATTGGTGTGAGACCATTTCTCATTGTGGTTTTAATTTGCATTTCACTGATGATTAGTGATATTGAGCACCTCTTCATATATTTCTTGGCCATTTGCAGGTCTTCTTTTGAGAAGTGTCTATTCATGTCTTTTGCCTAGTTTTTAATGGAGTTATTTGGTTTTGTTTGTTGAATTGTTTAAGCTCTTTATGGATTGTGGATAATAGTCCTTTGTTGGATGCACAGTTTGTGAGTATTTCCTTCCTTCTGTAGGTTGCCTGTTTATAATGTTGATAATTTCCTTTGCTCTGTAGAAACTCTTTAGTGTAAGTAGGTCCCACTTGTCAATTTTTGGTTTTGTGCAATTGCTTTTAGTCATAAATTCATCCTGAAGTCCAATGTCCAGAATGGTGTTTCCTAGGTTATCTCTTAAAAGACACAGAATTGCAAGTTGAATAAGAAAACAAGACCCCTCCATCCTCTGTCTTGAAGAGACCCATCTCACATTTAATGACACTTATACCTTAAAGTAAAGGAGTAGAGAAAGATCTGTCACACAAATGGAGCACAAATTTATGTGGTCTTCTTATATCAGATAAAAAAAGACTAAACCAACAACAGCAAAAAAGCTCAATTAAGGTCATTACATAATGATAAAGGGTTCAATTCAAAAAGAAGACTTCACTGTCCTAATTATATATCCACCCAATATTGGAGCACCCAGGTCTATGAAACAAGTACTTCTAGACCTACAAAAACACTTAGCCACACAATAGTTGTGGGGAACTTCAACACCCCACTGTCTTATTTCTTAATTGCAAAATTGCAAGAAGGCTAATGGAAAATGTGTGTGTGTGTGTGTGTGTGTGTGTGTGTGTGTGTGTGTGTGTTAGATAAGCTTCATTAAAGTTATGGTGTTGACAGTCATAATTTTAATGAACCCACAATATTGATTAAGCAAAGTGGCCTTAAACGGAAACACATGAAAAACAAGGCTATGTACTGATTGGTCAATGAAAATGTTGCTCCCAGTGGCACACGAGAAGCTAAATCTGTATTTCCTCTAAAAGCAATGAGTCAATCTTTGATAACTCAATATTTACACTGACTTTATAGAACATAACCACCAAAATAAACTCTATATTTTTACCAACTGGATATTATCTCATGAGTGCTGTAGGAGATCTGTCAGAGTGGTGGGAGAAGCTACAGGGAAAGGAGCAGGCCTTCTGAAAGGTTGGAAGGCTCTGCATAGCTTTGGGGGAGAATAAGCTGAAGGCAGCTGTTCTCTTACCCTGAGGCAGAGAGCGAGGAATAGGTACAAGAAAATGTGGGGGAATATTTTGTAAACAGGCTTGTTTACTTACGTTGTCTGAATCATCCACGTGCAAGACTGCTCCCTGAATGGAAGAACAATAATGTTAATTACCCACAGATTGTGTTGGCTCCAGGTTTTTGGCATTATGTCTGTACTGAATAAAAGTAAGCAACGTCAGCTGTTCGAGACTGCTCACTCTTCGGCCATTAATGCCTGGCAGTCCCCTAGCTGCTTTTACACTACATACCTGTGTCTGAGTACTCCTTTCATCCATCACTCGGCTGGGGTCTGCGGGACAGACCCAGCAGATGGTGCCCTGTTTGAGGAATCCTGCAATGGATTGTGACAGAACCCTCAAAAACAAAGGTGAAGAGACTGCACAGTCAGTAAATAATTGGTGCCTGCTCATGACTTTCAAGTTCAAGGGAATATTCAAGATAGGGATTCATCATGGGACAACAGTTATCAGCTCAACAGCAACAGTATATAAAAGTATTGAAACAGTTGCTTAAAGCTAGTGGAGCCTTGGTTTCACAGGCTCAATTAAGGGACCTAATGCAAACTGTTGTTTTTCATAACTCATGGTTCCCAGAAGAAAGCACGCTAGACCTAGAGCTCTGGGAGCAAGTGGGGAGAAATCTTAAACAACATCATGCACAAGGGCAACGGGGCCCAGTAATATATTTAACGTTGTGGGCATTAGTCAGGGATGCTTTGGCCCGGCTCTACAAAGAAGAACCTAAAAAGGGAAGGGAGGAGGAACCATAACCTACCTTACTGCCTCTTCCTCCTCCCTCAGCCCCACTGTTACCAGGTAAAGATACAAAAGAGGAAATGGAGGTTTTACCAGAGCCCCCTCCTCCAATAAATTGGAAAAAAGACAAGGGATACACTACAGTTATGGGACCCTGTCTTAGGCAAGCAGCATTACAAGGGGAGCTCTTGGCCTGCCCAGTGATGCAAGATCAACAAAGCAATCTAGTATATGAACCCATTACTTTCAACACTTACAATGAAATAAGAAAAAGCATTAGAAAAAATGGAGCCACTATCCCATTTGCAAAAGGATTAATTGAGGTGAGGCCATAGCAGAAAATTTCCTTATGACCCCTTTCTATTACTGGCCACAGTTCCTCCCCTACCCCTAACATGGCTCTTTCAAAATCCTATTTGGGTAGAACAGTGGCCTTTAAAGGGAGATAAATTACAGTGAGCCCATAAATTACAGAGGAACAATTAAAAGCTGGCCATATAGAACCATCAAACAGCCCTTGGAATTCACCCATTTTCACCATTCCCAAAAAGTCTGATAAATGGAGACTTTTGCATGACTTACATGCTATCAATGCTAATTTGCAACCTATGGGGCTCCTTCAACAGGAGCTCCCTTGCCTTGCAGTGATTCCTCAAGATTGGCCTGTA
Source organism: Homo sapiens (assembly GCF_000001405.40). Taxonomy (NCBI): domain Eukaryota; kingdom Metazoa; phylum Chordata; class Mammalia; order Primates; family Hominidae; genus Homo; species Homo sapiens. The sequence goes on along the minus strand of NC_000004.12, from coordinate 64,624,022 downwards.
GTCATTATTGGCTTAAAAGACTGCTTTTATACTATTCCCCTCTCAAAGCAAGACAGAGAAAAATTTGTGTTTACAATATCAGCCATCAATAATGAAAGCCCAGCTTGCCGATTTCATCGGAAAGTACTTCCTCAAGGAATGCCAGACAGTCCTACCATGTGTCAGTATCATGCAAATCAGGCTTTGCCCCCCGGTAGAAAAGAATTTCCTAATTGCAAGATCATCCATTATCTGGATGATGTCTTACTGGCAGCTCCAACAGAGCAAATACTTTTGAGTATTTGGGAGGGGTTGACATACCCTCAGTGGGGTTCCTTAGTAACAGCACACATTGGACTGAGGTGCCAAGTAACGCTACATACCACTCTGTGATTGGAAAAGAATATTACTGATTATGCTATTGTTTGTCTTATGTTATTTACTAATTCTAGGATGCAAAGCCGGAACATGAGCTGTAACTGCTAAGCCTGTCAAACCTGTTGCTGGACACATCTGTACTCTTGAATCAAAAAACCTGATGCAAACAACAGAAAAGGGGGAGATGTAGGAGATTTGTCAGAGTGGTGAGAGCAGCTACAGGGAAAGGAGCAGGCCTTTTGAGAGGTTGGAAGGCTCTGCATAACTTTGGTGGAGAATAAGCTGAAGGCAGCTGTTCTCTTACCCTGAGGCAGAGGGTGAGGGATAGGTACAAGGAAGTGTTGGGGAATTTATTGTAAACAGCCTTGTTTACTTATTTTGTCTGGAAACCAACCTTTGATCATCCCTGCATGAGACTGCTACCTGAATGGGGGGACAGTAATGTTAATTACTCACAGATTGTGTTGGCTCCAGGCTTTCAGCGTTATGTCTGTACTGAATAAAAGCAAGCAACTTCAGCTGTTCAAGACTGCTCACTCTTCAGCCATTAGTGCCAGGCAGTCCCCAAGCTGCTCTTACACTGCATACCTGTGTCTGAGTACTCCTTTCATCCGTCGCTCAACCAGGGCCTGTGGGACGGACCTGGCAGAATGCAAGGTTGGCTTACCATTTAAAAATAACCCTCTGCAATATACCACATTGACAGATTGAAAAAAATCTGTATGATCATCTTTGCAATGCAGTTGATCTAATATCCATTTCTGATTTAAAAAAAAAAGAGCACAAACAAAAAAAAACCACAAAAGCCCTCAGCAGACTTAAATAGAAGTAAATTTTTTCAAGCTATGAAAAAAACTATTAACAACATATTTGATAAAAGCTAAATATTTTTCAACTAACAGATACAAGGCATGAAAATTTACTGTAAATATTTTTTATATTGTATTAGAGATTCTAGCCATTGCAATAAACCAAAGAAAAAATGTAAAAACTACAGATTTAGAGAGAACAAGTAAAACTGTATTTACAGATTGCAAAATCACCTATATAAAAAACTCCATTGGAATTGGCCAAAAATTTTTAATGAATTTAGAAAAGTTGCAAGGTATACCATCAATAAATGGAAATATATTGCTTATATACTAGCAATGAACAATTGGAGGCTGAAATTTGAAGACACCAATTATAATAGCTTTACAAATATCTAATATTTAGGGATATATTCAAAAAAGTGTAAAATATCTGTGTACTGAAAGCTACAGAACAGTCATAAGGAAAATTAAAAAGGACCTATTTAATAAAAGATGTGTCATACCATATTAATAGATCAGAAAGCTCAATATTACTCATATGTGAAATCTCCAAAACTTGTTGTAAAAATTTAGTGCAATCCCAATTAAAGTTTAAACTGGCTTTTTTTTTTTAACTAGAAACTGGTAAGCTAAATTTTAAAATTTATGTAAATATTAGAACAGCCAACATAGTTTTTAAAAGGAGGAATAAATGCTGATGATTTATACTACTTGACTTTATATTTATTATTATATAAAGCTACACTAATAAAGGTATTGGTATTGGCATCAACATAAACATATAAATTAAGGGTACAAAATAGATAATCCAATAATACACTTAATGGTCAATTGATTTTTGACAAATTTTAATGACAATTTAGCCTTTAGAAAGGAATGTCTTTTGACGAATCGTACTGGAACAATTGGATATGTATATGCAAAAATAAAATTCAATCCACATCTCACATTGTGTACAAAACTTAGTGCAAAATAGATCTATAGTTCTTACTCTTAAAACCTAAAACCATAAAATTTATACAAAATCAGAGCAAAACTGTGGGCAAAAGTCCATTTACAGACTAAGATCAAATATTCACAACTCACACGTGATAACAAATTTGTATACAGAATATATAAGGAGACTTTCAAAACTTAGCCAAAAAAAAAAGGCTTAGTGAGCTTAGTGATAGAAAACCAAACAAAAGATGCAAGAAATGGGCAAACGATTTAAGCAGGCACTTCTTAAAAGAAGATATACAGGTGGCAAAAAAGCACATAGAATCATGCTTGACACCTTAGTCATTAAGCAAATGAAATAAGACCACAGGCTGGGCATGGTGGCTCACGCCTGTAATCCCAGCACTTTGGGAGGATGAGGCCGGTGGATCACCTCAGGTCAACAGTTTGAGACCGGCCTGGCCAACATGGTGAAACCCCATCTCTACAAAAATACAAAAATTAGCTGGGCGTGATGGAGGGTGCCTGTAATCCTAGCTGCTCAGGAGGCTGAGATGGGAAAATGGCGTGAACCCGGGAGGCGGAGTTAGCAGTGAGCTGAGATCGCGCCATTGCACTCCAGCCTGGTCAACAGAGCAAAACTCCTTCTCAAAAAAATGAAAAAACAAAACAAAACAAAACACAGTTATCTATTACTATGCATATAATAGAATGACTAAAATTAGAGAGTGACTACATCAAATGTTGGTAAGTTGTGCAAAAACTGAAATATCATGCAATGCTGGTTAGAATTAAAATGCTATAATTTATTTGGAAAACAGCTTGGCAGGTTCTCTTTCAAACCTACATCTACCATGTGACTCCAAAATTCCACACCTAAATATTTATCCAAGAGACATAAAAGTATATTTTTATATAATAAGGTGTATGCAAATGTCTCCAGTAGCTTTATTTGCAATAGACAAAAGATGGAAACAACACAGATGTCCATCAATGTGTGAAAAAATATACATATTGTGGTGTGTATAATATGTATGTGTGTGTATGATGGAATATTTATTAATATATATTTATTTATAATTAATAAAATTGGCACAGATAGTAATAGGAGTGAATCTCAAAATAATTAAGATGAGCAAAAACAAAAAAATAATTCATGTGTTAACCACCCTTACAATTCCAGACTTTGTAAACATAGGGTGATCAAAAGCAGATTGGTGGTTCTCTGAAAATGGGGATTTTGGAGAAACAAAAAGGAGGGATTGCAAGAGGGTACGAAGATATGTCACAACTTAGCAAGTTGTGTAACTTACTATGTGCAGTTTTTAATGTCAATTATACCTAAGTAAAGCTGTTACAGATTCTTTGATGAGGCAAAGAAGGCTTACCAAAAAAATATTAAGTATGATTCTATTGACTTGAAATTCAAAAGCAGGCAAAACAATGGTTGTCTCTCCTGGGAGGATGTAAGGCCAGGAATTAATGGGAAGGGGTATGAGAAAAATTTCTAGAGTGTTTGTGTTATTCTATATCTTTACAGGCTTTTCACTTAAATAGTTCCTACACTGGTTGAAATTCATGGATTGATAAACTTAAGAATTTTGGATTTTATTTATTTATACGTTTCTATCAAAAAGAACATAAGCAGCAAACTCTAGTTAGTCATAGGCGTGTAAAAGTGTTTAGAAGTTGTTATAGTGATGCCTGTAACTTACTTTGAATTGCATGAAAAATTTACGATGGGACAATGGATAGCCACAGAGAATGATTGGTGAATAGATATGTTTTAAAGCAAATATTGCCAAATATTAACTGTACAATTTATGTAGTGACTGTGGAAGTTAACTGTATATTACTTTCCAGTTTTTTGAATGTTTATATGTTTTATAATAAAAATAAACTTTATACTGAGATGAAACTACACACTCACAAGAATGTCTAAAATTAAAACAACCTGTGAGGCAAACTCAAGTCTTACAAACTGCTTATTGAGAAGCTGATATTATGGCATTGGAAGATTCTTTCATTTTCTAACAAAATTGAACATATGCAGTATGTTATGACATAGCAGTTTCATCCATAGGTATATACACCAGAAAAGTTCACAAAAGTAATTATAAATCATTTTATAGCAGCGTTATTCATAATAGTAACAAACTTGAAACAACCTAAGTTTCCATCCACTGTATAATAAATACACACACACACACACACACATCCACACACACCTATATATAGTTGTCTCTTTAACACACTATTTTGCACCAATGAAACAAAATGAACTATACACAAAAATCAAGATTCATTACGAGTGTAAGTTTGACTAAAACACCCAAATTTAAGCATGTAGTTAGTATGTGATTCCATTTATATGAAGTTTAAAAACAGGCAAAACTAATCTATGGCTTTAAAAATCAGTACTGATTTGCTTTTGGGAATGAGGAAGGATGAAATGATTAGATAAAGCATAAAGCACATTTGTGGGATGCTTTTTTTGTTCTTGACATTGGCAGTGGTTATACCGATATGTTTATTTTATGGTAATTCTTAGAGCTGAATTATTTTTATATATCGCTTTTTTGTATATCGTCTATACTTTAGTAATTGATATTACACAATTGATGTTTTTTCCAACAACTAGGAAAAACTTTTCCTTGGATGGAAAAGAGTACCTCCAAGCACAGCAATATATGCTACATTAGATATTTTATGTGTATGTCTAATAAAAATTCAAGTACACAAAATTCTTAATATTTGTCATCAATCTGCACATATATGTGAATTTGGAAAATTGGTAAAAAAAAAAAAAACAGACAAAATTGAGGCTTTTTTTTTCTCAAAAACTCTTTTTGAGATGGACTGAATATTAAGGAAAAGGAGTAAGGAAGTCCCCAATGTTTCTCAGAGTAACAAATGGTCAACAGGAATAACAAGAATAAGTCCAAATAAATATCATTGAAGAATTGACCGAAAACCCATCTGAGAAATATCTTTGTGATAATAGCACAGGTATTGGAACCAATATTGACTGAATAACTCAGATGGGCTATAGAAAGGAATTGGAGAAATGGTGGTAAACACAAAAACAGTGTGGGTGTCCCAGAACAATGCAGTAAATTTTGCCACAAAAGCACATAAGAATATATATATATATATATATATATATACATATATATATATATATATTTTTTTTTTTTGCTGGAAAGATCTCACACTGATAGAAAATGCATCAATCTGAGTATATGCTGTAAACATGCATCAAACATTAATAACAATGGCAATAATAATAGCTATGTTCCATTTGTTTCCCAAGGTTGTTCTGAAAAGTAGATCCTATTACCTCTGCATTATATATATGAAAACGAAGCCTTAGAGAATTTAAGTAACACCTAAAGTGAAGAAGCCACAATTTTTATATGGGTCTTTCTGATTTTAGTGACCTTGGTGAGTAATTTTACTCATTCCTAACTTCTATTAACATTTGAAAACAAAGTGTAACAATTTTTGTTTGTTTTTGTTTCATATAAAATTTACTCTGCTGTTGGAATTATAAAAATAAATTTGTGAAAATGTATTCAGGATTTTACTCTCTTTTACCACGCTTGCATTAGAGGCTAAAGATCCAAAGTACTCTTTTGCATCACTCTCCCATGAAAAGAAAGTCAGTAGAAAAGAAATTGACACAAGAAAAAATGATTGCACTTAAGCTGCCTCCCGTAGGCATAATGTATTAAATTTATATCAAATTCATCTACTTTTACGATATGCTCTATAGTTACACTTACGTCTCATGTTTAGTATTTGAAGATATTTTCAAGATTAGGAGCTCAAGATATTTGTTTTGTTTTTGAATGACAGGCATTATTAACATTAGTGTTACACTACTGCCATCTTGTGAATATTCAGGACTATTTCTTTGAAAGGATCTTTGCCAAATTGCTTAAACTGATAGATTGTAGGGAGTGGTAAATTACCTCTGATGACATAATACAGAGTGTAATATTCAACAGTGCTTTGCAATAAAAAGTCATGCTTAGTGAGGAAGGGCTTTAAATAATTTCAATATGACTTTCACATGGAATGACTCTTAGCTATTTATCATAGCAACATAATTTTACTTATTTGTATATATATATATAAATACAAATTAGCCTAAATTAATACATGTTACATAAGACTTTTATATGCATAGTCAAAAATTTGAAGAGTAGGCCTTACAAAAAGGAGTTAAATAATAATTGTCTAATTTTCTTCTAGTGGCCTTATAAATGGCTAGATAGCTACAAGCAAGAAATTTGAATCAATGATGATATGAAATTATTTATTCTTGGATATTGTAGTTCAGGTATAAACAATGTGGTTCTTTGCAAACCAGGTAAATGTATTATTTATGAAGTTAGAGGTAAGGATAAAAATATTTTCAATTTATAACTATTAAGAAACAATAAACTAATACCCTTCCCTTTCTCACAGCTATTTACTATCTTGAAATATTTGAACTGCATTTGACTAACAATAATTATTCTTTCAGGTCTCAGAATTATTTAATAGCCCTTATTTATTATATTGCCATTTTAAATAGACCTATATTCTAAACTTTTATGTTTCACAAAGAAACATAGTTTTTTTTTAAAAAAAAATGTGTTCATATAGAATAATATTTTCTTGGTAGACATAATAATTAATCAAAGGTATAAAAATTATTTTATGTATTTGCATTATTTGATAAGAATGTAACACAGAGATCTGTATTTTAACTTTTTCAATATTGGATCAAAAGTTCAAAATGATTGGTTAGAATCATTGGATACTTGCTTAACATTAAGATCATGACAGCAACTTACACTAACAAATCACTAGTTTTTAAATAACATTATAAATTATTTTTTATGTATTGAAAATCAAGGATACTCTTGCACATCAGTTTTTACATATAAATTTTATGTTTCTCAACTATCACAAGTCTCTATTTAAAAGGTGATCTTGACCCATAAAAAGAAAATTAAGGTCTTTAGAATATAAATTGAACTGAGTTTTGTAAATTAAAATGTTCTTGGCCAGGTGCAGTGGCTCATGCCTTTAATCCCAGCACTTTGGGAGGCCAAGGTGAGCAGATCACCTGAGCTCAGGAGTTCCCGACCAGTCTGGCCAACATGGTGAAATCCCATCTCTACTAAAATACAAAAATTAGCCAGGTGTACCTGGCTAATTACAGCACCTGTAATCCCAGCTACTTGGGAGGCTGAGGCACGAGAATCGCTTGAACCTGAGAGGCAGAGGTTGCAATGAGCCAAGATCGTGCCATTACACTCCAGCCTGGGTGACAGCGAGACTCCGTCTTAAAAAAAAAAAAAAAAGTTGTTCTTTAGAACAAAGAAATTACTCAATAATCAAGTACATCTATTTATTCAGCTTGCAATAAGGAAGAAAGAAATTTTAAAAAAGGAGTGCCGAAGAAATGAGGAAGGAGGCAGGAATGGAAAAAGAAAGGAAGACAGAAAATATAAGAAGCCTTTAAAATCTTTGAGAACCTCATTTGCTTTTTGCCACTTGCAGTTAGCTTGTATTTACATGTAATAGTCTCATTAATTTTCAAATTTATTATGAAAATAAACAGTATATCTAAAACACATTTTTGTTTCATAAAACCAATGTTTTTTCTTGTTTTTATTTTCAGAATAACAGCTAAAAGACTAGAATCAGAGTGAAAATGCCTTTCTGGGGACGATTACTGAAAATCAGAATTCAGCCAAATGACTTCAGAGAGAAAAGCAAAGCCAAGTCAATGGCCAACTATTTCAAATACGTTATTTAGAACAAGAGTGAACATAAGATTTAAACTGTTACTACTCTTGGAAAAATTGAGAAAATTAAATGCCACACAATTTCCCCTATAAGAGAATCCAACCAAATTGGTTATCAATGATAAAGGTAAGATTACTGGAATGCATATTTCTTTTGTTTACGTAGGTTTCTTCTTGTTCTGTTCAATTATTATTACTTTTTTTTTTTTTGAGATGGAGTCTTACTCTGTCACCCAGACTTGAGTGCAGTGGCCCTATCTCGTCTCACTGCAAGCTCCACCTTTCCGGTTCACGCGCTTCTCTTGCCTCAGCCTCCCGAGTAGCTGGGACTACAGGCAGCCACCACCATGCCCGGCTAATTTTTTGTATTTTTAGTAGAGATGGGGTTTCACCGTGTTAGCCAGGATAGTCTCGATCTCCTGACCTCATGATCCGCCAGTCTCGACGTCCCAAAGTGCTGGGATTACAGGCGTGAGCCACCGTGCCCGGACTTATTTCAATTTTCTTTATCATTAGGCTATGAAAAATAATAAGGGTAGACTTTTGGCTCTTTTATTGAACTGTCTTACAGTGCAGGGCTCCTGTAAAGAGGTTAACGTAGTGTTGAAGACAATTGCAAATCTTTCTTTCTTTTCTTTTTTCTTTTTTCTTTTTTTTTTCTTTACTTTCATACAGAAAGTGCAAAATTGGTTAACATATAACTGGTAATATCATAACATTAAAAACTGGAATTTCACCTTAAATCACCCAAGAAACAAACAACATTTGAAGCATCACCACCTTTAACTACTGCTAAATACATTTTATTTGTTAATCAAGGAAAAAGCTTGACTTTTTGAGCTTGTTTTCATTTATAGTTGACATTAAATGTATAATTTTGATTCTGTATGTCGTATCAAATATTTCCCATTATATTTCAAACAAATTCACTTTCAGCTCAAATCTGCTGAAATAGTGTTGTCATTTTCAACTGAAGCAACTGAAGGATTTCTGACTATGACATACTTTTAGGTATAAAATAAATATTCTTGAGTTTTATTTAGTTTTACTGTAGCACTATAATTAAGAGAGTATATGCAAGTGAGCTATTTGAACAAGTACCTGTTTCCATAGATTCAGGGTAATCTAATCATTATTCTCCAATTTTCTACTGTTTTGTTCCCACTGATGTAAACATTTTTCAAGGTATCCCATTTACCTATGGAAATAACTTTATGTAAATAGCCACTTTTCCAGCTATTCAATGTGTTTCTCACAATATGAAAACCCCAACTTGGTGATTTGACCTCTAAAATTACAGTGAGAGACTAGGAAAATATGCGGAAGGGGTAATTTGTACAAGATGGAGTTTTACTCTCATTAGAGCCTTTGAAACTATCAAAAAACATCTGAATTAAGCAAAAATCCTTCTTACAGTAAATTATACAACCTATTACCATGTCTATGACTGAACAGGCCGATGAGTTTTAACTATGCTCTGCTGCCTGATAACTTACTTAAATGAAATTTTATCTTATTTTTGCAAAGCGTTTAAAATTACTTCCGGCAATATGTGAGGCTCATCAGTTTCTATTTATATTTCTTTAATACTTAAGCCTGTGATGGGCATCAGTGCACTGCGAATTCTACAGAGACTCACAATCTCATTTGCATATTGACTCAACCTGGACTGGCATTTGTGATAATGATTCAAAGACCTTTATACTCTTTACAAAACTCCCTAATAAAACACTGGCATTTGTTTATTTGGAAGGCAGCACTTTATGGTATTTTAATTATTGCTGTATATTATTGCCTTTTTTAATTACTTGAGGGCATATATGTTGGACATGCTCTTTATAAAAACTAAAAGAAAAACACTGAATAGCTATTATCATCACTACTCAAACATTGCAGGCATGGATCTGTAATATAATTTACTACCTCTATTACTGTAAAACTTCTTTATAATCATATGTAGCCACTGGAACTACTTCAATCATTTTTAATGCATTTCATTTAAAATGCTTGTCCTTAAACAGGTAATAAATTCTGTGTGATTTTTATACCTGGTATACTATGGGGAAATATCATAGTGATCACAAAGCTAATTGCCTAAAATGGCAATAAGTAAAAATAGTTGTTAATGCATGATGCACTCTGACTTTTAAAAGATTTTCTATAATGTGATTTTAGCACTATTTACATAGATCAATAATGATGTTAGGCTTGCATTTTTTGGATACAATTAGTGCTTCAGTGATAAAAGCTGGGGGAAAAGCAAAATTATGTTTCCAATATAGGCAAATTAAGTGATTAAACATAAGCCTTTATTGGAGCATCAATATAGCATGACTTTTCAAGTCTTACCAGAGGAATAGAAAACAAAGAGAGAAGGAATTGTTGGACCACTTGGATCATATTAGTAATGTTTTTTTTTTTTTTTACCGTACATCATTTAAATTTATATATTGTAGAATAAGTAAGATCCTCACCAAAAGATAGATTAAGCATCTAGCAGTGAGAGTACTGTAAAGCATTATATGGAACATTGGTATACTCTATGTTCAACCAAGTTATAATAGTTATAATTTACTGAAAACAATTCTGAAGACATCAAATGCTACCAGAACTCTTACCACTCAGCCCTAGAAAGTCAAAATTATCTTTAATACTGTCTGTCACAAGTATGGCAAGACACGTTCTTCTGGATTCACATTGGTGTTTATAATCCAACGGAGAATATAAAACAATATTATAACCATGATAGGTGTTACCAGAAGCTTCAAATTCCATTTCTGTTTAGATATTGGACATTCCTACCTCATGCTGCAATCCTTGAATGTACCACTTCCTTGTGAATTGGAGCTGTTACTAGGAGCCTACATATTGTGGTTCTAATGAATTATTTGCTAAATTGAAACATGTACTATCATCATATGCTCTCTTTTGCTGTCAACAGAGGAAAGGAAACTCCAGTGTTCACTGAGGAATTTGGAAAACCTTGTCTAGACTTATTCTTTGTCTTGATGTCTCTTTTTGTTTAATATTAAAACAGCCACACAGGGTTTCTCATGATTAACATTTGCCTTATCCAACTTTTCATTATTTTCTTTTAACCTACCTGTATCATTTTTTAATTCTATTTTTGTTTTAGATTCAGGGGGTACGTGAGCATTTGTTAAAAGGGTGTATCATGTCATGCTGAGATTTGGATTTTTATTGATTTCATCATGCAGGTAGTGAACATAGTATCCAAAAGGAAGTTTTCCAGCCCTTTCTCTCCTCCCTCCCAACTTTCAGTTACCCAGCGCCTACTGTTCCCATGTTCATGTCCTTTTGTACCCAAGATTTAGCTCCACTTATAAGTGAGAACATGTGGTATTTGGTTTTCTGTTCCCTTGTTAATTTTCTTAGGATAATGGCTTCCTACTGCACCTATTTTGCTGCAAAGGACATTCATTCTGTTTATGGCTTTGTAGTATTCCGTGGTGTATATGTACTCCATTTTCTTTATCCAGTCCACCTCTGATGGACACATAGGTTGACTGTATGTCTTCATTATTGTTAATAGTGCTGTAATGAACATGCAACTTCTTGGTCTTTTTGGTAGAATGATTTGTTTCCCTTGAGGTATATAATCAGTAATGAGATTGCTGGGTAAAATGGTCATTCCATTTTTAGTTTTCTGAGAAATCTCCAAAGTGCTTTCCATAGCGGCTAAACTAACTCACATTCCCATGAATGGTGTATAAGTGTTCCCGTTCTCCATAGCCTCACAAGCAGGATTATTTTTTGTCTTATTAATAAAAGCCATTCTGACTGGTGTGATATGTTATAATTGTGCTTTTTATTTTCATTTCTCTGATGGTTAGTGATGATGGCATTTTTTTTCATGTATTTCTTGGCCACTTGTATGTCTTCCTTTGAGAAGTGTCTGTTCATGTCTTTTGCTCACTTTATTTTCATTTATTCTATTTTATTTTACTTCAACATTTTTGTGGTGCAGGTTGTTTTCAGTTACATGGGTAAGTTCTTTAGCAGTGATTTATGATATTTTAGTTCATCTGTCACCCAAGCAGTGTACTCTCTACCCAAAATGTACTTGTTTATCCCTTACAGCCCTCCCACCATTTCCCTTGAGTCCCCAAAATCTACTACATTCTTATGCCTTTGCATCCTTCTAGCTTAGCTTCCACTTATAAGTGAAAACATAGGATATTTGCTTTTCCATTCCTCCAAGCTTATTTCAGAAGTCTTTTTCTTCGCTGGGTTCTTCTGAGCATTTTATCATTCTAGCTTAGCCCCTACTCCAGAATTAGGAGGACATTGACCCCCAACAGGCATTACTCCTCTAAACCCCCTAGAAGTACCACTCCTGAACACATCTGTATTGCTCATATCAGGAGTTTCAATTACTTGAGCCCATCACAGTCTAATAGAAAACAAGTAATTCAAGCACTACTTATCACAATCATATTAGGTATCTACTTCACCCTCCTACAAATCTCAGAATACTTTGAGGCCCACTTTATTATTTCTGACAGGGTCTATGGCTCAACATTTTTTATAGTCACAGGCTTTCACGGATTTCATGTCATCATCGGATCAACATTCCTTACCACCTGCCTTATCCGCCAATTGCTATGTCACTTCACATCCAATCACCACTTTGGCTTCGAAGCCACCACTTGATACTGGCACTTTGTAGGTGTAGTATGACTATTCCTGTATGTTTCTATCTACTGATGAGGATCTTACTCTTTTAGTATAAACAGTACCGTTGACTTCCAATTAGTTTCGACAGCATTAGAAAAAGAGTAATTAACCTAGCATTAGCTTTAATAATCAACACCTTGCAAGCCCTATTACTGATAATTATTATTACATTCTGACTATCACAACTCCATACTTACATAGAAAAGTCTAACCCTTATGAATGCGGGTTTGATCTATTATCCTCCACCCGCATTCCTTTATAAAATTTTTCCTAATTGCCATCACCTTTCTATTATTTGACTTAGAAATTGCCCTAGTATTATCCTTACCATGAGCCCTTCAAACAACCAACCTACCACTAATAATTAATTCATCCCTTATACTAGTACTAGGTCTGACTTATGAATGAACTCAAAAGGGGTTAGACTGGGCCTAAATGGTAGGTAGTTTAAACAAAAATAAATGATTTTGACTCATTAGATTATGGTAGTCATACTTACCAAATGCCTTCTATCTACATAAACATTGTATTAGCATTTACCATTTCACTTCTAGGGATATTGATCTATTGCTCACACCTGATATCCTACCTACTATGCCTGGAGGGAATAATATTCTCATTATTTATTATAAATACTCTTACAACTTTAAATATACACTCACCCTTAATCAGTATTATGCCTATTGCCCTGTTAGTGTTCACCACCTGCGAGGAAGCAGTAGGCCTTGCTTTACTAGTCTCGATCTCCAGCACATGTGGCTTAGACTATGTATACAATTTAAACTTACTCCAATGCTAAAAATAATTATCCCCACAATTATACTACTACCAATAACATGGCTCTCTAAGAACCATATAATCTGAATCAATCCCTCCGCTTTAGAAAGCCCAACCCCAGTCTCAGCCCTACTCGTGCACTCTAGCACTATAGTTGTGGCAGGGATTTTCCTACTCATCCACTTCCACCCCTTAATAGAAAATAATACGCTAATTCAAAGCCTCACGCTATGCTTAGGGGCTATCACTACCCTACTCACAGCAATCTGTGCTCTAACACAAAATGGTATTTAAAAAATCGTAGCCTTCTCCACCTCAAGTCAACTAGGCCCAATAATAATTACAATCAACATTAATCAACCACACCTGGCATTTCCACAGGTCTGTACTCACACTTTCTTTAAAGCCATACTATTTATATGCTCAGGGTCTATTATCCCTAATCTTAACAACGAGCAAGATATCTGGAAAATGGGAGGATTATTTAAAATTTTACCCCTTACTTCAGCTTCCCTTATTATTGGCAGCCTAGCACTCACAGGCATACCTTTCCTTGCAGGTTTCTACTCTGAAGACCTCATCATCGAAACAGCAAACGCGTCGTATACCAACGCCTGAGACCTATCTATTACTCTCATCGCCACTTTCCTAACAAGCACCTATAGCGCTCAAATTATTTTTCTCACCTTAACAGGACAAACCTGCTCCCAACCACAATTAATATTAACGAAAATATTCCCGCCCTAATAAACCCAATTAAAAGCCTCACAATTGGCAGCCTATTCGGAGGATTTCTCATCACCAATAGTATGTTCCCCACCTCACTTCCCCAAACAACAATGCCACCTTACCTAAAACTTACAGCCCTAGGTGTAACTATTCTAGGATTCTTAGTGGCTCTAGAGCTTAGCCTTATAACCAACAAACTCAAAGTAAAATCCCCACTCCACACGTTTAATTTCTCCAACATGCTAGGATTCTATCCCATCACAGTTCACCGCACAACCCCTCACCTAAATCTATCTGTAAGCCAAAATCTGGCTTCACTGCTACTAGATTTAATTTGACTAGAAAAATCTATGCCTAAAACAATTTCACAAACCCAAATCACCGCCTCCATTACTACTACCACTCAAAAAGTCATAATTAAATTTTATTTCCTTTCTTTATTCTATTCCTCCTAACTTTACTTTTAATCACATAGTCTATTACCCTGAGCAATTTCAATCTATATATATACGCCAAGAAACAACATTCAACCAGTAACTACCACCAGTCAACTTCCACAGTCATATAAATCACCCGCACCAATAGAGTCCTCCCGAACTAACCCCGGCCCCTCCCCCTCAAAAATCACTCAACTTTCCATGTTGTTAAAATTAACTACTACCACCACCTCGTCATACTCTGCTACCCATCAAACTAATGCCACTTCCATTGCTAAACCCACCAAGGCACTCCCTAAAACTTCAGTTCCTGACCCTAATACCTCAGGATACTCCTCAATAGCCATCACCGTAGTATAACCAAAAACAACTATTATTCCCCCTAAGTAAATCAGAAAGACCATTAGACCCATATAAGCTCCCCCATAATTCAGAACAATAACACAACCTACTACGCCACTAATTATTAACACCAAGCTCCCCGTAAAAAGGAGAAGGTTTAGAAGAAAAACCTACAAATCCTATAACTAAAAGTATACTTAATAAGAATAAAGCATATGTCATTATTCCTACATGGATTGTAACTATGACTAATGATATGAAAAACCGTCATTGTATTTTAACTATAAGAACACTAATGACCGCAGCACGTAAAACAAACCTACTAATAAAAATAATTAACCACTCACTCATTGATCTTCCCACCCCATCCAATATCTCTATATGATGAAAT
This sequence comes from Homo sapiens, assembly GCF_000001405.40. Taxonomy (NCBI): domain Eukaryota; kingdom Metazoa; phylum Chordata; class Mammalia; order Primates; family Hominidae; genus Homo; species Homo sapiens. The sequence continues at coordinate 64,608,735 of NC_000004.12, read as the reverse complement.
CTTGGCTCACTTCTCGGCACCTGCCTAATCCTTCAAACCATTACAGGCCTATTCCTGTCTGGACAGTATTCACCAGATACCTCAACCGCCTTCTTCTCAGTCGCCCACATTACCCGAGATGTAAACTACGGCTGAATCATCTGCTGCCTCCACGCCCATGGAGCTTCAATATTTTTTATCTGAGTCTTCCTACATATTGGCCGAGGCTTGTACTACGGCTCATTCTTATTTTTAGAAAACTGAAATACTGGTATTATTCTCCTACCCACAACCATAGCAACAGCCTTCATAGGCTATGTGCTTCCATGAGGCCAAATATCATTCCCAGGGGCCACAGTAATCACAAACCTACTATCAGCCATTCCACACGTTGGAACTAACCTTCTCTAATAAGTCTGGGGTGGATATTCAGTTGACAAGCCTACCCTCACACGACCTTCACTTTATCTTACCCTTTATCATTACAGCCCTAGCAGCCCTTCACCTACTATTTCTCCATGAAACAGGATCAAATGACCCTTCAGGAGTCTCCTCCCACTCTGATAAAATCACCTTCCACCCTTACTACACAATCAAAGATATCCTAGGTTTAATCTTTCTCCTTCTCACTCTCATAATTCTAATGCTATTTTCACCTGACCTCCTGAGCGACCCAGACAATTATACTCTAGCTAACCTGCTAAACACCCCACCTCATATTAAACCCTAATGATATTTTTTATTCACATATGCAATCTTACGATCTATGCCTAATAAACTAGGAGGTGTACTAGCCCTCCTGCTATCAATCCTTATTCTAGCAGCCATCCCTACACTTCACACATCTAAACAGCAGAGTATAATGTTTTGCCCACTAAGTCAATTCCTATACTGACTCTTAGTCACAGACCTACTAGTCTTTACATGAATGGGAGGGCAGCCAGTAAGCCACCCCTTTATTACCATTAGACTAGCAGCATCCGTAATATACTTCACTATAATTCTGACCTTAATACCACTCGCCTCTCGAATCGAAAATAAACTACTTAAATGAGCCTGCCCTTGTAGTATAAGCCAATACACTGGTCTTGTAAACCGGAAATGGAGACCTCCCCAGGACAACTCAGAGAGAAAGGACTTAACTTCACCATCAGCACCCAAAGCTAAAATTCTAATTTAAACTACTCTCTGTATTCTGATAAAGCACCCATTTGGGTATAACGCAAGTATTGACCTGCCCCATTAATAATTTTCTGTATATTGTGCATTACTGCTAGCCAACATGAATATTATATAGTCCTATAAGTGTTTAACTGTACATAGTACATACAAAGATATTCCATACAATCATAACTTACAAGGCATGCTTACAAGCCAGAACTGTTAACCCTTCACTGACTGTAACACATTGAGTCTGTATCCCCCATACCAACTTCCCACCCCAGGGGCATTGACAAGTACCTTTATTTCTTCATATTACATAGTACCTTCAGTCGTTCACTGGACATAGCACATCCAAGTTAAACCAGTCCCTGTCACCACGGATACCACCCTCAGATATTGGTTTCTTGTTCATCATCCTCCGTGAAATCAATATCCTGCACAAGTGTCCTACTCTCCTCACTCTGGGCCCATAACGCTTGGGGGTGACTACCCTGAACTGTATCCGGCATCTGGTTCTTACCTCACGGCCATAGAACTAAGATTGCCCACACGTTCCCCTTAAATAAGACACCTCGTATGCCGCAGGACCTGTCTTTGATTCCTGGCACACACTCCTTTTGATCGTACCTACACCTACGTTCAATATTCCGGCCATGCATAAATACCATAAAGTGTTAATTAATTCATGCTTGTAGGACATAACAATAATTATCAAGTAGACTTATAACTGCTTTCTGTACCGAACCTTACAGTAAAATTCTGCAAACCCCCCTCCCCCATCTCTGACGTCATTAACCCAGGAAAGACACCTTTGCCAAACCCCCAAAACAAAAAGCCTCAATCCAATTCAGCCAGAGCCTAAATTTTTATCTTTAAGCTGTATAATTTTAATCCTATTAACTCTCCTCGAGCTTGCTGTCGCCCTTATCCAAGTCTATGTTTTACATAAGATTATTCCATATCAGAGGCATTTTTGGTGTACTTTCTCAGACAATGCCGCGTCATCATTGATATATGGTCAGTGTGTTGGTTAGTAGGCCTAGGGTTAGTAGGGTGGTGGAGTTAAAGTGAAATCATATGGCCAAGCTGGATGTTACTAGGAGGGCTAAGAGGGTCCCTGTTAGTGGTCAAGGGCTGATTTTAAACATGTGGTAGACATATGATTGGTGGGTCATTAAGTATTGTCGTGTAGGTAAAGCCTTACTAAAAATGTAATATATATATATAGTAGTATTTCACAGTATATTTGAAATATATATATATACCGTGAAATACTACTCAGCCATAAAATAGAATGAAACAATGGCCTTTGGAGCAGCTTGGATGGAGCTGGAGGCCATTATTCTAAGTGAAGAAATTCAGGAATGGAAAAGATATATGTATATATGTGTGTGTGTGTGTGTGTGTGTGTGTGTGTGTGTGTGTATGTTTCACTTTTTCTTTATCCAGGTGTTGGCTGATGAGTGTTTAGTTTCATATTTTTACAGTTGCAAATTTTGCTGCTATAATATAAACGTAAACTTGTGTGCATGTGTCTCTTTCATATAATGAATTATTTTCCTTTGGGTAGACACTTTATCTGTTTTTTTCTTGCTGAATTAAGTTCCTTATGGATTCCGTTTACTCTGTTATTTTTTTTCTTTTGGCTGTGCAGAAGCTCTTTAGTGTAATTAGGCCCCACTTGTCAGTTTTTGTTTTTGTTGAAATTAGTTTTGAGGACTCAGTCATACATTCTTTCCCAAGACTGATGTCCAGAAAAGTATTTTCTAAGTTTTCTCCTAGAATTTTTACAGTTGGAGGTCTTATATTTAAGTCTTTGATCCATCTTGAGTTAATTTTTGTATATGATGAGAGGTAGGGGAGTCCAGTTTTATTCTTTTGCATATGCTTAACCAGTTTTCTTAGCACTATTTATTCAATAAGGTGTCTGTTCCTTATTGTTTATTTTTGTCAACTTTGTCAAAGTTAACTTGGTTTTAGATATACTGCTTTATTTTGGAGTTCTGTAGTCTATTCAATGGATTTATGTGTCTATATTTGTACCAATACTATGCTGTTCTGGTTATTATAGCCTTATAGTATATTTTGAAGTTGAATAATGTGATACCTCTGGCTTTTCTCGTTTTGTTTAGGATTGTTTTGGTTATTTGGGATATTTTTTATTCCATATGAATTTTATAATTTTTTTTCTAATTTGAAATATGATGTTGGCAATTTGATAGGAAAAGCACTAAATATGTCATTTGCTTTGGGTAGTATGGACATTTTACTGATATTTTTATAAGATGATCATCCCAAGGCACATAGTTATCACACTTTCCAAGGTCAACGTGAAAAAAAATCTTAAAGGAAGCTGGAGAAAATGTTCATGTCATCTATAAAGGGAGCCCCATCAGGCTAAGAATGGGCTTCTCAGTAGAAACCTTACAAGCCAGAAAAGATTGGGGGCCTATTTTCAGAATTCTTAAATAAATAAAATTCCAACCAAGAATATCATATTCTGCTAAAGTAAGCTCCATTAGAAAAACTAAGGAGAAGTGAAGGCGATATAAAACCTTTCCCAGGCAAACAATTTCTAAGGGAATTTGTTGCCACTATACTGGTCTTACAAGAGATGCTTAAGGAAGTTCTAAACATGTAAACAAAAGAAAATATCTGTTACCACATTAATATAGAGCCCACAGACCTTATAAAGCAACTACACAATCAAGACTGCAAAGAAACCAGCTAACCACAACACTGCAACAATAACGAAACCTCTCATATTGATATTAATCTTAAATGTAAATAGTTAAATGCCCCATTTAAAAGACACAGAGTGGCAAGTTGGACTAAAAAAAAACAAAACAAAACAAAACAAAAAAAACGATGACTGAATCTTTTTCTGTCTTCACCTATGAGATCTATCTCATAGGTAATGGCACCCATAGGCTCAAAGTAAAGGGATGGGAAAAGAGCAACACTCATTAAAATGGAAAACAAAAAAAAGCAGGGATTGCTATTCTTGTATCAAATAAAACCAACTTTAAACCCCCAACAGTAAAAAAGGACAAAGAAGGGAATTCAATTCAACAAGAAGACTATCCTAAATACAGATGCATCCAACATTGGAGCCCCAGATTTGTAAAACAAGTACTTCTAGATCTACAAAAAGACTTAGCCACAAAATAATAGTGTAGGACTTCAACACCCCACTGACAGTGTTGAAATTAAACTGCATCAAGGCCGAAACTGCATCAAAGCGGAAAACTAGCAAAGAAATTCTGAACTTAAATTCAACACTTGACAAATTGAACCTAACAGACATCTATAGAATACTCCAACCAGCAACCACAGCATGTACATTCTTCTCATCATCTGCACATGGTACATGCTCTAAAATCCACTACATGCTTGGCCATAAAGCAACTGTCAATAAATTTAAAAAACAGAAATTTTACCAAGGTTGTTTTTGGAGCACAGTAGCCTAGAAATACAAATCAATACCAAGAGGAACTCTCAAAACCATACAACGACAGGGAAGCTAAGCTACTTGTTTTTGAATAACATTTGGGAAAACAACAAAATTCAGGCAAAAATCAAAATTATTTGTATCTTTAGACTGGAATTGGATCCCTAATATGGCTCAGGGCACCAAACTATCAGAAAAGACTTTGGTCTTATCCCAGGAGCAGGGTTGTACTTGTTGAAACACCACCTATGCAAAACTAGAAAGATGAAAAAACATGGAACTTGGATTTGGGGAATTTTCTACCGCTATTCTGTCAGGGAGAAGAGGCCAGAATATTTCTCTTCCTGAAAATGACTTGAGGTTTTGGCATCTCAATGTGGAATTCTGTATGTCCTTTATCAGAGAAATAATATCAGATTAATAAACTGCTTTTTTCTTCAGAATTGAACTAACAGTCCATCTTTGTATGAATAACATTAAACAATATCTGATTTTAATTGCAGTGTTTTTCTATTTGAATTTATTATAGTATTTTATATTATTGTATTTAAGTCTCTCGTTTTGCTATTTGTCCCATCTTTTTGTTTTTCTTTCTTTCTAGTTTTTTTAATCAATCAAATATTATCTGTTATTTCATTTTTTTCTTATTTAAATTATAAGTATTTGTTAAAGTTTTAGTTTTATATATGTTTATTTATATTTTTAAAAATTAATCTGTCTAGTGCTCACATCATTGATTAGAATATGTCATCTTAATTTGTCTACCTTGACTTAATATTAATTACTTCATCCATATTAATTTTAGATAATAATCTTTCATTTATGCTGCTCTTATTCTTTTTTCCTTACTGTCATTCACTTTATCTGCTTTTCTTTTTATAATCAGACAATGCAGTGTCATTTTGTAGACAGTTATGCCTTTTAAAGACATTTTAAAAATAAAAGGAAACTTTCCATATTTACTTACAAATTTCTTACTTCTAGTGTGTCACATTCCTTATGTTAATCCAAGTGCCCATCTATATTCTTCATTTCCCTCCAGATTTACACTCTAGAAATGTTAAGAAAATTCCAGAAGAGTAAATCTGCCATTGATTAATTTTCTCAAATTGTTTAGCTGAAGCATCTTTATTTTACCATCATTTTTGAACTAGGCTTACTGGATTTACAATGTAGGTTGAAAGTACATTATTCCATTTTCTTCTTGTAAGAAAACAGCAGACATTCTTATTGTAATTCTGACCATGACAAGTTAGCAGTTGACCTCATGTGACAGGGCACAGTCAAAATACAGCCAATACTTTGTTTCATGCACAAAATTATTTAAAGTATTATATAAAATTAACTCCAGGCTTTGTGTAGAAGGCATATATGAAATGTAAATGAAATCTGTGGTTATACTTGGGTCTCAACCCTAACATAGCTCATTATGTACATGCAAAATGTATTCCAAAATCCAAAAAATTTCCAAAATCTGAAACACCTCTGGTCCCAAGAATTTTGGATAAGTGATACTCAGCCTGTATAGTTTCACAGCTCACTGAGGCTTTTTATATTTTATTCATTTACTTTTTGCTTATCCTCTGTGTTCAAATTTGGATAATATCTATTCTCATGTCATGTTTACCAATGTTTTCTAATAGAAGAACATTTTTAGAAGTTTAATAAGTTTCATCATGTTTTTCAAGTGATTTTCAAGTGATTTCATCATGTTTTTCAAGCCTTGAGGGGATTGCCAGGTACAAATTGGGAAAATCTAGTCTAGAATATAGAAGGAAGATGTGAGCTAAAACATATTTTAGGATATGGATAGTCATGTAGATACACAAATTTCCCCAGGTTGGGTGTATAAAGAAGAGACAAAGTCAAGGAAATTAATCTTGAGGAAAACACCATTATTTAACTGGATGTTGAAGCAGAGAAAAGAAATAACCTTGAAGAAAAGATATGAAAGAAATATGAAAAACTACAAGAGAAGCATTTGGCAAATGCAAAGAGAGATTTTAGAAAAAAAAGCTGTGGTTATCAGTATCAGACAGAAATGCTTAGTAAGAAAAGGGAAGAGAAATATCCTTTGAACTTGGCCTTTGTAAAGTTTAGTTGTCTTTTTAAGATTCATCCACAGTGTTGGGAAATGTTAGGTAAGAAAGCAAAAACAAGCATAGTCAATTCTTTTCAGAAACTTGGCAGAGTATAAGGACAGTTATCATGCACCACTGAAGGAAGGACTCACCTCAAAACAACTAATGTTGTAAATGTAGCACAGACTGACATAGAAAGGGCAAAACAAAAAATGCAATTAATGAAATGAAGCTTCAATGAGAAAATAAGCATGTTATCAAAACATAGTATCAGAGCATAAAGCTGATCAGAAAGAAAACCTGTAGGAAAACTCAAATCCCACAGGTTCTTAATTCCACATTCTGTAAACCTTTCACTCATTATTCAGGCCCTTCTTTTTGTCCCCATCTAAAAGACTCAGTCTTCTTGATTTAGCGTGGTTCCTCAATCCTATTCCTTGAAATGTTCCATAGTCTAGAAAGCTAACAGTGACTTGGACCTGGGAATTGCTGCTTGTACAATGAGAGATCCAAGAAGAAAAAAGAGATCTGAGAAGAAAACAATTCCTTTTACCTCTTTAATATAAGACCATGAGCTTTTCACATCTCAGTGTGCGATTCCATATGTATACCACTATGGAAATAAACTTTTTTTTTATTTTTCTGTAGGAAACCTATCAATACACAATTAAAATATGTAAACAAAATCAACACATTATAGAGTAGAACCTATCGTTCATACACACATAAATGGTATAACATAATATTACTGTAGCAATATGTTAGGTTTTAGAGACATTCATATATATATACACATAGTAAGTTATATATATATATGTATATCTGTTTATACAGACACATAAACACACACCGTCTGCTTATCAGAGTCTGTATTACTTTCCTATTGCTATTAAAACAAATTACCACAAACTTGGTATGCTAAACAACATGAATTTCTTATCTTATAGGAGGTCAATGCTCTAAATGAGAGAGTAGGGCTGCTTTCCTTCTAGAGCCTCTAGGGTTGAATCTGTTTCCTGGTTTTTCCTGTCTTCTAGAGGTTGCCTTCATTCCTTATCTTGTCACTCCATATCACTCCAATCTCTACTTTCCTTGTCATATTTTTTCTAATCATCTTGCTTTGTTTTTATAAAGACCATTGTGAGTATATTAGAGCCATCCAGAGAACTGAGAATAAATCTCCCAATCTCAAGATCCTTAGCTTAATCACCTTTTCCAATTCCCTTTTTGTAACAGAGTATCCTCAGGATTCAGGAATTAGGATATACTTTGTTTTGTTGTAGGGCCTGTATTTTACCGTCTATCACAGATTCAAAAAGACAGAAAGAAACTATAAAAATATATTATTAGAGGTTTGATTAAAATGCTTTACTGTTATTTATTCTCTCCAATTTGATTTATTAGTCATTAAGCCAGACCTTTATATAGATCAGAAGTTTTTAGGAATTTCTATTAAAAAATCTTAAAATACATACATTACTCAGTTAATAAAATCTATTTTGCTTCTTCTAGATGTCTTAATAATTGAACGTTTATTTTTAAAATCCATTGTATTAATATTGATAAGACCCACCAAATGTACAATTTCATTCTCCTGAGATGACTCATTTTCTTCTAGGTGGTTTGTGAAGCCTCATTGCACAGTAATAGGAATTTAATGGCAGAATGCTTCAATTAAACCATCATTATCCCAGGGATGTTCTTATCTTACCTTTCAATTGTTATTATCTGCAGATGTGCTTTTGGGCTCAAGATTATTTTAAAGGTGAAAAGAGCTTCATTATGAAACCACAGGTTAAGAGAATAGCCATCAACCAGCTACTAAAATAATTTAGAGTAAGTAATTTTGCATCCATGTGTATTACCTTTAATGATGCCATAAACAAAAGTAGTTTGGTCTTCAGGACTTTATTAGAATCTTACTTTCTTTCTGAAAATTAGTGTTATACCATTTATAATTTTGTTCTTTATATTTTGCAGATGGTAAACCACTCTTTGGATCATTAATTATATTTTTTATATTTAGCCAGATAGTACCTTTTTCCCTCTATTTGGGAAGTCTCAGAAATGAATATAATTTTCCGGTTAGCTAAAGGTCAAATTTTGGGCAACCCAATTAACCATTTCAAGCCTGGGAATGTTGACCAAGGGAAAAAAAAGAAAGAAAAAACACACTGAAAGATAAGAATTGGATATCTTTTATATGAGAAGAAATTAAATATCAGTGAAAATACAAACTTTCATCAGAAGGAACATTTAGTGTGTCAAAATTCTGATTGAAATGTTTCTTTTACCAGAAGTGTACAAGCATAGATTTCATGTCCATTTATTATATATGTGGTTGGAATAAAGATATAATTCTATAATTTTTATAGACCTGCCTCATTATAAGTCACAAGAAAAGCATGTTGAAACTATGACTTTAGTTAATAATAATGTATTACATCATTCATAATTGCTAAGAGAGTGAACTTCAAATCTTCTCATCAACAAAAAAGTGATATATGAGGTGATAGATTTGTTCATTAGTTTGATTTACTCACTCTACATTGTATACATATATCAAACATCACATTGTACCCCACAGAATAAATAATTAAAATTTGTCCGTAAAAATAAATAACTACAAATTTTTTGAAAAGTGCCCAAATGTTATGCCATCACAATTCAGAATAATTTAGTGTGATTTACCAGCTTCTATTATTCTACACCACACCAGTCATGTAAATGGCATTAAATGGTCCTTCTACTTAACTGTGAATTCCTTTGAAAGCGTGAGGAATTACTTTAATTTTTGTATCTCCAGTATAAAACAGAGTACCTAATATGCATTTGCTAATTTCGAATATGAAATGAATGATTAAAGGTTACACATATTAATACCTAAGAAATAGATGCCTATAGTACATTTAGAAATATAATAGTAACAGAAAATTATATTTTCTAGTTGTGATGCTTAAAGTAACTCTGTCTTCTAAAAATATGTGTATTTTTATTTCTAGACAGAATAATTAACGGTTTTTTCTCATTTTGAGTAAAAACGTTTCTGGAGAATACAGGTCTCTAAACCTGGATTTGCACCAAATTCTGCTCTTGCAGGGATTCAAATTCAACATGTCTGTGACTGACCCCAAGCATATCAATTATTTTAACATTTCACAGTTGAATCTGGTAATTACCTTAAAACAGCTGTTCTAGACTTATAGTAGTTACTCAAAACCCTGACCTATACACTGAAAAATCAATAATTTTTACTGGACCAAGCTATTTGCAAAGGGTGTTTATATACTAGATTAGGAAGCCACATTCATTAATGAGTAGTTTCTTTATCACGGTCTCTTTAAAAGAATCATTTGGGGTAAATTTCCTTTCTTGCTGACATTATTCCTGATAAAAACATCTTTAAAATTTAGATTATTTAAAAAGCTGCTATTGTTTATTAAACATGATAGTCATAGAAAATTCTGTTGGTGAAATTAATGCATGTAGTCTGTCACTACCTGTAATTTCCCATCTCTTGCACTGTGTTAATAACCCCTTTACACTGCATGGGTAAGAATTAAATTAGAATCAAAAATCAAAACAGAGATATTGGCAATATTTCTAATGTTTCAACAGTAATATTTTCAAACATTTTAAAGTTGAAGTTTAATCAGAACCACGTGTTACATTTCTCCATAGCCACATACCAAAGAAAGAGAAATGATTCATACTGTTAAAAGAAAAACTCAAACAATGAATTATTAATTAGGCAGCACTTTAGAACTAGAAGCAGCTCAAAGAGCTCTGCCAATACTGTGAGTAGTGAGCATTTATAGGCCAAATGAGAAAACAAGGTAGAGACATCACCTGATTGGCTACAGCTGGGCTTCTGCCTCTTTTAGGCATGGTATGATAAGTTGGCTGCTTGTCATTGGCTGAAGCTCCACTGTTTGTGCTGGTATTTCTGAAATCCAGGTATTTTTTCTTTTCTTTTTTTTTTTTTTTTTTTTTTTTTTGAGATGGAGTCTCGCTCTGTCGCCCAGGCTGGAGTGCAGTGGCGCAATCTGGGCTCGCTGCAAACTCCTCGTCTCAGGTTCTTGCTATTCTCCTGCCTCAGCCTCCCGAGTAGCTGGGACTACAGGCGCCGGCCACCACACCTGGCTAATTTTTTGTATTTTTAGTAGAGACGGGGTTTCACCGTGTTAGCCAGGAGAGTCTTGATCTCCTGACCTCATGATCTGCCCGCCTCGGCCTCCCAAAGTGCTGGGATTACAGGCCTGAGCCACTGCGCCCAGCCAAATCCACGGATTTCTTACACAACAAATATACTCCTGAGTTAGGATTCAGTTTGCTTCAATGCTAATCTAGGTTGTGATTTTTTACATAGGAACTGAAAGTACAGAACAGCCTCAGACTAATGGCTTCCTGCTCATTTAACAATACACAGAATTTTATAAACTAATTTTGTAGTGACAACTAGGTTTCTTTATTTTTTATCCTCCTAGACTGTACTAAATGTTAGTCAATTACTACAAAATAGAAAAGTGGATAGATTTGTGACAAAGCTGACAGCCACAAGAAGGTCCTATGCCTATGCAAGAGATCAAGGGAAACAAGGAGTGATCAGTGTTTAACACAGAATAAATAGTCGTTAAACTCTTAGATAATTTATTGGAAATAAATGGTAATACTAATTGGCCTGATATTATATTTTGCTTCAAAAGTATATGCCATTTAGTTTTAAACATTACTTCAGATACATTTGGAAGAAAAACAGGAGATTTTTATGTAAATTTCAATATCGAAAATGAAGGCTCTTAAATTATTTTATTAATACATAGAATCACATTGTGTGATCCTTCTAAATATTCCTCTCTATATTCCAATTACTAGTTTAAAAAGTGAAGATTCTTTTTTTTTGCAAACAGAAAGATTGCCTAATAGTTTTTTTAAAGCCGAGAATATATATCTTCTTAAATCAAAATGTATTTTATTTCAGTCCAAACTTAAAAGAATTCTATTATAAGTTGCTCCAAACTATTTATTTATTATAAAAAAATAGAGAATTTATTATTGCATCAGGCAAGAAAAACGAAAACATATCATATACTCTATTTGACACATTATGTCTCTTTTGAAGAAATCATACCTGAGTTCTTTAGTTAAAAATTGAATAGTGTTCAAGTCTAATATATTGTATCAATTGCTTTTAATGTGATTATCTTACCCTCTTACCTATCAGAATATTTTTGATAAATAAAATATCACTGGGGCATACTGGTGTTTCAACACTGGCAAATTCCACATAATGGCTATTATACTATTATAAAATAAAATACAAAGCATAAACTACTGTGAAAAATAAAAACTACCGATAGCCATTTCCTACCATTACCTTTATAGAAACTATAAAATACAAATTTCTAATATTTACCTAAAGTTCCTCAATGTATCTATAAATTGTAAAACTACAATTTTGGCTTGTCAATTACTTATTTTTTTACTAACTCAGTAGCATAGGTTACCTATGTATTAAAATAGATGAGTATTTTATGAAGTCTCTCACTTGACGTCTGCTTTTTAATGGTTTTACTCAACCACATTTCAATCTAGGATAACCTGACATATTTATTTCTTAATAGCTTTTCTGTATAGGTCTCAAAGTCTGATGACAGTCTTTATTTTACTAGCAATTTATTTATTTATTTATTTTTTTGCTAAAAGTAATTATTTCTGGGATATTATATACTTTATATTTTATTTGTTTCTTTTTTCTTTTTTTTTTTTTTTGAGATGGAGTCTCACTCTGTCACCCAGGCTGGAGTGCAGTGGCGCAATCTTGGCTCACTGTAACCTCCGCCTCCTGGGTTCAAGTGATTCTCTTGCCTCAGCCTCCTGAGTAGCTGGGACTACAGGCTTCCGCAACCACACCCAGTTAATATTTTTGTATTTTTAGTAGAGACAGGGTTTCACCACATTGGCCAGGCTGGTCTCGAACTCCTGACCTTAGGTGTTCCACCCACCTTGGCCTCCCAAAGTTCTGGGATTACAGGTGTGAGCCACCACAGCTGGCCATACTTTATATTTCCTATAACATTATTAATTTCAATAAAAACTAAAAAATTTTTAAAAGTCACATTTCCTAAAGTTAAAATGAGAACTTAAAATTATTATGGGAAGCACTTAACTAAAATCTATATTACCACTGGTTTGGTTGAGAATGATATCCATCAAGCGTTGACACACCATTGAACTAGATAATAAGTGACATTACCCCCACAAGTGACATAGAACTTTCCTAAGTATTTGAACAACTTTGATTGATCTTTTGATATAAATATCATCAAGCCTGATAATTATCTCTGGATATTGCACAAAAGGCTTTTGTTAAATTATTTGACATGTTTTCCAGAAGATATGATCACTGTAATTATGTCTTACATTTATTAGCTGTCATTTGGTAAATAATTGTACCTAAATAGAACTTTTTTACATATGGGAAAGATCATGAATCTGTGCAATTTACCCAACATAAAAAGTTATTTGGATATTCATTAACCAATTAAATTCATTATCTAGGAACATTCTGAAATGTCCTTTTAAAAATAAAAAGTGCCATTTTATAGTTACTTTTCATTTATCTGCTGTTATTTGTTCTCTTGCTGGATGATTTTTCTTCTTCCATGTGTCTAGGAACAATTTTCCCCAAATTTGCTTTTCAGTGTTTGCGTGTTTGTCTTCTGCAGTTATATTCAACTTGGGCCTTGGATGATGGCTACCTTATAATGAATTGTTTCTCTTGATACTTATCATAAAATGACCTTAATATTGCAATAACATAAAATCTACATTAATGCTTCCCATAGTTTTCTGTAGCAGCAGCTTCAATGATCTCAACCTATAAGAAGATATCTCATGTTCCTGAATTACACAACTAATAGTTAAATAAGTTAGTTAGCTGCCAATTCATAGATTCAATGCAATGCCAACAAATATACCAGGAAATAATTTTGCATTGTTCTTTTATTAGATTTTAGTAAGTTCCTTTATTTGAAGTATTTGACCATATCACCAACAAGCCATGCAGAGTATCTTTTTTATCATGTAGATGCCTGTAAATACCTTTACCCTTTTTCATTCCTGATACTTTCTTATCTCTCTGTCTCTTTCTTTTTCTCCCTATCCTATCCTTCTTTGTCATGCTACCTATTTATCTATTGTATCAAACTTTTCAAGGGATCAACTTTGGCTTTGTCATTTTCTCTACTGCATATTTAGTTTCTCTTTCTGTGATTTCTTCTCATTCCATTAACTTTCTTTTCCTTCTCTTCTCATGTTGCCTTGCTGTTTTTTCTCTGTTTTTTTTTTTGTTTGTTTGTTTTGTTTTAACTATTGATATTAAATCTTTTTAGTATCATCCTTTCTAAGAGATGCATTCAATGCCCTAATATATTTTATACTCTGCTTAATCCTTATTTTCAACATTTTGCTTTAGCATATGTTTATCTTTCACTTAAAATATTTTTAAATTTTAAATTTTATTTTAATTCTGACCTATAAGTTATTTAGAAGTACATTACTATTAGCAGAGATTTGGATATGGTCTGGTCATGAATTAAAACTTATTGTATATTTCTAGCTTAATTCTAATCTGCTGCACATACTCTAAAATATTTTAATCTTTTCAAATGTGTTCAGGGATTTTATTAACCTAACATAGTATGCTTTGGTGAATGTTTTATGTCATTGTTGAAACCTTGTCATTCTTAAGTGTAATATTATATATATCAATTAAGCCAAAATTTTAATTGTATTAATCAGATTTATTTTATTAGTAATACTGTCTGCTTATTTAATCAACTGCTGAGACAATATTGCAGTTTCTCATTCTAATTATAAATTTATATATTTATCTCTTTTATAGTACTTTTAATAGTTTCTTTTCATTATGTGTTAAACTAAGTAACTGATTCCATCATAAAACCTGTAAACCTGCTCTCAAAATGGATTTCTGGGGTATAAATGATGCTATGCATTTTCAAAACCCGTAGAACTTCATACAACATTAAGAGTGAACGTTAATACATGTACATTTTAAAAAGACAACAAGAATGACAGGAGGTCTCAGGGTGGAATGCTGACTCTGAAAAACAGAATTTAACTGTATTAAAATATGTGACATTGCCTCACCTAAGGGAGTGAAGAAGAAGGTGCTGACCTAAACAACTATGTAAAACTGTGTTTGGACTAGAAACTGTAAGTCGAAAAAACAGAAGGAACTATATATAAACACTGTAGTTAGTAAAGGTCTATTTCAGAAGAATAAGAGTTGAATTCTGAAACTGCTGTATAAATTCTGGGATCAACTAATGATTAACTGAATGGCAAGTATTGGGAGCCAAGTTTCGCATTCTTAGAGGTTGCAGATAATCAAGGGAGGGTTGCAAAGTGAGTCATGTGATGTTCGATTAGAATTGGAGACATCAATATGAGCTCATGTATAGCTTAATACAGATATATAGATATGGATGAATACACACAATGATAATTCTAGATATATGTGTACATATATGTGTGTATGTGTATGTGTGTGTTTTAGTGTACTCTGTCCGCTAAGAAGGCCTAGATGTAATAACATGCTAGTCATGGAAAGCACACTCAGGTCTTCATTCTAATACTATTCCCCCAAAAAGGAACAAGAGCTCTTTAGAGAAATAGTTGACTCTAGAGCTGGGGCAGAGATCACACAACATAAACTCTTGTGTGCCATAAAGTAAAAAAGGGTTCAAAAAATGATAGTAACATGTCATAGGACAGTAGGAGCCAAACTGATAATAAACTGAAAATGTTCTTATAGGCCAAAGCTGGGACAATTTGAGAAATGAGTACTGTAACATTGGATTACAACTGAAAGTATAAAATAACATGTTTTTGAATTCATACTAATATAAATAAATAATTTTATAAATTGAAACTTAGAGAAGAAGGGACACATTTCTTGCCCAGAAGGATTCCAAAGGATTTGTATAAATATCCTCTTCTCAAGATGGTACATTTTAATTCTTCACCGAGTATGGGCCTTATACAGTGACTTGCTTCCAAAGGGTAATCTGTGAGGCTTATGATGCCTTTAGCAATCTACGTGGCATCCAACTGGGATGAAGGTGCAAGGGAGATTTTCTGCCTTACTTAGTTCTTGTCCACTTATCCCCTAGTGGGTGAGGACTTCTGTCTTGGCTCTGGCAAAGCTGGCTGTGGAGCATTGCTTTTCACCTGTGTGTAGTGCTCCTCTCTTCACCCTAACCCACAACTCTCTTCATTTCACAAACACTTAGATACTTCACTCCCACATCCTCTTCTCTATAAACTTCAGCTCTGTTCTCAATTGCTCCTCTCCTCTTCTGCTTCTACCCAGTGGATGCTGTGGTGAACTACCCTGATTTTATTCAGAGTAGAAGTTCTCATTTTCCAAATTTTCAACTCCCCCAAAAAGTTGGCAGTTACAACTCAGAGACAAGTCCCTCTTGGAGAACTATATTAGAAAAATATACTGTGAAGTACAAGCATACAAGTTAACACTGCTGAGACAACTGTAAGGTTTGACCAGTGGATTGAGCCAAGATTTCAGCACGCTCTTTGTCTAGAAGAACATACTTTTCATGAAAAATGATTTCTGGATCCTTTGCTGGAATCACATTTTCCACTGGCAAATTTCTCAGCACGGAATTAAGCCTAAGAATATCTCCTGACCGTCCTCTGATCTCTGTGACCACTTTTTTGTTTCCTTAGCCAGAATATACCAAATGTCTTATTGGTGGAATTTTTCAGAAACGAGCCGTAGGATCTTTTCTCTTCTCCCTTTCCTGATTTTAAATATTTGTTTGAATTTAAATTAACACTTGACACCATACCCATTTTTACTTCTGTTTTCCTTTCTGCTTTATTTAAACCCACCCCAAAAACTTATTCTATTTAGGCTGTTGAACTCAATAAATATGTTCCCATTTTGTGACATGTTGGAAGTTACTTGGTGTCTTTGTGCCTCAATGGTCTCATTTCTAATATATCCAATATTGTGTTGAAAGAACTGAAAGAAATAGTATATGCAAAATACTCAGCACGTTGCCTAATCAACAGAATGCACTTCACAAGTGCTGGAGTTACTACTACTATTGCTACTTTTACTACTATTATTACTAATTGTTGTAAAACTAAATTCTAAAAAAGCCATTTCAAGAATAAGTATTGTCATAATGCTATTGAAGTTTGATCAGAGATCTAGTGTGATGAGGACAGAACATTGTAAATCTGAACTAACTGCCAAAGACATGAGCCATTCTATTGTTTTGATGAGGTTTAGTACTAGAATGGTGTAGATTAAGGCACATAGGCTACATAGGCATAAATTTCAGAAAGGACATAGAGTGTGAATATGTTTGTCTCACATGTGAATATTCAAAAAAAGGCATTTTCTGCAATAAAGGCTATCAATATAGAGATTCATAAAATGACATAAGTTTATCTCTACCAATATTAAACTGGTACCAGTATACCTCAGTGTCACATCTACCTACAGCAGATACCAATAGTGAGCCTCTGATATGGCACCATTCATCATTCACCAAGAATCAAGCTGACCTTCTGGTGGCAAGTTGATTACATTGGGACTAGTCCATAAAGGAGTAGTTGAAGGATTGTTCTCACTGTAACAGATATATAACTACATATATTTATCTTCCCTGACCATGATGCCTCTGCTAAGCTACACCATTCATGAACATACCAAACACTTTACTGTGTTAGTCCATTCTTGCACTGTTATAAAGAAATACCTGAGACTGGGTGCAAACTGTAAGCATTGGTGGCTTCCATGTGTGTTAATTCTGTGTGTTCACAGAGGGCAAGAGTTGAAGGTTGGGAGTCTGCCTAGATTTCAGAGGATATATGGAAAAGCCTGTATGTCCAGGCAGGAGCCTGCTGCAGGTGCAGAGCCCTCATGAAGAACTTCTACTAGGGCATTTCAGAGGAGAAATGTAAGGTTGGAGCCCCCACACAGAGTCTGCACTGGAACACTGCCTAGTGGAGCTGTGAGAAAGGGGTCACCACCCCCCCATCCCCTAGGATAGTAGATCCACTGGAAGCTTGCATCCTGCACCTGGAAAAGCCACAGGCAATCATTGCCGGCTTGTGAGAGCAGCTGTGAGGGCTGAATTCTGTAAACCCAAGGAGTGGAGGTGCTCAAGGCCTTGTGAGCCTGCTTCTCACACCAGTGTGCCCTGAATGTGAGATGGAGTCAAAGGAGATTATTTTGGAGCTTAAAGATTTAATGACTGCCCTGCTGAGTTTGGACTTACAGGAGGTCTATATCCCCTTTCTTTTGGCTGATTTCATTTTTTTTTTTTTTGAATGGGAATATTTATCCAATGCTTGTCTCCCCATTGTATCTTGGGAATAATTAACTTGTTTTTTTATTTTATAGGCTCATAGGCAGAAGAATCTTGCCTTGTCTAAGATGAGACTTTGGACTTGTCTTCTCATCTGAGACAATTAAAGTTAATGTTGAAATGAGTTAAGAATTTGGGGGACTGTTGAGAAGAGATGATTGAGAGAGAAAAGTAAAGCCCAGAATGTACCTGGACCCCTTTGAGCCATGGCTGGAGCTGGACAAACTGGGATGTGGGGAACAGTGTCCCAAAGCTGCACAGGGTAGCAGAATTCTAGGCTTTACTTTTCTACCACATGGCCCGGCTGCAAAAAAAAATGTTATTTTTTTTTTTTTAGATGGGATGGAGTCTTGTTCCATCTCCTAGGCTGGAGTGCAATGGTGCAATTTCGGCTCACTGCAACCTCTGTCTCCTGGGTTCAAGTGATTCTCCCACCTCAACCTCCCCAGTAGCTGGGATTACAGGCACCTGCCATCATGCCTGGCTAATCTTTGTATTTTTGTAGAGACAGGGTTTTACCATGTTAGCCAAGCTGGTCTCAAACTCCCAAGCTCAGCTGATCCACCCACCTCAGAATCCCAAAGTGCTGAGATTACAGGTGTGAGCTACTGTGCCCTGCCAGGCTGCAAAATTTTTAGCTTTTTATGCTCTGCTTCCCTTTTAAATATAAATTCCAGTTTCATGTCATTTCTTTACTCACACATATTAGCTAGGTTGTTAGAAGCAGCCAGGATATATCTTGAATGCATTGCTGCTTAGAAATTTCTTTCTCCAGATAACCGAAATCATCACTTTCAAGCTCAAAGTTCCACAGGTCCCTAGTGCAGTGGCACGATACCTCCAAATTCTGTGAGAAAGCATAAAAAAGTGACCTTTGCTCCAGTTTCCAATAAGTTCATTATCTTCATCTGATACCTTCTCAGCCTGGACTTCACTGCCCATATCACTATCAGCATTCTGGTAACAACCATTCAACAAGTCTCCAGGAAGTTTCAAACTTTCCCTCACCTTCCTGTTTTCTTCTGAGTCTTCTGAACTGTTCCAACCCCTGCCCATTACCCAATTCCAAAGCTGCTTCCACATTTTCAGATATCTTTATGGGAATATCTACTCTCAGTACCAATTTTCTATATTAGTCCATTCTTGTATTGCTATAAAGAAATATCAAAGACTGGGTAATTTATAAAGAAAGAAGTTTTAATTGTCTCATGGTTCTACAAGCTGTACTGGAAGCATGACGGCATCTGCTTGTGAGAAGGGCCCCAGGAGCTTTTACTCTTAGTGGAAGACAAACCAAGTGCAGGAGACTTACCTAGCAGGAACAGGACCAGGTCCTGTAGCCAGACTACACGGATGTGAGATTTCATTCACATCTAAAAGGGTAGATTCTTTTATTGTTACAACTAATAACCCACCCACAGAATTTTTGCTTTCTGCTCTCACAACGTTGCTTTCTTCTCAGTGGGAGGTCATGGTTTCCATGGAAGGAATACCTCTAACAGAGATGACAAATATAATTCATTTGTATTAGAAGTTGAAACTGCCACCTTGCCATTTTGTGTTCTTTGTTAAAATGAATCAACAAGCAAGGAATGAGGTGGTATGTTTTGAAATGCTTAATTATTATTAGCAAGAAGAAATGTGGATGCTATTATACAATAGGATCAAGAAGGATCATTTCTGAATATTTATTATATAATTTTAACTCTTATTTTAGATTCAGAAAGAACCCGTGCAGGCTATGTTACATGGGTATGTGGTATGATCCTGAAACTAGGAGTATGAAAGATTCCGTCACCCAGGTAGTGAGCATAGTACTGAATAGGTAGTTTTTCAGCCCTTTCCCCTTCCCCTCTTCCCCTCTACTAGTCTTCAGTGTCTATTTTCCTCATCTTTATGTCTATGTGTACCCCATGTTTGGCTCTCACTTCTAAGTAAGAGCACGTGGTATTTATTTTTATGTTCCCACATTAATTTACTTAGGATAATGGCCTCCAGATGCATCCACGTGATTTTGTTCTTTTTATGGCAGTATAGTATTCCATGATGTATATATACCATATTTTCTTTATGCGGTCCACCACTAATGGACATCCAGATTGATTCCATGTCTTTGCAATTGTAAAGAGTGCTGAGACGAGCATACCAGTGCATGTGTCTTTTTGGTAGAATGATTTATTTTCTTTTGGGAAAATAAATGTCAAAGAAAGACAGGACCCAAATTGAAAATAAACTGAAAATATTCTCTTAAGTCAAAGCTGTAAGAAAAGCATATCCCAGTAAATGGCTTGCTAGGATGAATGATAATTCTGTTCTAAGTTTTTCAAGTAATCACCAAACTGCTTTTCACAGTGACTGCACTAATTTATACCCCACCAACAGTGTATAAGCATTCCCTTTTCTCTGCAGCCTCTTACTTTTTGACTTTATGAAAGAAGCCGACAGACTGGTGTAAGATGGTGGCTCATTGTGATTTTGATTTGCCTTTTTCTGATGATTAGTGGTGTTGAACATTTTTTTCATGTTTGATGACATGAAATAAATGTTGGACACTTGCAGGTCTTATTTTGAGAAGTGTCTATTTCTGAATTTCAATGGATTTTCTAAGCCCCCATTCATTAATTTCATTTCCAATATCACAAGTTAAGGGAAAATTACAGTAATCAAAAATAAACATGACCATGAATGAATCAGAGACATCTATAATAAAATTTGAGGTCTCTCTGACAAGGAGGGAAAACAACAATAGTTGATTTCTGCCTGTGAGGTAAGGAAATAGAATCAATTTGGAAAGAAGGGAATTCTAAATGACAACTACAGCCTCAGAAGCTTTCAACAATAAATTCTATAGCAGGGATCTGTATTTTCTTTCATGCTTTTTGTGGTAGGCTGACATGTCAGCGGCTTCCAATGTTCCAGACCTCCTGGTATTCATACCTTGAGTAGTGCCCCGTGTATTAACACTGGTTTACTTCCATAACTACCTTTGGCCAAATGAGGCATTATCCAGAGGGATGCAAGCAAAACCTTGATAAATTATTTTAACTGTGACTCCTCCTTTTGGAAACCTTTCTTCTTTCCTCAGCTACTACTCCCTGAGAATACACTAGTTACACTCTCTGTTGTAAACTGTTTGACATGACGAAACTAAACTCTTTTGCTTCCTCAAAAATTTTCTTTTTCTATGTTTCTATTTTTAAATATCCAGTTGCTCAAAACAGAAATTTCACATTTTTTCTTACTTTTACCAATTATTTTAATAAACTGCTTTCAAATATCTTCATTTTCTTTCTTCCTGGGAAAACAATGATCACAGGATTATGCTAACAGTCTCATAGCAGGTCTTTTTACCTGGTTTTCATTGTTGGTCTCCATGCATTATACCATCTACTATAGTCAAACATTCTATTGTGTAAACCTTCTAATGTGTAAATCTGTTAGTAGAGAGCAAGAAACAAACAGCATTGTCAGAATGTTCAATAAATGTGTGAACAAGAAAACAAGTGATCAAAGAAACAACCTGGGAAATAACAGCTGAAATTTCTAATTACACTGAACATGATGGAACCTGAGCAATTATATATATATATTATATAAATATTATATATAAAATATATATATTTTATATATAATATATATAATATATATCATATAAATATATAATATATATATTTATATGATATATATTATATATATAAAATAAAATCTCACATGAGATTTTAAATAATTGTTACATTCTAAATTTTAGGTAATATTGTTTTAAAATTATTTAATTATTTTAAAATGCATTTTAAATATTTAACAACAGTTACTATGAGTTTAATACTTCCTATGGGTTGCCTTTAAGATATTTTTTTCATGTAAATTCCACTGTATCTCTATAGCACACATACAAAAGTCATTCTCTTAAACATATTTTTGAGGGTGATATTTATACCATTTGAACAATGTACATATACATTATTATTTCATGTATTAGACTAAATTATTCAATCTCTTAAAAATTATTAGTTTGGATTTGAAAGATTTTGAAGCATGTATATTAGTTATACTTTGCCAGCCAAAAGTGTAGTTGCAAAACTATTTAATGAGACAAAATACTACAGAGTCCATGAAACTAAATATCAGTAAAGATTAGACTGTCAGCAAGAAAACATTTTATTCCAATAGCAATGTGGTTATATGTTGATAATATTAATAAATAGGTACAAAATAGAATCAAAATTACTATAATACTTAAACCAGGTATAGTTATTTATATTATTAACAGTATAAATATTATGATAACTTTGTATAAATAAGCCTGTTAGTGAAATGTGACTATGCAGAAACCAGAAAGAAAAATATTTCACTCACATATGTTTTATACTTTTTAAGTTGGTTTTTTAGTCTCTTTGGAGATACTAACAAAGTGGAATATTTTCATTATTTAAATAAATTCTCTGTGCTTTTGAATCATACACCTGTGGATTGTGTGGAGCTTTTTTGTTGTCATTATTGTTGTTATCATTTGTTTGCCTAACTTAATGGTTCTAATGAAAAGTGCCTCTATTGTTAAAATGCCTCATGTTTTTATTTTTATTTGGGGAACAATATCAATTTTTGCAAAGAAAATAAATTATATCAGACACTGAATTATGTGGCCGGTATGTATTATGCCATTCAATCCTTATAATGATTCTGTAAGATTAATGTTGTCAATGTTATCATAAATGACAATAGAAGTTCAGTCGTAATTTACCCAAGGTCATTCAACCAGAAAGTAGCAAGACATATTTTTACTGCTCGTTCTCTATTTCTATATGTCCTATACATTATTTTTTAATGACAGTCTACCTCATACATGCACATTTAATTTCTATATTTAAGTCATATTACATTCTATTTAAATTTTCAAACTCTGAGGATTGATTTTTTTTTTTCACCCACTAAGTCCTAATTGTTAGAATGGAAATGGCCCTCTTGTGAAGCAGCACATATTTAATACATTAAATAATGTTTGAATTCTTATCCTCTTATCAATTAGTAAAGTTCTGAAAATATGAGACATAGGTGAATCGCTGTTGATTCATGGAGATAATTACTTTAAATTATCGATTGGTAATAATATTCTCAAAAGATCATACAGAAGTAATTTACATCATGAAGTTTTTGGCAATTGGAATGACACATATGTAGACTAAGGATAAGCCTGAGGGAGAAGGTACAACAGAAAAGTGAGGAGCTAAATTAAAACTCTCAGACAATCTTTTCTTACATTTATAGAAATTAATTTATTCAATGAGGTAAATGCGTATTTGAATATATATACTATTTAAGGTATGAAATTAATTATAAAGAATAAGTGTTTTATATTTCATATAATTCAAACCGATTCAACAGAAAAAAAAACTCAAATTTTTAACTAGAAATTACTTTTTCAACAAGGTTGGTCAGAAAAAGAAAATTAAAAAATTCTACTTATGTCCACGAGAGGGCAGTATTGAAACACCATAACATCACAGATGGGCCTGGCCTCGGAGGGGGGAAAAAAAGTACTTAACAGAGAAAAATGGATGCACGAAATCACTTTTTTTCCTGAAGATTAAAGAATAAAATAATTTTAATTTAATATGATTGATATATTTTCCATTGTATTTCATAATTGTTGTAAAGGCCCCCTCATGTTGTTATTGATTAAATTGATGAAAATTTAAAGTCAGTAAACAAGAACAGGTCTACGCCCAAAATGTTTTACTATATTATAAGAACTTGTGTCTAGTTATTCTAAATGAGCCTATCAGATAAAACAATTTAAATGCTACATACAATACAAACATTTTAAATACATTGTAGAGCTGATGTTATAGGAAGGATTTTACTATAGCCAAAAATTAAAAAGAAGAATTTAATAGGTAAGTACAAAGTTTTCTTTCACTCTGAAGATTCATTATAAGCTCTGAAAGTCCTAAACTTTCACATTCTTATTTTCTGGGGCCAGGTGACAAGAGAATGCCTATGGTTCCCCAAAGATAAGAATTATGAAATACCTCTTTCTTCCCATGATATGAAGCTAGGGGAGTTATTACTATACAAATTTAGACAAAAAATTAATCTGCCTTCCCCAAGGGTGAACAGTAATACATAATTATTTCAATTTTTTTAGAAAGACAGAGGACCAAACTTCCTAAGTCTCTGTAAGGCGACTTAGGTTCCCGAGGAGTTGGCAGTCACGCAGACCCCTTCTAGGCTGACCAGCAGGAAGTCTGATCCTACAACAGCTGATAAAAAAGCTTTGTCTGGCAGGCCTCATGGGGCAAGCTGCCCTCCCCATACCAGATTTGTATTTCTTCAACTTATGAGCTTTGAGAGTCCTGAGTCCTTGACTGCAACTTCTTCTGAAAGATAAGAACACCCTTACTATGCACCCAGCATGGTGTGGAAAGGGCAGCTTCCCCCGTAGCAACTGCCAGGCAAAATCTTGTAATTGCCAATGATTGGGTCTGAAGGTTCAAGCATACAATTTTGGCCTGGAGCCAGAATCCTCAGTTTCCAATTTTCAAACCTGGAACTATTTGAGCAGCAAAATAAAGAATGCAGTATTAGATTATAAACCACATTTAAAATAAATATCTAGGAGAATACACTAGTATAAATAAATGATAGAATAAATAAATAAATGAGGGGAGAAATTATTTTTATAGAAAATGTCCTAATAGTATACACAGATACTCCCCTCCAGCAGGTGAAACTAACTTGCCTCCACTCCCCTCTCCTGTCAGTTGAACTTAGCGATTTCTTTCCAGAGAATAAAGAATAGAAAGGAAAAAAAGTAACTTTATAGCAGAGAAACATATCAGACTCTACATTAACCAAGCAAACAAGGTTAACATCATTTATCATAAAGCATATTGATATCATTTGTCCCCTTGTTTTATAAGATTAAAAAATTCTTCTGACAGTAGGACACAATATCATGACAAGCAGGGTAAGGAAAATAACATAACTTTTTGTTCCCTATGGCTGTAAATGAGAAAAGTCTGCCACACAAAGAAACACATAGGGTTGCGCCCAAGTACAGGTAACAGCTGACTAAAACTGTAGGGGCAGCTTATATATGGCAAGAGGGATGGGGTTAGCCAAATCGTGACTATTTCATGTGGATTGGCTGTTTTAAAGAATATCTCAGGCTCTGAGGTATAGGAACTGTTTGTAGTTGGCAGAGAACTGGCCCTGGGGTGATGAGGGTAGGTGCACAGTATCCTGGAGTGTGAGAGTTCAGTGAGGGAAGCGTTTGGGGCATGTACTTACTCAGCTGCTCAAGTAGGGGAAGTGTTAGGCCTCTAGCCAGGGCCTCAAAATTGTGTCAAGAAAGCATTTTATATACATATATATGTATGTGTGTGTGTGTGTGTACCCCTAATATGATATAATAAAAAAGGTAATTTGCCTTGTTGATATTCTTCCCGTAAACTCATAGCCCCAGTCTTATCTTCAGGAAGCATATCAGAAAATCCCAAATTGAGGGATATTCTACAAAATATTGGGCTAGTAATCTTACAAAATTGCCAGAACAGACAGAGTTGCCAAAGACAAAATTGCCAAAACAAGAGCAGACAGAAACTGTCACAATTCAGAAGTGACTAAGGTGTCATGAAGACTAAATGCAAAAATGTGGACTAGATACTGAAACAGAAAAATAATACTAATGGAAAAACTGAGGAGAGCTGTATAACGTCTATAGTTTAGTTCTTAGTTATATGCCAACATAATTTTCTTTTTAGTTTTGAAAAATATGTCACAATATGTGCTATAATCTGAATGTCTATGTCCCTCCAAAATCCCTGTGTTGAAATCCCCACCCCAAAGCAGGTGGGGCCTTTGAGAGGTGATTAGGTCATGGGGCAGAGCCCCCATGAAAGGAATTAGGGCCGTTATACAAAAGGCCTAAGAGCCACCCCGCCCCCTTCCTCCTTCTTAACAGCCACCCCTTCCCCCATGTGGGAAAACAGTGAGAAGGCTTTAGTTCTGAACCAGAACACAAGCCATCACCAGACACCAAATCTGCTGGCACCTTCATCCTAGACGCCCCAGACTTATTATTTTCTGTGAGAATTAAATTTCTGTTTTTCATAAGCTATGCAGTCTATGGTATTTTTCTACAGCAGCCAGAACCAACTAAGATATTATGTAAGATGATAAAACTAGATGAAAATCAGTGAAGGGTATATGGGAATTCTCTGCACTATAAAAATTAAAAATATCAGAAAAATTCTTCAGCAAAAAAAAAGTAAATGAATGCTTCAGGAACAATAAGATATGAGCAACGATGTGGCAATATATGTGTAAAACTAAGGAAACATTGATTATATAAAAGAATGTTAATATTCTGGTTTTTCAGATTGAAATTGTATTGAAAGTAAAATACTGAAGTCAACTTTATACTATTCAAGAGTGGGTGACAAGAAAAGTGGTTCTTAAAGGAGGGTGATAAAAATAATGTTTAATCATAAATTACCTACACATGAATATAGCTATGTTAGACTTAAGGAAAAAAAAAATAATGTACTACTTCTATGTTGGTAAAAGAAATGAGTGAGGAAAAAATTCAATTCTTTGAACACATCATATTGTGTACCTAATATAAGCCCAACATTGTTTAGAATTCAGATATAGCATGGAAAAAAACAGACAAAAGTATGTGTCTTTGTGGAAATTTGAATCTACTTGGGAAATATACAACACATAAAATCAATGTGTATATAATATGGTATATTAGAACATGAAACTTTCTATAAAGGAAAATAAAACAAAAGAAGATGTAAGGAAAAAGTAGACAGGGGTGAGTATTAATTCAAGTAACGTGGTCAGGGGAGACTTTGAGATGAAAACATTTGAGAAAAGGAAAGAAAGAGCTACAAGAATGACCCATGTGGATGTGAGGGCTGAGGGAGGAGACAAACCATTCCAGGCAGAGGGAAAAGCAATGCAAAGGCCCTAAAATATGTACCAGGCATGTCCCTGGCATGTATCCCAAATTGCTGAGTCAGCCTGGAATACAGAGAGTACTAATAAAATTGTGAGAAATAAGACAGGTCAGTGCCATAAGGGGACAGCTCAGAAAGGGCCCCGTAAATAATTGTAAGGACTTCAGATTTTATTCTGAAAAATATGGGATTGCATTGAAGAGATTTGAACAAGGTACATATTCAAAGTTGCATTTAAAAGAAATGTTCTAGGCCGGGCATGGTGGCTCACGTCTGTAACCCAGCACTTTGGGAGGCCGAAGCAGGCAGATCACCTGAGGTCAAGAGTTCAAGACCAGCCAGGCCAACATGGTGAAACCCCGTCTCTATTAAAGATAAAAAATTATCCAGGCGTGGTGGCACGTGCCTGTAATCACAGCTACTCAGGAGGCTGAAGCAGGAGAATCTCTTTAACCCGGCGGGCAGAGGTTGCAGTGAGCCAGGATTGTGCCACTGCACTCCAGCCTAGGCAACAGAGCAAGATACTGTCTCAAATAAAAAAATTTAAAAAAGAAACATTCTGTTTATCATGTTGCGGCTACTCTAGAACTAACAATGAGAAAAGTCTGGCTTGTTTTTTATTTTCTTAATGGTGTCTTTTGAAGCACAAAAGGTTTTAATTTTCATGACATGCAGTCATCAATTTTTATCTTATTATTCATGCATTCATGCTGTATCTAAGAAATGTTTGTCTTCCTCAAGATCAAAAATATTCTATGCATAGATTCTTTTAGTTTTATAATTTTAGTTCTTCTATGTAGGCGTATGATGTATTCTTAATTTTTAAATTTTTTAATCTAATTTATTATTTGTAATTGACAAAAATTATATACATTTACTGTGTACAATATGATGATTTAAAGTATGTATACATTGTGGAATGGCTAAATCAAGCTAGTTAACATAGGCATTACCTCACATAAATTATCCATTTTTTTTTTTGCCGTGAGAACATTCACTGCAAAATCATATATACAATACACTGTTATTAGCTATAGTCACTGTGTTATACAATAGATTTTTTTTTTTTTTGAGATGGAGGCTCGCTCTGTTGCCCAGGCTGGAGTGCAGTGGCACGATCTCCTCTCACTGCAGCCTCTGCCTCCCGGGTTCCAACTATTCTCCTGCCTCAGCCGCCTGAGTAGCTGGGACTAAAGTCGCTTGCCACAACACCGTGCTAATTTTTTTTTTTTTTTTTGTATTTTTAGTGGAGACAGGGTTTCACCACGTTGGCCAGGCTGGTTTTAAACTCCTGACCTCAGGTGAGTCACCTGCTTCAGCCTCCCAAAGTGCTTGGATTACAGGCGTGAGCCACTGCCCCGGCCTGCAATAGATCTCTTGAATTTATTCCTCATCAATGTCCATTTTATGTCAAAAACTATGATACATCTGATATTTTATCCTAATTGCCAGCTCACCAGTTAGCTTGCCATAGTACTCTAGACATGTATCATAGCAATAATGCAAGACCACTTGGTCAGTGACAAAAAATTATAATAGACATCATGGCATTACAGACATCACGTGGTTTATGTTTGCATCATATCCCATTGTCCCCTAAGACTGACGGAAACAAGGTAGAACCAGATTCAAATGGGATAACATTCAGCGGGCATTCAGCAGGCATGGGTCACAGCTAATGTACCCCATCCATGCTTAGGAACTCCCTACTCTGGTAAGAAGTTGATATCAAAC
Source organism: Homo sapiens (assembly GCF_000001405.40). NCBI lineage: Eukaryota > Metazoa > Chordata > Mammalia > Primates > Hominidae > Homo > Homo sapiens. The sequence continues at coordinate 64,579,934 of NC_000004.12, read as the reverse complement.
CTTCTCGATCTCTTCTCAGAGGGAGATACTGTTACCCGCATCCGTGTGAAGAGACCACCAAATAGGCTTTGTGTGAGCAACAAAGCTTTTTAATCACCTGGGTGCAGGCGGGCTGAGTCCAAAAAAGGAGTCAGCGAAGAGAGATGGGGTGGAGCTGTTTTATAGGATTTGGGTAGGTAGTGGAAAATTACAGTCAAAGGGGGTTGTTCTCCAGCGGGCAGGGGCGGGGGTCACAAGGTGCTCAGTGGGGGAGCTTCTGAGCCAGGAGAAGGAATTTCACAAGGTAATATCAGTTAAGGCAGGAACCAGCCATTTTCACTTCTTTTGTGATTCTTCAGTTGCTTCAGGCCATCTGGATGTATACAAGCAGGCTTGGGCTCAGAGGCCTGACAGATACTGTCTTTATTTTCCTGAACTGCAAAACCTGCCCTCTGCACCAGAGGCTAGGACTTTATTCTTGAGGCAGTTTGACACACAAATATTCTTGGATGGATAGTGTGGAACAAAAGCTTTCATGATATATGCAGAAAATTCCTAACCAATTGTCTCCACTTTCGTTGTCTCAGTCTTTACATCTCCTTTCTAAATTTCTAGTTAATCTAGTGTATAGCTTGTCCCAACCAATATTAAGATGTAAGACTAGCAGTGATGTTGGCCTTCTCTAGTTATTTCTCACTGAAATTGCTATTGTTTTTGACAACGCCTCTGCCCATAGTACTTTTGGCATTACGTTTCAAATTAAGATGGCCTCCTTTCACCAAGTTTAAACTTGAGTGTTTATATCATTTACATGTAATTATACAATTGATATGTTTAGTGTGGTAGGCAGAATTCTAAGACAGGCTTCAAGATTCCTACATCTATTTAATGTCTCGTACAGTGTCTTCTTGAGTGTGACAGTACTTGTTAATACGATTATCATGTTATGTTTTATCACACAGTTTACTTAAAGAAAGGAAGATTTTCCTGGATAATTGTGATCTAATCACTTGTGCCCTTAAAATGAACTGGGTTATCCTGGAAAAAAAAAAAAAAAACTTGAACATGAGGGATATTCTTCTCTATTGATGGCTTTGAAGAGGGAGGGAGTAACATTGACAAAGATCTCTAGGAATTGAAAGTGATGATGAATCCCACCAACAAACATGAAGTTTACAATGGAAACCCAGTCTCTAGGTTAGAACACAGATTTTGGACAATAGCACAATTTCAGCACTGTGAAACCCTGAGCAGGTTACCCCCCAGCAATCTGCCAGAAATTCCGACCTTAAGAAGCTGAGAGATAATAAATCACGGTTGGCTTAAGCCACTGCATTTATGGTAATATATTATACAGCAATGGAAAATGTACACATTTAGTTTAAACCTATTATTTTCTTCTTTATTTTTATATTTTCCACATTTACTCTTTCTTTTTTCCATTTTTTCTAGCCTTCTTTTGAATTAATTGTGTGATTATATTTTATCTCTCTTTTTGGCTATTTCCTATAACTAATTATTTAGTTATTCTATTATTTGTTTTAGGGAATACAACACATATCTCTAACTTATGTTCTGCCTTTCTATCACTTTATTATATGACACTATTGTAATATTTTTCCATTCTTCTCTGCCTTTGATCCATTTTGTCATACATTTTATTTTTACAGCCTTAGTTTAGGATCCCATCATTTCTCAGAGAGACTATCATTAGAGTACTTTACCATTTATTTTAACCTTTAGCCTCAAAACATTCTTGGTCATTATCTACAAAGTCAACATAGCCTTCTAAGACCCTTTATGCTTGCTTAACATCTCAGATCATATAGAAATGTGTAAGGAGAATAGCATGTAAGTGACTTAACATGTTAGACAAAAATCTTTATGGTATAGTCAACATCCCTTCTCCATTGTTGTCACTGCCAAGGTTTATTTTGTACCTAGTTTCTTTTTTCATGCCATTCTCTCCTTCTAGACTACCCTCTCCCATTTGTATGTCCTCCTAAACTCCAGTTCTTTAAACTTTGATTTTTATTGACAGGGAGCAAACAATATATTTTTTATTTCAAAGGGGGAGACACATAATTGTACACAAGCTTAGAAACCCCTTCTTCCTTTAAACTTTGTCTTTCAGTACATTATCTACAGCTTTAATATAATCCTCTACAGCTAGACATTCCATCACATTTCCAAGAAGAAAATCGAATCAAATTGCAAAATACAAGTCACATGTAAAAGCCAACTCTCAAGACCTATTACCTATTGTACCTGAAAAAAAAATACTGCAAGTCAAGAGAATTCAAGTGAGAATAAAAATGGATGAGAATAGAAAAGAATGTGAAAGAGATGTGAAATTTATTGGAAGAAATATTTGAAAAGAATTAAAACAGTAAAATAGTGTTGCTGGAGATCAACATTTATATAAAATTATTAAATTATTCATTATTTTAAAAGAAAATAAAACATTTCTCAAATCAGAGCTGCTAATTTGTTTATGTTTTTCAAAACCTTTTAAGTGCATCTCTTAGTTTTAATAATCAGGCTCTTTTTTTTACATAAAACTGTTATTTACAAAAATCTAGAAGTTAAAATGACTCAATTTTAATCATATAGAAATATTGTTATGTTGGTTTCCCTACATTTAAGATCTATGTTTTGAGAGATGAGTAACAAACGAAAGAAGTTCTTTACCTTTGGTGAGTTTATAATTTGCCCTAAATCAATGATTATACTTTAACTGAAGGGCTATTAAACGTAGGTAAGGCTATACTCCACATATAACGTGGGATATTTCCAAACACAATCTGTTTTTGTCTCCCACTTTCTCTTAAATATTTATTGAAGGATTTTTTACACATGTCACTGTCATTGTAGTATATGCCTAAGTAATGGTTCCAACATCACTTGAATTACAGAGTATCAGCTGTTTACAGGGCCCAGTTCAATATAGCAATTAATACTCTAAACATTATTTGGAACAAAATTTTCTTTTCCTAGATTAAGGCTGGCTCTTTTGAGGTTGTCAGACATTTGGCTCATCTTCCTCCATTTTGCAATTAATAACTTCCCAAGCCTGGATCAAAAAAAAAAAAAAGATAAAGAAAATGTGGAGACAGAAATTTCTTATTTGATATGTCCTAAGCATATCATTTGCACATTAACACATAACATTTGTTATGTGCTAAGGGAGGTTCACATTATCTCTAGGCTTGCCAGTTGTCTTATTGAAAAAAAAAAAAACTATCACATTCTCTTGTGGATTAGTGCATTCTTCCTTGCTGGGCCCACCTAATTCATCATTTGGTTTTCCGGGGATTGATCCTGTGAGCTCTCTGTATTGCAGTCTCCATCCTCTCTAGCAAGAGACTTCTTGAGTGGAACTTTTAAGATAAATTCAGGTTCATTTTTCCAACACAGCTTCTATTTCTGACCTTGGGATTTGCACTATTTGATCTGTTGCCTTGGGTCAACTCAGCCTCTCATCCTCGATTGCCCAGACCTGCATCCATCCATCAGCACAGTAAAAATATGTAAAAGTTCTCTGAGAGATGCACAATAAGATTTCTTCATAAAATCTTTATAAATCTGTTAAATGACTCTTCAATACTTTTTTAACACTCAAAGTGAGTATCACTTATTGACAGAATTTTATGTTTTTCCCTAATAATATTATAACTGATAAATATGTTATGATCATAATAGAAGATACAAGTTGTGTGAGCTATGTCCAAACCTGGCATCATTGTTATTTCTAAATTTGTGATTGTTTATCTTGTGAATGACTTATCTTTGAATTCCCAATAGTGCTTAGTAATGTGATTTTGATGTTTCCAACGTTCGAGAAAATTATTGAAGAATAAATAAAATGCTTAATTACATTTTAAATATTTTGATACAATATTATCCATCCAGTCACTTAATTTGTATGACATCATAAGGAAATTATTCTGTTTACACTCTATTTAAAATATTGGTCTATTAACTTATGGAGGATTTAAAAATGACAAAGTGATATTAAGGGTGTCAAATATCCTCAATATCCAATGGTTAAAAATAACAGGTTTGTGCCAAATATTTCTAAATATTAGTGTAAGTGCAACTACTTATTCAGTTTGGACTTGTCAAGTTGTTTAAGTTTCAAACATTTATTTATTTATTTATAAAACTTAGGTAATATTAATTCCTCTATGATTGTATTTTTGCTATAATTAAATAAGTGAAAGATACACTAAAATAATCATTATAGCATCTACTGCATTACAAGCTCTCTCAATATTAGCTAATATTGTTATTATAATTAATTGCTTGGTAAAGAATGAGTGAAATAAATGTCCAAATAAATTTGAACAGAAACACTACTAATACATTCTGAGTATCTCATCACCTAAATTATATGCACTAAGTATTCAGGATTTCAAACTGGGGAGTATGTCTAATGTGTAAAATGAAGAAATGAAGTTATTATAGTACTAACCTTTAATTATTTTGACTATAATAACAATAAATCAAATTATACTTAAATTTGAGTTAAAGCTTATTATCCTGTGCTTATTTTTGTCTTATTTTTCATATTCTAAAGTGAAACATAAAAAAAGATGTTATAATTTTGCAATCTATTGGGATTCAGTCAGAATAAAAACATTGACTTGAAAGGAAAACTTAAGTGGAAGCACATACTTAAATACAATATTATTGAGAAAAGTATTGCAAATTTTAGTTTAAATAAATACTTCTTGATGCTAGGGGTTTAATGGGGAAAAAATTGTTTCTAAACTTTTTATCCTGTTCCATTGACATAGTCACCAAAAGAACCCCACATTACCTGATTACTATAACTTTACATTACAATTTGAAATCAGATATTATACATCTTCATATTTTATCTTTTCTTCAATATTACTTTGGACATTTTCCTTTGCATTTTCTTCTCTCTTAAAATCATTTAATCCATTAAAGTAAGCCCTAGTGAAAATTTGGTAGGAGTTTTTCAAAATCTGCAATTAATTTGTAGAGAATTAGCATTTAACAATGTTGAGTTTTCCAATCCTTAAATATGCTACAACTCTTTATTAATTTAGATTTTCTTTCATCAAAGTTCTGTAGTCTTTAAGTATAGAAGTCTTGTATGTCTTTTTAAAAAAAAATTGTAAGCATTTTAGGCTTTTTGAATTGTTATAAAGAAATTATGTTTCATTTTATAACTTGTTCCCTTCTCGTATAGACATTTATTAGAGGCTTTGAACATAAGCACACCAATTGATTGAAAATAAATGAGCAAAAGTCCTTAAAATTACATATTAAAATACAAGAACTGTCATTCAGTGCAAGAAGAATTGCTCATGGTCATTAGTAATGGAGAAATTGTGAAAAAAAATTCACAATTATGAGTTACTAAAAATTCATAAGACTGACAACACTAGATGCTGCCAGGAATGTTTAGCAACTAAAATTTCATACATTACTGGTGGGAGAATAAGTTTATTTGATCACTTTTGAAATTTATTTACTAGCTTCTCATAAAGATAACCATACTTACCCTATGATTCATCCTTTTGTATCTACCCAAGATTAATAAAATCACACATTAAAAAGGGGGCAGGGAGAAAGGTCGAAAAGAATACAGAAATGTTCATTGCAGTTCAAAACTGGAAAAAAAATGCCATGCCCAATAAATGAATATTTTTTAATGTTATGTATCCACAAAAAGTGAAAAGCATTCAACAATAGTACTCAGTAGTAAAAAAAAAAGAAGAAAAAAGAACTGCTGACACTCCTTACAATAATACCAAAAACATAAGGTAACAGAAGCCAGATAGGAAAGAATACATACTGTTTTATTCAATTTATATCAAATATTCAGAAAAGGAACTGATTTATGGTGGAAAAATCAAAAGTGGTTAAGTTTGTAGAGACAGGAATTCTTTTGGAGGTAAGTGAAATTTCCACATGATGAGGACATGGGTTGTACAAAATGTATACAATTGCCAAATTCTATCATACTGTGCACTTGATTTTCACTGTATATAAATTATACTTCAATGAAACATATGAAAACATACAAGCTCAGAGATTCTATAAAATACTCATCACGAAAATTGCACTACAATGAGATTTGTAGAAAAGATGAAGATAACAATTTAAATTTCCAAAGCTGAAAATTTTCATAGCTGAAAAAGATATGTCTTGAGATTAAAAAGTTCCACTGATACTGACTAGAATTAGTGAAAACAAACCCACATGTATATACACCAGGGCAAAATTAAAAATCTCTTAAAGAGACAGATTTTTAAATGGTCTCAAACCTGAGACCTGCTATGCCTTATCCATTGTTACAGTACTTAGGATGCTCTCTAAACTACTCTGGCTGGGAAGAAGCTTGCTATTCTTAACAAAATCTCCTTAATTCAAAGCTCCCTTCTCTGGTATAGTCCATGGAACCCAGAAGAAATCTATTATGTTTGTCCTTCTCTGGCCAGCTGGGCAAAATCTACTCAAACTTCCTCCAGTGTTTCCCGGATCTATACCATATTGCCATTCATGAAGGGTACAGGTTTCCCAACTACTGATCTACTATGCACCTGATGACTCTAAACTTCTCTAATTGAACTCATAACATTAATCCCTATGTCACCTTTAACATGGAAGATATCCTTTGTGTTCATTCACTGCCAGAAATTTGTTTGGAGTTTACTAATGTTCCTACAAATCAGCTATTGTGAATTACTAAAATGTAATACCTTCTGCTTCTTTATTTTCTATGATTTGATTCTTTATTTTCAGTTGTGCTTGCTATACAAAAATATGGTTCAAAAGAATGATATCTGGTAGCTGGCTCCAAATTTGAGCTAGGAAACCAATATTTTGATCTACAATTTGTATTAGGCTATTCTTGCATTGCTATAAATAAATACTTGAGAAGAGGTAATTTATAAGAAAAGAGATTGAATTGGCCCATGATTCTGCAGGCTGTGCAGGAAGCATAGCAGTGTTGGCTTTTGAGGAGGACTCAGGAAGCTTACAATCATGGCAGGAGGTGGAGCGGGAGCAGGCACATCACATGGCAAAAGCAGGAGCAAGAGAGAGGGAGTTGGGGTAAGGAGCGCCACACACTTTTAAACAACCAGATCTTGTGTGAACTCAGAGTGAGAGTTCACTTATCACCAAGGGAGATGTCCCAAGCCATTCATCAGGGATCCATTTCCGTGATCCAAACGCCTCCCACTAGGACCCGCCTCCAACATTAAGGATTACCATTCAACATGAGACTTGGGCAGGGACAAATATCCCAACTATATCAGAATTATAATGTTATTTTGAGAGGATTTTCTTTCTAGTCTCACTTTTTATCATCTACCTATTTATTCTATCTTCCTGTGGCACTCATGAATGTGCATTACTCCAATCCCCTGTTGTGGAGCATAATAAACCAGCAGCTCCAGATGCCACACAAATCCTCCAGATCCACAACTGCTTTCATGACAAGCCTGTGTATTTCCTGGGCTATTTTCAGTGAATAGCTGAAGAAACAACAGCAGTAGGGTGGACTCATTCTAATGGGGCAGGAAACTCCTATAATTTGTAACTTTGGCTCTGGGTATCTGCATTCACCTGTTTGAAATTTTTAGAATTGTGTCTGAGACTCTTTCTACCCATTTCTCATTCTTTCATCTTCTTCTGTTATAGATGTCAAATCTGCATTAAAGTGTAAAGGCTATCCTCACATTATCTACTCCTCTTCACCATTTATTGCTCACAGTCCTTTTCTCCAATAAGTCTCTTGCTTATCAAATCACCCAGTCAGATCTTTGTATCTGTTTTTTTGAGGACCCAAACCAAAGTCCCTCCACTGAAAAAATGTCTATGTGCTGCATGATTATGTGTGTGTTTGTGTGGGTGTGTTACTGTAGAGGGAGTAGTGCTGTTAAAATTCATGCCACATGTAAAATAAATAAATAAATAAATAACTCTTCCTTGACAGATCTGTCATATAAAATGGCTGTCAAATAAAAATAAAGTTTAAGCTGATATTTCAATCATTCCTGATACTTTGAATTTTTTTAAATTAAAAATAAAGAGACAGAGAAGTTAATAGGGGAGATAAAAATAAGTTCCAGAGCAAAATGAATGCAAAACACTTAGTTAACATTTTATTTTTTTCCAAGCGTTTTACCATGTTCTAAGTAACGAAAGAAAATGTCTTAAAATTACCATTAATTGATTGACTTCTAATACCGTTATTTATATGGTTTCCAATCTTAGCTTGGATAAAGATGCTTAATGATAACATCAAAATATCTCCCACACATATTAGTTATCTGGGGAATGTGTGCAGCTACAAATAACACAGTGTATTCTAGAGACACATGATCTTTCTATCTGCATTTAAGAAAGTCAGCATCACTTCTGCTTCCTTTCTAAGTCCAATTACTGTCTTAAAACTTTAAAATATCCCACTTTGTTAACCATATTGTGTTCCATTCTATCATAAATCCTTGCTGGCATCAGATTACTCTATAGTTCATTACAAAATACTGTTCTTTTATTTTTTCCAATTTTACCTTTGAGATGTTTATCAATATGACATTTTCTCCTTATTGCCAAAAATTAGATTTTATTAAATATATATTTGCTGCTAAAGGGGATAAGGTTATCACAAAATAGAGATTTAATTTGTGATGTTTTCTATTTTCCTTTATGTGATTTTATCAAGAATGAATGGGAACATTGATAATTTTTGCAAGTATTTGTTGATAAATCCAGTTTCTTACAAATATCTTTATTCTACGCCTTTGTCTGTGATGATCTATTCACTTGAAATTTCTTACTTATCTTTTATCTGAAGAAATCAAAAACAGAAACCAGATAATTTGTGGCAGACTGTATTTTCTAGGATTGACATAGACCAACATTCCTATTTTACATGTTATTTTAAAATGAGTTGTTATACTCCTCCTCTATGGCTTATATACTTTCCAGTTGCATCTATGCAGCTCTGTGACTACATCTAAAGTGGTATCATGTAATTTCTATTGTCAGCTCATACAAGGCCATCCCCCCAGCTGTCTTTAGATATTCACTCTTAAAACCCAGCCACCATGTTGTCAGGAACCCATGAAAATATAGAAAATTTCACCTGAAGAGGTGATCTCATGAGATACCCAGACTCCTGATTGTACTTCACAGTTAGCATCTAACCAACAGCAGGCACCAGCTTTCAAGCCATGTGAGTGAGCCATTTTCAGGATAATTCTTTCAGTACTTAGTGAAGCTGCCCCAACTAATGCCACATGCAGGTGAAATGAAACTTTCCTGCTGAGTACTGCCAAAATTGCAGATTTCAGATATGAATACTTGTTGATTGCTGTTTGTTGTTGACAATTCTTCATTGTTTTGAAGCATTAAGTTTTGAGGTAGATTTTTACACAGCAATATTACGTGAAATATCACCATTTAATACCCAACTCAAATTTTTTTCTTCTGTGAATATTTCTTTCAAATCCTCTAGACACCTAAGTCATTGCTTTATTGTGTAAAAATCCATTATCTTCACACCTATATAATAATCCTGACATGTACAGGTCTTCTTCTCTTACTATACTACTATATATTCCAAAGCATGTATGATGACTCATGTACAGTTTTGCTACTCTGGTGCATATCTCAGTTTATAGCACATGATGATTTGTAAGAATGCATATTAAATTAATGAAACTATAAATACATAATGAAAGTATATATGATTAAAGGGAATAATCAAATGGTCATCTGATTTTGAATATTTTAAGATATCTAAATGTGAAGACATAAAAACATTTCTCTTTTGTTCCATTTATTTTGCTTTCATATTTTTGTATTTCCTTCTTTATTGTGTGGTCTTGGCCACTTTGTCTTTATTTCCTGACTTGACATTAGTGCCTTAGAATTTATAAATAATTCTAAATGGCTTTTGTCTTCATCAAATTATTTTCTAATTAAGAAAAGGCATACAGAGATAACAATAATGATTACTTTTCCAGGACTATACATTTAATAAGTAGAAAACTGGACCCATGACTTATTTCTATGCTGATTTCTATTATTAAGTAATCATTATTATTATTATCCTACAAAGATACTGACAAACACAGTATCCATATTGTGTTTTAAATGTCTTTGTCTGTTTATTTACATAGTGCCAAGACCAGCTCTGTGGTGGAGACACCAACCCAGCAGTGCCAGAGGAATTAAAGACACACACACAGAAATATAGAGCGCAGAGTGGGAATCAGGGGGCTGACAGCCTTCAGAGCTGAGAGCCACGAGCTGAGTTTTACACACATATTTATTGACGGCAAGCCAGTGATAAGCATTGCTTCTACAGATTATAGATTAAAACGGGGAAAAAAAGGGATGGGCTCTGGCTAGTTATCTGCTGCAGGAAAATGTCCTTAAGGCACAGATTGCTATTGTTTGTGGTTCAGGAACACCTTAAGCAGTTTTCCGCCCTGGGTGGGCCAGGTGTTCCTTGCCCTCATTCCAGTAAACCCACAACCTTCAGCATGGGCATCATAGCCATCATGAGCATGTCACAGTGCTGCAGAGATTTTGTTTATGGCCAGTTTTGGGGCCTGTTTATGGCCAGATTTGTTTTTAGAAGACAATAAAAGGAAAGGCAGTTTTATCACAATGAGCTACTTCTCGTAGGAGTCGGAATCTGCATTCTGCAGAATATACAAGACAAACAACACAGATTAAAAGCACAATCATCATTGAAACCGCGGAGCCTCCAAGTGTTTTTATTGATTTTAATGAGTTAATAGCTGCTAATCCATCTGCAGCTCCTTCAAGCACTCCAGTTCCTAGCACTAAGGTCAGGTGTGTCTGGGATACTTTAAATATTTGTTCTTTCATTATTAATTTTGCAATATCCAAAGATAAGTTTGTAGAGTGTCCTTCTAGATGTTTTTTTATTCTTTCCCAAATTTTAATCTTATTAAGAGCCATTAATAATTTCCAAAAATCCTGATGTTTAGCTCCTAGAGTGGGCCATATCATTTGAGGTCGAAGTGTCACTATATCACCATGTTTCCAGATAATAGGAACTCTTGCTGTATTTCTTACCATTTCTACCATCTGACCATTTTGTTCAGACCAGCTGAACACAGTGTGGTCGTGGCATGCAGACTGAGAGGTGCAATTCAAACTAAACATCCCCTTAGAGGACCAATCAATAATGATTCCATAGGAATCATTGCACAGCACCTCTGCCTGTTTTGCAATGCAACCTTCCCAAGTAAGTATGTTCATTTTTCTGGCCAGGTCCAATTCTGTTTATAAATAGGTTGTTGAGGGCAGTATGCCTCAATTATAGGAGTAGATTTATTATAGTAAATACTGAGACCAGAAAGCATGTGTAACTGTGTCATAGAGTGATTACATCCAGGCATTATTGCCAGCCAAGATTGCTAGTGAGGGGGTAGGCAACTAGTTGCCTTTCCCAAACAGATAGGCAGATGTTCAAATCCTAAAGAAATATTCATAACAGTTCCTTCCTCATGTGGGTGAGATGGGCCTCTATCATCTGTAGGACCAAGCATCCAAGAGCTATCATTACTGTATACCTCCTTTGGAGGGGTCTAGCCAAGTTACAGGCTGTAGAAGTGGTGGAAAAGGTAAATATGCCCAATAAGTATAATTGTTCTCTGTGTCAGCCCTTGCTGAAGGAATACTCATGGCAATGGTGATCACTGCTATCATAGCTATCATTAAATTACTCATTGTGACTGGTTGTCCCACTTTCCTCAGGTTTTCTTCTGCCATCTGTGACAGCTTCTTGATCTGTCCCCAGGTAGGTGGCTGTGTTGGACACGTGTTGCTTGTGACAGTTTAAGATCCTCTTCAGCATCAGTCTCGATATGGCTGCAACCGGGGGTCCTCAGGTTCCTCCCAGAATCTCTTCTTTGGCATCTGGCTCATGATAAGGTTTCAGGTGTCTTGAAGGCACAAGAATTGGCAGTTGATTCGGTCCTGGAGAAGCACAAGCATAACCTGTACCCCAAGTTATTATTTTACCTATTTCCCAACTTTTCGTTATCAGATCTCTCCACCAAACCAGTTGTTCTGCTTCTGTCTTTGCAGCTGGTTTCTGTAGATGCTGTTCAGCTGCTGATAGCCTCTGGCCTTTAGGCAGACTAAAAAAAATTTAAAGTCAATAATGCTAGATTCAATTGCATATGTGGAGTCCCATAATCGCTGTTTCCCCCCTTTTGCTTTTGCAACTGCTGTTTCAGGGAGAGGTTCATTCTTTCTACTATGGCTTGTCCTTGAGAATTATATGGGATATCAATAATGTGTTTAATATTCCATATAGAGAAAAATGTAGCTAGAGCTTGGCTAGTATAGCCTGGGGCATTGTCAGTTTTAATAGAAGCTGGAATGCCCATCACCGCAAAACCCTGCAAAAGGTGACATTTAACACATGAAGAAGACTCTCCTGATGGACATGTAGCCCAGACAAAATGAGAAAAGGGGTCCAAACATCCATGTACATAAACTAGTCTCCCAAACAAGGGAACATGTGTGACATCCATTTGCCAAAGAGAATTAGGTTCCAATCCTCCAGGATTAACTCCTCCTGTAAAAGATGAGGAATGCACCATTTGGCAAGTTGGGCATTGCTGGATAATAGCTTTAGCTTCTTTCCAGGTAATGCTGTATCTGCGTTTGAGACCAGAGGCATTAACATGGGTTAAATTGTGAAAGTGTCTAGCATTAGATATTGCAGTAGCAACTAGGTGATCAGCCATTTGATTCCCTGCAGTCAAAGGTCCTGGAAGAGGTGCATGAGCCCTAATATGAGTGATGTAAAAAGGGTGCATTCCACTCCTAACTGCTGTTTGCAATTGGGTAAATAAAGTCATCAGTTGCTCATCTGCATGGAATCGTAGCTGATCATTTTCAATTAATTGTGTGGAATGAACCACATGTGAAGAATCAGAAATCACATTAATAGGCATATCAAAAGCAGTCAATACCTCAATTACAGCTACAAGCTCCACTTTTTGAGCTGAAGTATAGGGTGTCTGGAAAACTTTATCTTTCGAGCCAGAACAAGAAGCTTTACCATTACTAGCCCCATCTGTGAAGACATTTTCAGTACCTTAAATTGGTTTAAATTTAGTTATTTTAGGGAGAATCCAATTAGTTAATTTCAAAAATTGAAACAGTTTTGTTTTTGGAAAATGGTTATTGAGAATACCCACAAAGTCAGCTAAATGGTTTTGCCAAGAAAGACTATTTATAAAAGCCTGTTGTATTTGTGCCCTTTTAAGGGGGACAATAATTTTTCCAGGATCATATCCATGTAATTTAACAATCTGAATTCTCCCATTTCATAGCATAGTAGTGATTTGATCCAAATAAGGAGTCAAAGTCCGTGAATTAGTATGTGGAAGAAAAAGACACTCTACAAGATCTTGCTCTTGAACAACAACATGAATAGGTGAATGCTGAGTTTAAAAAATTAGCAAATCTAGAGTATCCTCTGGATCTATTCTATTTATTTGAGTCTTATGCACTTGTTTCTCAATTAGTTGTAACTCTGCCTCAGCCTCCTTTGTTAATTGCCAAGGGCTAGTGAGACTAGGATCTCCTCTAAGGATAGAAAACAGATTACTGATGGCATAAGTAGAAATGCCTAGAGCAGGTTGTATCCAATTAATGTCCCCTAGTAAGTTTTGAAAGTCATTTAATGTTTTCAATTGATCTTTAGGTATGGTTACTTTCTGTGGCACTATTGTAGTGTCATTTACTCAGGTCCCTAAGTAGGAATAAGGAGTAGTAGTAGTCTGAATTTTGTCAGAAGCTATAATTAAACCAGCACGAGAAATTAAATTTTGCAAGTGATCGTAACATTGGAGTAATATTTTTCGAGTGTGGGCAGCACAAAATGTATCATCCATATAATGAATAATGTAACACTGTGAAAATTTTTTACAAGTAGGTTCAATTGCTTGCCCTACATAAGTCTGGCACATTGTTGGACTGTTTAACATGCCTTGTGGCAACACTTTCTAATGAAAATGTTTAGCAGGCTGCACGTTGTTTACTACAGGAATTATAAATGCAAATCATTCACAGTCTTGCTCAGCTAAGGGGATAGTAAAAAAAAACAGTCTTTTAAACCTATGACTATTAAAGGCCATTTTTTCAGAATCATAGCAGGAGAAGGCAATCCTGGCTGTAATGTCATCATAGGTTGTATAACTGAATTAATGGCCCTTAATCAGTTAACATTCTCCATTTACCTGATTTTTTCTTAAGAAAACTGGAAAATTCCAAGGGGAAAATGTTGGAGCTATGTGTCCTTTTTCAAATTGCTCAGTAACTAAGTCCTCTAAAGCCTCCAGTTTCTCTTTACTTAGTGGCCACTGTTCTATCCAATTGGCTTATCTGTTAACCATTTTAAAGGTATATGTTCTGGAGGCTTAACAATGGCCACCATCAAATGATATCCTAAATGATACCCTAAACCTTGGTGGGAACTTTGTCTTTCCACTTGAAGCGGTTTCTTCAAACCTTGCAAATTTTTTCCTAGTCCCATACCAGGGACATACCCCATTTCATGCTTCATATGCTGACATTGAGGGCTATATAATTGTTCTGGAATCAGAACTTGTGCTCCCCATTGTTGTAATAAATCTCTTCCCCATAATTTATAGGTACAGACGTTATAAATGGTTGAATAGTCCCAGGTTGTCCATCAGGCCCTTCACAATATGATATGTAACTACTTTGATATACTTCAGGGGCTTTACCTACTCCAACTATGTTAAATTGAGCGGCTTGAATTGGCCACGTGGACGGCCAGTGCTGTAGAGAAATGACTGAAACGTTCGATTCTCTATCTACCAAATCTTTAAATTTCTTTCCCTGAATAGTTATTTCACACGTAGGACATTTATCAGTAATCTGATTTACCCAATAAGCTGCTTTGCCTTGTTTATTTGTGCTTCCAGATCCTCCTGTTCATTTAGTTTCACTTTTCCCCATTTCTACATATGGCACAATCAGGAGCTGTTCTATACACTCTTCTGGCTCTGCTTTCCAGGGAACAGAAGTAGATATAACAATTTGAATTTCCCCATTGTAATCTGAATCAATGAGTCCTGTATGTACTTGCACTCCTTTTAAATTTAAACTAGATTTACCTAGAAGTAATCCTACTGTCCCCACTGGTAAGGGTCCACAGACTCCTGTTGGTACTTTTTGCAGGGGTTCCCCAGGCAGAAGGCTCACAGCTTTTGTGCAGCATAAATCTACTGCAGCACCACTGGCTGTGGTGGGGGACAGGCATTGTACAGGGGTGAAGGAATGGCCTGAGCCATAAATGTCCCAGTTTGGAATGGGGCCCGGGACGAGCCCCTCATGGCATTTCCCAAAATCAGGTTCCCATCTTTAGCAAACTTAGAGTGACATCGATTAATCCAATGTTTTCCCTTTTTGAATTTTGGACATATTCCAGGTTCAGCAGTTTCCTTTTTTCCCACAACTGGCGGCCTGACTCACTGATTTTTTTCTGCATTCTTTTTTAGTATGACCATGCTTCCCACAGTTAAAACAAGCTCCAGGAAACAAAGTAATTCCTTTATCCACCCTTAGTCCTGCCATGGCTTGTGCCAACAAAGTAGCTTTATGCAGATTACCTTTGATACCATCACAGGCTTTAATATAGTCAACTAAATGTGCTTTCCCTCTAATAGGCTGCAGAGCAGCCTGGCACTCAGGATTAGCATTGTCGAAAGCTAATAACTGCAATGCTACATCTTGAGCAGCCGAATCTGCAATCACCTTTTTAAGAGATTCTTGTAACTGAGCTATAAAATCTGTGTGCGGTTCTTTTGGTCCCTGCTTTACAGCACTAAAGGAAGGGTATTGTTCTCCTCCTGAAGTGATTTTTTCCCAAGCTCTAATGTACACTCCTCTAAGCTTCTCTATGGCATCATCCTGGATGACCACTTGTGCATCTAAACCAGTCCAGCTGCCAACCCCCAAAGGTTGGTCTGCAGTTATGTTAATTTGAGATTGGACCTGGGCGTTGTGAGCAGCCTCAATGGAAGCTTCATTTGCCCACCAAGTTTTAAATTGTAAGAACTGAGCAGGAGTCAGGCAAGTTCGAGTAAGAGCATCCCAGTCAGTAGGAATTATCCGACTGGAAACAGCAACATTCTTTAACAGTCCCATTACAAAAAGAGAAACTGGTCCATACTGATTAATAGCTTGTTTAAATTATTTGAGTAATTTAAAAGTAAAAGGCTCAAACGTAGCTATAATGTTTCCCTGTTGATCTAGGGGTGTATCCTAACAGGAAACTGCCAAGCCTCTATATCACCCTCTTGTCTAGCTAGCTGAATTCCTGCCTGAATAGAACTGAGAGTGGTTGCTGGAGGCGCTGCTTGAACAGTCCCTGGGACAACTACTTTTTGCCCAGGGTCCCCCAGAAAAGGAAGATCTGGAGGGTCAGCCCACTCTTTTACTTCAAAATAATGAGGGGGTGCAAAAGTGTAGGGACAAACCTCTCCCTCCTTTGCCACTTTAGCTTTAGCTGGCAAACAAACCTGCTCTGTCACCTCTTCTGTTACTTTGTTATACTCTCCTTCCTCCTGTTCATCAGTGTGAAAAGGTTCCATGGTGGAACGAACCACAGCCCACACTTGTCTCATTGTTACCCTGATGCTTCTGAGCTCCCCTTCTTACTCACCACATGGATTGCTTAAGAGTACTGGGGTGTCCTCCAGTGTAGTTCCACGTTCTCCAACCATGGCGCTGGTGACCCTTCAACCTGGGTTCGAGCCCCAAGTATGGGCACCACTTGCCAGGACCAGCTCAGTCATGGAGACCCTAACCCAGTGGTGCTAGAGGAAGTAAAGATACACACACAGAAATATAGAGTGCGGAGTGGGAAATTGGGGGGCTGACAGCCTTCAAAGCTGAGAGCCATGAACTGAGTTTTACCCATATATTTATTGACAGCAAGCCAGTGATAAGCATTGTTTCTATAGATTATAGATTAAAACGGGAAACAAAGGGATGGGTTCCGGTTAGTTTCCTGCAGCAGGAACATGTCCTTAAGGCACAGTTTGCTATTGTTTGTGGTTCAGGAATGCCTTAAGTGGTTTTCCACCCTGGGTGGGCCAGGTGTTCCTTGCCCTCATTCCGGTTAACCCACAGCCTTCAGCCTGGGCATCATAGCCATCATGAACATGTCACAGTGCTGCAGAGATTTTGTTTATGACCAGTTTTGGGGCCTGTTTATGGCCAGATTTGGGGGCCTGTTCCCAGCAACTTAGCTAACAATATATGATTAATTTCACATGTCTATAATTCACCCCTAATCATTTTTGATAATGTAACTTTGTAACATATAATTTTAGCTCTTATATTTTGTTGATGAAACCATAACCCAGAGAAAAGTTTACAAATTAAGATCACAAAAAATAGTGACAAAACTAATTACTGTTAAAGATAAAACCATGCATTGTATCTGGCTGCAGCTAATAATTTGTTTAAAAACCCTAAACAAGAAAGTTCAACAAAACTTGCTCATTCAATATAACTATGAATCTCACTTATTTAGGAAATTTTAGTGCTGTTGGATTCCTCCATCACCTTTTATTTCACTGACCATTGAAACACTAGCAAGTCAAATAATTTTTTGAGAATATGGTGCTTCTTTGAGTTATAAAAGACTAAATATGTACATTGTCCTCAGAGCATATGTAAAAGAACAGGCCATAAGTTTGTTCCCTGAGTTTAATTTAACCTTTTACCTACATCGTTTCATAAAGACTCATTTTAAGTCAGGCGCGGTGGCTCACACGTGTAATCCTAGCACTTTGGGAGGCTGAGGTGGAAGGATCACGAGGTCAGGAGATCGAGACCATCCTGGCTACAGTGAGACCCCGTCTCTACTAAAAATACAAAAAATTAGCTGGGCGTGGCGGTGGGCGCCTGTAGTCCCAGCTGCTCAGGAGGCTGAGGCAGGAGAATGGCGTGAACCCGGGAGGCGGAGCTTGCAGTGAGCCGAGATTGCACCACTGCACTCCAGGCTGGGCGACAGAGCGAGACTCCGTCTCAAAAAAAAAAAAAAAAGACTCATTTTATCACTCCATAGTATAAATGTTTTATGCAGTATTAAATAACAAGGCTTGTTGGTATTTATACTGTGTTTTAAATATATTTGGCTGTTTACTTAGGTAAGAATGATAAATTTCGTGTATCTATAATTCATCACTAAATATTTTTGATAAACTTACCTGCGCTCCTATAAATTATATGTTCTGATCCATTATTTCCCTACTGTATAGTTCTCTTCATTGTTAAGCTTCCGATATATAGAGGAAAACTTGCAATTTTCACTGTCCCATTTGGCTGTTCTGTCACAAATTACTTTTCATGACATATAAAATGTCTGGTAACCTTCACAAGTTTTGCTTTTGTTGAAAATTTATCATTATTCTCCGAAAAAGTATTTTGCTCACCTTATCAGATCATTTTAACTGTTCCTCAGTGCACCGTCTATCCTATGAAGCACAAGTCGTACCTTTTCAACGTAGCAGTGTTGAAATAATTTTTAAGCCTATAGTGAATAAACCATGTTTTGCCTGTCATTTTCATCTTAAATGAATTCTAAAAGTTTGAGAATCTGCTTTTGTGAAAATATTTACACAAGCAACTTGCAGCAATATAAAACGTTAAAAAAATCTAGCTGTATTCCCATCATTCTGACAAGATAATTTTAATTTAAAAATTGTTCTTTCCTAGTTCTTCTCCATATCCATAACTAAATTTTATGTAACAATCAAACTATACTTATTTTGAGGAAAATGAAATACAATATTATATAATTTGGAAGAATATCTTTGTGATTTTACAGAAAATTATCTATATATATGAATTTAGTCAATATTAATATAAAAGAAAAAAGATTTCTGACCATCCCTTATTTATGTAATGTCAGTATGAAGTGAAGCAAAATTGAAAGTAACGTGAAATAACAGAAAAGAGCCAAGATGTTTCCCTGGGTTAGCTGAGATTATAACTATTTTTGGACAAATAATAATATTGCCATGAGGCAATATTATTCAGGAAACTTCTGAATTATGGAGTGATATAAATTTTTTTTCTACCTTCTGTTTTCCAAAGGAAGAATTTTTCCCTAAAGTCACATTTTCTCACCCTTTATGTGCCTTTATTCGTTACTTTTCTGGAAAAGAGTATGATTTATACACTGGTAAATTTGTGAAGAAGGCAGGCCTGACTCTTTTCTAGACTTTATTCTTCAGGAAATGAAATATTGAAGGAAACAGGAGAACCAGTCTTTTCTATTTTCCCTTAATACTGCCTTTCTTTCAGATTATACAAATCTTTTTTTCATCATTTAATCCTAATCATGGTAACTAGTCAGCCTGTCAGTTATTGCCTTCTGAATATTGTCTTATCTTGGCTTACCTGTAAAAGCAATATTCTACAAGGTACCAAGGATTGATGAGTTTTCTAACCAATATCTCACCAGGTTTTTTTTTAATGTCAAACATTCTAATATTTATATGAAAATTCAAAGAACCTAGAATAGATAACTTATTTTGAAGAAGAAAAAAGTTGGAAGACTTAAACCTCCTGCTTTCAAATTACTGCCTAGTATTGGTGCAAGTATGAAAATATAGATTAACGGGACAGAAGAGAGTCCAGTAATAGATCAATATATATTCATAGATACATACATACACACACATATATATGCACATAATTGGAACTATTTGAAAAAGGTGCCAAGTTTGAGTAATGCAGAAAGAGTAGCCTTTCCAATAAGTGGTACAGAAAAAAAATGGATACCTATATACAAAAATAAAAATTATAGACCATTGTTTCTCAAACTTTCTGTATATCACCTTCCCCATAAGTAGTTTTTAAACTTTTTTTTTCTTAATCATTCCCTGAATTGTGAGAAATAAAGTATTATACTGACCTTGCCACTGGGGATGTTCAGAGCCTGGTAAGATTGTACAGGATCTGATGAACTCTATTCCTATTTAGAATACTATTGGGCCATATTCAAAAGTCCTCCGAAAAAAATCTGATTTAAATACAGTCCAGTACAGACACCATCACAGATTTTCAGAAGTCTGTGGCTTAGGCTGAGTCACTCAGCCTTACAATCTGTTCGCACAAATGATTTCAAAAGAATTTCAGTCTAGAACACAAGCCTTAGAGCTAAGGAAATCAAATAATGGTCTTCAGCGGAGACTGCTGAGGCCTTAGAGTTAAAGCTGCCCAATGGGGCTGGTCGTTATATTCTTAGTGAAAGTAAATTGCTCAAATATGACTTAGTGTGGGAAGAGAAAAGATTGCTTTCCCTGAGGAAGAGCATCAGATAATTCTGGGTAATGCAAAAAACAGTAAATAAATAACTGAGTTGTGATGAACTAGCTCAGGAGAGTTTATTGATAAATTGGAAATGACATATTCAAGAGTATTTGACAGGGGAAATTTCTGGAGCAATTGATTATCCAGGTGCCTCACTGTCTTGTGGTCAGTGATACAGCCCTTGGATGGTCAGCCTGCTGCTTTCACTGGGTGGTCTGAATTCAACCCAGCCAAACAAAAACATGCTACTTTGTTAACTGATAGGTGTTCCTAAATTCAAAGTTATGAATGGTGACAAACTTGCAGATAATGAAATTCTAGTGGAAAAAATGAGGATAAATCTACAAAATAGACAGAGATAAAAGTCTTAAATGTGCTTAGCAATTAGGCTACTGCATAAGAAACATATTTGGATATCGACCACCATTAACCAGAAGTCAATGACATTGTGATGTGTTTAGGCAAATGAGTTTTAAAATTAAAAAAAAAAATTATCCTGTAGAATACTCATTTAAGGCAGTTCCTGTGGAAATCAAAGTGTGTCAAAGATATACATGCCATCAATATCCAGTTGCTAGCTCAGAGGAGAATTGGAATGCTGATGAAAGTACTTTATTCAGATCAGTACAATTGGTTAACTTGTTTGATGAAATGACAAACATTGGTTTGCTGAATCCATGCAGAGAGAGAGTGAATGATAACACATTATTTTGCACTTGATGAAACCACTAATGTAGTGAGGGACTGAACTTAATATTTACAGGGAGGGAGGAAGGATACTGCTAAATTCTGGTAAAGATAGCTTTAGCAGAATTCCTTTAGATTATGGTTAACAAGAAGATGACCTAGGAAGTTCTTACCTAAAAATGTTTTAATCAAATCTCTTTAGATTGTACTCTTTAAATTGCTTATGTGAAATTAACTTTATGGAATGAGGCTAGCTGGAGAATGGCATTGTTCACCTAGACTCTCTACCCATATGGATAATAAAAATGAAGAACTTCCAAATGAAATGACTTCCTCTGAGATAATATGTGATCTACACATAGTACTCTTCTCTTACTCTGAATACAAAACATGTTTAATAATATCTACAATTGTTATAGGCCTTTATGCTAATTAAGAATAAATAGTAAATATTTTTTCTTTTATCCTGTTTGTTTATTAATTTTCTTTTTTTTTTTTTTTTTCGAGACAGGATATCATTCTGTCACCCAGGCTTAAGTGCAGTGGTATGATCACAGCTCACTGCATCCTTGATCTCCTGGGCTCAAGCAATTCTCCCACCTCAGCCTCCAACTTCAGCCTCCCACCTCAGCCTCTCGAGTATCTTGGACTACAAGTGTGCACCACCCCACCAGGCAATTTTTTTTTTTTTTTTTTTTTTGGTAGAGTCAGAGTCTCACTATGTTGCCTAGGCTGGTCTTGAACTCCTGGGCTCAAGTGATCCCCCTACCTCAGCCTCCCGAACTGCTGAGATTTCAGATGTGAGCCACTGCATCCAGCCATCTTTATTTTTAAAACTTCTTATTTGAAAATTATTTGAGTTGGATGTTATTAGTATACCAGTATACATAATTAATATCAAATAATTATAAATAGTATATTAATACTATTTGTTTATTATCATCTTCAAAATGCCCCATCATGAATCTATATGCATATGGGAGCTAAGTTTACAAGTACAGGAATGAATGAACTAGACAAAATCTCTCTTCTCATGGAGCATCAATTCTAGTGGAATAGGCACAAATAGATGATAGATATAGGTAGATAGATAACTAGATACACAGAATAAGATAGTGATGTGATCTATGAAGAAAGATAAATCAGGATAAGGGATTGGAAAGTGATTTTGTGTTTATTTAGATGGAGTTATCAAGGGAGACTTTTCATAGGTGCTTCAGACATATTGGATTAACAGCTATAAAGTCACAAAAATCTCTGAGGAAGAGCATCCTAATAGAAAGACCTAAAAGCATAGAGGTCTGACATGGAAGGAAGGGCATTCGTGTGGTTAGAAAATTATGAATGAGATAGAAAGTGGTAAACAAAATCATGTAATCTCATTTTTTATCTTCCACTCACACTTCTTCAAAATTCCAATGTAATTCTTCTTTAACATTATAGCTACAAAACCCCTAGAAATGTTCCCAGAGAAGAGACTTTTAGGTATTCAAGTGGGACTTTTTCCAATGTGTTTTCACATCTGAGGTGAGTTATTAACCAGAGAAACTGAGAACATTGAATTCATGGTTTAGAATTAGCCAGGCTCTGCTATTTATCGAACACCAGGTATATTCTTGATTAACTTCATTTACTTTGGATGCAAGAATATGAATATTCCATAGTTTCTCCCTCATTATTGTTTTTTTCTCCTAATATGTTGCTAACCTTGTTCATGTTCCCTTATTATATTGACTTAATATAATTTATTGCTAATAACTGAAGAGTATTTCCAAGTATACATAGCCACATATTTATGCCTTACAAATTGATTTCAATTTCTAAAACAATGACATACTAGGTATTGATGTAGGCTGGTCTTACCTGTTAAATTCTTGATTTGGTTTCTCCCTTTTCACATCAAAGACCTAAAATGATTGTTTCTAAAATAATGTTAATCCAAATTATTTGTTATAAAAATAAAATATCTTTCTATAATTCGAACTGCTTTGAAAATAATGCACTCACTTGAATGCTAATACTAACATGATTTTGTAAGAATTGCCACATAAAATTAGTAGTATGATACAATTTTGTAGTTTGATTCAATTGCCCAGTGAAATAATATCAATTGACTCAGTGTTTTTATTTCGGTTCTCTTTTGAAACTTCACTAAATTATTAATATAATGTAGGACAATTGTATTCCCTTAATTGCTACTAAGAATAACTGTGGGTGATGACATGTACAACTTATATCCATTAAAATTAGAAACTGATAAAAAACAATGTAGTGAAAGATAAAACGAAATTTCCATGATCTGTTTTTGCTAGCTAGTGTTAAGGCCAAGTACAGTGGCTCACGCCTGTAATCCCAGCACTTTGGGAGGCCGAGTCAGGCGGATCACCTGAGGTTGGGAGTTTGAGACCAGCCTGACCAACATGGAGAAACCCTGTCTCTACTAAAAATATAAAATTAGCCAGGTGTGGTGGCACATGCCTGTAATCCCAGCTACTGGGGAGGCTGAGGCAGGAGAATCGCTTAAACCTGGGAGGCAGAGTTGCAGTGAGCCAAGATTGTGTCATTGCACTCCAACCTGGGCAACAAGAGCAAAACTCTGTCTCAAAAGTAGAATACATGTTTTGCCACAAGGTGAGGATAGACAATTTAGATGCTGCCACAGAACATTGGTAATAACTTTGGCTGATATTGGGCCACAGGTATATGCATTTTTTTTCTCTGTCCACTTCACTCTTGCTGCTTTTTTTGTTCTTTTTATTCCAGTGTTTACTTAGTCTTGCATGTGATGCCTATATATATGTTAGCACTTAGAATTTAGGAACTTTCAGAGATTATGTAATAAATTAATAATGTCAGGGAACTGACTAAATAGTTACTTCCAGCACTCAACACTTTAACTAAGACTGGAAATTATAAGGATATTATGTTTCTTTCCAAGAGTAAGTTAGTTATTTATAAATTATGTTGCATTTTAAGTCTGAATTTACTTTTAGTTCCCAAATTAGTAAATATATCTCTCCTGCCTTCCTTTAAAATGCCAATTACAGATGATGTATATTGTCCTTTATACTACATATACCTATGATGAGAAATATCTTCCAAAATAAAGTGAATTTATTTCACATACCAAAGCTTTCTAACATGTTCTCTGTGCAAGGCTAATTCATACCTTTTCTCTATTTTTCTTCTGATATTGCTAATCATGCTTTCATTCCTAGGACAACCTTCAATAGATTCTATAATTTGAACAATACACTAATTCTAAGTCTTATTCTTTCTGGACTCTTCTTTTTTGCCATATTTCTGTAGGAAATGATGAGTATTATGGTCCTCCTTTTATATTTTAACTTCAGTTCCAGGCCAACTGCCTTCACGATGATTATGTTTGGTTATCAAAGCATCATTAAAAACTCAACATAATTACAAATCACCAATTTTATTTTTCAGTTCCCCAAATCTTCCTAGTCTGAACTTCAGAACTATCATGAATATGATGAACATTCTCCCTTAGTATTGTCATTGCCACCACACTAGTTCTGACCTCCATCATTCAATGTGCAGTATCACAGCAATTGCACTCTTGAAGGCCGATATGACCCCTGGTTCTTTCTTTTGCCTCAAACTTCCTCCCTTATATTTTACTCTACTTTCCATTGCATTGCTTTCTATGTACAAATCTCATTTGTCCATCCTCCTTTAATCTGTAGTTTTTATTTTGGGGAATAAGCAGACAATGCCTAGTGTCAATAATGCCGATGATGAGCCAGGTCAAATGGAAAATGTGTACCTATGATTTTCATTTATATATTCCCAGGGTAAAAGAAAAAAAAAGAAAGAAACCTGATATTTGTTCAGCACATAGTATGTGTTAAGCCTGTGCCAAAATTTTTGTTGACAATATCCTTCTTTTAAATTTAAAGTGACCAGGGAAATATTTGCTTATGTTGGTAACTTATTGTATGGTACCTCCAAAGGACAAAGTAAAATCTAGGGTTCACCTGGAGATAAGCTTATTGTACATGATTTTACCTTGTCCAATTTTATTTATGCCACATTGTTTTAGTACATGTCCCTAGTATAATTTGTAGTGAATCTCTATGGAAGAAATGAATGGTGTCTCCTTGTTTTCATATAGCTAAATTATAGAGGTGTATAATGTGTTTAATCTATATAATATATAATGATGTTCATACACTAGAATAAACTAGAAACCCTACCACAGGAATAATAATAATAGCAAAAGCTCATATGGACTTTATTGTGCAATATACACTATTCTAAGTTGTTGTTCATGCATTAACTAATTTAATTTTACAACAATTCTTTGTAATAAGCAATGTTAACATCCACATTTTTGAGATAAGAAAACTGAGCCACAGAAAAGTTGACTTTCTGTAACTTGTTCAAGGTCATATAGCAAACAGCTGGTTGAACTGTGATTCGAACACAAGCAGTGTGACAGCAAATCTTGCATTCTTAATTTATGGTTTACAAGCACGGGGAGGATTATGGGGATAAAAAGGATAGATGCTTACCATGTCTTTCACCTGGAATAGTGCAGGATTATGATACTTTATACCCAAGGTGTGCTGTATGGGACGATTGTCTGAGGACATCCTTCTATGGGATTAGAGTTTAACCACAAGGTAAAGAATCATTATGTAGTTTTTCAAATTCAAACAAAGGAAATTTATACTATTGAGCCAAGTATTTCCTGAAGCTAAACTGATCAATGCAAGGAATGTTCAAGTTAGGAAGAAAACAAAGGAAAAGAACAAAAGTCCACTGTCAAGTTTTAAGGAGTATTTGCTGTACATCATGTGGTGTCCTTGAGATTTGCCAGTGTAATCTGGGAGCAAAAATGGAGTAATTGCCTGGCCTTGTAGTAGGGACGTAAATGGCATATGGAATTTACCTATATTGATTGAAATATGACCACTCTTGAACAATCATTATTTATTCCACCTCTCTATTTAATACTTTGAAGAAATCATAAAAATAAATATAATTCATGGCCGGTCGTGATGGTTCACGCCTGTAATCCCAGCACTTTGGGAGGCCGAGGCAGGCGGATCATGAGGTCAGAAAATCTAGACCATCCTGGCCAAAATGACGAAACCCCATCTCTACCAAAAATACAAAAATCAGCTGGGCATGGTGGCGCGCACCTGTAGTTTCAGCTACTTGGGAGGCTGAGGCAGGAGAATCGCTTGAACCTGGGAGGGGAAGGTTGCAGTGAGCCAAGATCATGCTACTGCACTCCAGCCTAGGGTCAGAGCGAAATTCTGTTTCAAAAAAAAAAAAAATATATATATATATATACACACACACACACACACTGTATATAATTATATAAACTTTTAATTTATATAACATTTAATTTATGTAAATATAAAAATTTATATTTATATAAATTTTATAAATTTTCATATATAATTATAACATATATATTATGTATATATAATTCAATTACCACAGGAATAATTTAAATGCAGGCCAATAAGTAATACCTAGGATACTAAAATATATTTTTGGGTAGCATATAGGGTCAAGATAGCAAATATAAATAATGAGACAATAGTGAGCCTTGATTATTTTCTATGTT
The DNA here is from genome assembly GCF_000001405.40 of Homo sapiens. Lineage (NCBI taxonomy): Eukaryota > Metazoa > Chordata > Mammalia > Primates > Hominidae > Homo > Homo sapiens. The sequence goes on along the minus strand of NC_000004.12, from coordinate 64,553,260 downwards.
GTTTTTGGCTCATTTATTCAAACATTTTATTCATTTTATAAACAAAACTTCACTGAATATTTTTAAGCATATTTTCTGAGATATTGTTGCTAAATAGTTACATCCCTTGTCACTGTGTGAAGATGCAGCTTAATGACACTTTAAAATGGTGTCAAACTGGTATGAATTCTCCTAAAAGAAGAAAAAGACCTTAATTTATTTTTGAAATCATATCTATTTTAAGGTAATTTCTCCAAAAGGATATTGCTTAAAAGTTTACCATTACTGTCTCTCTTCCTAGATCAATTAACTATGATGGAGAAAACAGCCGTGCTGTAGAAATGGACTAGCTAAACTAATTTGGGAAAAAATATTAGATCTACTTTCTCTGACTTGCTTGTTTTAAATAAAGATTTCTTTGCTACCTAATTTAAAATGATAATTTCTTGGATTCTTGGAAAACCAATAATTAAAGTTGGATTTCAGCAGAAGATTCATTAGCTTAGACAAAAAGAGATAAAAGTAAATGTGGTTACTACAGTTGGTTCCATTTTATCACTAAAATAGTTCAATCTACTTAATTTTTGAAGCTAATGTTTAAGGCAGTACCTTATTTTGGATAAATATTTATTGATTTTTATGATGAAATCAATGCAATTATACAGATTTAAGATGAGTATTTGCAAAGACCAGATAAAGAGAATGGCAAATTAAGAAAAGGACACACAGAGAAAGAAACAATTAGAAAAGGACAAAACAAATTTAAAGCACGATGGAAAATTACAAAATGAGAACAAATAAATAAATGTAAATGTAAACACATGCAAAAGGAGAAATTGAATAGGCACAAAGACAAAAGATACAAAGAAATTAGCTTGTGGAATTATTTTTTTGCTCTTAACTCTCAAGATTCAGGTTTCTGAAAAGCAGGCTTGAATTACCTGTCTTTGATCATCTCAATGCCTTCACTCTTCATTTTATTTAGGATTAAAATCATCCACCCACACAAAAGAGCAGAGTGCTATATAGTTTAGTTTTTTGTTATGATTGCCTTTTCTTGGTATTGGGAAAACACTCAAGATACATGATCTAAGAAGTTAGTCTAATTTTTAGACAAAATGATGAAGGATAAATCAGGTTATTTTTATTTTGATCTTGGATCTTCCATTGATATAACATGTATATATCAGACAAAGATTTCAAATTCCTTCTCTTACACTCAATTTTAACTAACTAGACAATATTTTCTTAAGTATGGAACAACTTTTTGGAAATGAATGGTATTTATTTACTATTTATATAATCTTTAGATATATAAATTTTCTATATTTAAACCAATAATTTATTTTAATGTAAGAAATCAGAGAAGAGTGGTATACACAAGTGAAACCCTAAAACCAGCAAAATATGGTTATTAGTTAACATAAATATGCATTCATTTTTTAAAAGCAACATATCTGACATCATCAATAGTAGTAGACAGAACAATACCCACACCTCAACAGACAAAGAATAGTTACTTTTGCCATCAGCCAGAGTGAAAATCTTCATAATTTATGGGACACTGGGTAGAGGCTAAGAAGTATTTTGAAATACTCAGTATTGGTGAAAATTTGCGCTAGAGTAAAAACTCTGTACCCTAATAACAGATTTTAAAGAAAAGACTCAAAAGGGTCTGAACTAGGTCTAAGAATTAAGCTCAATAATATTCTGGAGAATACAGAAATACCTAGTGCCAACCAAGCTATAATTCAAAATATCTAGCATCACATTAAACATTAGCAGGTATACAAAAAAACAAGTCCATAATTATGAGAAAAATTAGCCAAATGAAATCAACCCAGAAATAACAGGGATTATAGAAGTAGTAGACAAAAACCTTAAAACAATTATTATGTTTTTATTAAATTCATTAAATTCTGTTTAATTTATTATTAAATTTAATACAATACAATATAATTAATATGATTTAATTAATAAATTTAATAATGTATTATTAATTGTAAATTAAATTTAAATTTAATTAAATTCTGTTAAATTCATTAAGCAGAAGGCCCTTAGCCAGAGGCTATAACTTTAGTTAGGGTTTCTACATAACAATCTGCAATCAAATTTAGCACTTAAATAAACCAAAAACTAATTTAGGAGTATAACAAACAGCTGAGTTCCAGCCTATCAGAAGTAGTCAGGTTTCAGCAAATGTCAGACAGCCAACTCATCACACTATGCCCAAATAAGACAGATGACTAGGTTTGGCCAATTTGATGACTTTTCTACTTTGCTTCTGTTTTTGACCTTTGAAAAGTTCTTTGTTCACACTGCGGGGCAGCTCTCTCTCAATGTTTCTAGTTCTGAGTGTTGTCCAATCATGAATTGTTTTTTGTTCAAATAAACTCTGCTAAATTTAATTTGTATAAAGTTTTTTCTTTTACCCTAACTTCATTCCATATATTTAAGAAGCTAGATACTTGTTAAATATTTAAAAATCCAAATAGAACAATTACCAAAAAAGCTGCAATGTCTGAAAATACACTGAGTAGGATTAATAGCAAATCAGATATTGCTAAAGAATAGATAGAATATTTGTGCATTAATAAATTTGAAAATATATATCGCAAGGGAAACTGCAAAAACAGAAAAAAAAACAAAAACAGAGAAAAAGATTGAAATAAAATGAGGAGAATATTAGTGAGTTCTGGGAAAGTTTCAAGTGGCCTCATATATTTGTGACTGAAGAATTCAAATGAGAAGAGAGAAAAAGGAAAATAGAAAGAATTTGATATTTTCTAAATTTAAATTAACTATAAAGCAGAAAATCAAAGGATGAAAATGTATGTCAGCCACATACATTTTCCTGTATCAGAAGCGGAAAAGTAAAAGTATGTTATTTTTAAGGTTCTTATATTATATAAGTGCTATAACATAACTTGAAAATAGATTATGAAACATGAAAGATATAAATGATAAATTCTAAGTCAACTGTTAATATTAGCAAAATAATTTTAACTAAATATCCAACAAAGAGATAAAAAAGAGTCATAAAATACTCAAGCTGAAGGAGGAAGAAAGAGAAAGATAAACAGAGAAAGGTGAAGACAAGTACAAATTATATAACTGTATGGTATATTTAAATCCAAACATATCAATAATAAGACTGAAAGTAAATAATCTAAACACCCCAATTGAAAGCAGAGATTATACAATAGACACAAATTTCAAGAATCAATTATATGTTGCCTATGAGAAACCAATTTTAAATGTAAAATATAAACAGATGAAAAATAAAAAGATAAAAAAGATATCTTATGATTAAACTAATAAAAAGGAAGCTGTACTGACTAAATGAATATTGAATTTCTTTTCAGAGAAAGGTATTTTATGGGGGATATAAAGTCATTTTATAATGATAAAAGAGTCAATTTATCAAGAAGATGTATCAATCCTAAATACTAGGCACCCAATAACGAAGTTTCAAAATTTATAAAGCAAAAAATTATAGAAATACAAGAATAATATTTTAATTTAAAAGATATTTAGAATATTAAATATCCATCTCTAAATAATTCTTAAAATAAGTAGACAGAAAATCAGTATGGCTATAAAAGACTTGAGCAATGACATCAATCCACTTGACCTAATTAACTTTTATAGAATATTCTACTCAATAACCGAAAAATAACATTATTTTTAATAGCTCAAGAAATATTTACCAAGGTAGAATACTTCATAGTCTAGAAAGCAAGTTTCAAGTCAATATAAAAATTAGCAAATCATAAAAATTCTGCCCTCAGACATCTTCACTGAATTAGTATTTAATAGTAGAAAGATATTTTGAAAATCTCCAAATATTAGTATTTAGGAACTACATAACACAATACTAGATATTCCATGAGTTAGATATATAATTTAGAAAGAAATTTGAATTTTTTGGGCTGAATGAAAATAAAAATGTGACATGTCAATATTAGTGAAATATAAGTTAACAATAATTAGAGGTATAATTATATCACTAAATATCCATGTCAGAAAAAGAGAAAAGCTTCAAATCAACAACCTCAATTTCTATCTAACAAACTAGAAAAAAAGAGCAGATGAAACCCCAAATAAGCAAGAGAAAGGAAATAAAAATTATTGAAATATAAAACAGAAAAACAATAGAAAATACAATTATCGAAAATTAACTTTTTTGAGAAGCTTAAAAATGATGATAAACCACTAGTCAGAGTTATCAGAAATAAATAGAGAAAAAAGAAATTACAATATCAGAAATGAGACAGGTGTCATCACAACAGATATTACAAGTATAGTACAGAATCATTATAAACAAATTTATTCTAATAAATTCAGCTAGTTATGTTAAATAGGCCAGTTTCAAGAAAAACACATACCACTAAAACCCATTCAAAAAAATGGATAATATATAATCTTTATTTCCATTTATACTAAAACAAGTTTGTAGTTAAAATATGTTCACAAAGAAAACTTCAGAATCAGGTGGCTTTATTGGAAAACCTTATCAAATATTTCAGAAAAAAATGAGAGCAATTAACTTGACAAAGATAACAAAAGCAAAAATTTGCAAAAAATAAAAAGCACTGGCTCATGAAAATAGATGCAAGAATTCTTTAAAAAGAAAAATATAAATCCATTAATTTATAGAAAAGATAATACACCATTACCAGGTGGGATGTATCTGAGAAATACTTAATCAGTTTAACATTTGTAAATTAATGTCGCTTACTCTATTGATAGAATAAAACAAACAAAAAGACAATCATTTCAATACATGCAGATAGAGCATGTTTATCATTAGGTAAACTGATGCAAGCTGTGTTATTTCCCACAATGAAATACGACTAAGCAATAAAGTAGAAAGTTATTTATATATACAATAACATGAGCAAATATCAAAAAGAAGAAAAAATATGTATATAAACTATAATTCCATTGACACGATAGTCTAGAAAGTGCAAATAAATCTATAGTGAAGCAAGCAGATCAGGTGCTTCTCAGGCTTGTGTATACGTGTGGAAGGGAGGTGTGGATCAGGAAAAGAGGAAAAAGAAAGTAGCTATTACTAAGGGGCAAGAGAAAAATCTTTGTTGTGATGGCATTTTCATCATCTTGACTGGGGTCATGATCCACACCTCGCTTCTGCACGTATACACAAGCATGGGAAGCACCTGATCTGCTTCCTTCACCTATAGATTCACATGCTAAAATTTAGCAAATTCACAAGTTTTAGTTATTTGCAAAAACTTGGCAAATAACAATATTCACATGAGTATATTCACATGCTAAACCTTAGCAAATTTTACACATTATGCATGTTGACTATACATTAATAACACCTTTTAGGAAAGAACATGTTATTTTGTGACCAGTAGTCATTAAAAAAAAAAAACTGATAGAACTGAGATGAAATAGCAATTAATTTAGGTGTGTGATACTTGAAAGAGTTTCTTAGATAACTTAAAGTAATTAGTTGTTGTGTTTTTTTTTTTTAGCTAAGGGTAACAATTCTAAGTCCCAGTATTGAAGGCTTTACAAAAATGCAAACAGATTAATCATGTAAGCTGCTTTCATTCTTTCATTTATTCAGACCATCAGTTGCAACAATGCACCAAGTATACATTTCTTACTGATGTAATATAACTGTAAAGAATAGTAATGTGTCCTAGTTCAATAAACATTACCTATTAGTAAATGACAGAAAACAAAAAGAAAATAGATGGAGAGAGAGATCAGAAAAAGGCTCCCTGAGAATGTGAGTTATTGGAAAGCCACAGAGCAATTCACCTGGAAATTCCTTTTTCTTGTTCACAGTGTCTTTACCATGGCATGGAATTTTACCTAAAATCCTGAGACTGAATGTGTTCTTGAGTCAGATTTTTCTTTTAAATGACATATTCATTAGTGTTAGAAGCAGTACTCTTCACAAACATAGTTATACAGTAAAACAAAATAAATAATTCATGCTAAGTGAAATAAGTAAAATGTCTAGATAGCTTTACATCAGTTCAGGTCAGATTTTAGTGCCATACGAGTTCAGGTAAGATCAGCTTTTTCACCAAAAAAGTCATGGAAAAACTTCTATCTGTACTATTTCATTGAAGCCATGTTGGAAATAACTAGTTGTTGATGACAGCATAATACGGGGTAACCATATTGAGACTGGGAAGAAAAAGATGAGTGTAAGGGATAGAGTAAAATAAAATACACAGAAAATTAGTTCTACCTAGGCTACAAAAATAAGTGTTATAGGTAAGAGTAAGGCTCTGGAGCAAAATCAAACACACATGAATAAACCAATCTGTTTCAAACCTGTCTTCAACACTAATAAAGCATGAAACTTGAACAATTGACTAAAACCATCTAAAACTTAATTTAACTACCTTCAAGATGACTGTAATAATAGTGTTAAGCGAGACTAAATAAATTCAGAAATAAGGCTAAAGTACGAGTGGCTATGCAGGAGTACCAGCACATCCGTGAACTACTTAATTATTTAGGAAATGTACTTTGTTCATTTCCTGCTTACTATTTATTAATGTCCCAGAATTAGTAAAGTTTCATGTTAACTTGTAAACTTTTGTTTGGTAGAGATGCAAATCATTTTGTTACAATAGGAAAGGTACTCAAAATTCACAGTTTATTAGCTTCTAGGATGTTAAACACATTAATCAGTTTCATACCTAGCCTACCAATCTTACTCTAAGATTATTTTATTAAAATACTGATAACCGTTCAAATCCTCAAATGTATTTTCAACCAGCCTTACCATATGATTGATTCCAGTATGAATGAGTTGAGTAAAATATTTATACATACTAACTTTATATTTGTATGAGGTTCAGATTTTCAAGATTTTGAAAATTACGGTGTTACAATACTAACATTGTAGGACTGGTTTGAGAATTAAATGAGATAAACTAGGAGAGGGGTAAGTACTCAGTTACTTGGTATATATTTGTTTTATCATTATTATTATTTTCTTCTTTTTAGAAATTGACATAGAAAGTGTGTAGGGATACAATTGCTGCACAAATGCACCTGTGAAATACTATATTAAAATAAAATTAAACTATGCTTAAATCTTCTTAAATATAAAAAGTGCTGTAAGTGCTATACAGACTTTGGAAGAAAAAACTGGTGTTTGTGTGTGTGTGTGTGTGTGTGTGTGACGGAGTTTCACTCTTGTCGCTCAGGCTGGAGTGCAGTGGCACCATCTTGGCTGAGTGCAACCTCCAGCTCTCGAGTTCAAGCGATTCCCCTGCCTCAGCCTCCGGAGTAGCTGGGAATACAGGGGACTACCACCACACCTGGCTACTTTTTTTTGTATTTTTAGTAGAGACGGAGTTTCACCATTTTGGCCAGGTTGGTCTCGAACTCCTGACCTCCAGGTGATCCATCTGCCTCGGCCTCCCAAAGCACTGGGATTACAGGCACGAGCCAACACGGCCTATGGTGATATTGCTTTCAGAAAAAAACTCAGGACCGGGCGCGGTGGCTCGCCCCCGTAATCCCAGCACTTTGGGGGGCTGAGGCGGGCGGATCACCTGAGGTTGGGAGATCGAGACCAGCCGGACCAACATGGAGAAACCTTGTCTCTACTAAAAATAGAAAATTAGCCAGTTGTGGTGGTGGGCACCTGTAATTCCGGCTACACAGGAGGCTGGGGCAGGAGAATCGCTTGAACTCAGGAGGCAGAAGTTGCAGTGAGCCGAGGTTGCGCCACAGCACTCCAGCCTGAGTGACAGAGCGGGACTCCTTCTCAAAAAGGAAACTCAGGAACTATATATAATTGTGTCCATTTAGAAATTTTATATAACTTCAACCATGAAGAACGCTGTCAAGGTTCACCAGTCTGTAGAAAGCATTTTGCAATCTTTTTTATACCCAGAAAATTCAATTCTTAGGAAAGAAGGCAGAAAAGAATACTGATTTTTTTTTTTTTTACTTTGTAGACCTTTTTATAAGTTTGTATAACTTTTGTTTCTATTTAATCTATATAACAATCCTATACAGAAGCTAATATAGTTTCCATTATATGGATGAACACACTGAGGCTCAGTAAGTTTTAATTATTTTTTTAATTCAAAAACGCACTTGTTACAGAATCTGTGTTTGAGTCATTTTTCAGTCGATAAAATTTTGTCCCTTCATCAACATTATACAGCCTTTTAGAAGGCACAAAATTATCTGAGAGTTTACTTTATTTCTTTGGTCTCAATTTCACTGTTTGAAAATTAAGAATCATGCCTTATTTGAAGTAGTGTAGTGATTCTCTTGTATCAAGATGGGGAGTCTCTATCTCCTTTCATATGAGTATCTTTTCCCTTAATCAGATCAGCATCTCAGACTTCATGCAGACACGTGCTAATTACAACATGCATGCTCTATTTTATCTACATTTGGAATGCATTGTTTACTTTTCTCTTTATTAATTTTGACTGAATTTAATTTAAAATTCAAAATGAATGGTTGCAGAACATACAGATAGAGCCATGATTTCCTAGTTATGCTACTAAGTATTAGGTATCCAGAAAATAACAAATGTTTAAAAATGTATTTCTAAATAACTCGTATGTCAGTTTTTTTTTCTCCCAAGGGAAGTGTTCATAATAGGAAACTACATAAAGAAAGTTTTCTTTCTTATTCTTACTGTTACATACATATGTACATATATATTCTCATAAAATATATATAATCCCTATAAAATATATAAATATGTGAGTATATTCTCATTAAAACTTATATTTCTCCCCATTTTGTTACCCTGGGAATTCTGATTCTGTTATTTGAGTTTAGAATATTCTGAATGACTAGATAAAACACAATAAGCAAGCGGGAATAAAAAAACCTATAAATAAATTTAAAACAATATTTTAATCTCTTATTGAATTTGTATTCAAGGAAAATTTTAGGCAAAAGTACCATTTATCCTGCTTTCACTTCTGCTTTTACTTTATTTGCTTTTGATCATCTTTTGGATGTCTTTGCTGGGGAATTTTAGATCTGCTTTTGGGTTGAAAAGTGCCCGGCCATGATACCAGTTTCGATCTTACATGTATTATATACTAGATGTCTATCCCTATATTTGCATTTATTCATTTTAACAATTTTATTGTTCCATAAGTCAGAATTTCTTTTCTAGAAAACAGGGATAATAATAATCTAGTGGGTAGTTGTGAGCATTAAGTAAAAGTTCTTAGATAGCTCTTAAAACTCTCAAAATGTAAAATTAGTTAATTTGAGTAAGAGCTGTATTTTTATATGCATTTAGCAACTGTCTGCCTTTTTTGTGCTTTCTGTTAGTTCCCCTGGATAATAAGAGTTGGAGCTGCTGACTATTAGATAAAGCATATTCATTTCTGTCAGATATGTATTGAGAGAATACTTTTTTGACTTGCATAATTCAAACTCCAAATGATAACTCTTTTGATTTAAAGAATGGCCTCAGTTCATTAAACAGCATTTCCATATTTTTTATTTTTTAGACAACAGCACATGCATGATGCCTCCAGAGTATTCACTGTACTCTTTGTTTTCTAATTCAATGTGTGACTGAAGCCATAGTTTACTAGTTTTGTTACTTTGAGATAACCCTATATTTGCATTTGAATTACTGTACACTATTGTAGTTAGTAATTGCCACTGTGTAAATGCAGATAATATTTAACTGCTTTTAAGTATAGATTTTTATTTAAGTATATACCACAGCTCTGTAAATTGGCAATTCTCAAATGGGGCCATAATCATAAACTCATAGTTTGCACATGCAATTTAAGAGAGCATTTTTAGAAAATTATCACTGCTTTGTTTCAGTTGTAGATTGGCAGTGATTCAATGTTTTGATTTTAGTCCCATGATTTAATTTTTAATTTCAAATAATGCCAATATGGGAAATAAACTTTCCATGGATTTATAATAAGCAGTATACCATAATACTGAAAAGTTTAGTTCTATCGTTGGACTATGTGGCTCAGATCTTGTATTTTCTTCATAATGGGTCAATGACCTAGGGTAATTTTCCTCGATTTCTAAAGAGCCTCATCCCTTAAACTGGAGAGAATACAAATACTTAATTGGTTAAGTTACATTTTGTGATAATAAATAAGTTAATATATTGAAATTATATAAACAAGTATTAGATAAATAAATGTTCAATTTTATTTTAAATAGAAAAATACATAGTATTAAAACCAAATAACTTGGGTTACTAGACAACAGAAAAATTTGGTTCTATTCTTTACTTGTAATTTTGTATAACATATGCAGCTTTTTGAACACTTTTTTTCTCTTTTATTTTAAAAGCATATTAATACGTGCTCTGCTTATCTCATGTGTGGGTTACGAAGGTAGAGTAATATAATATGCTTCTGTTGATAAAGTTGGTTAGTAGTTTCTAAAAATTGCTATTATTACTAATGTTAAACAAGTGAAATAGTGGATATAGTCATCAAAATTTTTAAAGCATATTTTAACATATTTTTCAATATAAAATTTCAATAAGCTTAGACTTAGGGATATTTAAACAATAACACTATCAAAACATTCATTACCATGTAAATAACAGTAGTACACTATATTGTAGTCAATTATACCACACACTACACTTCAGACTTTGTACTATACACAATCCACATAGTTGTTTCTCATTTAATTCTAACAATAACATCAAAATATACAGTGTATTTGTATTTACATTTTATTAATGAGGAAAATGAGGCTTACAGAAGTTAAGTAATTTGACCAAATGCAGAAAGCTAGTAATTTGCGAATCTGGAGTTCAAATTCTGTTTTTATGCCACAACTCAAGCTTAAACCACACTAATGAGCTGTTTCTCCAGTTTAGTTTCTTCATTAAGCTAGAGAATTATTAATAATAACAAATTGTTTGTTGTTTTCATGCCAGCTCCTGGAATGGCAAGACCTGTTGCATAGAGTACTTGACTCTGAGTCAGAATAAAGATCTTCAGCCTGAAAGAAAACAAACACACTAAAAGCACACTGGAACAAGGATAAATATTCTGTTAGATATATTATCTGGGGTTATTAATGGTGTGAACAAAAGTTCCATGAAAAAGAATTTGGAGGGAAGACTTTATTCCTGTGAACAGTTTGCAAACCAGGAAGAAAACCTTTGGTGTAAAAGGAAGGTGCTTTCCAGAGAAAAAAAGCAGGGCTTGATTTTTAAAGAGAAAGTTCCAGCCCAGGTTCCCAATCAGGTTCATTTATTCAAATGAAGCATCCAAACTTGGAAAGCCATGATTGGTCAAGGAAGATGCACTCTGATTAGTTGGTCATGTGAGTTCTGAAAGTCCCAAAGTTAAACAGAAGTAGTGGGTTTTCTGGGAATTCAGAGTATGTGTGTAACCTCTAGTCAGCAAACAGCCATTTGGTTGTATTTGACTTTAGTCTCAGCCACTTGGGATTCATTTTAAGGATTGACTTTCCCAGGTTCACATTTATTCGCAATGGAGAGGCAGAAATTAGACGTGAATATCTGATTTAAAATTATGGAAACGTAAGAGTTTGGTACAAGATTTGGGAAGTGGAAAGTGCCTGACTTAAAATAGTAACTATATGAAAACAAGTGAACAGATTGTGAGATGATTGTTCTGTATAAATAACAGGTTATTTGTTACTAGACATTAAAAACTGGAAGCTCTGCAGAGCAGAAATATGGTATATTGAGATGTTTTCAAAGTTCCTGCGGGCTAATTTTGCAATTTGCGTCTTTTAAGCTTTATGAGAGGCAAAGCAAAGCTTTCAATCCTTTTTGTGATTGTAATCCACTATTAACATGTTCTTATATAATTACAATTCATTTTGTTAAAAATACAATTTATTCCCAATTTTAATGCTCCAAAATATGTTTCTAGGTGCTTCTTACACCTAGAGAAGAGACACCGTGACCATTATGAAGCAGTGGAGGAGAGGGCAGTTCATCTTTGTAAGCATCGAATATATGCTAACCATTAGGAATATGGTAGTAAATTAAACTCTCAAGGCTCTCCCTCCTAAGAATGTTATATTTTTCAAAGAAGACATATACAAATATTTAAGTAAATAATAAAAGTATCTCAAAAGATTTGTGGCCCATTTTGCTAAAATGTTTCACCAGCTCAGAGAGAGTTTTACACAGAAAGTTACTCGGAAAACAAATTTTGGTAAGAGACCAATGTGTGTAGCATTTAATGAGCATTTATTTTCTTCCAACCCCTTTACACAAGCATATTGTTCCTGAGTCAACAATTAAAACCTTGAGGAAATTGAAATGCAATGACGATACATTACTTATAAAAGTCCATGTAACTCTAAGGAATCGGGGTTAGAATCTACTTTCCTTTTCATTTGACAATAGCATCCCTTACTTTTGTTCTTCAATAAGTTTGGCTTTTGCTCAACAAAGGAGGCAGCACTGTCAGTCCGAGAGGAAGCAACAGGACAAAATACAGTAGGAGATGTTCCACAATTTGACTGGAAAACAGAGCTCTCTGTGAGCTGACTTGTGTTGTGTGTAGGTTTGGAGAATGTTGGAGTTTAAGATACTAAAGCAGGTAGGAGCCAAGTGATGAAAGCCCTTACATGGTTTGTCAAGAATTTTGGCCTTGATCATATACAAAGTAGAAATCTCTAAAATGAGAGATGGCATTCTCAAGCTGGGGAGTCTACAAAAGATTGAATGTGGTGGTAGCATAGAGATGTAGCAGCCTAATATTTTTCCCACTTTAAAATTATCATTTAATTAAAATAACTATATTATAATACAAAGGACTAGAAGAGTCAATATTCACAAATAATCTTCAAAACTAGATAACCTTAGACATTTCTAAGCAGTTGACCCCCCAAATTTCTTAAAACGTGATTTATTTCAGTTTTTAGGTATAATTTTAACAAAACAAATAAAATTCCACAGACCGTTATAAGATTTACTACACACTACAATCATTGTGCTCTTTGATCATTATGGCATCATGTATAACATATTATAATTATGTAATGTTTATAAAATTGTACAATTAAAACATCCAGAAATTTAATGTTTTTAAAGGGTTGAAATATACTGTCTTTTGTCTGTCCTCTCTATATGTATCACACAGATATAGCTAACTTAATAAAATTCCTGTATACTTAAAATGTGCAGGTACTATGATATTTTACAATGCACATATTTTACAAAGCCTCTTAAAGATTTCAAACCATGTATACATAAACGTGTACCAATAATTTGCTGAAACATCTTTTAATTTCCAAGTTCTATATATGCTGGAAATAAGGATGAATGAACCATTTCTTACACCCAAGGAGCTGGCATCACCCTTGCATACTTATTTTGAGACTCTGAAAGAAACACCTTTATTCTTTAACAAAATTGCTTTTGAGAGGTGGATGAGGAAATGTAATGATTTAGATGGGAAGGCAGAGGTTCTTCAATGTTTTTCTGTATTGGACTTAACTGTATATAAGGGTCTTAAAACAATATTACTCCTTGAGAAAAATAGGAAAACACCAAGAGCAAAAATAGAGATATTATTTTCTTATTTGTTTGTTAGTTAAAAAATTACTTATTACTTGACAAGTTTAATTTTCATGGTCTTGAATAATCGTAATTTTCACATTCCTGCTTGTTTTGCTTACAAACACACACATACACCTCAAAGAAAACAAGTTCCCTAATATTTCAGGGTAAATAAGTAATACTACTTTTTAATTATTATTATTTTTTCATAAATTGTAGCACTTGAGGATATGTGAAAACCGTGGTATAGCTATTGTCGTTAACCAGATGATCTTTTATTTCACCAGTGTTGCTGTTATTCCACTAGGTGGCAGCCTTACCCCAGCACTTTAGGATATTCACAGACAAGCAAGCTGCTATCCACATGTGTTCTAGTTAATGTTTTCCAATAGAAATTTAGGTGGTTAGTTGGTAATAATAATTATAATAAAAAGGTGTAGTTTTCTAATGACATCAGGAAAGCCATTAACTGGAGTGAGAAGAGTATTCAAACTAAAAACGTGGCAAATTGATTTACAAATGCATTGACTACAAACAAAAATCTAATAATCTGTCCTTTCTCTTTTATTATGGCTAAAGTATTGTGGAAAATTTCACATATTTTCTGCATCTGATGACCCGGGCCTGAAAAATATCATCACTTTAATAACAAACAATGAAACTCCATTTTTTCACAAGGAGCTAAGAACACGTTTAGTTGTCCTTCATTTTCAGGGTCTCCAAAATAGCAAGAAAAGCCAAACAATACAATCCAAGATATCATTTCATTGCAGCCCTGCCCATTATTGATTTGGAATTATTCTGAAGCTTCTTTCAAACAGAAGTCATTGGAAGCTGTGGAGACGGATCCATAACGGCTTAGAAGCTTTAAGGGTTTATTTACCATTTGCCTTTAATCACTTTTCCGGCTTTGTGAAAGGACTGGAATGTCTGAAGTGACATTTCAATAACTGCAATTTTTTTCTGCCCGGTTGGAGAAGAGAACGATGGATAGCCAAAACAAGTTTGAAGTATTCCAGGAAATGCTGCAAGATCTTTGTTTTGCAGTTGAAAAAGAAATACTATTTAAAGAGATAAAAGGAAGAGCAGGGCCAGGCGCGGTGGCTCACGCCTGTAATCCCAGCACTTTGGGAGGCCAAGGCGGGAAGATCATGAGGTCAGGAGATCCAGACCATTCTGGCCAATATGGTGAAACTCTGTCACTACTAAAACACACAAAAAAAATTAGCTGGGCATGGTGGTGGGCACCTGTAGTCTCAACTACTCAGGAGGCTGAGGCAGGGGAATCGCTTAAAACCGGGAGTCGGAGGTTACAGTGAGCCGAGATCGCACCACTGCCCCCTAGCCTGACAAGAGAGCAAGACTCCATCTCAAAAAAAAAAAGGAAGAGCAGAAGTAGGAGCATATGCCAGGACAGTAAGACAAGAATTTGAATGGGCTTTAGACCAATATTGGCCTAAAAAGTAATTTTCCACTTAGGTTTACCATTACTTTAAAGCAGTTCGATGGCACGTGGCATAAGTGTGAAGAAACCTGTGTAGCTGGAGGGTCAAATAGTTCTGGAGCGAGGAACATTTCTTTAAAATTCTAAAAGTGCTTTGACAGTCATCTTTAATATATTACCTCTTCTAGATTCCTTCATTTCTGACTTGATTAATTTTACTTTCCCTAACTTCCTTTCTTTAAATTTTACTTAGATTCAAAAATATTTTATTTCAAAAATAAATATGAAAGAAAGGAAGTTAGGGAAAGTAAAATTACTTTCTTCTCTAGTCTTTTTTATTTTTAAATGTTCTGGTTTCTCTACACATTAGTTATTTTCCTCAAATTTATTTAGATATATGTATTTACTGTTTGTGTTCGCAAAATTTTTGTTTTAAAATAGAAAACCATTAGAGGTAGAAATGACATATACAGGTATATTCTTTTAAAAAACATATATAGGTATATTCTATCAAAACTTGAGCATTTTATGAACTAATTTATTATATGTGAATAAATTACTTCCTGAGAGAAAGCCCAGAACCTTGGAAAGCTAGTGTAGTTTTCAGCGTATTCAGGAAAAATTAGTTTTGTAAATAGTGCATTTAGTTCAAAATGCACAGATAATTGATACAGATAAAACTTAAATTTTAGCTTCAAATACAATCCATTAAAGTGTTATTACACTTACCAAATAAATAATTTTGGTCGAGAAACAACTACATTTCAGTTCTGATGTCACTCTTTTAATTATTTGCTGCTTGGTCAGGATTCTGACAGCAGAGATGTTTGTAAAAGAATGAAAATCTAAATCTGTGTCTCACAATACAGATTAGAATGTCACAAAGCCCCGGGCATATAGACAAATGTGTCATAGCTCCTTTGCTAAGATGATGATGATGATGATAATGATGATAATGATGTACCCGGCTATGGACACCATATTCTGCAGCAAGTAAGTGCTATATAATTTTTCCCCCAAGTATCCATTATTTTTTGATCTATTGGTTTCATACCAATTCACTGTACTTCTTATTGGATGATTAAATGATGATTCATTTCTCTAGAATTTAGAATTTTAGAAGTATTCAAGTGGCTACAAGATTCAGACATGCTACAGATGTCATATTTAGATTTTTAAAGCAGCTTAAACAATGTTTGCTATGAAGCATTCTTAGCTAGAAAGAATGACAAGGAATAGGACTTTGGCTTATCAATTCACTTTAAGCCCTGATATATTGCTTTCTCTCTCAAGGCATATATGCACAAGTAAAAAACCAACAACTAATTACTGTTACGTATCTGAGAGTATTAAAAGGAAGGCATGGGATAGTCACTTATAAAGACAATAGGAAAACAACGTAAACTACAGCAAGAAAGAACATTTTATCTTAGAGTTAAGAAAAAAAAAAGCAACCAAACTGGTCATGGTGGCTTATGCCTGTAACCCCAGCACTGTGGAGGCTGAAGTGGCGGAATTGCTTGATTCCAGAGTTCGAAACTAGCCTGGGCAACACAGTGAGATCCTCATATCTAGCAAAAAGAAAAAAAAAAAGAAAAAGAAAAGCACACAAATTTTTAGTAGTCAGAACGTAAGTAGTGTATCATTTTGAGAAAAAAGTTTTGCAGAGGAAATCCAAGAGAAAACTTAGTAACAAAATTATACTGAATAATATCAAGTATAATCATGGAAACAAAGATAATATTAGCAACAGCCTGATGTGTACAAGCTAATGGCCCTGATTCTGTGAAATTCCACTTAATTATTTGCACAAATTATAGATCATCAGTCATACCATCTAAGAATGAGTGGGTTTAGATCCCTGGAAGAAAGTACTGTCTACATATTTATAGGTACACAGTAGGCAACCAAATTCATGAACTCACAAACTCACAAGGAAACTTACACTCACAAACTCACAAGGAAGTTGAACTCACAAACTTGCAAGGAAGCTCTGAAGAGAGCCACTTCTTATACAACAATTTTTCAATTTAAACAGACATAACAGCAGATACTGAGTGTAATCTCCCTATTTTTCTTATGGACTCTTCTACAAAAGAAATTTTGCATCTTAAATAGGAAGTGAATGATAATTTTACCTATAGCTGACTCTATATTCACAAATATCAAATATGAGTAATTTCATCCATTCATTCAATAGATATTTATTAAAAAGGAGATATTTATTAACTGAAGGAGAGTTCCAGGCACTGGAGATACAATCAGAAACAGAGACACCTTGGTTCAGTTCTTTATATTGTAGTTGGGAGGAGGCAGACAATATATAAATTAAAAAATTAGTAATAAATTAGTAAACATGGCATACATTAAATTGTAATAAGAGCTATACAGAGAAGATAGAAACTAGTAAATATTTCTCTAGGGGCTAGATCATGATTATACTATAGACTTCACATAAGTAGAAACTTTGCCCTACTCATCCCCAGAGCATTAGCTAAGAGGATTTGCGGATGTGTGTGGGAAGGGAGGTGAATATATAGAGAGCAAAACTATTTTTTATACAATTGAACAGTATATGCAAAAAGTTGTGCATATTAGTGATTGCATAAACATAAATACTGGATGGAGGTTTTTCATATTTCTATATACATTTTCAAAACAAATCAAATGTCATACTTTGGCAGCTGAAAAGACCCAGTATGGCACCTTACAGAGGAAAGTGAAAATAAATAAATAGACAAAAGTATTTTTATTTCCTCCATCTGTTTAATGACACTCTCTTTCCCTACCTTTTACTAAACATGACTATGTAGTCTTTTAGTCTCAGAGCTTAATTACCTTAGGAATATCTTCCCTAACCTCTTGGTGAGATTTACATTCCTAAAATAGGTAAATACCTATTTTGCATAGTGTTCTGATCATTACACTTTAAAATGTTTACTTCTCTTGTTCCCCAACCATTTATGATCTCTGCAAGAACAGAGACTTTATCATCTTGTTTACAACAGTATTCCTAGTATTTAGAATTACCAGCATATGATAGGTGTTTAATGAATATTTATTGTATGAATAACTGAATGATGATTAAAAATAGACAACTTTGGTTAAGGTCAACTCTTCAACTACTATGCATTGACTTCTGAGCAGCTAAACTTAGCTAAAGAAAAACACAGAAAAAAAACCTGCAGATTTTTCCCAATGTAAATTCATTAATACTGACACACTATATTTAGTTCTTCCAATTTTCTACTGTCTTTAAAGAATATTTTTTAATTTTCTTCTGTTTTCAAATCTCTAACACCTTCTTTCCAGTCTCCACTCTGCACTCTTCCCTATTCATGTTGTTTTCTATTTCACTGAGACAATTGACTAAATCAGGAGAGAAATTCTACAAGCTACCATGAGCCTGCATCTTTGTCCAATATTCTTGCCATTTTTCCTACTACTGCCCATGCACCTGCTGAGGCTGACTCCTCCACTTGAATGCCTAATATACTCATGAATATGTTCTAATAATTCCCACCTTTGGCTCTCAAATGATTAGTTTTTGTTCCAAATTTGATATTTCTCTAAATTTGTTATTTTCCATCCAAGCTGCTAATGTCCTCTTCCAGGAAAAAAAAAAAAAGAAACAAAACAAAAACCTTGCTCTGGTTTCATCCTCCAGCTGTCACTCAATTTCCCTTTCTAGTAGGGATTCTGAATATAGAGTTCATACAAGAGAACCATAGACAGAATTTTAGAGTTTAATATACATGGATAAAGAAATAATGAAAAAAAAACTTGACCTTTTTTTTCACTAACTGAAACTTCACATTTATTTCAATTATGCATTCCAACATCTATCACAAACAGTATTAGGTCTAATCCTGATTTTTCCACCAAATATTTTATCATGTTACACAACCGTAATATGGCAAAATATCTTTTATAATCATCATTACTTTGAAATTAGAATAAGTACGAGACTTTCCTATAAATTGCTGTTTAAAGTTAAGAACTTCGTTCTTTAGGGTAAATCTCACGAAAACGTTGTGGATGTTCATTGTTTCAAATTGCTTTTCTCCCATTTCTTGGAACCTCTTTGAGTCAGGCTTTTGCACCCTAGAAAACAGCTTTGTCATCATCACTGATGACCCACATTTGCTAAACTCAGTAATCAAATCTGAATCTTCTTACTTGTGAAAGCATTTATCATACTTCACTATTGTATCTTTAAAACATTGTCTTCACTTCCAAGGTCACACTCTACTGCTTTTGTCCTACCTCACTGGTCACTTATTTTTAAATTTTCCCTGCAGGTTTATTTTCATAAACAGAACTACTTAATGTTAAAATATTCCAATTCTTAGACCTTTACCTTCGTATTTTTTTTTAAACATAAATCTTCCGTTGTGTGATCTCAGCTAGTTCCATAACTTCTAAGTGCCTACCTCTTTAGGACCTCTCTCCTGAACAGCAGGTTGCTATTTCAAACTGCCTCCTCGATAATGCAAAATCCAAAGCTGAATCTGAATCTCTCTTCCCACCCCTATTCCCATTACAACCTCCTCCCATGGTTATATTCATGCTAGTCATGGTAACTCTGTTTTTTAATTGCTTGGCCAAAAATCTCAGAATCATTCATGGCTCTCATTTCACATTATTATTAAATTCTGAACTGTTCTACATTGAAAATATATTCTGTATCTGTATATACTTTTATTTACATTGATTAGTTGGAGGAACATGTAAACCAAAAATAAAATCCTAAGCACCCCAACCAACTGAATAGACTCCTCTCTCAGCCTTGAGGATCCCCAAAAAACCTGAAAAAGTAGTTCAGGCTTTTTCCCTTTCAGGGGAAGTGGGATGGGAGGTCAGATTTGCCTCATTATACCTTCCTTCCTTTAGAATTTAGACACAACTCATCAGAATTAACATCAAAACGAATCTTGACTGAAAATGCAGACTCTGCAGAAATAAGATATTAAACTCCAACCTAACTCTGCCAGATATCACATGACAGATAGTAGTCCCTGAAGGAGATCAAAGTATTTTACCTTAAACTATATTTCTTCAACATATTTTGAAATGGCCCTGCAAAGCTGCGTTTGTGGTAAAAATTTACATTCTTTAGTGAATCTCCTTATTAGTAAGTACTTTTCAGAGAGTCTGGCATTCTTAAGGTCTTATAAGAGACCTACTTATTTATTCTCTCTGATGCCTGCTCCCTGGGAGCTTCACCTACATAACAGGAATCTTGGCTTCCACAATTCCCCCTTACCTGAACACAAGCTGATTTCAACTCATTGGGTAGAGCAGAGCTCTTCCAAACAATTGCCATTCAGGAAATCTTTGAGACCACCTATGACCTGGAAGCCCCCCAACCCCCACTTCAAGATGTACTACTGCCTTTCAGGACCAAACCAATGTATACCTTCCATGTATTGATTTATATCTTGACCTGTAACTTCTTTCTCCCTAAAATGTATCAATTTTATAATCCCTTGTACAATGTATGAAACGTATATAAAATCACCTTGGACACATGTTCTCAGGACTTGCTGAGGCTGTGTCATGGGCAAAATAAACCTCTAAATTGATTGAGACCTGTCTCAGTTACATTTTTGTTTTACAAATAATATAAAATATTTATCTCAATTTTTATTTTATTAAAGATCAGCATAATATTTAATTCTATTTGGCTAAATTTATTACAGTTTATAAAAACACTATCTACTTTTAAGAAAAGATAGTTGTATAATTAACTAGAAAAAAATTTTTAATGCACATGGTAAGGATTCAATTAGTCTGGGTAACATTATATTCTACTGATCAAGGAATATGACATTTAGAAATTAGTAACTTTGTTAAAACTGCCATTTACCTAAAATATAATTTCACTTTAGATGATCTTAAACTACTCTGAGGGACTATACAAATATTTTTCTTTGTCTTTTATTGAGTAGTTGTTTTTTGTTCTAAATAAACTTTTTTGAAAACAAGTAATGTTTACTGTATCTTATTACTACACAGAAGAAAAGAACATATTAACCACAGACTGATTTTGACCTTTCATATCATTTTATAGCATAATTTTTTAGGAAAACATTAAATGACATCTAGCAAATTGCCCTATCTGTTTAATTGGACAAAGTGAAAATGTCATCACTTGTTTCCAGCATTCGACATAAAATGATAATAATTCTATTTGGTGTTTCTTTCATTACCACATTTGAGCAGTGTTAGATATCTTAATTTATATTACACAAGGACATATTTTCAAAATATTAAAATATTTTTTATAAAATTTTTAAATACTTCTGAAATAAAATCTTAGTTTTGTAAATGTTTACTACATAACATTACACTAATTGTACATTTTTGGAAATATCTCAAGGATATAATTCATATACAGACCCAAAACACCTTCACACATCTGCAAAGTACATCTGCCAGGAAAATTTGAAATGTGGCATAAAACCTAAATTTAATTTTTTTAATTCAATTTAATCAGATCATTAAAGTCTGGAAATTATTGCTCTTCTAACACTAAGCTTTCTTTTAAATATAAATGCCCCTGAAAGGATATTACAGTTGGTCAGACATTTTATTGTCAATCATTTATTATTGATTTCCTCCATAGCAACAGAAAAAGTGAAGAAATGCATTAATGATGCTATTGTAAGGAAGAGATGTAAAAGAAAATGATAAGAGGATACAAAAGGCAGGCACTGGCCTGCAGGCTGTTATTCAAATTTTTGCTTCTATCTAGTAAAAGCTGAAAATTAAGCTTCATTTCTATATATTAGTGGCAACTTAAGGAAAAGTGCCTTAGAAGTATGCTGATGGTAAAAGTTCTTACCACTGATTTTGGAAGCATTTACACACATATTTCACACTGTAAATCGTATACAAATCCTGAGGTCACTTCAGGTTAATAATGAAAATGTTCCATTTATTGTAGGTTTTGCCTTCTACCTTCAGAGCAGTTTTAAAATAATAAATTTCCTATTAAAACAAGTAAATCTTCATGTGGAATATACATAAATTTATGAGTATAAATTTATCTTAATCACTTTCTCACAAGAAATCAACTTTTTATTATCTCTTAAATTTTTACTATAAAATCAATGTCAAGGTCATTCTTCCCACAATTGTAATAATTAAAGTTGCTGCTAATCATTTGGCAGAATATTGAATTTCTATATTTTGTCTTCTTACAGACACAATAGTCAGAGTCACGTTTCTTCAAACAAACCTCTGGGTGAGCTATTGCAATTGTGGTAGAGACTCGAATTGTCTTACTAATGTAACCACTCTGCATCTAGCTATATCGTTCATTATATGAGCTTAATGATAGTTAAAAATTCATGTCTCCGGACTCTAAGGTTTACAATTTCTTTTGGGAGAAGTTACCTGCATAAGGATTAGTCAACAAAAAGTTAATTAATTGATAAAGTTTGCTTTTGAGGATTCATTGAAAAAGGAAGGTGGAAAAACATAACAAACATATAGAATATGTAATAAGAACAAAAGTAGTTAAAAATCCAGCAAAATTCTTAAAGATGACATGTTCTCAGTAGACTTTTTTAACCAGATAGAATGTGAGGTTGACTTTGAATATATACTATAGAGTTAGAAGTAGCAACAGATGGGTTGTAGTTAACAGGTGGGGAGATGATCAAAAGTTCTAATTGTCATAAAAAGTGTTATATAGAAGAGTATGTCAGAGGCGTTTAAACCAGAGTGACTCTATCTTGAATTGGGGAGGGGTAAAATAAGGCTGAGACCTACTAGTCTGCATTCCCAGGAGATTAGGCATTCTAAGTCATAGGACGAGATAGGAGGCAGGCACAAGATACAGGTCATAAGGACCTTGCTGATAAAACAGTTTGCAGGAAAAAAGCCAGCCAAAACCCACCGAAACCAAGATTGTGATGAAAGTGACCTCTGTTTGTCCTCACTGGTCATTATACGCTAATTATAATGCATTAGCATGCTAAAATACACTCCCACCAATATCATGAGTTTACACATTCCATGGCAATATCAAGAAATTGCCATATATGATCTAAAATGGGGAGTAAACCTCAGTTCCAGAAATTGCCCACCAATTTCCCAGAAAACTCATGAATAATCCACCATTTATTTAGCATATAATTAAAAGTAACAATAAGTATAAGCAGCTTAGCAGCCCACGCTGCTTCTCTGCCTATGGAGTAGTCGTTCTTTATTTCTTTACTTTCTTAATAAACTTGCTTTCACTTTACTCTATGGATTAGTCCCAAATTCTTTCTTGTATGAGATACAGGAACCCTCTCTTGGAATCTGGATTAGGACTCCTTTTTGGTAACAAGTAGATGCAGAAGAAGAAAATAGATAAATTGCATGTCACCAAGTTTTGGTGTACAGATTGTTTCTTCACACAGGAAATGAACATAGTACCTGATAGGTTGTTTTTTGATCCTGCCCTTCTCCTACCCTCTAACCTCAAGTATGCCTTGGTGTCTACTATTACCTTCTTTGTGTCTGTGTGTACCGGTTGTTTACCTCATAAGTGAGAATGTGCATTGTTTGTTTTTCCGTTTATGCATTAATTCACTTAAGATAATGGCCTCCAGCTTCATCCATGTTGCTGCAAAAAATATGACTTTATTCTTCTCTATGGCTACATAGTATTCTAATGTGTATATGTACTACATTTTCTTCATCCAGTCCACTGTTGATAGGCATCTAGGTTGGTTCCATGTCTTTGCTATTGTGGAGTGTTGCAGGGAAAATATGCATTCATGTGTCTTTATAGTAAAAAGACATATTCCTTTGGGAATACCAGTGACGGGATTGTTGGGTTAAATGGTAGTTCTGTTTTAAGTTTTTTGAGAAATTTCCAATCTGCTTTCCATAGTGGCTGAACTAATTTACATTTCCACTAGCAGTACATAAGTGCTCCCTTTTCTCCACAAACTTGCCAGCCTCTGTTATTTTGGGGCATTTTAGTAATAGTCATCTGACTGATGTGAGATGATAGCTCATTTTGTTTTTGATTGTCATTTCTCTAATGGTTAATGATGTTGAGCATTTTTCATATGCTTGTTGGTCACATGTATGTCTTCTTTTGAAAAGTGTTTGTGTCCTTTGCACAATTTTTAATGGGGTTGTTGGTTTTTTTTTAGCTTGTTAATTTGTTTATGTTCCTTATGGATTCTGAATTTTAGACCTTGGTCAATTGCATAGTTTGCAAATATTTTCTTCCATTCAGTAGGTTGTCTGTTTATTCTGTTGATAGTTTTTTTTTTTTTTTTTTGCTGTGCAGATTCTCTTTAGTTTAATTAGGTCTCACTTGTCAATTTCTGTTTTTGTTGTAATTGCTGTTGGAATCTTTTTCATAAAAGCTTTACCAAAACTATGCCCAAAATGTTATTTCTTAGGCTTTCTTTTAGGGTTTTTATATTCCTTCATATTCCTTTCCCCAGTGCTTATTTTTGTTGACTTTGCCAACGTTAGATAGCTGTAGGATGTGGCTTTATTTCTCTGTACTCCAACCTGTTCCATGGGTCTATATGACTTTTTTTTGTGTGTGTGCCTGTACCATGCTGCTTTGGTTTCTGCGGACATGTAGTATAGTTTGAGGTCAGATGATGCCTCCAGCTTTGTTATTTTTTTTGCTTATTAAAATTTTGGCTATTTGGACTTTATTTTGGTTCCATCTGAATTTTATAATCTTTTTCTAATTCTGTGAAAAATGGTGTTAGTAGTTTGATAGTGATAGCACTGAATCTGTTAGTTGCTTTGGGCAGTGTGGCCATTTTAACAATATTGATTTTTCCTATACATGTACATGGATGGTTTTTCATTTATTTTAGTCACTTCTGATTTCTTTCAGCAGTGTTTTGTAATTCTCATTGTAGAGATCTTTCACCTACCTAGTTAGCCCTATCTCTAGATGTTATATTCTTTTTTTGGCTATTGTAAATGGGATTCTGTTCTTGATTTGGCTCTCGGCTTTGATGTTATTGGTTTATATAAATATTTCTGATAGTTGCACATTGATTTTGAACATTAAAACTTTGTTGAGGCTATCAGACTAAGAGGAGTTTTCTAGGTATAGAATCATATTTTATGCAAAGAGAGAAGTTTGACTTCCTCTCATTCTATTTGAGTGCCTTTTCTTTCTTTCTTTCTCTTGACTAATTTTTCTGGCTAAGACTTCCAATAGTATGTTGAATAGGAATGGTGAGAATAGACATCCTTGTCTTGTTCAGGTTCTCAAGGGGAATGCTTCCAGCTTTTGCCTGTTTGAAGCTGGCTATGGATTTGTAATAAATAGCTCATATTATTTTGAGGTATGTTTCTTTGATGTCTGTGAGATATTATCTTTACCTAAGAGCTTATGTAAAGATAATGTTGTTCTAGGGACATTATTTGGACTATAATTTTTAAATAGTAATAACTACAGTTTATTAAAAATTTATTATGGGCTAGATATATCAGTGTCATTCATTTATTATCTCACTTAATTCTTAAATTTTTTGATAAACATATGAGCTAAGTATGATTAATACTAGCATTCCTCTGCAAATGAAAAATCTGAACATCAGAAAGTTTAAGTATTTTTAAAACCACATAGCTGGTAGAAAACCAGGCTGAAAACTAAATCAAGACATTTAGTCTCCAGAACCTGTGTTGTCTCCTACGTTATAGTGCCCCAAGGTATACTGATTAAACTGTAGGCATTCAGAAAAAATAACAACTAATATAAGCTAATTAAATCCTAGAAAGTCACTAGTATTATTACCCCATTTTGAAAACACATCTAAGCTTTTTTTGGAACATTACATGCCCCCTGACTCAAATGGTAATCTCCTTTGGCAACTCCCTCACAGACCCACCCAGGATAAATACTTTGCATCCTTCTAGCCAATCAAGTTGACACTCAATATTAACCATCACAATTGGAGACTGAGAGTCAGACATCTTCAAAAATCTGAACAGAAACGCTTATTATCTATTCTCTCTGAGAGAGGCTTCATCTATATAACAATACAAACTTTGCTAGCCAAGCTTCTTTCTCTCTCTCTTAAACAGTCTTGCCACTCAATGTGATTTACCTGTTTCTGGCCATGCTCTCAGTCTGCATTCCTCACTTTGGCCTCAGGATAGTAGATAAGTTTCTGTAACCCATTGGGAACTTAGGTCATCATTCTGGAAACTACTGTGTATGCATGTTAAATATATTCGTATGCCTTTTCTCATATTAATCAATCCACCATATGTCTGTGATTTTTAGTGACTCTTTAGTGGGCCAAGAGCCTACAGCTCCCCCACATTATCTTCACTAGAGCTAAGAAAACCTGAACACAGGAGCAAGGTG
The DNA here is from genome assembly GCF_000001405.40 of Homo sapiens. Classification (NCBI taxonomy): domain Eukaryota; kingdom Metazoa; phylum Chordata; class Mammalia; order Primates; family Hominidae; genus Homo; species Homo sapiens. The sequence goes on along the minus strand of NC_000004.12, from coordinate 64,526,953 downwards.
TGAAATTTCTTTGGCTCACAAGATCAGCAAAACTGCAGTTGGATGGTAAGGAGATTGATTCTGTGTGACTGTGACACACTTCCCACAAAGATATTTTGATGTCACACATTAAAAGTCTTCTGGACTCCCAGTTTCTATACTGAAAAAATGTGAGCTAGAGGCAGACATTGGCTTCTTTACCATCCTGGATCTCTCTGTGAAAGACTCGCTCCTGATTGGGCCCTCAGGGAACACCACAAATACTGGCAGTGCTGAACCACATGAGACCAGCTAGGAATAACGAGGATGGTAGGGTTAGTGGTATTCAGCCCAAAGAAGTTGGAAATAGATCTCCATTTCTACCAGAGGTGTCCCACCAAATAGTCTGTATAGGGGCACCATGTCACAAGACGCGTGGTTTATAGTTCTCAATGACATGAGTGCACAGTTGGCTCTCCCACAACTGGAGACAGCCAGTTCATTGTTCTCAATGGTTCATAGTTCTCAATGACTTGAGAAGTGGGAGGCTCTCTGTGGATCAGCTGCAGAATCATAACAACTCATGTCTCACCTGGGCTAAGGTAACCCTCTAGTAGTAAAAAGGAATACAACAGTCAGTCGCCTCAGAATTTCTAAAAAAGCCCACCAAAACAGAATGGTAACCGAAAGTCCCAGACCACAAAGACTGGAATAAATAACTAATTCATCAATCAAGAGACATAAAGTGGTTAAACAGATAAAAAGCCAGATTCAACTATATGCTACCTGTAAAGACTCACTTCACCACTAAGGACATGCATAAACCAAAAGTAATTAATGAAATAAGATATCCCATGCAATAGAAATCAAAAGATAGCAGTAATAGTTACATTTTTATCAGATAAATTAAGTTAAAACTTATAAAAAGAGACAAACAAGGCCAGTATATAACAAAAAGATGCTCAATACAACAAGAACAATCATAAATATATATACATCCAACTTCAGAACACCTAAATATATCAAGCAAACACTAGTATATCAAAGGGAGAGATAGACAACAATAATAATAGGGTATTTAAACCCCCAACTTTCAGCAATAAACAGATAATCCTGACAGAAAATTAACAAAAAACTTTGGATTTAAAGGGCACTTCAGATTGAATGGACTTAGCAGATATTTGCAGAACATTCCATTCAATAGCTTCAGAATTTACATTTTTCTCAAATACAGTTGGATCACTGTACAAAACTAATTATATTAGGCCACAATAAGTCTTGGAAAATTTAAAAAAATCAAAATAATGTCAATTATCTTTTCTAATCATAATGAAATAAAACTAGAAATTAACAACAGGAAAAATTTTAGAAATTGTACAAATACATGTAAACTAAACAACATGCTTCTAAACATCCACTGAGACAATGAAGAAATTGGAAGATAAATTAAAATTTTCTTGAGATAAATAAAAACATAACACAGCAACCCAAAAATTATGACATAAAGCAAAATAAGTCCTAGAGGGAAGTTTATAGCAACAAATGACTGCATCAAAAAATAAGAAATATTACAAATGAACAACCTAATGTTATAACTCAAGGAACTGGAAAAAAAAACAAGAAAAAACTAAATATAAAATTAATAGGAGGAAAGAAATAACAAAGATCAGAGCACAAATAAACTACAGACCAAAAAATATAAAAGATCAAAAATTGGCTTTTTTTTGAAAATAAAAACAAAATTGGCAAAACTTTAGCTAAATTAAGAAAAAAGAAAGGAGACTCAAATAAATGAAATCAGAAATCAAAAAGGAGACATTACACCTGATGTCTATAGACTATATAGAATCATAAGAAGCTACTGTGAACAATTATACACCAACAAGTTGGAAATCCTAGAAGAAATAAATAAATTTCTACACATATGCAACCTACTAAGACTGACTCAATGAGAAATAGAAAAATCTGTGGGAACCAACAATGAGTACTGAGATTGAGGCAGTAATTAAAATTTTCTTATCAAGACAAGTCCAGGACCTGATGACTTCACTGCTGAAGTCTAAAAAACTTTTAAGGAACTATTACTAATACTTTGTAAACTATTCCAAAAACTAAAAAGGTGGAAAGTCTTCCACATTTATTCTATAATGCCAGCATTACCTTCACACCAAAACCAGACAAAGACACAACAACAACAAAGAATAGTGCATACACATCAATTTCCATAATAAATACAGATGCAAAATCCTCAACAAAATACTAGCAATTCAAATTCAACAGCATGTTAAAAAGATCATTCACTGTGATTAAGTAGAATTTGTCCCAGAGATGCAAGTAAGGTTTAACATACACGTATTAGTAAATGTGATACACTACATTAATATAATGAAGGGCAACCATTATATGATCATTTTAATGGACACAGAAAAAGCATAGACAAAATTTAATACATTTTAATGATAAGAATTTGTAAAACATTTGGTATAATAAGAAATGTCCTCAACATAATAAAGCCCATATATGATAAACCCAGAGCCTACATCATACTGAATGGGGAAAAGTTGAAAGCTTTTCCTCTAAGATCTGGAACAAGTTTCAGGGTCCCACTTCTACCATTGCTATTCAGTATAATACTGGAAGTCCTAGTCAGAGCAATTAGGCAAGAAAAAGAAGTGACACCCAAACTGGAAATAAGAAAGTAATATAATGCCTGTTTGCAGATGACATAATTTTATATATAAAAAACCCTAAAGACTCCATAAAAAACTGTTAGAACTAATAAACAAATACAATAAAAAGGACATAAAACCAACATGCAAAAATTAGTAGCATTTTATACACCAATAACAAACTATCTGAAAAGAAATGAGGAAACCAATTTTATTTGCAACAGCTACAAAAGTAATAAAATACATAGGAATAAATTTAACCAAGGAAAGGAAGATATCAAGGAATAAATTTAACAAAGAAAAAACTATAAAACATTGATGAAAGAAATAGAAAAGGACACAAATAAATGGAAATATATATCATGTTCATAGATTGAAAAAGTTAATATTGTTAAAATATTAACACTACCTAAAGTGATCTACAGATTTAATGCAATTCTTATCAGAATGTTAATATTATGTAAATAGAATAAACTACATTATTTTAATTTAATATTAAATTAAATTATGTAATTTTAATATTACATAAATAGAAAAAAAAGTAAAATTTTTAGAAAACCACAATAGACCCCCAATAGCCAAAGCAATCTTCAGCAGAAAGAACAAAGATAAAGCCATTATACTACCTGACTTCAAAATATACTCCAAAGCCATAGTAGCCCAAACAGCATGGTATTGGCATAAAAACAAACACATAGAACAACAGAATGAAAGCCCAGAAATAAATCCACATATTCACAGTCACCTTATTTTTGCCAGAGGTGCCAAGAGCACGCATAGGAGAAGGACCATTTCTTCAATGAATGACACTGGGAATACTGCATATATACATGTAAAATAGTAATACTAAACCAATATTTCTCATCATATATTAAAATAAACTCAAAATAATTAAAAAATTAAATGTATAACAAAAACTAATGAAACTACTAGAAAAACATGTAAGACAAATGCTATATGACATTGGTCTAGGCAAAAATATTTTAGATAAGACCTCAAGAGCATGAACAACAAAAGCAAAAATAAGCAAAATTATACTAAAATCTTTCACACAGCAAAAAAAAAAAAAAAAATCAACAGAGTGAAGAAAGGACCTACAGAATAGGAAAAAATATATCTGCCAATTATTAATCTGACATAATCTGACAAAGGTTAGTATGTATAATTTTTTTTCTTTTATCTTTTTTTTTTTTTTTTTTTTTTTGAGATGAAGTCTCACTCTGTTGCCAGGCTGGAGTGCAGTGGCATGATCTCAGCTCACTGCAACCTTCGCCTCCTGGGTTCAAGCAATTCTTCTGTCTCAGCCTCCCAAGTAGCTGGGACTACAGGTGCACGCCACTATGCCCAGCTAATTTTTGTATTTTTAGTGGAGATGGGGTTTCACCATGTTGGCCAGGATGTCTCAATCTCTTGACCCCATGATCTACCTTCCTCAGCCTCCCAAAGTGCTGGGATTACAGATGTGAGCCTCTGTGCTGGCTAGCATGTATAACTTATAAGGAACTCAAGAAACTCAACAGCAAAAGAAAATAATGTAATCTGATAAAAAAAAAATTGGCAAAAGACCTAAAAAATGACATTTCTTCAAAGAAGGCTTACAAATTGCTAACAGGGATATAAAAAATTCTCAATATTACTAGCCATAAGGAAAATACAAATCAAAACCAAAATGAGATATCACCTCACCCCAGTTAAAATGGCTACTGTGAAAAAGACAAAATGAAACAAAACAGAAAACAAAAAAATACTGGTGAGGCTGTGAGAAAGGAGAACTTGTATACACTGTGGACTGTGCATCCATTACAAATAACAGTACAGTAGTTCCTCACAAATTTTAAAATTGATCTACCATATGACTCAGCAAACCCACTTCTGAATATATATTCAAAGAAAATGAAAACAGTATGTCAAAAAGACATCTCTGCACTTCCATGTTTATTGCAGCATTATTTACAACAATCAAGATATGAATTCAACCCAAGTGTCAAATAGTGAATGAATGGATAAAGCAAATGTGGGATATATACACAATAGAATACCACTCAGCTATAAAAGTATGAAATCCTGTTATTCGTGACATCATGGATGAGCCTAGAAAAATCCGTTAAGTGCAATAAGCCAGGCACAGAAAGACACATACCAATATGATCTCACTCATGTGTGGAATCTGGAAAAAATTGATCTTATAAAAGTTGAAAGCATATTGGTTAACAGAGACTGGGGAGAACAGAGGATGAGGGGAAGATGGGAAGAGGTTGATCAAGAAGTATAGTGTTACAATTAGGAGAAATAATTTCTGGGTGCTCTATTGTACAATAAAGTGACTGCAGCTAATATTTATGCATTGTATAATACATTCCCTTTTTTTCTCAAACTTTATTATTGGTGATCTATATTTCAAAAACCTAGTAGAGAGAATTTTGAATACTCTCACAACAAAGAAGTGAAATATGTATAAAGTGATGGATATGCTAATTACCATGAGATGATGCTTACACAATTGCATATATGTTTTGGAATATCGCTTTCTATCCCATAAATATATACAATTATTATGAGTCAAAAATGGAACAAAAAGTTATATTAGGAGTCATAAATGGTTGCTATACATAATGATTTATGGAAGCTATTTACATATGTTTTCATAATCAGTTTTCATAATACCATATCTTTTTATCATTTTATATATGAGAAACCTGGCTCAGAGAGGTTCATCAAGTTCCCCAATGTAACATAGCTTGCAGATGGCAGATCTTATTGTTGAACATAGGTTTTCCTTTTTCTTAATTTCAAAATCAATACTTTAGTCAACTTAATGACACAAAAATGGTGCTTATTTTAAATTACAATCAAATTATATTTTAACTATACTTTCAGATATAATTGCTACCATTGTATATACAGTTGATGCCATTAAAATGTAAATTTACATTTAGCATTTTTAATCACTCCATCTTGATAGGCATTTTTACAAACACACATTGATTATTGAGAATATCTTAGATTAAAATGAACAAAAATATTTTTTATAATCAGAAAATAAACAATTATAGTGCAGTCTGTTTTGAACATCTTTCCTCTCTTTTTAAATTAGTGGGTTTGGAGTTAAGAATCAATTCTGAATCAAAGATTTAAAAACCATATCTATATTGTTAATACTGCTGTCTATCATTGTTACCTCTAGAGTTCCTAGTTCATTGGTCTGCCATTCTACTATATATCCTAGTTTCATGGTAGGTCTTAACACTACAGTATTGACACATATATTTGTTGCACCTGTTTAATGTTAGTCTAATTTAAAAGTCTGCTCTTGTAGTTTTATAAGGGGTTCATTTGAAGTTGACTTTTGAATAAGGACATTTAATGCTCTTTTTATGTGCTTAACCCATTTTTTCTTTTAAGAAGAATTTGCTTAGATATTTTACTTTGTTGGTGAAATCAATTTCAAGACATTCAGACATGTTCCAAGTAAAAATTCTCTTACATTTATTACCTGAGCTTTATTTCTCTTAATGACATGGATTTATCCCAAATACAAAACAGGTTCTTATACATGAATCAGATTTTTGTAAAATCTTTCAAATATGAGCTTTTAAAAATAAATTCAAAAGGCAATGGTCTCAGAGTCCAGTCTGATTCCAGATAATTAAATGGAAGGAAATAGAGGGCATGGATCACTACCTCTTCTACTTAACAAGCGGCAGTTAAGCTGATGGTTAAAAAAACAGGCAGTGGCCATGCTTACAGTAAACGCTTGCTTCTACACATGAATGACTGTATGGTTTTTACAAAGACACTTAAGCTCTCTGCCTCTGGGTCATTCATCTGTAAAAGAGAAATACAGTTATCTTCTACCTTCCAAAAGTGCTGTGGAGAGTCTAGGTAATTAGTATTTTTAGACAGACTTAGAAACTTCAAATTAAATCTAGGTATGAAAATTATTTTGACGTTCACATTAGAAAGCGTACCTAAGAAGTATCTCAAACAAAACAGAAGCAAAATATTTTGCTAAGCAAATAAAATCCCTTTATATTTTAAGAATTATATGAAATGTTGAAAATATTTTCTACCTACTAACATAAATAACTAATACTTGTGAGGAAGAGATCTAGTTTAGGCCCCTTTTATCTCTATTTATTTACTTACTTTTTTTTTTCTTTCTCGGTTTGCATCAAGTGCTCTGAAGTGATCAAATTCTGTGAGCTTGTCAATATGTTTTTCTTTATTAGTGACAGCCAGCCCTTTGTGTGGACATTTTTTATTGTTATTGCCCAACAATCTGTGCTCTAGCAACAGGGCAATGGTTTCAGTGACAACCACCAGTTCTCCAGAAACTTCAGATTCTCTTCTTTAGAAAAACTTACTTTCCTCATTCTTTTACTACATTTGTCAAATAGGAGCTGATATCTTCTTAACATGATTGCATTTGTTCTTCATCTTATGGTTGGGTATAAGTTGTCAGCACATCATCTAAGTTAAGCCAGTGTTGATATTTCATTCTTTTTGCCACCAGGTTTTGATCAGGACTGCAAAGATGCTGAGTGAATTAAAGTCCTATTCCAGGATTATTTTAAAATGGAGCTTGGAGAAATAACTATTTCAATTTTAATAATCAAGTAGCATGATTATAATAGTTGAGTTTCACTGGCTATATATTCCCTCTCACAACAACCACGTGTTCACTGCACAGTTGCCTATCAATATAGATAAAAGCTACAATAGAAGAGAATGCAGCCAACAGATAGAAAGAAACAATCAAGTGATAGAAAGAATCATGGTGGCTTTCAAGTCTCTGAACTTGGGGACCATTTCCTTTTTTCCAATTTAGTTATGTAAGTCAATAAATCCCAACCACACAAACCAGTATTTGTGTATGTATATGGCTTGAACTAGTGTTGAGTTTCTGTTGCTTATGATAAAGAAGTGTTCTAGCAAATCAGCTCTGCTTCTGAGATACAAATCACTAAAAATGACTGAATAAAAGAATATTTATGAATGAAAAGAAAACTCTCCTTTATAGTTTTCCACCTGCTTTATCTTTTTTAAAAGCATTGAATAGTATATCTGATCATCTTGCCTAATATTTATTCAGTTTAATTTAAGTCAAAGTAGGGCCTGGAATATCTGTAGTGTTTGTAATGGGTGACAATATCTGAGGAAGAAGAAATAACTATCAGAGATACATCAAGCAAATTGTAAAATAGTGATGTAGGTAAATCCAATTATTTAATCAATCCACACAATAGGGTTGGATGAGAAGACTGTGGCAAAATACTTCCACCTCTGCTTAATAAATGTTTTTCCCCATTATTATGAATATTCTATAATTGATTTATGGCCCAGATATTACAGGATTAAGTCTAAACCTTGTATCCAATCAATAACCTCTCTTATAGACCATTTGGGTCTTTCATGGGTTTGATAGAAAAGAAAACAATCTTGAGGAAACAAATTTTTAATACAAGATTTGTTACAACAGGCATATTTTCCACAAAGCAGCAAATTTCGGTTTCAGTTTACGTTCGCTTTAGCAGACTCTCAGTCCAAATTTTGCACAATTCTCTTCTTATTAAATGGCATTTTAAGCATTTGTTACCAGGAATGTAACAAAGATAGAGTTCAGTGGATGGTGTGATGATGAAAACTACAGCTCTAGAGCTATTGTTCCAGTGACTACAACAATCATTGTTGGTTATTTTTGATACTTTGGCACTGATAAAATTGCTCGTCTAATCACTAGCAAGTAAGGAGAAGGATACAAATAAAGTAAATTTAGCTACTCCTAACGTCAGATACTCCTGACATCTGGGAAAATCTGATTATGGTTCAGATATTTGAAGATAATATGATATTTTAATTCATATTATATTTTAATATAATGTGATATTTGTCATATCAGCTGGTATCACAGGTGGACATTAAAGCCAAGAGTTTAGGATTATTAAAGAAAAGAAAGGTTTGAGGAATTCCATATCTTCCCACCCTCGATCATTTACTATGTTATTTTTCCAGGAGCACTTTGGACAGAAAACTGGTCCACGATAATTAAACATTTAGGAATTACAGAAGTAGAGTTTGAACATCAATCTGGCCACTGCCTGACTCATTTAAGAAGTATTTATGCTAATCATTTAAATAGACCATAGTGAATATTACATGCTCTGATGAAGAATTGTTTTTAGTTTCTTGGATGAGTTATGGTTAATTGAAGGCATTAAAAAACCCCAAATTTGTGGAAGAAGATGTTAATCTAGAATATTTCTGTCTGGGTAATACATAAGTAGGCTTCCAAATTGTACTTCTATTGGGCTTTTGATTGAAAGATGGTTTTGTGGAAGAAAATCACCTTCCTTACTAAATCAACATTAAGTATCTTCCTTCCCCTGATTAAGTAAAAAGCACCACTAATAATTCACTCTGATACAATATAAAATATATTTTTTATGCCAAGCTTAGGGGCTCATGCCTGTAATACCAGCACTTTGGGAGGCCAAGGTGGGTGGATCACTTGAGGACAGGAGTTCCAGACCAGCCTGGGTAACATGATAAATCCCATCACTACTAAAAACACAAAATTAGCAAGTCATGGTGGCCCACGCCTATAATCCCAGCTACTCTGGTGACTGAGGCACGAGAAGTGCTTGAACCCCGGGGGGCGGAGGTTGCAATGAGAATATGTATATATAAAGGTAAAAGATACAAGCAATGTAAATTGGATTCATCTGGAATACTTTCATTTCCTTCACCTTTCACATCATCCTCTAATCAGCCAGTCCATGAGCTCTACCTCCAAAATAGCTTTCAAATCTGTCCCCGAGGTTATGCTGTTATCATCACCACCAGAGTCCTGGGCAACATCTCCTTCTTTGATTATTATATAACCTCCTTCATCACCTCTATGCTTCTACTTTTTTGTTCCCTTAACTATTTACCGAATTATAGAAAAGGTGATCTTTTCACAAGGAGATTTTATTCCCTTGTTTAAAATTTCTTAATAGCTTCTCACACAATTTAATAGAAGAAAATCTGAATTCCTAACCATAGAACACAAAGCATTATGTGATCTTCCATTGAATATTTTATTTTGTCTATTCCCTACTAAATCTAAATTACTACCATACCAGCCCTCTTATTTTTCTTCCTTAACCCTATCAATCATTTTGTTGCCTTAGTACCTTTCGTTGCTTTTGCTAATGCCCAAAATGATCGCCACTGCCTCTTTAAAAGGTTGTTATTTTAAAATCTCAGATCGATGTCATCTCAACAGAGCGGTTTTATCTACCTGATTATGACCATTTTTTTGTTGTTTTTGCTGTTGTTTATTACTAGGTGAGTATTAGCAACAGAATAGATACTTTTAATTCATATCCTTATTTGTCAACAATGGAAGCCCTAAAAGGCATATCACCACTGTAAGCTCAATGTTAAGATAAGTGTTTTGGAAATAGAAGGTACTCTGTAACTACTTATTGAGTAAATTAATTAATGTCCACATTTATTTACCAGAATATGTAAATAATAGTTATTTTGCTTTATTATTATATTGGATCTCTTAATTCATTGTTACTATCAAACTTTCGCTTTCCATCATCAATTAAAATTGTGATTTTAAAAAATACTACAACTCAACAATTAAGAGGTAGATAACCCAATTTAAAAATTAGCAAAGTTTTTACGTATACATTTTCTTCCAGGAAGTTATGCAAATGATTAATGAGCACAGAAAAATACGCTCAACATCATTATTCATTAGTGGAATGTTAATAAAAATTACAATGAGATACTATTTCACACACTAAAATGACAATAATAAAAATGATAGAGGGTAGCAAATGTTGGCAAGAATATTGAGAAAATCGAACAGTCATTAATTGCTGTTGAGGAAAGGAAATGAGATCACCATCATGAAAAATAATTTTTCAGTTTTTCCCAATGTTAACTGTAGAGTTATCATATGACTCAGCAATTTAACTCTTAATTATATAGCAACAAGAAGTAAAACTTATGTCCACACAAAAAGATGTACATTCATATTCACAGCAGTATTATTCACAGTAGTCAAAAAGTAGAAAGAAAACAAATAACCATGGAATGATGAATAGGTAAAAAAAAGTGTTTCATCTATTCAACATAATATTGTTCAGCAATAAAAAGGATTGAGGTACTGATGCATTATACCATTTAGATGAACCTTAAAACAATTACAGTAAGTGAAAGAAGTGAGCTATAAAAGATAACATATCGTACAATTTCATTTTTATTACGTGTCTAGAGTAAGTACATCCATAAAGACAGAAAGTAGATTAGTGGTTTCCAGAGGCCAGGGGAAGGGGAAAATGAGGATTTACTGCTAATAGATATAAAGTTTTTTTCTGTGATTACCAAAATCTCCTAAAATTATATTTTAGTGATGTCCATACAACTCTGAATATACTAAAAATCACTTAGTTTTATTTTAAAATGGTGAATTTGATGGTATGTGTATTATATATTAATAATTCTGTTAAAAACAAGTTTTATATACTTTAAATTTAAAAAATAAAGAATGCTAAGTACATTTTGTTGTTTCTTTTTGGCATAGCTGACATAATCTGATAATCTACACAAAATTAGAAAAGAAAACAACAGGCAAAATAAGCCAAGAGTCTTACTAAATCATGTAATGAGCAAAAGGTTCAATTAAGAAAAATATGAACTTCTTGAAAAGATTCTATTTAGAAAGTAAAGCATTCAATACTATTTTATTAATACCTAACCAGAGCCCAAGATTTTGATGCTATTCTCCTTATTACTTGTTAATTAACTCCAGAAGCATGCTTCAATTTCATTTGAGTTCCTTGTTTCATTGGATTCTGATGAACTTTTTCTCATTCCACAGAAACACATTTTCGTGAGACACTGGCCCTTGTAGGCCAACCAAAAACAAAACAAATAAGATATTAAAAACTAGTTTTAATTCTTTCAAGGATCCTCCTACAAATTGTTCTTTCTTATCTAAGAGAGTAAAGGTGGTTTTTGTGACTTAGAGATTTGTTACATCTGAGCAAATAAAGATCTCCCTGTTACGGCTGTATCATACTCTATAATTATAATAATAAGCAAAATAAAAATTATATAATAGCATTTGTTGAATGCTTATTTTGGATTTAAGAATATTCTAAACAATCTGTAGTTTCTCACTTATTGTCTGAAATAATTCAATGAGTTAGGCACTAATATAATTTCCACCTTTTAAAAATGGAATAGTAGGCACAAAGAAGATAAAAACATTATCTAAGGCCACACAATTAATAAATGACAGAGCAAAGGTGTGAACTCACAGCATCTGTGTCATAGCCTTATGCTCTAATACATCTATTTGCATATAACCAATAATTTTCTTATTATAAATATAACATCCATTCAATGAGAAATACATGGAAATTAGATGGGGATATGGCCTTTATTATTCTTGCTGGCCTAGGATGCTTCACTTTTGTTAGCCATAATGTGAATTTTACTTTACTGATGACAATGTCTCTACAGGTCTAGAGAAGCTAAGATTAGGCAGTAGGTTTGGAGAAATTATTTAAAACTAGAATGAGTTTTTATCAGTCATTTTTGACATAGTATACTCTTGGAATGAAAAGTAGGTCAGCATGAAGTAAGGGACATGGAGTGGTTCATGTTTAAAGACAAGGATAAAAGTCGTTCCCCATGTATAACTACTATATATTATGTTTATGATAAATGAAAAACCTACGCATGTTCCAAACCTGAGGAAATAAGTGCAATTGGGAAAAGTGGATTATCGTGATTGACTGGATATATTTTGCAGTTTTGTTGATTGAGAGACACTAAATTTTACAATTATTTGGATTATATTTGTTTGTTAAAGTTATAATTGCCTTATGGACTTTGATAACTGTAGCTTCTCCATTTCGACAGCTTTCATCTTCAATATATAATATGTGGTAAAGAAGAAAAGTCTCTTTTGGCCTCTGTGGAAAAATGAATCTTTCACTGGGCACGCTGGCTCATGCCTGTAATCCCAGCACTTTAGGAGGCCGAGGTGGGTGGATCACCTGAGGTCAAGAGTTTTGAGACCAGCCTGGCCAACATGGTGAAACTCTGTTTTTCTACTAAAAATACAAAAATTAGCCAGGCATGGTGGTGCGCACCTATAATCTCAGCTACTCAGGCTACTCGGGAGGCTGAGGCAGGAGAATTGATTGAACCCAGGAGGTGGATGTCGCAGTGAGCCACGATCATGCCATTGCAATCCAGCCTGGGCAACAAGAACAAAACTCCATCTAAAAAAAAAGAAAAAAAAAGAAAAAGAAAAATAAATGTTAAAATATTAAAAAATTAAATTTTATATATAAGGTAAGCAGTTTATAAAATTATATATAGAGAGAATACAATAATTCTTGTAGAGATCATGACATTAAGTGTTAGTTTATTTTTGGAAGGCATCAATGCATGAGGTTGAGAATGTACGTGAAATAGCCTATAGATCATATTCCAGAACTGAAAAGAATTTAGAAATTATAGTGTCAATATACTCTCTTAAGCCAAAGCAAACATTTATTTCTACTAAATTACTTTTGAGTGTTTTACAAGTGATATCAAACAAATTAAATCACATAAAATACGTGGTTCCTCTTTTACATCAGGTAAACAACTAAACATTATCATAAAATTTAAATGGGCCAAAATTTACTGCTATAGTAGGGTAGATTTTCTAGGAAGCTGGAAACATGTACAGATTTATCTATGAACATGCTGAATACCAAATAAGCTAGTATTTCTTAAATACTTTTTATTTCTAGAGCAGTTTTAGATTCACAAAAAAATTGAGAGGAAGGTACAGAGATAACCCATATATTCACACAGGTATAACCTCCCCCATTATTAACATCCCCCACAGGAATGGTATATATATTACAATTGTTGAGCTTACATTGAAACATCCTAATCACCCAAAGTCCATAGTTTACATTAGGTTTGACTGTTGGTGTTGTGCTTGCCATGAATTTGAACAAATGTATAATGATATATATCCACGACTATAGGGTCATATAGAACATCTTTACTGCATAAAATATCTTCAATGCTCTACCTATTCATCCCTAACCCCAGTGCCCTGGTAACCACTGATCTTTTTTACTGTATCCACAGTTTTTCCTTTTCTAAAATATCATATGTATGGAATTATACAGCATGTAGCCTTTTATTCACACAGTAATGTGTAATTACATTTCTACTCTTCCATTATCTGGATGTATCACAGTTTATTTATCCATTCACCTATTGAAGGACATTTTGGTTACTTCCATGTTTTGGCAATTATAAATAAAGCTACTATAAATATTGGTTGCAAGTTTTTTTTGTAGATATGTTTTGAACTCCTTTCATTTAATACCAAAAAGCTAGATTGTTCAATCTCATGTTAAAAATATTAGTTTTAGATTTTCTCCTATGCCATTTACTCTACAAGTTTCACAGCATTGTATTGTACATTTAACTTTATAATTTATTTTAAGTTAATTTTTGTGAAGGGTGTGAGGTCTGTGTCTACATGTATTCCTTTGGCATGTAGATATTTAGTCATTCCAGCATCATTTGTTGAAAATGTGACCTCTGATACTGTTTTGCCTTTGGTCTTTTTGTCAAAGCTGTAATGATTGTGTTTATATGGGTCTATTTCTGGGCTCTATATTATGTACCGTTGATCTATTTGTCTATTATTTCACCAGTATCACACTGGCTTAATTAGCATAGCCTTATATTAAGCCTTGAAATTGGGTAGTGTCAGTTCTATGTCTTTTTTTTTTTTTTTTTTTTTTTGTACTTCAGTATTGTTTTGGACATTCTGAGTCTTTTTGTCTTCCCTTATAAACTTTAGAATCAGTTTGTCCGTATTCACTCAGTGACTTTCTGAGATTTTGATTGGAGTTCAGGAACATAAACTATATCTCCATTTATTAATTTTTCTCTGATTTTCTCATCAGAGTTCTTTCATTTTCCTCATATGGTTCTTGTATCTATCTTGTTAGACGTACACCTTATAATATTTTTTGGTTGCTAATGTAAATGGTATTGTGTTTTTAATCTCACATTCCACTTGTTCCTTGTTGGCATATAGGAAAACAATAGACATTTGTACATTTACCTTGTATCTTACGATATTGCTATAATTGCTTATTAGCTCTGATAGTTTCTTTTTTGTCAATTCTTTCAGATTTTGTACATATGCAATCATGTCTTCTGTGAACAAATATAATTTTATTAATTTATTCCAAATATTTATATATTTTATTGTGTAATTATATTAGTTACTACTTCCAATATAATATTGAAAAGGAGCAGTGAGAGGATACATTGTTGCCTTACTTCTGATCTCAGTGAGAAAGCCTCCAGTTTTTAATCATTAAGTATGATGTTAGCTGTATGTTTTTGTAGATATTCTCTATCAAGTTGATGAAGTTCTCCACTATTTCTAATTCCCTGAGAGTTGTTAGTCATGAGTGGGTATTAAATTTTGCTAATCTTTTTCTATGTCTATTCTTATTATCATGTAAATTTTATTTTTTACACTGTTGGTATGATGGGTTCCATTAGGTGATATTCAAAGGCTGAAATGGCCTTGCATACCTGAGATAAATCCTACTGGAGATTCTTGGAGACAGAGCAAAATGGCAGAATAGAAGTCCCCACCAATCATTCCCCTGAAAGAATACCAATTT
Source organism: Homo sapiens (assembly GCF_000001405.40). Classification (NCBI taxonomy): domain Eukaryota; kingdom Metazoa; phylum Chordata; class Mammalia; order Primates; family Hominidae; genus Homo; species Homo sapiens. The sequence goes on along the minus strand of NC_000004.12, from coordinate 64,511,598 downwards.
AACAGTTATTTACACAAGAAAACCACTTTTGTAAAAATAAAAAAAATAGGTGAGCACTCACTGTACATAGTTTTAACTTCATATCACTAAAAGAGGCACTAAAGAGGTAGATAAAAAACATTCTTGAATTGCCAATGCCATCCCTCCCCCATCCTCTGGCAGTAGGGGCATGGTGCAGAGAGAGATTCTGAATACTTTGGAGAAGGAGAGTGAGGCAATTGTGAGACGTTGCATTGAACTCAAAGTTGCCCTGTCATAGCAGAAAGCAATCTGGAATAAACTCAGGTGACACTGGCCCACAAAAAGAGAATTTAAAATGGTGAAGAGTACAGAAAATAAATGGAAAGATATTCCATGTTCATGGATTTAAAGAATCAATATTGTTAAAATGTTCCTACTACCCAAAGCAATCTACAAATTTAATGCAATCCTTTTCAAAAGACCAATGACATTCTTCACAGAAATAGAAACAATCCGAAAATTTGTATGGATCCACAAAAGTCTCAGAATAGCCAAAGCTATCTTGAGCAAAACTGGAGGAAAAACAATACCTCACTTTAAATTATACTCCAGAGCTATAGTAACCAAAATGGCATGGTATGGGCATAAAAACAGACACATAGACCAGTAGAACAGAATGAACAACCCAGGAATAAATCCATACATCTACAATGATCTCATTTTTGACAAAGTTTCCAAGAACATACATTGGAGAAATGACAGTCTCTCTGATTAATGGTGCTGGGAAAACTGTATATCTATATACATAAGAATAAAACTAGACCTCTATCTCTTGCCACATACTAAAATCAAATCCACATGGATTAAACACTTATAAGACCTCCAACTATGAGCCTACTAAGGAAAATGCTGGAAAAACTCTCCAACACATTGGAGTGGGCAAAGACTTCTTGAGCAGTACCTTACAAGCATAGGCAACCAAATCAAATTAAGAAATTAAGAACCCTTTTTTTTTTTTTTTTTGGTGACAGAGTCTGGCTTTGTCGCCGAGGCTGGATTGCAGTGGCGTGACTTCAGCTCATTGCAACCTCCGCCTCCTGGGTTCAAGCAATTCTCATGCCTCAGCCTCCTAAGTAGCAGGGATTACAGGCGTGTGCCACCATGCTCAGGTAATTATCTTGTATTTTTAGTAGCAACCGGGTTTCACCATGTTGGCCAGGCTGGTCTTGAAATCTTAGCCTCAAGTGATCCGCCTGCCTCAGCCTCCCAAAGTGCTGAAATTCCAGGCATGACCCACTTTTGCCTGGCCTCAAGTTAAGAAGCTTCTGAACAGCAAAGGAAACAATCAGCAATATGAAGAGACAGCCTACAGAATGGAAGAAAATATTTGCGAACTACCCATCTGACAAAGAATTAATAACCAGAATATATAAGAAACCCAAACAAAAATAGAGGGAAAAAAAATCTAATAACGTGATTTAAAACGGCCAGAGAATCTGAATACATGTCTCAAAAGACGATATACAAATGGCAACAGGAATATGACAAAGTGCTCACCATCTTTGATCATCAGAGAAATGCAAGTCAAAACTACGAGATACCATCTCATCACAGTTAAAATGGCTTTCCTCCAAAAGACAGGCAATAACCAATGCTGGCAAAAATGTGGAGAAAAGAGAACACTTGTTTGCTGTTGGTGGGAATGTGAGTTAGTACAACCATTATGAAACACAGTTTGGAAATTCCTTACAAACTAAAAATAGAGATACCATATGATCCAGCAGTCCCACTTATAGGTATATACCCAAAAGCAAGAAAGAATAATGAGGGGATATCTGTACGCTCATGTTTATTGCAGCACTATTCTCAAGCCAAGATTTAGAAGCAGCCTACATGTCCATCAACAGATAAATGGATAAAGAAAATGTGCCACGTACACACAATGGAGTACTATTTGGCCGTAAAAATGAATGAGATCCTGTCATTTGCAGCAACGTGGATGGAACTGCAGGTCTTTATGTTAAATAAAATAAGCCAGGCACAGAAAGACAAACGTCACATTTTCTCACTTTTCTCTGGGAGCTAAACATAAAAACAATTAACTCATGGAAGTAGAGAGTAGAAGGTTGGTTACCAGAGGCTGGAAAGTGTAGCCAGAGAGAGTGGAATGTAAGGGGAAATGGTTAAAATAACTAAGACCCAGTATTTGGTGGCAAAAAAAAAAAAAGGTGGCTATAGTAAAAACTAATTTAATTGGACATTTTAAAATAATTTAAAAAGTATAATTGAATCATTTATAACACAAAGGATAAATGCTTAATGTGATGGATGCTCTAGTCAACCTCATGTGATTGCTGTGCATTGCATGTGTGTTTCCAAATATCTCATGTAACCTGTAAATACATGAAGCTACTATGTAGTCACATTTAAAAAATTATAAAAATCCTACTTGGTTGTGGTGCATAATTTTTTAGATATTGTTGGATTTAATATGCTAATATTTTGTTTATAATTTCTATATCTATGTTTTTGAGAGATATTGGTCTGTAGTTTCTTTACTTGAGATTGTTTAGTCTGACTTTGGTATTAGGATGATGCTGGCCTCCTAGAATGAGTTAGAATATATTCACTCTGTTTCTATTCTCTAAAAGAGATTGTAGAGAATTTGAATAATTTATTCCTTAAATGTTTGTTAGAATTCACCAGTTATCCTGTCTGTGCCTTGTGCTTTCTATTTTGGAAAGTTATCAATTATTTATTCAATTTATTTAATACCTACAGACTTGCTCAGATTGTCTATTTCTTCTTGTGTGAGTTTTGGCAAATTGTGTCTTTCAAATAATTGATTTATTTTATCTCTTATCAGATTTGTGGACATAGAATGAGTCATAGAATACTATTTTATTATCCTTTTAATGTTCATACAATCTGTTGCGGTCTCATGTTTCAGATCCAATATTAGTCATTTGTATTTTTTTTGGAGTTAACCTGGCTTGATGTTAATCAATTTTATAAATCCTTTCCAAGTAGCAGTTTGTATTTTCAGTGATTTTCTCTATTGATTTCTCATTTTAAACTTCAGTTTCTGTTTCTGCTCTAATTCTTATTGTTTATTTATTTTCTACATATTTTGGATTGAATTTGCCTTCCTTTTTCTATTTCCTTAAGTTGGAAGCTTAGGCTATTGATTTTAGATCTTTCATGTTTTCTTTTTCTTTTTTTAAAAAAAAAATTCCCAAGCTTTATTTTTTGAGCTTTTTAATTGTATAAGATACATAACATAAAATTACCCTTTTAACCATTTGAAGTCTATAACTCAGTGGCATTAGGTATATTTACAATGTTGCACAATCATCTCCCCTATCTGTTTTCAGAACTTTTTCATCATCCCTAATAAGAACTCTGTACCCATTAACCAATAACACCTCATTTCTCCATTCCCCAGCCTCTGGTATCCTCTCCTGTACTTTCTGTCTGTATGAATTTGCCTATTCTAAGTATCTCATATAAGAGGAATTATACAATATTTGTCTTTCTGTGTCTGGCTAGTTTAACTTAACATAATGTCTTCAGGTTTCACCATGTTGTAGCATGTGTCAGAATTTCATTCCTTTTTTTTTTTGACCCTATAATTCATATGGTTTTATTTTACTCATTCTTAATATTAAAAATATACATATAAGGTGGAAATGATATTTCTAAAACAGTGGTCAATCACTAGTGCAGATACAAAAAAAGAAAACAAGCCTCAGTAAATAGTAGATTTTCCTAGTTTGAGGAACTTTTCTTGTGTTACCTTGGTAACAGTAATCGGATTTGCCCCAATGTTCTTTTATTTTTTATTATTATATTTTAAGTTCTAAGGTACATGTGCACAACGGGCAGGTTTGTTACATATGCATACATGTGCCATGTTGGTGTGCTGCACCCATTAACTCGTCATTTACATTAGTTATATCTCCTAATGCTATCCCTCCCCCTTCCCCCCACCCCACGACAGTCCCTGGTGTGTGATGTTCCCCATCCTGTGTCCAAGTGTTCTCATTGTTCAGTTCCCACCTATGAATGAAAACATGCGGTGTTTGGTTTTCCGTCCTTGCGATAGTTTGCTGAGAATGATGGTTTCCAGCTTCATCCATGTCCCTACAAAGGACATGAACTCATCATTTTTTATGGCTGCAGAGCATTCCATGGTGTATATGTGCCACATTTTCTTAATCCAGTCTATCATTGATGGACATTTGGATTGGTTCCAAGTCTTTGCTATTGTAAATAGTGCCACAATAAACATACATGTGCATGTGTCTTTATAGCAGCATGATTTATAATTCTTTGGGTATATACCCAGTAATGGGATGGCTGGGTCGAATGGTATTTCTAGTTCTAGATCCTTGAGGAATCTCCACACTGTCTTCCACAATGGTTGAACTAGTTTACAGTCCCACCAACAGTGTAAAAGTGTTCCTATTTCTCCACATCCTCTCCAGCACCTGTTGTTTCCTGAGTTTTTAATGATTGCCATTCTAACTGGTGTGAGATGGTATCTCATTGCGGTTTTGATTTGCATTTCTCTGATGGCCAGTGATGACGAGCATTTTTTCATGTGTCTGTTGGCTGCATAAATGTCTTCTTTTGAGCAGTGTCTGTTCACATCCTTCACCCACTTTTTGATGGGGTTGTTTGATTTTTTTCTTGTAAATTTGTTTAAGTTCTTTGTAGATTCTGGATATTAGTGGATATTAGCCCTTTGTCAGATGGGTAGATTGCAAAAATTATCTCCCATTCTGTAAGTTGCCTGTTCACTCTGATGGTAGTTTCTTTTGCTGTGCAGAAGCTCTTTAGTTTAATTAGATCCCATTTGTCAATTTTGGCTTTTGTTGCCATTGCTTTTGGTGTTTTAGACATGAAGTCCTTGCCCATGCCTATGTCCTGAATGGTATTGCCTAGATCTTTCATATTTTCTAATATATGTATCCAATGCTGTAAATGTTCTTCTCAGTACGGTTTCACTACATCCCACAAAATTTACAAGGTGTGCTTTTATTTTTATTTTTAAAATTTTCAAATATTCTCTTGAGAATTTTTTTAATGCATTATTTAGAAGTGTCTTGTTTAATCTCAATGTATTTTGGTATTTTCCAATTATCTTTTCATAATGAATTTCTAGTTTAATTTTATTTTGTTGTGAGGGCAGATATTGTATGATTTATTGTTTTTAATGTTTACAGTCTGTCTGCTTTATGGCCCAAAATGTGGTTTATCTTGTTGAAGAGCAAGTGAGACCTTGAGAAGAGTGTGTATTCTTCTATTATTGGATAAAGTAGTCTAACATATTTATTGAAATAATCTATATGGATATCAGTGGTTTGATGGTGTTGTTAACATATGTCCTTACTGATTTTTTGCCTGCTTGATATATCCACTTCTAAAATAAGGGTGGTGAGGTTCCCAATATGTTACCGCATTCACCCATTTGTCCTTGCATTTTTACTAGTTTTTGCATCACACAGTTTGAAGCTCTATTGTTATTCACATATATGTAAGGGATTATGTTTTCTTCTTGAGAAATTGACCTCTTTATTATTATATAATGCCCTTCATTATCTCTGATAACTTTTCTTGCTTGAAGTCTGCTCTGCTTGAAATTAATATAGCTACTCCTACTTTCTTTCAATTGTTAGCATCATATATTTTCTCCAAATGTTCACTATTAATCTATATGTGTCTATGTATTTAAAATAGGTTTATTTTAGACAACATATAGCTGAGTATTATTTTTGATCCACTATGACAATCTCTATCTAAATAGTTGGGGTACTTAGATCATTGATGTTCAACATGATTAATGATATAATTGGATTAATATTTGCTTTCTTTTACTGTTTTCCATTTGTAGTCTTCGTTCTTTGTTTTTTTTCTTTGACTTCCACTCTTCTCTGACTTTTGTGGCTTTAATTGAGCATTATATATGATTCAATTTTCTCTCCTTTCTTAAGATATTAGCTATACTGTTTTGTGTGTTTTTTAAAATTTTTTTAGTGGTTGCTCTAGAGTTTGCAACATACATTCACAACTAATATAAGCCCACTTTCAAATAGCATCATACCATTTCAACATTGTGAAGGTAACATATAGTAAGAAAAAAACATTAATTCCTTACTCCTACATCTTGCATCTTTGCTGACATTCATTCTACTTGTCATAGGCATATATGTTTATACATTAGCATACATAAGCAAATACATGGTTGCTTTTATTATTTTGAACAAATAACTATCTGATAGATTAAGAATAATTGATTCTAAACATCACTTATTCCTTCTTCAATCAATTCTCTTCATTTCCTTATGTAAATTAGAATTTGTACCCTATATAATTTTTTTTCTCTCTACTGAAATTATTTTAACATTTCTTTCAAGGTGGATCTACTGGCAGCAAATTGCCTCAATTTTTGATTGTCTAAAATGTCTTTTTAGATTCACTTGTGAAGAATAATTTTACTCAACACAGAATTCTACACTGGTGTTGTTTCTTTTTCACTCAACACTTTAGATATTTTGTTCTATTCTCCTCTAATTCACATAATTTCTGAGGGCAAGTCAGATGTAATTCCTATCTGTTTTCCTCTATAGGTAAGGGGTATGTTCTGTCCTGCCCCTGGGCTTCTTTCAGGATTTATTTTGATTTTTGATTTTCTGTAATTTGAAAATAATATTCCTAGGTGTATTTTCTTTTTTTTTTTTTTTTTTTGCATTTATCCTGCTTGGTTTTCTCATAGCTTCCTGGATCTGTGGTTTGGTGTCTGACATTAATTTGGAAAAATTCTCAGTCAGTATTGTTTCAAATATTTCTTCTGTATTTTAGTCTCTTTCTTGTATTTCCAATGTTTCTGTTACACCTATTGTAGTTCTGAGAGTCTTTGGATATTCTGTTAGTTATTTTTTTTCTATTTTTTGTTGTCTTTTCAGTTTCTGAAATTTCTATTGATATATCCTCAAGCTCAAAGATACTTTCTTCATACTGGACACATCTGGTCTACTAATAAGTCTATCAAAGGAATTATTCATTTTCATTTCAATGTCTTTGATCTCTCTCATTTCTTTTTTTTTTTCCTTAGGATTTCCATCTCTCTGTTTACATTGCCTATCTTCTGTTTACATCTCTCTGTTTACATTGCCCAGCGTTCTTTCATGCTTCCTACTTTACTCATTAGAGCCTTTAAAATATTAGTTTCAATTGTCTTAAATTTTGGAGCTGATAGTTTCAACCTCCCTGACGTGTCTACTTTAATGCTTGCTCTATTTCTTCAAGTTGTGGGGGCTTTTGTTTTTATTTTTATTTCACCTTTGCTATGTCTTATATTTTTTCTTGATAGCTGGATGTAATGCATGTGGTAAAAATAACTGTTGTAAGTAGGTTTTTACTGATATAGTGGTAAGGTTGGGGGAAGGAAAAGCTTTCTATAGTTCTATTATTAGATTTCAGTCTTTTAGCAAGCCTCTGTTTCTGGACTGTGTACTTCACAAGTGTTTCTTAATAAGACATCCTTACAGACATTTGTGAAAGATAGTGATACAATTTAGGATGATTTATGATATAATCAGAATTATAAGGAAAAATTTTTGTGACGTAATTTAAGGCATTTAATAGAACTCTATTTGATGTCATAAGTGTTTTAATAATAAATTTTCTTTGTTTCTTCTTTGAGAAATACATACTATAGAATAATCTAGATAAAGAAATCACTGCATTTCACTTGCTTGCTATCTTGACTGTTATTGAATGTACCTAATTATTTTGAAGCATTGAATCGCCTTGCAATAACACAGAAAAAATATTCGTTATGAAATATTGATACATTTATATACAACAGCGTGCTCTTTTTCAGAGTTTCCTGTATGTTGCTCTTTTACTAACACTTTGTGACAGGTTTCTATCTGCTAAGTCAACTCCCAGATGGGCAGAGAAAACATAAGGTATTTGTTGAGAGACACCTCATCTCACTGTCAGTGTAACACACATCATTTATTAGATAGGGAAGGTGTCTTGCCCTTTTCTAGTCTGATAAGTTTCAGAGTGTCAGTGACATAATTCATACTTTTTCACTGGAGAGGCCAAAAGAATGAAAGGCTACAGATTAGAAATGCAAATTTTATACCATTGATTGATTGTTAAAAGTGTTTGAATATTTTCATAAAGGCATAAATTATGTCTTGCTTTAATAATAGAAAATGTTGAATATTTCATTAATAAAATCAATGGCCAGGGAATTAAATTTAGAAAAATAAAAATTTCACTTAAATAGGCTCATAGATCTCTCAATTAATAACTTTTTTCACCAAATGTCTTCAGTTTGAATTCCTTCTGAATAAGTACTGAACAACTCTCCAACAGGAAGGTCTACTATAAATGCTTTAATTTTGGAGAAATTGAAGTAAAATTAATAAAGAGATCTATAAACTGAATTGTGTAACCTGAGATATTAGGAGTGGGATCAATAATCATAACAATAAGAATTTAGAACTAACTTTATATAATTAAATACTTCACAATGACTGTTCACAAAAATGTAGGTCTATTAATTTTTTTTCACTTGTTTTGAGACAGGGTCTTGCTGTGCCACCTAGACTGGAGTGCAGTGGTGCAATCACAGATCATAGCAACCTTTATCTCCTGGATTCAAACCTGTGCACAACACACCTGATTATTATTATTATTGTTATTTTTTAGTAGAGACCGGTTCTCACTATATTGCCCAGTTCTCACTATATCTCAAACCCCTGGCTTTAAGTGATCCTCACACTTCAGTTTCCCAAAGTGCTGGGATTACAGGCATGATGCCTGTTATAGCTTTTATTAAGAGAATTAGATGCTTCAAGAGTTCACTTTAATAAAAAATAATTGCATACACATTTAATTTATTTATATCCTCCTCTAGCTACTGGCTTATTTTACCTACTTTTGAATTATTTTAATTATCAGCAAGCTAGGTAATCTACATGTACTACAACTATTTATCATTTTCAGTTTAATCATCAACACCCTATTATTAGACTAAATTGCACTATAGTGAAGTTCTTTTGAAAGTTGATTAATAACAATCTAAGGTTGGTCACTTTTGCAGATTCCACTCTCTTTATGTCTTTTGCCGTCTCTAAATCCTGGAATTTCCAAGAGTCCTTGCTTCAGACTTCTTAATGTTTTATTTCATGACTCATGTTTAATAAATCTCTTTACTGTTAATCCCTACTAAAGGAAATTAAGAAAGGCAATAACAAAAAAATTAAGCACCTCCCAAAGTATTCGACAAACAAGCAAATAACTCAATGATAACTGTATTATATAGCTTTATTTTGTTACAAATTTGACAATTGTTAATTTAGAATACACACTAAAGTAAAACCAATGTAGGATCCTATCTCTCAGTTAGCACCAATGTTAATATTTATCTGGTGTATAATCTACCTATGTACATGCAATAATAATGGTTTTCTATTTGGTATGTATTAGACTGTATTTTTATTTTTACATTATTTTAATTTTAGCTATAGAGATGAGATACTCCATGTTGGGGGTCCCTTTTTTTTTTTATTCGAATCTCTAACATATATTACTTTACCTGGAACACAGTGCTATGTATATATTTGATGAATAAAAAATACATATATATATATAAATTAAGTGGATCGTGTCCATTTATAATGCTATAACTAATATTTATATTTATGTAAATGATTTTACCTTCATTTATGTTCATAATTTCAAAATTATATTCCCACTGCCAGTATGTTATGAAGACAGTTTATAGGCAATTCAAATTCAACAGGTGTAACCTAAAGTTTATCCATTTAAAGATAGGATATATTTTATATATTGTCCGGGAGAGCTATTTACCTTGTCTTCCAAGTGAGAAAATTGAAAATAGATCTGTGATTCCTTTATCTAAATTTTAATTCAGTCTTCTAATGCAATAATTATTCTTTGATGATATATCTCCTATGTGGAATTTACCCTCCATTATCTTCATTCTTCATTAGTTTCAATCTTGTTTCACTTTTGTCTAGATACATATAATGACACAAATTTTCTCATTGTTCTTCTCTGCCATCTTAAATCCCCCCTTTATAAGCACCAATTGCCGCTTTTATAACACATGTGGTTAAAGAATGTTTTTCCTTATCTCAAGTTTCAGAGAAGTGATCCCTGGTCACCAAATAGTTTTTCATTTTCTCTTAAGAATAACAGGACATTTTTTCCCTATTTGCTACATAAATATTTCTGTGAGTATTGCTGCTCCACGGTATGTGAAAAGAAATGGTGTACACCAATCCTTGAGCTAGATTCTAAAAGGTCTTACGTGATCTTCCACGTCTTCGTTCTTTGTCCTATCTGCAATACTTAAAGGGAAGAAATGTTACATCTTAGAGAGAAAATATTGAGGTATCCAGATCCCTGTGAAACATAGTTTAGACTATCTTGATTGGTGAAGAAATTGATATAAAATAAGGGTACTATTTTGACCAAAAACTAAAATATTTAACAATGGCTTAGCATTTAGGCAACATGTACCTAGGAAAGTAATACCACAGGCTAGAAACTTTGTGATCCATGCTATTCAGTGGCATAGCATTTGTTAAACCTATCATCTGCAATAATTTTGGAGGTGGAAAAATGTTTTTGATTGTCTGACAGCTCTAAGGGAATAGTTAGAAAATATAACATTTGGTAGTGTTTGCTGGCTACTAATGACTGTTTTGGCAAGGTGTTGCAGAAGATGGATAGGTTCAAGAATAAACTGACTGGTTAAAACGATTTTACAGGACTCAAAAAGTTTCCAGTTCTTACAATGGGAAATACAATTAATGAAAGTTTTTAGAATCAAAGACCCAGTAAAAGTTATCAGCTGAATAAATGACAGGGTAAAATTCAAATCAATCCAGCTTTCCAGTGTATCCTAGTGCCCAAAACTACAAACACACTGATATGATTTGTCTATGTGTCCTGACCCAAATCTTAACTTGATTATAATCTGCAAGTATTGAGGAAGAAACCTGGTGGGAGGTGATTGGATCATGGAGACAGTTTCCCCTATGCTGTTCTCGTGATAGTGAGTGAGTTTTCACGAGATCTGATGGCTTTATAAGGGTTTGGCAGTTCCTGTCTCACTCTTGTCTCTCTCTCCCGCTGCCTTGTGAAGATGTCTGCTTCCCGTTCCACCATGATTAGTTTCCTGAGGCCTCCTCAGCCATGTGGAACTGTGAGTCAATTAAACCTCCTTTGTTCATAAATTACCCAGTCTCTGGTAGTTTCTTTATAGCAGTGTAAGAACGGACTAATCCACACATTGAAATATTTGCTCTTCTGAAATCTATCTTATGCTCTAATGCTTTATGAATTCTTGTTGTAAAACATCTTTAATCAATGCTGACTTCCTCCCTATTTTCCAACCAGATAAAATTTTAGTCCTTCCTCACAAACAACTTTGTATGCCAACACAAATATAATACGTTTTTTGTTATTTGATTTTCAAGTACTTTATGTTGAGGCCATATATTTCACGTTATCCATCATGACCAACTTTTTCTCCTTACCAAGAATTGTGTTATATTCTTCCTATTTCTGAGAATAATTTCCTTTTTGAATACAAAATATAAGATTAGTCTGCCCTTTGAGACTAAGCATCTACTTCAAATTTGTTTTGTCATAGCACCTCCTCAACGAAGGTGGAAATCTTTCTGAGAAGTGGCTAAATTTTTTCTCTAATTCTTTATTCATTTTTAGCTACCCATTTTACCTTTATAACATGAGTTCTTTATTTATTCATTAAGTGTGAATTAGCACATACTTAGCATATTTCAAGTACTAAGGTAAGTGATATAGACTTGAGTTTGACTATAATATGATATACCTAGATAAGATGAGGTTGTGAACTGCCTAAGTGTCAAGTTTCTGGGATTCCCTTGGTGGGATATAAATAGCCCTAATTAAATAATATTTTTACTGTTGTTCTTAACTCTGAATATTTCTTTTATTTTTCCAAATTTACCTGGGAAATTATGTTACCTTTCACTGTGGTATTACTAGTCAGTACATTTGAGAAAACATTATTATTTTTAATAGTGTATTATATATAGTTTTCTAAATCACATTGTGTTAAAAAAATCTTGCTTTATAATAAAATAGTATATATTTTATATTTCCCAAGGTTAAATTATATTTTTGTGTTGACAAACATATGTAATATTATGTCCCTCAAATTTTCTAAATTATATAAATTTGAATTTTTAAAAATAATTTTAAAATTACACTACTTGAACAAATCATTTTCTGAATATTTTAATATATAGAATCATTGCTTCTTAGAGAAATGGATGGTTGCAGGGCTGGGGAAGAAAAGAAGTACTTTATATAAGATTGGAATATCTTTTTGTGACAGAAAAATAAAGTATACAAAACTGATAAAGATGTGTCAAAAATTTAAAGAAGACATTTGAATGAGTTCACATTGATTAAACTGGAATAATTTGGGAATAAACATAAATAATGATAGTAATAGATTTTAATTCACCAAATTAAGTAAAATGCATTGGGCAAGACATAAAAAATAAATAGAAAAGAAGGATAATATATTTTTTACAACAGACTAACAATTGATACATGTGGAATAAATAATTGCCATTATGCAAAAATCATAGCAACAACAGATTATGGCAAAAATACATGTTAAAACTAATGAATGAAATTTTGATAATGGGCAGGTTATTTACATTATCAAAAAATAACCACCCTTCAAATTACTTAGTTATTATGCAAGTAACAATAGTTACTTTACAGAGAGAAATTTGGAGATTACCATTTAAACAAGTGTTCAAAGTTTACATAGCTAATAGGAGACAAATGATTATCATATGCCTCCTGATGTATTGCACTGAAGATGAATATTTATATAATATTACTGTCCAAAATGCATATCCAAAGCCAAAAGCTAATGAACCATCAGACAAACACAAACTGAGAGGCATTCTCCAAAAACAAGCATATGGTCTTAAAAATTTTTAAGTTTTGAAAGACAAAGAATGACTGAAAAATCAATTCAGATTGAAAAAGGACAAAAAAAGACATAAAAAGTAAATGCAATGTGTATCCTTGTGTTGATCTTGGATCAGAAAGTTCTAGGAGAAAAATTTGGGGCAAAATTGGCAAAATTTGAGTAAAGCTGTATGTTGGATCATGTTAATACATCAATGTCAAATTTCCTGGCTTTGATAGTTTTATTATAATTATATAAATAATGCTTCTGTCTTAAGAAATATACACGGATGTTTTTAAAAGAAAAGTTTCATGTTTCCAAGTTATTCTCAAATGGTTCTTAATCATATATATGTGTGAGACTGTATATGTATTTTTATATAAACACAAATGTGAGGATGAGAGAGAAAGCAGGAGAAAATAATAATTCAAATGTGCAAAACATTTACAATAGGAAAACCTTAATGAATGAAGTGTATTTGGGAGATTTTGGTATTTTCTTGGAAATTTTCTGTAGTTAAATCTTCTTTATTTTTTTTTAAGTTAAATTTTTAATTTTTTTTAAAGTTAAAAATTTGCATTACTATTTGCCTCTGTAGTTTCAATATGACAGTGCAGCAGGGAATATATAAATTCTGTAATAACAACAAAAACACTAGCTTTAATAGAAAAAAAACACTTCAAGTAGTTGCTAGTATTTTTAAAATAAATACTATTTGTTGTCTACTCACATTATCACTAAATGTTTTCCTCATTTTGGGTGAGTATCAAAGTTAGTAAGGAGGTTTAAAAATAATGTGGTTTCTTACAGTAATAGGAATGGAATTCAGTGAGATAGATAAATGTCTCTGAGGACTTCTAAACCTCCTTTCCAATGCACAGCTTGCCCAGAAGAAATCCCATCACATTAAAGTTTTCCTGAAAGTCATTAATGAGGGTTGTGCACATTTCAGCCCAAATTAACCTTGACGTTTATTCTGTACACACAAAGACTGATTCTTTGATGCTATCATCTGAGGGGAGGATTTTTTCAATGTGCATGAATGAGACAAGCTAATTTTAAATCTTGTGACTGTAAAAAAAAAGTGTTACCACTAAATAAAAAATTCTAACACCTTTTCAAAATATTCCAGATTTGTGGTGATAAAAAAGATTTGATTAATTTCTCTAATAGACTCTTAAAGTAACTACATTATAAATCAAACATTACTGCTTATGGTTTTAGTATGTACTAGTAATTGCTATGGATGGGAAATTAATGTTATCAACTTCTTACTAATTATAACCTTAATTTGTCTATCCCAGCTGGGTACATTTTTTAATTTATCATCTACCCAACACATTTAAGTGGATCCTTTTGTTACAGATATAAAACAACAATATTTGCATAATAAGTAAAATATATATGTACTGATTGCATGTATTTCTGTGTAATAAATAAAATATAGAATTAATGTCTGGTAGTTGCATTAAACAGCAATTAAAATGTAAATAATAGTAAGTTAAAAAAGAATCATTTATTCTTTATTCAATGCTTATAAAAAGATAAATATATATTTCTCTCCATATGCAATTTAAATTATATCTCCATATCTGGCATAAAATAGGATTCTATTTATTCTAATTTTGACAAGGTATGACAATATATGACATCTTATTTATATATTTATTTGAAATGTCAAGTTTCAAAAACATCCATTCTTTCTCCCTTTCTTTGTGCTTGAAAAACCTCACTCAGGATAACCTATAGAAGGAAATAGTTTGCAATAAATCACTTTAATTGTTTAAAATCTACTTTATAAGTAATAACATTCATATCCTTTATAAACCATGGTTTTCTTCTACTCTATGTAAAGGAATCAAATATCCCTTGCAATGCTTTTCTCTAAAAGATCCTTTTCATTCTGTCCTATATTAGGGAAAATAGGTAAGAAAATAGATTAGTCAATACAGGTAATACACCAAAACTGTCAAGCAAGATGTAGAGGATAAAATTGATTATGCATTTTAGTAAAAAATAGTATTATACACCAATTCCTTCCTTCCTTCCTTTCTTTTCTTTCTTCTTTCTTTCTTTCTGTATATGTGTATTCATCTTCATGATTCAGAAATTAGAGTTCACTGAGCTATAATTGCTCACATACAGTAATAAACTGAGGTGGAAAATTGACAATCGTTATGGTAACTATATCAATTAAATTGTATACCTCAATATTCTCTCTTGATTCAAATTAAATGTATCTGAATTATTCAATCGATTGTCAGCATTGGTCAAATTATTGGTTATGGCAGTATAACTCAAAATATCCCATAGGCTATGTGGACTTACTCAATTTTGCTCGATGAAAACACCCTATTCTATTTTCTGATGTGATGTTAGATAAAGACCATGATCAGCATGTGCTTGAACATTGCAAAGTTGAGCTCACAATATTTTTTGGCATATGAGTGATGGGTAATGCCTAACACCAGCTGTCTTTTCAGCTGTGACCTGCCATCCAGCTTGTCAAATGGCTCAATCAAAAAATCAGTATGATGTGCTGTTCCCCTCACAGAGAAGAGAGAAACACCTTAAGTCACAGAGTTTTGTAATCCCCTCTGGTCATTCACATAAAATCTGTTTCATACTATATTTTCTTCTCATAGTCATCTAAGACAATGGCAGATTTAGATGAGGCTCATTTTTGATTGGCATAAGATTGTTTCACATTTTTTTGTTTATTAGCATAACTATTATATTATCTTACAAATTTCACTAAATCATCAAAGCACCCTATTTATTATTATTGAGCCTAATTGTCTGGTAGTTCTATTTAGTTTTAATATTCAGGTTTAAGAAATTATATATATATATAATATATATATATATACACACACACATACATATATATGTTTTTGTGTTTGTACGTGTGTGTGTATATAGTTTCTTGTTAATTTTAGCTCCTGAGACAACTCTGTAAACATAAATGTAAAAGTCTCCAAATGGAGGGAATGAGATTTTCAACTGGCTGTGGTAGTTGAGATGACTATTTCATCAAATACTGCAGTGCGCAAAAATAGCTTACTTTTTCAGAAACTTCACAAACAGGAATGTATTTCCCCTGGCATTTACTTTTTACCTCATCTTTTTAGATAGTCAATAAGCAGAATAAAATATTAATAAGTGCTATGCTTTGTTGATGTTATATGATAAACATTTTGAACTAGGAAAGTGGTATATATTAATTTTGGTTACATTCACAGAAACTTTAAAAGTTAGGAGAGCATTATATTTGCATAACAAACTGAATCAGAACCAAATATTTTCAATTACATTATTGAATTAAATGAGTAAAGGAATTAAACGTAATAGTTCAAATCAAAATCTCTCTAACACATTTACAGAAGTTAAATCAGAGTAGTGGTTATAAATTTCGTCATACTTATTGAACTTGTTGAAAGTATTTAAAATAGCTTTTTAGTCCCATTACTCAGAGATTTGAATTCTGTGGTTTTGTTACTTTCTTTTATTCCAAGTGCCTGCATAAGTATACTCTTCTACCACCTTTAAGTTATGTGAGGCCATGGGACAGGTTCTAACCAACCAGATGTGAAAAACTATGATACTCTGGGATGCAACACTGATATGATTTGGCTGTGTCCCTACCCAAATCTCATCTTGAATTGTAGCTCCCATAACTCCCACTTTTTGTGGGAGGGACCTGGTGGGAGATAATTGAATCATGGAGGGGTTTCCCCCATACTGCTCTCATGATAGTGAATAACTCTCATGAGATCTGATGGTTTTATAAGGAGAAGCCCCTTTCACTTCATTCTCATTCTCTCTCATCTGCCGCCATGTAAGACGTGACACCTTCTGCCATGATTGTGAGGCCTCCTCAGCCACGTTGAACTGTGAGTCCATTAAACCTCTTTTCTTTATAAATTACACAGTCTCTGACACGTCTTTATCAGCAGCATGAAAACGTACTGATACAAGCATTTACTTAGAGTGCTCTGTTCTTCCCACACACTATGTTGAAGCATTATGACCATATTAAACCATATGATAAGTAAAAATCATTTTTCTATTTTTCAAGCAACTCTGATATGGACATTGTGTGCCCAATCTGTCAAAAATCTTTGTCCTGATAGCATGCCAGCTGTGGGACTAAATTCACCATTTTTAAAAGTCTCCACAGTTGTACATTATACAAGTGGCCAGTGAACAATATTTCACGAAACATTATTGGTTTAGATTACTCTTTAGCAACTTTAAAATTTTTCTACTATGACACATAATCATAGTGGGAAATCGATAACATGGAATTTGAAGATCACTTCACTTTTGATGGGTTGATAGGTGCAGCAAACCACCATGGCACACATTTACCTATGTAACAAATGTGCACATTCTGCACATGTACCCTGGAACTTAAAAATAAAAAAGCAATAAAATAATTTTTAAAAGATTTGAAAAATGTAACTTGAAATATCATTTTAA
The DNA here is from genome assembly GCF_000001405.40 of Homo sapiens. NCBI lineage: Eukaryota > Metazoa > Chordata > Mammalia > Primates > Hominidae > Homo > Homo sapiens. The sequence continues at coordinate 64,494,125 of NC_000004.12, read as the reverse complement.
ATTTTTGTATTAATTTAATTCAAGAAAAGTAACTCAAGATGTTTAGTTCTGTTTTAGTTTGTCACAAGAACATAATGGTCTCCCTACTTTTTAATGTTCTTATTAATAGGAATAACAGAAGTTAAAATATGCTTCTTTCCTACTGAGCACACTAATTCATGTATTGACTTATTCAATCAACCCTTCAACATGTTTTTAAATCACCAAGTGTGCAATAAACTTTGATATAATCTATGCAGAAATAATGAAGAACAGAGACATTCACATTAAAAGGTTGATTTCAGGTTCAGAGGGACCTGAAATCCCTGATTTCAGGTTCAGAGGTGGATTAAATCCCTTTTACATATTTGTTCTAAAACACTGTACTCTTTAAGAACTAATAGTCTAGAACAACTAGATGCTTTTTCACTTTATTTAACAAATGGAACCAAAGATTTAGTGGCATGGCCTGGAACAAAGTGTCTCCTCTCTTTTTAGTGGTTCTCATTTCCACTGTTATTGAATAAATGTTAGTCACCTGAAAGAGAATATTGAATTCCCTCAGGGTCTTCTATGTTTGTAGGAAAAGTTTATTCCTCTACAGTTAGAAAAATATTAAGACTAGATTTATTCTTATTTTTCTTAAAAAAAAATGCTTTTTGAGAGAGACTTGAAAAGTAGTAAATGTAGCCAGGTATTAAATATTTGGCTTTGTTTATCCATGAAGTTTTTAAAACAGTTTGGAATGAGCCAAATATGATTCCTTATTAAACATAGGAAATTTGACATTCTCCAGCATTTTAAGCTTCTAATTATTTGCTCTGTAGCTCCTTATAAAAACTCATCAGTGAGGAAGAATACCTTTGATAAACTGTTTATCTACATAGGGCATCTGGTTCCCTTACTGTCTTTCAGGCACATCAAATCACCATAAAGCCATGCACCAGAACCATATGATATAGTTTCCAACATAGAGAATTTCTTTTTTTTTTTTTTTTTTTTTTTTTTTTTTTTTTGAGACGGAGTCTCGCTCTGTCTCCCGGGCTGGAGTGCAGTGGCGCGATCTCGGCTCACTGCAAGCTCCACCTTCCGGGTTCACACCGTTCTCCTTCCTCAGCCTCCTGAGTAACTGGGACTACAGGCGCCCGCCACCATGCCCGGCTAATTTTTTCTATTTTTTGTTGAGACGGGGTTTCACTGTGTTTGCCAGGATGGTCTCAATCTCCTGACATAGTGATCCACCCGCCTCGGCCTTCCAAAGTGCTGGGATTACAGGCGTGAGCCACCACGCCCGGCCCAACATAGAGAATTTAACAAAATTCCTTTATAGTATATCGCCATCATTTTACTAAATAATAAATATCTGAAATTTCTCATTTTCTTTTCTCTGTACCTCACTCACACAGAGATATAATTCTATGAGATCCTTTTCTCTTCTCTCAGAGTAACTGACTAGTTCAATAATTACCATGGAGGCATTTGTTAGCTGTAACCCTGCTTTATCTTAGAGCTCTATTAAGTGCTTCATTTTATCCCCTAAAGGATGTCCAATTTCATAACCCACAAATGAAAGTTTATTTTATCCTAACTATTTTTGTAGGGATGTACCGAGATACAGTTAATCATTCAGCATATATTTATTGAAACTTCCTTAATGACCATACTAAAGTGACCATAGCTGTGGAAAAAAATAACAGCATGGTTAAACAGATCACAGTGGGTGGTGAAATTTGATATAGGGTTGTCAGGGAAGTTCCCCTTGATATTTCAGCAGAGAGCTGAAGGAAATAACAAGCAAGCTATGTGGGTATCTGGAATGTAAGGTACAGCTTTTGCAACGGGCTTGAGTTTTGAGTATACTTGGAATATTCACAGAATTGTGATGATTCTGGTGTGGCTAGAGCAGAATGAGCCATTCTGAAGAATGATAGGAAATAAGATCAGAAAAGTAATCAGGTGTAAAATCATTTAAGACCTTTAGAAAATATTAAGCTTCTTAAATTTTAAGGAAAGAAGGAAAGCCATTTGAAATTTTAGTTTGAGGAGGAAAGTGAGGATACAAAATACAGTAATAAAATTCCCTATGATAGCCCTGATCTTTTTATGAGGCTTTGTGTTTGGTTTTTGTATTTGTTTTTCGTTTTTAAATGTGCTTCATTTCTTCTCCAGATCTGATCCCACAGAGATTCTACAAATCCTTTTACTGTCCCTAGAATGTCCACGCTGTTTTAGCCTCCTATCAACACAATAAAAGCCTAGAACGGTGACCATGCAATTATTTTGTTTTTAAAGGTTAACTTTTAATTGTTTCACTGAACCTCCTCTCTCCTTCCAAGCATTTTATCACATTGTTTACTTTATTTATTTATTTATTTATTTATTTATTTATTTATTTATTTATTTATTTGAGACAGAGTCTTGCTCTTGTCGTCATGCTGGAGTGCAGTGATGTGATCTTGGCTCACTGCAACCTCCGCCTCCCGGGTTCAAGGGCTTCTCCTGCCTCAGCCTCCCGAGTAGCTGGGACTACAGGCATGCGCCACCTCACCTGGCTAATTTTTTGTATTTTAGTAGAGACGGAGTTTCACCATGTTGGCCAGGATGGTCTTCATCTCCTGATCTCGTGATCCTCCCACCTCGGCCTCCCAAAGTGCTGGGATTACAGGCGTGAGCCACCACGCCTGGCCACATTATTCACTTTATAAAACAAAGCAAAGCAAGGCAAATTGTTTAAAACTGGTGTCTTTCTGTAGGTGGAGGGGAGTATTTTGTGATTCACAGAATAAGATTCTTTCCATATTTTCATGCTTTTCCCTGCCCCATTTTCTAAAGAAACTTTTCTTAACTTTCTTGTTGCTTAATGGTTCTATTGGGCTTCTTACATCTTTTTTTTTCTTAGTCGTTTTATAACTTCCTGGAAGTAAATGAAATGATAATTGAACTACTAGCAGTACTTAGTCAATACCTTAGTTTTGGGACTGCCAAAAATATTAATGGTCAAAATTTAATTATGTTTTATTGATTTGATTGATCTTAATTTATATCAGACAGAAAGCATTGACCCGTGAATATGTTCTACCACTTCTATGCCTTATTTTTTAGGTCTAAATTACACAGTGGAAGTGATTGGGTATATATTGCTGTTTATTTTCCAAAATATCATCACCTGTCAGAATATTTGTTCTATAATAAAATGCTAGAATAACATTCCCTGAAATTTTGAGAGACGGAGTTTCATGAATAAATAGCAGCTAGTGTATTTACCTTGTCTGGAAGAGAAGTAACAGAAGCACTTTGTGTCAATCAGTATGAAAATGTAATTTAATCCAATGAGACAAAAATCAATTTTCCTTTTTTGAAGTCTCAAAGTAGTTAAATATCACCTGTTCTACTTAATTAGTTTTTGATATTTGTACAAACTCACCTTTAAACTTCATAACAATACAGCCTTTTGTTTGAGCTTTAGATTTCCATTCTCTGTCCTAATTACATTCTGTTTTAGCTGGCTAGAGAGAGAAAAGTGAAAGCTTTTTCCGAAGACAGAAACCATGTTGTTTTAACAACGGTGCATGGGATTTTCAGGGTCCAATGATCATAACAGCCTTCTGCTTCATTTTCAACTGCTGTAGCCAGTAAGTGAAGTTCTGTCTGAAATATCACAAATTTACCACAAACCCACCATGCATTTTGAAGAAGGTTAAGAGTAAATTTTAAAGCTCTTTTTCCTTTGATTTTGGTGTTTATGAAAGCAGAAAGAAAAGAGGAGTTTTTACAGTTGGCAACTATATTTGAGTGAGAATTCAAAAACTGATTTGAAATTGCCTGAAAGAATGACATATGTGTAATAAATTAGGTAAGGTTTAGAAAGGAGACAGGTTAAGTGGACATAAATAATATGCAGGCATATATGGATCCAGTACTTCTAGAAAGATAAATCTATTCAAGTTCGGAAAGAATGAATCATTGCCAAAGTTAGTTTGTATATCTCAGGAGAAAATGTATCTGTGATGAATATGAAGAGGGACAATGGAGAGGCTCCTTCAAAGAAGAAATATTGTCCTAATTCCAAGAATGCTGTCTGATGAGAGCCTTCAGCCATCAACACTTTCAGGATGGCCTGTTGCTGAGAAATACCTTGCTCAAAGCCATCTCCTTGTTAGGATGGCAAATAACTAACGATTAATTGAGGTTGGAGGAAGGAGAAAAGATGGAAAGATGGAAAAAAGAGGCATTTATAAGGGCTACTCATTCCTGCTCAGCCCAGGACAGGTTAGATGGGCCATTTCTACTCCAGAGCTTCTGAGGAGGTTTGGCTGAGGCAGTCGTGCCTGCTCTGTCTAGTTTGCTTTCCCTTTTTCCCACAGGTGCTGATAGTAGGGTCTTAAACATCCTGACACTAAACTGTGACTCAGATTTGGCTTCCCTCAGAATATAGTCTAGTCAGCACCCAAGGATATAGCACCATTGTCTAGGTGACAGAAAATCATTGGTTCTTGAAATCATATGTGCCTCTATTATAGAGATTTCTTTTTGTATTGTCAACCAAATGTTTTATAGGCCACAGGTTATAGTAAAAAGAACTGATTATCATAGTTAGATTCCATGAAGTTCTATTTAATAGCACACACTGTCATCTCTGAGACTGTATGTTTTTTTTTACTTTCAAATTAATAAAAACTATGTTAGAGAGCAGTAGTTACAATTACAAAATTAATTGAAACTAGCTGGAGCCTCATTAGATAAACGGATACTTGAAGAGAGGAAACAAAGCATTATTGTTACAAAAATGAGCTTTTGTGTAAATCGAAGGTTGTTCAGGAAATAGCTTTGTCTCTTGATGGTAATGTGTTCTTGCCCAAATTTGTTAACCTCCCCCAATTTATTTCCTGATTAGCTGGCTTCCTGGAAGTTCAGGCAGTGGGAACCACCTACAGGTGATGGGATGCACAGAGAAGACAGAGGTGTTTTAAATTTTTTTTATTGTTCTTGTTCTTAATTTTTTTAAAAAACATTTTTGCTCCCTCCTGTCAGCACTATTAGCCTGTTGTGTCAGAATATTGTTTTGCATAGCATCTCTAGCAGTCTCTGTGTCTTTCTTAGACTACAGCCCCTTCTCCACAGTCCTGGTTTTCAATGAGCTTCAGTATCCCTTCCTTTCCTTTGTCCATTCAGCCCTCAGATAGTTTTGGCTTTCTGCTATTCCTAATTATTGATTACCTCACAATCTCTTGCTTGTTTCCTTAAGCCTGACTATCTCTGTGAAAGGGATCTCTTTGTTGAAATACTTTCATTTGAATCCTCTGGGGTGAATCCAGTTTCTCTGGGGACCTAGATCAATAGCATACTATCCCTTGTTTATATATATGAATATTTGTTTGTTGACTTTTTAGGGTTATAGTATATGAACTTTCAGTATAGTAATTACATTAATATTGTTTTTTCTTCCATTCTTTGAGCCTAAAATGACGGTTATACATAGTAGTCAATAAATAATTATATATTAACAAATGTACTTCCTCTGATTACATTTTATTATAATGTATTTTTTTCGTTACAATAATATAGGAGATATAGGAGACATGTCATGGATATTCTAGCTCTCCACAACATATTTATGGCGCTTGGTTTTCTCAAACTAATACTTTTGTCTAAGAAAACTGACATTGGGATACCCTGGGCATCCATTAATGTATAAAACTGGAAGTAGAAACAACAGCAGACTATTTCCGATTGAAGGATCCATTAATAAACATATTCCAGCTTACTTATATACTGTGTGCCATTGTACCCTGTTGTTTCATATTTTAATTTTATGTTTTCTAAACTGTATTTTGAGCACCCTCAATAGGATTTTACACACGTACACACATATACACACACATAAAGAATATATACATATATGTATATACACACATACAAATAAATACACACATTTTCTATATCCTCTATAGGTCTTTATTCCTAATTGTTGAAATGTATTTGTGACAAAAATATGATTATTATCAAAATGTAGCTGTCCTAAAGAGATAAACTGACTTTTTTTTTTACATTCTGATCCATTTTCAATTAATCATATAATTTTATAGATGATATTATATCCGACTTCCTATGTCACAGAGGGAAAAAATTATCATATTTCCTCTTGTAGAGAACAACTACTGAGGCTGGAAAATTTATTCATATTATCCTATTGTATAGAAGCTGAGTCCCAGGGGACCCTAAATTTGGTCATAACACTCATGCCTGAGAAACAATGAAGTATGGTATAGCAGTAGTGGTTTGAAGACGCATGAATGTTCTTCCCACTCTGTCCTGTTTTTTTTTTTTTTATTTAAAGTGTGGAAATAAAAGAAGAGTGGGATATTGGCAGATTCTTGAGATGAAAACAAATTAAAATGAGAAAACAGACACGTTAAACACAGAAATATCTGTATCATTTCATATGCTGTTGTCATAGTGCATTTCTCTAATATTTAGCAACGAGCCAGTACATCCCTGACTTTCAACAAATGAAGTTGCATCTTACTGCTTCCAGGAGTGATAAATGACAGATACTGGTGCCATAATTTTTCACTACTTGAATAGAACCTGTGAATAAAATGAAGAAACACATTCAACAAAATTATTTAAACAAAATTTCTGTGTGTGCTTTTCAGATACTTTTACAGTAGCGTTGTAAGTTTATTTTCTTTTCTTAAAATCCATTATTTTCTATTATTTACACACAATAATAATAATAACAAAAAAGTTTATTATCCAACTGATTAGTAATTCAAACACATAATCCCTAGCCTATCTTTTTAGTGCATCCTATGAAGGCTCAATAAATATTGATTAAAAGCCAGCAGTTATGATGATCTTTTTCATGCAGAAAATATGCGATTACTTTTACGATTATAAGTGTTAAATTCTAGTTCTACATAACAGAAATTTACAAAGCAGCATGTGACCACATTATCAGAAACAGAATGGATCAGAAAATGGCACTCAACAATTTCAATCAGATCTTGTTTCCTTTTCTGTTACATTATTCCGTAAACACCTATCCACGTAGAATCTTCTGAAGTCTCTATTCAAAACCAAGTATGAACTAGATAAAACTATGAAGATAATTAAGAATTTTACTGACACATAAAAAAGATTATTTTATGTGAAAAAATGTCGAGGTTTTTGTTTTGCACAATCTCAAGCTGTACTATATTTCCACGTGTAAAAATAGGCTAAGAATCTGTTCAGATGGAAGCTTGCAGCAAGGGTATAGTAAACACACATATCTATATATAGTGTGTGTGTGCCATATATATACATGTGTGCCATATATATATATATATACACATATATATAGTACAATGTTTAGTTAATAAAAATAGTTGGATTTAACATTAATTATTATTATATTATTTGCTTTAAAATTATTTGTGAAGGATGTGATTGTTGATTTTGTGTATGAACTTGCTAGGCCGTAATTCCAAGATATTTGGTCAAATATTATTCTGGATGCTAGATGTGTCTATAAAAATATTGTTTTGCATTTAAATTAGTAGTCTTTGAGTAAACCAGAATGCCCTGCATAATGTTGGTGCACTTGATCTAATCAGTTGAGGTCTTCATAGAATAAAGACTGAACCCACCCAAAGAGGAAATACTGTCAGTAGGCTGCCTTCAGACTTGAACTACAACATCGATTATTCTCAGGGTCCCCAGGCTGTCGGTCTACCCTGAAGAATTTGGACTTCTTCACAATAATTGAGACAATCCTTCATAATAAATCTCTTTGTATCTCTGTGTATTCTGTTGTTTCTGTTTTTCTGGAGTATGCTGACTAATGCATAAAGTTTACTTTATATCAGGTATGGCTATTACAGTTTGCCTGTTATCAACTTGACACCTCTTATATCCTCTTTCACCTTCTCCTCTGTTTCATAACAGTGATGTCTGGAATTATTTCTCAGAATGTCTTTTAACATATAGATCTGCATTATCAATTTTCTATGAGGGAAACTAGCACGAGATCTGCAAGGCAGAACTGAAGAACCATTATTCTCTGGAGATCATTGGGAGCAGATGCTTAAAGGCTATAAGCAAGATTCACACGGCTACTCTTAGGGAATGTTCTTGGGAATCACCCAGTTTTGACTTGCCAGTTGTGCACAGTAATGGAGGCAGCACACTAACCTCTAAGAGATTCTCCAGTTTCTGGGGTAGAACCTGTGAGCAACATGCTTCTAACAATGGCTTTTGGGATCTTTTCTCCATCAACTTTCCAAAAGATGTAAAAGTCTCTACTCCCTGTATTAAAACTCCCTGAGAACAGAATTGTTTAGTTTTTCTGACACCACTCTAAGTGATGCACTAGGCTAGGCGCTGAAGATACAAAGATTAATTAAAAAACAACTCTTGCCTGGCAGTCTTAACATCTTCCTGCACTTCATGTTAAAATACATAATTTAATATAACTTAAGTATCATTTAACATATTTTAATATATTTATTAAACAATTAAAGTACAGTAGTTAAATTCACACAGTACCTAAAGTTACATTGCAGTTCCACTTCACAGCTTGGTGATTTTGGGAAAGTTACTTTACCTCTCTAGGCCTCAGCATTGTTTTTTTTTTTTTTCTTAAATGGCAATACTCAGCTAATATATGTGAGCTATTTAGAACGGTTCCCAGCACATTGAATTTACCATATAAATATTAATTATTACATTGTTATTTTTATTATCATAATTGCAGCTTTCTATTGGTCAGCTGAACTAGTACCTCTTCCAATCAGTTTTATGAATGGGGGCTGGTTTTAGTTTTAAAGAACACATATTTTAATAACAAAATAGTATATCATAAATTAATAATATTGAATATACAAATGACATAGTAAATAATATCATAAATAATAAATAATTTTGTAAGTAATAATTTTTTTAATTAGCATCCATATAGGTAGTCAATTAATTTTAATTGAGTCTATAAAAGAAATACACACTCAATTAAAATGTATAACTCATTAAGTAAGCTTCGGTGAAATATAAACATAACTTTTTAAAAATATAAATAAGAAATTTTCATTTCACATCTGATTAATACAGAATTTCAAATTACACATTGTATTAACTTCTGCTGAGTGAAATATTAACTCTAATATCACTGGTGTCTTATCAACTTTTTCTTGCCAAATATATATACACATTTTTTAAATTTTGTGTTGCATTACAGACATTTGCTGTGTAATTTCATGTGTCACTTCATGAATTCTATGAAAAACCTCATGGGAATCTCTGTAACTGGTTAAAAGTCTTTACAAGAGATTTCCTGGCTTTTTGGCCCCATAAAAATTGGAGGCAACAGCCTGAGGATGTCTCTTGTTGAGTTCAGCAGAGAACAGCTTTACCTTGATGGACCCACCTCAGAGGAGTGAACTGAGGGTGAGCGTTGACAGGAAATCTCTGGACAGCAGTGGCCAGAGAAGAGATGAAGTACTAAAAATAAAAGCAATTGAAGTTAGCAATTACCCAGCCAGAAACCAAGTTTGCTCTCTGAGTTCATATTAGACTCACTTTGGGAATTCCTAGTTATGCAATGAGGATTATCAGTGGGAATTAATATTGGAGCTCTCAACTGGCATATTCAAGCACTGATATGATTTGATCTTAGTTCCTTCTAAGTATTGGAAAGAACTTCGAACATTTTCAATATTTATATATATATATATATATATATATACACTTTTTTTTTTTTTTTTTTTTTTGATGCAGAGTCTGACACTTTCGCCCAGGCTGGAGTGCAGTGGCGCGATCTAGGCTCACTGCAAGCTCCGCCTCCTGCGTTCACGCCATTCTCCTGCCTCAGCCTCCTGAGTAGCTGGGACTACAGGCGCCCGACACCACGCCCGGCTAATTGTATTTTTAGTGGAGACGGGGTTTCTTTCACCAGGTTAACCAGGATAGCCTCTATCTCCTGACCTCGTGATCCGCCCACCTCCGCTTCCCAAAGTGATGGGATTACAGGCGTGAGTCACCGTGCCAGGCAAATATTGATATGTTTAATTATTCTAATCTGCTTGAAGAAAATATCAGAATTACAAAATAAATTTTGGTATCTTCTTGGTAAACCCCCAAATTTTTCCAAGTACAGGGAATTTATTAATATAATGAAATATTTGTAATGGTATAGGGACACAAAACAAAATGGGGCACTCATTTTGTACTCAAACACAAGTTTTTATTTTACTAGTAACTTTCTAAGATGCCTATCAAATACTGTACATATAGTGAGTACTCAATTAATAATAGATATTCCCTTCATGACACTCTTTTAGGCCAAGAAATCTATGATATTCATTTAGTTATCTGAATATAAAAATACAGTAAATGTTATGCTCTATTTTTGAAGAAAGATAAGTGATTAACTGTGACATGTATGAATTATAGAGTATTATGAATTTATGAAGTATCGCAATTTTGGAATTTATTTTACAGATCATTTAAGATATGTGCAATAAATTTTCTGCTACATTATGCTTAGCTTTTCAGATTCTGTTTTACTTAAATTTGTTCTTTGTAGCAGAAGGGAGGTTTTTTTACCCCTCCCTTCAATCAATTAAAACCATGATTATCTTTATTTTCATGCTTATCTAAACCTTGTATATTCATTTTTACCTAATAAATAGTGGAGTTGTATTCAGTAATTTCTTGTGTGAGATCTGGTGGTCCGAAATGAAGCAACAACTATTTTGTGGTTCACACATGTTCTTACTCATCTACTGGCTGACCTCTTTGGTGTGAGACAGCAGCCAGACCTGCAACTGCTCCATCATTCCTAGATCCTCCTTCCTTTTCTCCGACTTCTGGGACAGTTATTTAGCATCACAGGGAGCAAGTCTAGCTTCTCCTGCAGGACATCCGTACATCATTAAGGGATGTGGATTTCAGTCTGTTCTTATGGTTTCCTGCGTGTCTTTTTTCTTTTTCAACTTTATATATATCCATCTCTTCCTCACTATCTGCCACAGACTTCAGGGTTTAGAATCAGACATGGACACAGCAGGCTTACAGTGAATGCCTGACTAGCTCCCGCAGTTGTAAAAGTCAAATCCTTGTGACAGATCCCACATTTTATCTATATACACATTCCAGTGGTTTTGCTCCTCTGATTGAACCCCGATACAGTAGATCTTAATATAAATTATCAAAATATTGCATACTTTAAAGATTGTGATAAAACATTTAGTTGTGAATAATTCCAAATTAAATTATTTGTATTAATTTAATTACAATTGAATATATTTGAATATATTTACTTGACAATCTATTAGAATTTGTAGATAAATGAATGATAAAGACTACTATGGAGTCAGATGTCCCATGTACAACTGCATGGAAATGGGTTTTCTTTAACTTACCTTGTTTTATGGCCTATTCACAATATGTTTGTCTAAGATCTCAAATTTAATATTAAATGTGTAATTTGCCTTTGAGTTATGTAGAGACATATAAAATGTCTGTAAATTTCTTTCAGTTATACGTGCATTTTTTTTCATTGAGTGCTTTGAAAACATAATTACAGGACTGAGCCAAAGCATAGAAGTGACATTCTAAGTTTGTTTTTAAGAAAGTTCTATCAGCTAAATTATGCCAAAAGGTATAATTATGAAGATATCCAGTAAATTTTATTTTAATTTCCTCAAAAAATATTAAACTTACCACAAATTTTAAGATGTTGTTGAAAATGTATGTGAGAAACCTAAAGAAAATCAGGTAGCACTTGTTCACCCACTTTAGAAATTGCAACTGATTTATAATCAGTAGGGGGTCTACATCTGAGGATTTGAAAAATCCATCAACCTAGTAGAGAAATTTTAGAGAACAAAAAATAGCTATAGAAACAAGTTTCCTGAACTAAAACTAATCATCTATCTTTTTATTCTAGAAAAAAAGGTGAAAGCTTCAGTCTTCAAATGATAATTAGAAAACGTGGGAGGAAAATGTTCTTGTTAGGTTGTGATACTGGTAATTTTTAAGGAAAGGGAAATAATTCTGCATGTATTCAGAATTTTCATTAGAATCATGAAGTAACAAGGTAATTGTACTATAAAATCAGAAGAAGAATTGGGACTAAGTTTGTTACCAGTGGAAGGTATCCGACTTACCAGCAGCAAATCCATATGGATCTGCAGCAACCTCAATTCTTGCCTCCTCAGAAGAAAATTTGACTGAGGGGCATGAGACAGAAAAAGAGACTGAGACAAGTTTCAGAGCAAGAGTGGAAGTTTATTTTAAAAGGGTTTATAACAGGAAAGAAAGGAAAGTACACTTGGAAGCGACTTGAAGGATAAGTGAGGCCACTTGAAGGATAAGTGAGGCGTTTAACCATGATTCTAGGACTTTATAGGCTGGCCCACTTCTGATGTGTTGTACCCCTTTCCCATGATTCTTCCCTTAGGATGGGCTGCCCGCATGTGCAGTGCCCTCCTTACCCTTGGGAACTGAGCACAGCAGTGTGTTTAGGAAGTTTTATGCATGCCCGCCTGAGGCTTTCTTACCTTTTCCAGTGGTGTGCCCTGGAAGGTCATACTCTGTCTTTTTGTCTCTTAACGTGTATGGCCAGGAAGTTGGTTCTCCCTGGTGTCTGCATTCAATTAGCACTTAAGTGCTACAGGTGTGGACCATCAGGAAATGGCTTTTCCCTAGGGCAGGCTCTCAATTTATCACTTTTAGAGGGGCAATGCGATCATTGTCAAACCATCACCTGACATTCATGGTGGGTGGGGGAGAGCCCTCTTCTGTCCCGCTCATGCCTGTCTAACTACCTGTAACAAGTTTAGTAATATCAATATAAATACCACTTCAGAGGAGGAGCAAGGTGGTGGAAAAGAAGTCTCCAATGATCATCCCGCCACCGCCACCGAAGAACACCAGTTTAACAACTATCTACAGAGAAAAAACAAAACAAAACAAAAAAAAACCCAAAAACACCTTTACAAGAACCAAAAATCAATTAAGTCCCCATAGTAGCTGATTTTATCTTCACATCACTGAAAGAGTCACTGAAGAGATAAATAAAACAATCCAGAATTGCGGATGCCATGCCTCCTTCACTCCTGGCAGCCACAGGGTGGTGCAGAGAATGTCTCTGGGTGCTGGGGGAGGGAGAACACAGCAATTGTGAGGCATTAAACTCATTGCTGTTCTGTTACAGCAGAAAGAAAAACTGGCCCAAACTCAGCTGACATCTGCCTATGGAGAGAGCCCTTATATCAGCGCTAGCCAGAGGGAACTAGCCCATGACTAGCCCATCCCAGTGGTCAGAACTTGAGTTCCTGCAAACTTCGTTACCATGAGCTAAAGTGCTGTGTCTCTAAGTGAACTTGAAAGAACTCTGTGTCTCTAAATGAACTTGAAAAGCAGTATAGGCTATGAGGACAGCAACATTTAGGCCAGTCCTAGCACTGAACTAGGCCCAGAGACAGTGGACTGAGAAGACACGTGACATACTGAGACATAAGTAGGTGCAGCCAAGGGAATGCTGGCCTCATCCCTCCCTTAACCCCAGGCTGCACAGCTCCTGGCTTCAAAAGAGACCCTTTCCTCCTGCTTTAGGAGAGAAGAGGGAAAATACAGAGGACTTTGACTTGCATCTTGAATACCAGCTAAGCCATAGCAGGATAGGGCACCAGTCAGAGTCAGGAGGCCTTTTTTCCAGTCCCTAGCTTCCAGGTGACATTTCTAGACACATCCTTGCACCAGATGGGAACCCGCTGCCTTGAAGGAAAGAACCTAGTCCTGGCAGCATTAATCACCTGCTAACTGAAGAGCCCTTGGGCCCTAAATAATCAACAGTGACACCGAGTTACTAGATCTAGGACCTTGGGTTAGCCTTTGAGACTTGCTGGCTTCAGATTAGACTCAGCACGTTTTTGAGCTGTGTTAGCTATAGGGCAAAACTCCTTCTGCTTGAGAAAAGAAGAGGAAAATATAAAGGGGACTTTGTCTTGCAACTTGGGTACCAGCATGGCCACATGGTGGTAGAGCACCAAGTGGGCTCTTGCTTCCAGGACTTGACCCTTGAATGGCATTTCTGGACCTTCCCTGAAACAGGAGGAAGCCCACTGCCCTGAAAGGTGAGTCCCAGGGCAAGCAGCATTCACCACAAGACATTTTAAAAGCCGCTGGGCCTTAAGGGAACATCAGAGGTAGTCTGGCAGTATTCCTAGTGGCCTGGGTGGTGGTAGCTATAGAGTGATGCTCCTCTGCCCTTGGAAAGGGGAGGGAAGAGTGGGAAGGACTGCATCTTGTGGTTCGAGTGCCAGCTCAGCAACAGTAGAATAGAACACCAGGTAGATTTCTAAGGTTTTTAATTCAAATCCCAGACTCCCTGAGGGCACCTCTGGATCCATTCAGGGCCTGGGGACATTAACTCCCTGAAGGGAAGGACACAGGCCTGGCTGTCTTTGCCATTTACTGGATTGTAGAGCTCCAGGGACTTGAGTGAACATAGGCAGTAGCCAGGGAGTTGATATAACAGGCCTTGGACAAGACCCACTGCTGGGCTGACTTCAGGTCTGACTCAGTGCAGTCGAGTGGTGGTGGCCACAGGGAGGAGTTTTTTGTAACTCCACCTCCAGCTTTAGGTGGCTCAGAACAGAGAGAGACTTTGTGTGTTTGGGAAAAAGTAAGGAAAGTTGACAACAGTGTCTGCCTGGTAATCCAGAGAATTATCTTAGATCTTGCCCAAGGCCATCAAGGTGGTACCTCTACGAGTCCACAAGGGCCACATTGTTACTGGGTGTGTGGAGCCCCCAGCTTAGATCAACACCTAAGTCCTGTCAAATGTCTGGAAAGCCTTCCCATGAAAGACAGGCACCTACAAGCCCAGACAGTGACTACAATAAATACCTAACTCTTCAATGCCCAGACACTGAAGAACATCTACTAGCATCAACACTATCCAGGAAAACGTAACTTTACCAAGTAACAAAATAAGGCACCAGGAACCAATGCTGGAGAAACAGAGATATGCGACCTTTCAGATAGAGAATTCAAACTAGCTGTGTTAAGAAAACTCAGAAAAATTCAAGATAATACAGAGAAGGAATTCAAAGTTCTATCAGATAAATTTAACAGAGAGATTTAAATAATTCAAAAGAATCAAGGAGAAATTCTGGAGATGAAAAATGCAATTGGCATACTGATGAAACGCATTAGAGTCCATTAATAGCAGAACTGATCAAGCAGAAGAAAGAATTAGTGAGACTGGACAGGTTATTTGAAAATACACAGAGGAAACAAAAGAAAAAATAGAAAACAATGAAACACTCCTGTAGGATATACAAAATTACCTCAAAATGGCAAATTAAGAATTATTGATCTTTTTTTTTTTTTGAGACGGAGTCTCGTTCTGTCGCCCAGGCTGGAGTACAGTGGCGCGATCTGGGCTCACTGCTTTGCCTCCCGGGTTCACACCATTCTCCTGCCTCAGCCTCCCGAGTAGCTGGGACTACAGGCGCCCACCACCACGCCCGACTAATTTTTTGTATTTTTTAGTAGAGAGGGGGTTTCACTGTGTTAGCCAGGATGGTCTCCATCTCCTGACCTCATGATCCACCCGCCTCAGCCTCCCAAAGTGCTGGGATTACAGGCGTGAGCCACCGCGCCCGGCCAAGAATTATTGATCTTAAAGAGGAAGTAAAGAAAGAGTTAGAGGTGGCTCAAGCCTGTAATCCCAGCACTTTGGGAGGCCGAGGTGGGAGGATCACGAGGTCAGGAGATCGAGACCATCCTGGCTAACACGGTGAAACCCCGTCTCTACTAAAAATACAAAAAAATTAGCTGAGCGTGGTGTCGGGTGCCTGTGGTCCCAGCTACTCGGGAGGCTGAGGCAGGAGAATGGCATGAACCCGGGAGGCAGAGCTTGCAGTGAGCCGAGATTGCGCCACTGCACTCCAGCCTGGGTGGCAGAGCGAGACTCAGTCTCAAAAAAAAAAAAAAAAAAAAAAAAAGAAAGAGTTAGGGGTAGAAACTTTATTCAAAGAGATAATAACAGAGAACTTCTCAAACCTAGAAAAATATATCAATATAAATGCAACTTCTGGTTCCTAAATGTGTCTCTTTGGTACATCTGGAAAAGATTATCTTCAATTTTCCTTCAGTGCTAACGACTTTCAATTCTGTTTATTTACCTTTGCCATCAGGCATCATTTCATATCCTTTATTCTCTATGAAAAAATATAAAGAATATTCCATTAGTCATTTTCATTTGTTATTTCAACTCTCTTCTTTCCTTATTAGGACTGAGAACAAGGAAAGATAAGGTTCCCATGATTAAAGAAAGAATATGATAATTCTCAAAAGAGACACCCGATAATCATGTTTTTGGTAATATATTCTTACCCTTAGATAATTTTGAGTAAAAGCCATTGTATCTTGTCAAAGGATTTTCAGACGCTGAAGATACCCTGCTAGGAAGCTCTGAATTCCTAACACAGAGGAACTCTAACTCTAAAGCCAACATCATGAACTAGAGTTGGATGGAAAAATGTACATATGAATAAAAGTGTTTAAGTAATTAAAAATAAAGACAAAAATATGATTATTGCAAGGATAATATTTTGACACAAAATATAAACTTAAACTTTTTAAGTGTAATATAGTAGTCAAAGTGAAGAGCCTACTAAATATTTCAGTATCCTACAGAAACAATCTATTTCAAGTAACTATCCATCTTTAGTCTTGGCAATTTTCGCTGGCTCAAAAGGATAAGAAGTTCTAACACTGCCAACACCTACACTAGTATCAAATTGTTCCCTTTTAAATTATTTTTATCACTAGATGACAACTTTGTCACAGTAGGGTGACTCAAAAAAATCTCACTTGAACTCCAGCCTGGGCAGCAGGACCAGACCCTGTTTAAAGAAAAAAATCTCACTTGCCACTGAAAGCATATTAGTGCTTAACCATTTCTCTTATATTCTTGACTTCTTGTGCTCTAGATTATATTTTTATTCCACACTATGTCCAATGAGTTACAAGCTTGCTCAAATGTGTAATTAAAATTTTACAAATTTTTTTAAATATTACTGAATAAAAAGGTTAATATTAGGGTTTAAAATGAGTGAAGAATTTCAACAGATTTGTTTTAGTACAGATACATAATTAGTGAGACATATTTCTATATGGATGTAGATATAGTTGCTTCAGTGAATCATGACAATCACTCTTTTGGTTTCTGCATGTTGCTTTACGTTAATTATAATAAATACTACAAATATAAAAATATCTGTGACTACATCTGAAGCTGTCTGAATTTTTCAGTTTTTATATATACCATTAATAAAGCATATATTTATATGTATATGCTGCTTTTCAGTTTTTATATATGCTGTTATGCATATATGCTGCTTTCCAGTTTTTATATATGCTGTTAATACAGTCATTTGAGAAAACAGATTTGCATCTCCAGGTGATCTCCTTCTCTGTCTTAATAGACAATATACAATTGCTTTTCATTTTCCCTTCTATTACCTCTTATTTTAGCCTTCCATCCTTTGCCCATTAAAGTAATTGCTTGAAGATTGTATCCTTTGTTGGAAAGTTATAGATATGCTAAGTGGAGTGTAACAGATGAATTTTTTAATTTGAAAACCTACTAGCTATCAGGTAATAAGCAATGACTCTTGCTAGTTTTATTGACTATTAAAGGCACATTTTATAACACATATTTCTGCATATACTTTATTTTCAAGTTGAAGCTTGAGGTGCTAAATTACATATCATATCTCTTGAGATCATTATTATAAAGCCATGTGTTACATAGGTTGGTCAAATAAAATATTCTTACAACCCCCTGTCCTCTGCCCCACACTATCACTCTTAGTTTTCTGATGAATTTTTCTTTAAAGAAGTTCCCATATTGTAATACAATTTATTACATAGAGTTTTGTGCAGTCTATTCACACATCTTAATAATTTTAATAATTTGAGAGAACATGGCATATTATACAAAGGTCTTGGCATTGAGAATTAGGCAAAATTTGTTATTTACTAATTTTGTGTCCATAATCTGTCAAAGTCTGATTTCTCACAGGTAAATACAGGGTTGTGGTGAAGGCTGGGGTAGAGAAAGTATAACATATATTTTGAACAGTGATTAACACATAACAGGTACTTAATAAACATAAATTATACTCTACACATACTTTTATGTTCACATCCTCAATGTGTTATCCAAACTTTACTATTTCAAAGAAAGAAGTATCTATTTTTAATACAAATCTTTCCCTCGTAAAAATCTTTCCAAAAGACGTGCCTGCTTACTATATTTTTTTAAAAAATATAAACTGCCTGGTTTAAATGCAATAAAGTCTAAAAATATCTTTTTTAAATTATCAGTAAATGTTTGATTCTTTTATATACGGTGATAGTAGTATTCGTGTGGAATTTAATTAAATACCGCCTTCCTCAAAATTGCAAAGACAAACTATCTGGTTCTTTCTTTTCAATTAAAGACTGAGATTTATTTTCAAGTAATTATTCTTTTATTGCAATTGAGATGTATTGCAGCTCTAATTACATGACATTCTTTTTGAGGCTTAAAATGTCAATATGTAAAAAATTATATTTGTAATTTCTGGTGAATATTATAGTTACTACAATAATGTTGAGAGGATTCATCTCCTTATATTTAAAATGAAATCATACCAGCAGCATTGATGCACCTTTATTTTATAAATTCTTTTCATAATGATTAATTGGTACAACAGTCATTTCCATTAGAGTCTGTTGCTAGGTGGGATTTTCTAAAAGGGATTATCTAAAAGTTTACAGTCATTAAATGGAACTTGCTCTAAAATCTGTGACATTCCTATGAGGAAAATTAGTATACCGTGTAGGACTGGTAAAGGTGGTATATAGTCACAAGACTATGGGAGTGAAAGAGGGAGTGTGAAGGTAACATACAACTGGAAAGATTATAATCAATACTAACTACTATTGTTGACAAAGGAATTAATAATTCAACTAAAAGTATTTCAAAGAGCCAAGCAGGATTACATTTTTTTTTAAATCTGACTTTATGTCCATTTTTTAAATTAGTGCAATTGAATTTCAAAGATTATCAGTTTGCTAGTAATCTAAGGGGAAATGCTAATTTTAAAGTTTCAGAAAAGATTATAAAATGTCAAAGTTTTTATACATATTTTTGTCTTTCTACTTCATAGCATATATATCATTTCAAATAATATATATTAATACATTTATTGTTCTATTACAAAATGTCAAAGTTTTTATACATATTTTTATCTTTCTACTTCATAGCATATGTATCATCTCATTTCTTCTTAAATAAGCAAATGTACATTGGAAGTATATGCCTTTTAGAAGGATAAAATAATTTTTGGTAAATTATTTGGTATTTTAAATATATGCCTGTGGGTAAGAAAAAATGAATCTATTTATAGATTTCAAAATGACTATTTAATATAGTGATGTGAATGTTTAACAATTAGCTGTTGTCTTATTTTTATTTTTAAACTAACTTAATTTAATACATATTATTTTATTCCTTATGTTTACTAATATATACATATATTATTACTAATATATACATATAAGTAATATTAGTAAACATATTAGTAAAAATGTTAGTTAACATAAGGAATAAAATAATATATATTAATCCATTTATTGTTCTAGTCAAAAAATATTATTTACTATAGTCCCTCAAATATTAAATTAAGTTTGGTTAAAAATAAAAATAAGACAACACCTAATTGCTAAACATTCACATCACTACATTAAATAGTCATTTTAAAATCTATAAAGAGATTTGAAATATTTAAAGAGGAGGTAAAGAAAGAGATAGGGGTAGAAAGTTTATTCAAAGAGATAATAACAGAGAACTTCTCAAACCTAGAAAAATATATCAATATAAATGCAACTTCTGGTTCCTAAATGTGTCTCTTTGGTACATCTGGAAAAGATCAGCTTCAGTTTTCCTTCAGGGCCATCGACTTTTAATTCTATTTACCCACAGGCATATATTTAAAATACCAAATAATACACCAAAAATTATTTTATCCTTCTAAAAGGCATATACTTCCAATGTACATTTGCTTATTTAGTAAGAAAAATAGAAAAAGTTCATGATGCCTTATTAATTAAAATTTATATAATTACTTTCATGTTATTTAAACAGCATCTGGAAGTTCAGCTGAATTCCAGACAGTTTTGCCTTGTAGGCCTGAAACTAATTCTTTTAAATTAGTTGGAACAAAATTATGCAAAATAAGAATTTTTAAGAGAACCTTCTTATAAAACATAAGATGGAATAAAATACTCCTTAGGCACTCAGATAATTCCAACCCTTTACTTAGAAATTATCTTTAGATTCAAGTAATAACACTCTTGAAACACTACCAAATTTCTAACAACTTTATACGTAACATGTGGCATATAAGACCAAATTACTCTCTGGAAATATGATAACAGTTAATCGTTAACGCTAAGAAAAATATTCCATGATGTTGATAATTTGTGAAGCATTGCACACAGATATAATCTATAATGGCATATGTTTCCAATATGATTTTTGGAAGGATAGGTAACCACATATTTATCATTACCCCATATTATTTCCACGTTTTTGGGACAGATAACTTAAATCTTTTCTTCTGTTCAAGAATTCATTACAGTAAGTTGAAACACTGAGATTAAAGTAAAAGTGAGTTTAAACTGTAACCAACATTGAGAATTGGCTGCAAAAGAGCATTTCTATCTTTTATTTTTAAAGGGACATTTATAAAATGCGGGACTTTATTTCTTGTCTGCTCTCCACATTTTAATTTTTTTCTATACTCATATTAAAATTTTTCTAAGCAATATTTTGCTATTTTTCTGATGTGTTGAAATTATATTATTACTAGATGCCATCATTTATAATTATATTTAAATTTATAATATGCTATTGATAATAGTGAGATTAACAGTTTGTATTTATTGAGCAAATACTATGGCCTAGGCATCATGCTCAACAGTTTACCTAAATTTGTGCTTTAATCTGCAGCCTTTATTTAGCAGATTCTGTTATTATCCTTGATTTACAAATTAAGAAAGTGAGATTTGAAGAAATTAAGTAACTTGTCCAGAGCAGATAATTACTACTGCTGAACATTTAACTCCAAGTTCTTAAAGTCTTTACTTGGTGTACTTTATAAAATAATTTTATTTATTCTCTTTCAGTCAGTAAGATTGTATGACTTTTACTTTAAAATTTAATAAGTGACTTTAGGCATAAGAAAGTAATATAGAATACATTATCTCTGTATATTATATATTTGTATATCAAATTAAATAGTGAACACTCATTTACATATTAGTAAACATAAGGAATACATCCTTGTAGTAAAAATAAAACCCTCATGTATACTGTCCATAATTTTTCTCCTTTCCTCTTGATGTCACCTAAGAAGTAGCAACTTATATTCATTGGTATTTCTTTAAGTTTTACTGCATGTGTGCCTCTAAATAATATACAGAGTTTTGCTTTGTATATTAAAAAAAACTCATAAGAATGATAATTATACTATGTGTTTTAATTTTTCTTTTGCTATGTGATTTGCTGCTGCTGTTGTTTTTGTTTGGCTTGATATATTTGTGACAATAATCTTTGTTATTTGTATTGTTCCAGTTCATTTATTTTCATGGTTTAATAATATTCCATTATATAAACAAACCATAATTCATTTGTCCTTACTCTTATTGAGAAACGTTTTTGACCACAACACATAATGAGGTTCTGAATATTTGTGTCCAGCTCTTCTCATATAAATATGTGAATGTTTCTCTAGGGCTAAGAATAACTGAGAGTGGAACTGGGTCATAATTTTTGCCTATCTTCTACCCTACTTAATGATGTCAATTAGTTATCAATTTAATTGTGGAAATTTACATGCTTAGAAAAGTATTAATGTATTCTATTTCCTATTTCTCATCATTACTACCAGCATTTGAGATTGCAAATATTAATTTTTGGCAATCTTCTGAGCCTTAAATGGTATATAATTGACCCTACAATTCAATTTGTGTATCCTTGACTATTAGTGATATTGTACACTTTTTAATGTATGTGTGGATCATACATGTCTCTACCTCTTTGAATTTCCCTTCCATGTGGGTATTATTTCTTCTTTTTTAACCTGATATGTAGCTCTTTATATATATGAATGGCAAATATCTTGCTGTTATATTTTTCTTTCACATTTTATGATGTATCTTTATAAAGTTTTAAGGATTTATGTAATATATCCATCTTACATTTATTTTGCAATTTTTTTGTCCTATAAAAGAATCTGTTTTTTGCTATTCAAAATAATAAAAATTGCTTTTTTATCTATGCTATAAGCTTAAGAAAGATGTTTTTCACATTTAGGTATTTTTAATCAATATAAAATAATTTTTGTGTATGTAGTTCAATGGCTATCATTTTTCACAGAGATCATCTTTTAGCATCACATTATATAGTTATGGGTCTGCTTCTCAACGTTATGTACCCTTTTATCAATAGTTATAGCTATGAGTCTGCTTATTCACTCTATGTGTCCTTTTATTAATTTGCTATATAATTTGGTGCTAATAGCGTAGAGTTTTAATCGCTACTACCATAGCATATTCTCATATACGGTAGGACAATTTCCCTTATTTTTTTTCCATCTTCTTTATATTAAGACCTTTAATCTCTATGTAAATTATAAAACCAACTCTCAGTTTTAGTGTAAAATTTGGGTTGATATTATTTATTGAAGTTACATGGTTTTCATAGACAAATTTTGGGAACTTCCACACATTTATTCTATCGTCTTCCTATTCATTAATATGATTAAGCTGTTTATTTGTGATTTTATTTAATGTTGGTCATTTTTTTTGTTTTTGTTTGTTTTGTTGTTGTTGTTGTTGTTGTTGTTTTTGAGACGAAGTCTCACTCTGTCGCCCAGGCTGGAGTGCAGTGGCGCGATCTCGGCTCACTGCAGCCTCCGCCTCCCAGGTTCACACAATTCTTCTGCATCAGCCTCCCGAGTAGCTGGGACTACAGGCATGAGTCACCATGTCCAGCCAGTATTTTAAGAAATAATGTTCTTCATGAAAGTGAAATATATTTCAAACAGCACACCTTTGGCCATTGATCTCAATACTGCTTATATTGTGGTCAGAAATCATGGAATGCTACATATTCTTTGAAAATGATAAAGATTTTTTTAATAGCCTAGATTTTAGTTTTTTAAATAAATAATATTCACAAATGTTTCATCTGTGCTTCAAAAGTATACATACTTTCAAATTGTTTTTATGTAAAACTTTCTATGTATATATGTACATACATTTGCATGTATGTATTGGATCTTATTATGTCACTCAAACTTTTCCTAACCCTGTTACTACTTGGACTGATTAACTTGTTGAATAACAAGAGAGATGTATTTAAAATCTTCAACTGTGACAGGGAATTTGTCAACCGGTATGCATAACTATCTTAAAACAGTGTATGCTTTATCTTGATGGTATATTATTAGGTGCATGTATACTTTGAAATATTATTACTGTTGAATTAAGCATTATAAAGTATTAGGTACCTATTTGTTTAATAATGTTGTTTCAATGAATTCCATATGTTTAGTATTAACATGACCTCACATATTTTCTTAGTTTTTAGCTTTACCATGCACATTATTTTACAACCCTTTAACTTTCAAACTATCCATATCCTAATTTTTAGATACCTTTTAGGTAAATAGTACATAAATTTTTACCCAATTTTGTAATCTACATTGACATTTCCTGTAATTACTATTGACTTGAATTTATACTTTATAATTTTCTTGTTGAATGCATCTGCTCTGTTCTTTTAGACATTCTTTAATGAATAATTATAAAATATGTAATATAGTATAGAAAAATCTTCTTTATTATTTTCAAAGTAATTTTTAATTTTTAAGGTGTCTTGATCATTGCTCATATTTTTTAAATGATCCTTTACCATTATTATGTGTATCTCTTTTCAACTTGTTTTATGTGTTCTATGTGTAATTGAATAGCCAAGTCTCTGTCATGTATTTCTACCCTTTGTTACTTCTGCTGACTCATGATGCTTGCTAGTACATACATTTTCCTTTTTCTTTCAAAACATTTAGAGCTTATATCCCTTTGCTGTTAATCTGTAGAAATCAAAATAGTCTAATATGTATATATACATTTTGTCAGAAATTATGTATTTTTGTTCTACTACTTGTCCTGGAATGTTACAGGTTGTGTTACCTTAACTAATAAAGATGCTGCATTTATGTATTCTCCTTTTTATTACTTAATGTTTCTAAATATTCAATAAAATTAGAGTAGTCATATATTATACTTTACTAATCTAGGAAGTTAATTAGGCATAACTGGATAAGGCATGGACTGTGATATATAGACTATTATATATATGTGACATTAACTATTTCAAGAATAGTATGTGTGTTATATATGTTTTAGGCTAATAATTATTTTAGAAAAAATAACTAATTGGCATTATATAAAAGCAACTTGTTTCTAGCACGTTTGGAGATTACACTTTTCTCATTTATAATTGGTAGACATTTTTCCATTTTCTTTGATAAAAATAATTTCAGAAAATATAGACAATCCTGGACCTGGCTTAACAGCTTCTGAATTGATAGTTTCCCTTTACAATAATTAGCACTTATTCGTATTTTTTAATACAAAAAATTATAAACATTCAATAAATATCAATATTTATACTTTTATTCTCCTATTACCAAATGTTTAAAATAATCCATTCATAAAAACATTTATTAATCATAAATATAATAGTTTAAATTGAAGTAAAACATTTTAATATCATGAAAATAGTGAAAGATTAGGGATCAACGATTACGTTAATGCTGAGATATGAAAATATAAATTAATATCATATGGTCAAAAACTATGAGATAAATTGTGAGTAAACTTAGTCTTTGTTAAGTTTTATGTGATCCCAGAATAGTTGGCATAAACTGATAGTTTAAATAAGTGAGAACTATTGGGCCTGCTTTTGTGGAACTTATTTTCCATGTCTTTAGACATTTTTATATCTATTCTCTAAATATTTTCTGAATTATCTATGTGAAATAATCTAACTGATTCATGGACATCACATTGGTTATTTTAAATAACACGTAGGCTACTCTAACACCCATTACTTTTGCTTCATCTAGTCATGTCTTTTAAAAGAGATTTTTTAGTATTTTTAATTCTTTTCAAATTCTTGCCACAGTCCGATGTTTATTTTTTTGAAAATCACTTACTTTCTCTACATTTCTATAAGTAATTTGACTTTTGTGTCTATTTCTTAGTAATCCTCATTATATTCACACACTTCTATCCTTAGAAGTATTTTTTCCTTTGTAATAACAAATAATATTGACTTCTGATTAATAAATGAACACAATTTGAACTGATTATTCTTCCTATTTGAAAATCAAATTCACAAAGTTTTTCATACTTAACGCTGATCTTCTGAGTATGCACATCTCACTTTTGGAAATAAACCCATATGGAGAATTTTTCATTTACCTTAAAATATTTTACTAAAACTCTAATCTCATTCATGAGTGGCACGTGAGTAGAGCCAGGTGTCAGTCACCTAGTGAGATGGATTAACTTGCTTATCATCACAGCAGAGGGAATGTGCATGCAGGTTTGTGTGCATCCATGTGTGTATGTAGTTGTGTAATAAACTTATTTGAGTGTCAATTTCTTTATCATAGTCTGAAAAAAAAATATGTCCTGTAATGGCAACTCAGTTGAATGAGGGTTTGAATTCTAATAGCCTCCTCCTTATTTTATTTTTATCTCTTTCTCTAATTGTGATAGAAATATGAAAAAAAGATATAACTTAAAGAAATTATAGACTATAATTTTAAAACATAGATTAGAGTCTGCATTTGTTACAACACATCCACTCAGAATATTTCTTTATCTCTTAGATTTTTTGTGTGGTGAATAGTAAATACTTTGTTAGTAGTTGATATTATTAAGCGGTTCTCACTAATTTAAATTGGTCCCCAAATAAGAAAAGCAAACTTATCTGAGATAAAGTTGATCTTTGGAGAGTATTCAACTTATTCACATGTAAAAGACCTCATATATGATTACTAGGTTTATTTTGTATTATTTTAGGAGATATATAACAAATATGCTATATTTTAAATATTTATGTTTGCATTGTCTGATGCAATTCAAATTATCTATAAAGCCTATGCTATTTAAGTTGGTTATTTAATATTTATAATTAATTTAATTGTCTACTTTTTGGAGTGAGATGATCTTATAAACATTCTGCATGGTTCCAAATCTCTTATATTTAGAAGACCTACAGCATCTGAATTTTTACACTTTGAATCTCTTTCTAGGTTTGGTTATATGAAAGGGAATTTCCATACACATATTGTAACATGTCAGTAATGAAATACATTTTGTTTCAAAGTATTGAACTTTTTGCTATAGTTGAAAACATTTTAGAATGTATTTATATGCATTTTCAAGCGATTTTTTCCCATTAAAGAGTAGCATGTTCATTTGAGTTTTTGGTAATTTTAAGAATTTCTGAGTTCTCTATCCTGCATATTAATATCAGACTATTTTATAGTGCCCCTACTTTATAATAAAGGATTAAAAAGTGTTTGGTACTGTAGCTAATTTTCAAAAATAAAGTGGGATGAAATATTCAGAAAAGTCAATTTGCCTCTGACATATTGCCACTGGCCATCATAGCTCTAAAATTTCAGGTGAAGCCCCCTTTGGCATATTTTGGAATGATTCCTCTACTCCTCACTGAAAGTTGGTAAATTGCTTGTGTATTCATTTCTTATACTCACTATTTTTATTTCATGACCATTGATTTTACTCTATTTTACTATTCATTGGATACCATCATTCCAATAGTCCCCTCCTATAATAATTGTTCTTGTATATATTTTAATATCTACTAGGTTAAACCTGCTTTGTTATTCTACATAAATAGAATAGAAACTCATTTTATTTTATTTCATAATTTATTCTTTCAAAAGAATGTTTCTAATGTCAATACATGTAGAGTTTTAATTGAAGTCATATGCCAACAAATACATATGTGTTTATATTATATATAATATGTCTATTGTTAGACATAAATTTAAAGTAGTTGATCTAATTATGAGAATGTCACTCCATCCTAGAAAAACTGGCATATTGACAAAATTACTGTATTTCACTGATTCTAAGATACTTTTGCAAATAACATTTTGATACAAGATACATTTAAAATTGATGATATAATAGCATCTTTAAGTCTGGGGCTCTATAATTTTAGTGTTATGTAGAATACTGGTGTCTTTCAAAAAGAAGGAAACATTACATTACATGAAATGAGTTAACTTTTTCTTAACTTTCACAATGTTTTGTAATTATATTCCTGCCATTTACATATTTTGTTTACATTTTTCCTATGTGATAATAATATTATTGTTACTTTGAATAGGATCTGAATAGGGGTGTGTGTGTGTGTGTGTGTATGTGTGTATGCAGATCTTGCACACAGCTTCTTTTTGCTTATAGTTGCCTTGAATTTTCTGAAATTAGCAGTTTAAAAATGTTTTACTTTTATTCTTTTTATTTCAAATGGTCAGTCTTCTCAATTCAATATGTGATTTTGAACCATAGTCTTTAAAAATATCCACTGATTTTTTTTTCTGCCACTTAAACAGAAAGATTAGTCTTTACTCAGAGTTGGTTTACAGTCAGGTAGATATTGGCATGATGTTGGCTGACATTTTGCTAATTTCCGCTCAAAATTGTATGCCAACATTGAGGTAGTGGCCTGAATATATATTCTCATAAATGTACAATATGAGGAGACTAAATAGTCTATGTTGAATCAGAAGTTTGTGTTATTATAAGTAGTTAGTGTACAGTTTTATTGTTCTGCTACTTCTCTGAATTTGGTATGATTTTCACAATAAGAAAAAAACCTGTAATCTCTGGCCTTTGCCAGAAGAGGCTGGGGACAATAAAATGTTAAGACTTGATCTTCTCATCAATACTAATAGAAGCCAATTGCTACCTGTTCATAGAATTGGCACCTGATTATCCTATGAACTGATTGAATTAGAATGGATGCTTCTCATATTTATTCCTTGTACATCACCCTATTTCACACAGACCTCTTTTAGTTTGGTCCCACCTGTGGGCTCTCTAAAAAAAACAGTCATCAATGATTCTGAAAAGACTATGATTCTAACCCTTAGTTTCTAGTCATGATGAAGATTCTTTACTTGATTTTGTTTAGTTTCTTATTTGTATTTGTTTATTTTGAGGATCACTTCTGTAGAAATTTCAAAGAAATAAGGAGATATGCATCTGGACAAATTATCATCTTGATCAGAGTTATCAAGACAAAGAAAATAAGCTTCATTTTTCTTTCTTTTTTTTTTTTTTTTTGCTCTCCAGCTTACAGTTAAGGGCTGCTGTTGTCATTCTGCAATTGAATGAAATTGATTGAACAATTAATTGGAAGGTCTTATACTTAAAATCTCAGGACAGGTATAGGTACAGACTGACATGCTGCTCTTCAGGCATGGCGCGTGTCTAGTGCTCCCTTTCGACAGAGTCTGCTTACTTGTTTGTCTTGGCAACTGTTTTGGTCTCCCAGGAGCAGTTTTCTCTTGGTGCTATCACACAGAGATTAATGCAAAAATGTAACAGCTCTTTTCCAGTAGGTCAATAGGTAAAGAAAATAAAAAAGTTGCAAAACTCCCATAAAGACAGGTTTGCATTTTCTTGCGGAGTAAGTTGTATATCAACAGAGCCTTTGAAATATTTTCTGTTTTCATAA
This sequence comes from Homo sapiens, assembly GCF_000001405.40. Lineage (NCBI taxonomy): Eukaryota > Metazoa > Chordata > Mammalia > Primates > Hominidae > Homo > Homo sapiens. The sequence continues at coordinate 64,465,252 of NC_000004.12, read as the reverse complement.
ATGTGAAAGCCAATGTGATAAAATAAAACACAAGTACTGTGTAATTATATGACAATTAAGAGAAACCTTAATATATATTTCTTTTTTAGATAAAAAGTTACTCATTTAGAATGGTGTATTGGTACTGTTATTGAAGATATTATTGGTAATGCAAGTACTGTTGGTCCATCATTTATAAATCATTTATTTGAAAAGTTATACCAAAAACTATTTCAATATATTTTTAAAAGACTGAAGGAAAAAACAAGTTAACTAAACTCAGAATCATAACAGATCACACTCGGAGACTGGTGAGGAACTCAGAATGCTGATTTAATCCAAACCAAATAGACTATTTTATGAGTTATTTGTTCAATTTAAGGAAAACAGGAAAAGTTTAACTTGGTTCACGCATTCCAAGTTCCTTAAACAACTTTGATCAGGCAAGGAGCATGTTAGGAACTCAGTTCCGGTTTTGTGGTGTGATTTTGGTTTATAGATGGCTTTAGCCTCTCTGTAGCAGACCTGGTATTGAATGTCTCAGCGGTGACCCAGGAAAGTTAGAGGCCTGCCATTTAGTTCTGATACGTACACTGATGCTTGTCTCACTTTTCTGCTTTACATTTTAGTTTTTCTTTAAATTACAGCATTGTTCAGAACCCTGGCCTTCTTTATATGGTTCAGGCAGTCTTTTTGGCTCTTGCTGTCTTTTTCCCTATACAGTATTGTCCTAAGTTATTTTAACTTTAGACTGAGGCCTTATCTCACAGTTTTTGTTTTTGTTTAGTTTGGTTTTGATCACGACAATTAATTCTACTGCCAACCATCTTACTTCTAGCATTTCCTGACAGCCATAAAGTCTGTTATTCTCTACCATAATAAACCTGCTGAATATAAATCATCCGTGGAAATCAATCAAAAGTGAAAAAAAGAAGCAAACAAAATAAATTAAGATTTTTTTACAGTTTAAAGGCAATCCCAAAAGTTAGTTCAGCTCCTAAAAATTTATTTCTATTTCTGAATTTTTATTCGTGTTTGCTTGTCTAAATGGGAAATTAAATATGTTTCTTCATTAAGTAATGGTTAATCCTTTTTTGTTTATTAATGTTTGAGAATATTAATCCAAGAGTGCCTACCTACAGTCTTAATATTTCCTTCAGAGAGTATTCAATATGTGGCACCATTTTTTTCTCATTATTTCTTTTTATATTTTTACATCAGTTTACCAGGAATAGATGACAACTTTCATGGCACATTGGCGCTACATTTAAACTTCAATGTGTTAATGAGAGATAAGTTTTGTTTTTGCTTTTGTTCTTAACAAATAATACAAATTATTTGTGAATATAATTTTATTTCCAACAATTACAGATGTATTCAATATATATTCCATTTTGTCTTACAACAATTAAAAAAAGAAAATAAGTATGAGAGACAATGATTTCAGAATTGTATTTTGTATCATTGTATGAGGAAATAAATCTGCAAGCTTTCATTCATTCACTTCTGCAAGCTTTTGAAATGCATTTGTATAAGGCCTATTATTTGGTAATATGGATCAGAAGTGAAGTAAATCCAGAGACCCAATGTCCCAATTATTAATCTAGAGTTCTGATCATAGAACATCTAATACTGTATTTATAGCCATAATTGCTTCTGATCCTTTATCAGAAGGTTCTATTATAATTAGTTCTGGTACAAATACATGTTCATCCTTTGACACCTTCATCTTTCTAAATATGGCCCAAAGGTGTATGATAATTTCTGCACATATCACTGCATGAATTTCATGTAACTTTGAGAATTTTAAATATAGAAAACTTATGCTTGATTCGTTCTTTTTTTTTTTTTTTTTAAAGATGGAGTCTTGCTCTGCCACCCAGGCTGGAGTGCAGCGGCACGATCTCAGCTCACTGCAACCTCCGCCTCCTGGTTTCTAGCAATTCTCCTGCCTCAGCCTCCCTAGTACCTACGACCACAGGTGCACGCTGCCATGCTAGGCTAATTTTTTGTATTTTAGTAGACACCAGGTTTCACCATGTGTCCCAGGCTGGTCTTGAACTCCTGAGCTCAGGCAATCCACCCGCCTCGGCCTCCCAAAGTGCTAAGATTAGAGGTATGAGGCACCGTGCCAGGCCGTTTGATTCATTAAGAATGTCAAGCACCATCAATTTTTAGTTTTAACTGTTGCAATATTTAACTGTTGCAATATTAGTTTTAACTGTTGCAATTAATTACTAGAAATATTTATTATAAATACATTTTAATGTCACTAATTCAAAAATAGAAAATTAAAATTTCCCTGTAAATACTCACCTCTAGCCCTGTGGTATAGTTTGCAATTGGGTGGAGTGATGATTCCAAGTTTGTTATTTTTGCTTAGGATTGTCTTGTCTATTCAAGCTAATTTTTGGTTCTATATGAATTTTAAAATAGTATTTTTAATTCTATAAAGAATGTCTCCTGGCTAACACGGTGAAACCCAGTCTCTCCTAAAAATACCAAAAAAAAAAAAAAAAAAAAAATTAGCCTGGCGTGGTGGTGGGCGCCTGTAGTCCCAGCTACTCTGGAGTCTGAGGCAGGAGAATGGCGTGAACCCGGGAGCTGGCAGTGAGCCGAGATCGCGCCACTGCACTCCAGTCTGGGCCACAGAGCGAGACTCCGTCTCAAAAAAAAAAAAAGAATGTCAGTGGTGGTTTAATGGTAGTAGCATGGAATTTATAAATTGCTTTTGGCAGTATGGCCGTTTTCACGATATTGATTCTTCCTATGCATAAGAATAAAATGCTTTTCCATTTGTTTATGTCTTCTCTGAATTCTTTGAGCAGTGGCTCATATTTATCATTGAAAAGGTCTTTCATTTGTCTTGTTAGCTGTATTCTTAAGTATTTTATTCTTTTTGTAACAATTGTGAATGGGAATTCATTTCTGATTTTGCTCTTGGCTTGCCTGTTGAGGGTATATAGGAATGCTAGCAATTTTTGCACATTGATTTTGTATTCTGAGACTTAACTGAAGTTGCTTATCAGCTTATTACTTTTGGACCAAGATGATTGGGTTTCTAGATATAGGATCATGTTGTCTGCAAACAAAAATATTTTGACTTCCTCTCTTCCTATTTCAATATCCTTTCTTTCTTTCTCTTGCCTGATTACCCTGGCCAGAACTCCTATGACTATGTTGAATAGGAGTGGTGAGAAAAGGCATCATGTCTGATGCTGGTTTTTCAAGGGGAATGATCCCAGCTATTGCTCATTCAGTACAATATTGGTTGTGTGTTTGTCAGATATGGCTCTTATTATTTTGAGATATGTTCCTTCAATACCTAGTTTATTGAGAATTTTTAACATGAAGAGCTGTTGAATTTTCTCAAAGGCCTTTTCTGCATCTATTGAGATAATCATGTGGTTTTTGTCTTTAGCTCTGTTTATGTGATGAGTCACATTTACAGCATGGTACTGGTACAAAAATAGACATAGACCAATGGAAAAGTATAGAGAGCCAATAAGTAAGGCTACACATCTACAACCATCTGATGTTTGACAAACCTGACAAAAACAAGCAATGGGGAAAGGAGTCCCAATTTAATAAATGTTGTGGGGAGAAGTGGCTAGCCATATGCAGAAAATTGAAACTGGGCCTCTTACTTACACAATACGCAAAAATCAACTCAAGATGGATTAATGACTTAAATGTAAAACCCAAAACTATAAAACCCTAGAAGAAAACCTAGGCAATACCATTCATTACATAGGCCAGGGCATAGATTTCATGACAAGGATCCCCAAAGCAATTGCAACAAAAGCAAAGATTGACAAATTAGGTCTAATTAAATTAGATTGTCTAAGTTAATTTCTGTAGTTTCTCTGCACAGCAAAATAAACTATCAACAAAGTAAATAGACAACCTACAGAATAGGAAAAAAATTTTGAAATCTATGCATCTAACAAGGGTCTAAAATCCAGCATCTATAAGAAACTTAAACAAATATACAAGAAAGAAACAACCTCATTAAAAAGTGTGCAAAGATGTGAACAGGAACTTCTCAATAGAAGATATATGTGTGGTCAAAAAACATGTGAAGAAAAGCTCAATATCACTGATCATTAGAGAAATGTAAATAAAAACCACAATAAGATACCATCTTATACCAGTCAGAATAGCTATTATTAAGAAGCCAAAAAATATCGTACGCTGGCGAGGTTGTGGAGAAAAAGGAATGCTTTTATACTGTTAGTGGGAGTGTAAATTAGTTCAATCATTGTGCAAGACAGTGTGGTGATTCCTCAAAGACCTACAGACAGAAATACCATACTGTCTAGCAATTTCATTACTGGGTATATACCCAAAGGAACACAAATCATTCTATTATAAAGACATATGAACATGTATGTTCATTTTAGCACTATTCACAGTACCAAAGACATAGAATCAACCTAAATGCCCATCAATGATAGACTGTATAAAGAAAATATGGTATATATACACCATGGAATGCTATGCAGCCATAAAAAGGTGAAATCATGTCTTTTGTAGGGACATGGATGGAGTAGGGAGCCTTTATCCTCAGCAAACTAACACTAGAACAGGTAACAAAACACTGCATGTTCTCACTTGTAAGTTGGAGCTGAATAATAAGAACACATGGCCACATGGTGGGGAACAACACACATTGGGGCCTGTAGGAGGGGAGGGGTGGGGGTAGGAAGATCTTCAGCAAGAATAGTTAATGGTCACTGGGCTTAATACCTAGATGATGACACGATCTGTTCAGCAAACCACTATGAAACACATTTACCTGTATAACAAAACTGCACATCCTTCACAGGTACCCCTGAAGGTAAAAGTTGGAAATTAAAATAATAAATAAATAAATAAATAAATGCTCACCTGGATTTTAACAGATGGTTTTCAACTGTTTCTAGCTAAGCAACCAAAAAAACCTAAAAATTATAATATAGAATAAATTATATTATGTATGTATAAGAAACTAAAAGGCACTTTTGATAAAACAAACACATACACATGCTCAAAATAGGTTTTAATGGAAATGTCTTAGCTATTGGAAATGACTAGGTAATAGATAAGTAATTTTCTATAGAGCCTCCTCAGTATTTTTAGACAATATGCTTTTTAAATTAACTCAGTAATTTTATTTTGTGTATTCTAAAGAACATCAATATATTTTAGGAAAATATTTTAAATGAAAATGCTGTATATTGGTTTGCTCAATAAAAGACAACAATTTCTCTATTATAACACTTGTAAATAAATCTAATATAAGCCAACTTTATTTAAACTGCTAGTGGATCATTGTACTAAACAAGGAAATACATAATATTGCCTTTATTTTCTCTAAGCTGTAAAAATTAATTGTTTCTCATGCACACCAGAAAGTTGCTAAAAACATCTCTCTTTTGTTACAAAATCTGTTTTGTAATACTAGGGATGCTACTTTCATTTGCATGTTAATTGAAATAAAAATAGTGGAAAAATGTTAGCATGATGATAAAAGAAGCCTATTTATCCCACCTAAATGTAGGTGTCATTTGTTCATTTCGGTTAGGGAAACAAGACTATCCAATTAATTATTCACATAGATTGCAATTTTGCAGCAATCTCCTGGCAAAAATGAGAAGTCTATTAATCAATAAACATAAAATGAATCAAAAGTCCTTCTGCCCTCTACACACAATTTTAATTTTTGTCTGATATGAGTTGGGATTTTTGTATAGATCTGAAAATGAGAAGCTCATTTATTTAGTCAGATAACATTCATTAAATTTTTCCATCTATCTCTGCTGTTATGAAATTAAACAGTTCTGGATAAAATCTTGTTCAGTTCAAGGTGACAGGGTTATTATCACTAAAGAATGGTTATTGGGTTGAAAACCAATATATAGTATGATTATAACACCTTGGTTTTTAGTATAATTGAGAAAATACTGTTTCTAAAACAGAGGGAGTAGTTATTATCTCATATATTTAGCAATGTTGAAAAAACATCTGATGAAAATTACAGTACTGCTTTCTTGCCAAATAAAACTACCTACCAATTTCCTTTGGGTAGGAAAATATTTGTAAGGACACATTCATTTCTGGTTATTTATCTTCTGAACTCCTGCATACTCTTTAAAAAAAAAAAAAATCTTTGAGATAATCTAATAGAATATCCCCTATTCAAATCTGTAGCGGATTCTGTAACTAATTTCTAACATAATTTCTCTTAAATATTCTCTCAAAATAATTAATTCACATATGAATATGACTCATTTTAAATCCATTACAGAAATCATTGTGATTCAGAAAGGAGACAAATAGAAAAATGCCAAATATTTCCATGATATTAAAAGTAATGTTATTAACTTAAGCAAAATGTCAGAAGGGAGGTTTAGAATATAAGAGAAAAAATATTAGTTGCTATGTGATCAATTTAGTAGTGTCATGGGATCCTTGAGGTGTCACTTCACCAGCTGAAAACCTCTGTGGCCAGTGGCACCTTCTGCCTAAGTATTGCTGGCTCCTGCTGGGCTCATTCTACCCATTTGGCCTGGCAGGCTGCACTTGGCTTGCAGTACCAGCTCAGATCCCACACTTGCCAAGGGCAAGCTAGGTGTGGGGCAGCAAGGAGAGTGTGATCAAGTAAGCACAGGGATTGGCTACTGCACATAGCCAGGCATGCTGGCTGTTCAGCAGGGCAGGCAGCTAGGGTTGGCAACACAGATGCTGGCTCCATGCAAGGCTACAGTTGAACCAGATGTACTGCACATGGCTTCTGCTGCAGGCATCCACCTCTGGATTAGGGGAATGTGGTTGTGTTCAGAAGTTTGGAGATTCCAGGGACTACAGAGCTCCAAAGAAGGTGTCACGACCCTGGCTCAGGGAGCCCCTAGGTCTGGGCTCCCAAAAGGGCTGCATCTCTTCTCTCCTCATCACCCACAACATGGCAGGCACAGGGACACGTTTCAGCACTATTTGGGTTACAACTCTTTTAGTCCCACCATTTGGCAGGTCCAGAGTTCATGTCCCATATCCAGGAAGAATGAGATACGTGAACAACTGGAGGGGGAGTAAAGTGGAGAGGAGCTTCATTGAATGACAGAACAGCTCTCAGGAGACCCATAGTGGGTTGCTCCTTTCTGCAGGCAGGTCATCTCAACGAGTGGCCAGACGAGTGTCTGGAGAGGAGAATTGCAGTGGGTAGCTCCTTTCCACAGGCAGGTTGTCCACATATCCCACTCTAAGCCTAGAGGAGACCTGCAGTGGATAGCTCCTTTATGCAACTGGTAGTCCTTATGTCTGTTAGAGGCTGACTGAGTCTGGGGTCTTTATGGGCTTATAAGAGAGAAACTGCATGCTGATTGGTTCATTGGTGGCCATAGGTGGTCTGGGAAGAAGCTATGTAAGTTCTCACTCTGGGCCAGATTTCACCTGGAAATGACAGCCCCGATCCCAGGCTTTAGGTCACCCCTGGCTTGAAAGTGGGGCTTCACAGTGGACCTGACTCTTTCTGCCCAGGATCCTGTTTTTCTCCTGCGGCCATCAATAAGTCATCCACAACATCCAGGCTATTCATGTCGAGGGGTCCCTGCAAGCCCATGCCAAGGCACTCTCAACTCCTCCTCAGTCTGCCTTCTATGCTTGTGGTTGGCACCTGAGGTCCAGAGGGGGCCAAAGCAGCAGGGACTAGTGTGTCAGCACCACCCCAAGTATGTACACACCTGGCTGGGTCTTAATAGTGCCTGGACTTGGACACAACTTTGCTCTGAAATCAGAGTGGGTGCTGGGAGTAAGAAGAAGCAGAAGCAAGCACTTTCAAGCCCATGGTGGCAGGGGGCCTTCCTGGGCCCCTGAGAGCACAAGGATGACTGTGTTTGGAGCAGCAGCTGGCCAGCTGCAACTGCACACAGGAATGTGGGGCCCCCACATCACCAACTCAATAGGAGCCAAGGCTCCCACCTGTTCCTGGCTCCTGCTGGCCCAAGAAGCACACAACCCTGGCCACACCTCACTTACTGTAGCCAGTGTCTTCGCAGTGGCCACTCCATATGGCCATAAGTAGTGTTAAATTTTTAATCTTGTAGTTTCATAAAATCTATTAGGATTGGGGGCTTACATCAAGCTAATTAAAATTATTCTCATTAGCCAGGCCTCTCATCAACATTTTGCAATTTGACAGGAAGATATTAAAAATGAAAAGGCTGTTGCCATTTTGTCTTATATCCTGGAAAATATGTTTTTATTGTGTCAAAGATTGAAGCCAAAGTGTCTCAACTGTACTTATTACTATCAACACCTGATATGATTCTCTGAGAAATTCATTACCTCCTTTTTTCCCCACTCTCTCAATTTCATAATTAATTCATGCAATTTTTAATGGAATTTCCCTTATAACCACTCCTCCTTCTAATGTACCTTCAGGTCCATCAGCTCTGTTTGCTATTTCTATGCTACTTTTATGCTTAAAATAATTTTTCTCCTGCTTCAGCACTTGTTATCCTGTGAAGTTAATATCTATCTTCATAAATGCAAACCAATTTATTTCTGGAAGCTTGCCTTATTTTTGGAGCTTTATCTAGGAATTGGCATAATATCTTATATTTCAATTCCCCTAAGTATTTCTAAAAGTTTTACTTCCTCCTTGGTGTTTTGTCTGTGGAGTGGGTTTTAGGGTTTCTATCTCTGATAGCGTAATATACCATTCACCTATTTCTTCATCTATCCCTTTGCCCATCCAATCATCCATCATTTTAACAATATTTCTTGAACATCTGTTGTGTGTTAGTTGATATTTCTAGTGCAAGAATATATCAATACTAAGAACAAATAAAGTTATTGCCATCCTGGGCCTCATATTCAGCTGGGGTAAAAAGTAAACAAATAAAGCAAATATGCTTTGTAGTTACGTGATGCCCGGTATGAGAGCTAAATCATTTTAGGTGTAATGGATTATTTTATTGAGGATGATCAGGCTGAGCCTCTATGACAGTCATATTAGAGCAAATAACAGAAAGAAGTGTGAGAGCAAGCATCTGCAGGGGTGTAAGAAGGGGCTTATAGAGAGAAAATAGCAAGTGCAGAGGCCTCAGAACAAGAAAGTGCTTGGTATGGTCCATACCAATTTTTACTGGAAGAGAGTAAGCAATAGGAATAAAGGTTAAAATGAAGTCAGAGGATCATACAATGGTGTAGAGAAGATCACATCAAATTGTGTAGACCACTATAAAGATTTTAAAATATGCTTTGAATGAGATAAGAGGCTATCACGGTGCTTTGTGAGGACCGTTGATATAATACGCCTTTGTTTTTGATTTCTATGTGGAGACTGATCTTTTAGTCTCCACTAGTCTCCACAGGAACTAGTTAATGCAGTTTCTATCAATCATAGTGGCAGACTGCATGAGTAGAGTTTACAGAGAGTACAACATCTGTTTTGGATTTATTTATTAAGTTTGAAATAGCTTCTAAATGGAAATGTCATGTGTGCAGTTTGACACATAAGCCTGAGTTTCAAGCAAGAGTACAGTTTGAAGGTATAAAGGTTGAAATCCTCAGGATGTTAATGATATTTATATCCATGGGACTCCAAAAATTCACAAAATGTCGAGTGTAAAATAAAATAAGAAAAGATCTCTTCTCAAGCTCTAGCCATTTCCAATACTTAGGTCTAAATCATGAAAATTTAGAAAAGGACCTACAGAAGAAGCTGGGTGAAAATGATCCATGAAATAGGAAAAAAACAAAATAGAATGGTATTTCAGAAATCATATAAAGAGAGTTTATGCAGAAGAATGAAGTGATGCTCCTGATAATTTCAGTAAGCATCAAACCTTTCAGTGCTAAAAGTTTTGTATTGGATTTAGCAATATAGAATGCACTTGCAACCTTGAAATTTCAAGTTTGAAGTGGTATCCATGAAAGTCTAATTAGAGTAGATTTAAGAAATGACTGGTGGTGAAGAAATGAAGAAAGTGTGTGACAATATTTTTAGAAGTTTTGTTTCAAGGGGTAAAAAAAAATTAGATAGTAGGTAAAAAATAGTAAGTTTTATAAAGCATTCTAAAAAATAGAAAATTTTATAGCATCTTTTGCTATTATATCTATATTATTTGTTTGCTCAATCAGAATGACATAGTAGAAAAACAATGTAATAGTGATATGGTTTGGCTCTTTCCCCGCCCAAATATCTACTTGAATTGTAGCTCCCATGATCCCCATGTGTCATGGGGGGACACAGTGGGAGGTAATTGAATCATAGGGGCCATTACCCTCAGGCCGTTCTGGTAATATTAAGTTCTCATGAAATCTGACGGTTTTACAAGGGGCTTTTCCCACTTTGCTTGGCACTTCTCCTTCCTGCCGCCATGTGAAGAAGGATGTGTTTTCTTTGCCTTCAGCCATGATTGTAAGTTTCTGGAGGCCTCCCCAGCCCTGCAGGACTGTGAGTTAATTAAATCTCTCTTCTTTATAGACTACCCTAGTCTCGAGAAGTTCTTTATAGCAGTGTGAGATTGGACTAAAATAGTAAATTGGTACTGCAGAGAGTGGCGTGCTGCTATAAAGATGTGGAAGTATCCCAGCACTTTGGGAGGCCGAGGCGGGTGGATCACGAGGTCAGGAGATCGAGACCACGGTGAAACCCCGTCTCTACTAAAAGTACAAAAAATTAGCCGGGCGCAGTGGCGGGCGCCTGTAGTCCCAGCTACTCGGGAGGCTGAGGCAGGAGAATGGTGTGAACCCGGAAGGCGGAGCTTGCAGTGAGCGGAGATCGCGCCACAGCACTCCAGCCTGGGCGACAAAACGAGACTCCATCTCAAAAAAAAAAAAAAAAAAAAAAAAAAAAAGATGTGTAAGTGACTATGGAACTGCGTAACAGGCAGAGCTTGGAACCAGTTTAGAGGGCTCAGAAGAAGAGAAGAAAACGTGGCAAAGTTTGTAACTTCCTAGAGACTTGTTGAATGGCTTTGACCAAAATGCTAATAGTGATGTGGACAATGAAGTACAGGCACAGATGGTCTTAGATAGAGAAGAGAAACTTGTTGGGAAGTAGAGCAAAGGTGACCTTTGCTATGCTTTAGTTAAGAGACTGGTGATATTTTGTCTCTGCCCTAGAGATCTGTGGAATTTTGAACTTGAGAGAGATGATTTAGTATATCTGGCAGAAGGAATTTGTAAGGAGCAAAGCATTCAAGAGGAAGCAGAGAATAAAGGTTTGGAGAACGTGTAGCCTGACAATGCATTAGAAAAGACAAAGCAATTCTCTGAAGATAAGTTTAAGCCTGCTGCAGAAATTTGCATAAGTAAAAAGTAGCCAAATGTTAATCACCAAGACAATGGAAAAAATGTCACCAGTGCATGTCAGAGACCTTCATGGCAGCCCCTCCCATCACAGTCCTGAAGGCCTGGGATGAAAAAATGATTTCTTGGGCCAGGCCCAAAGCTCCTTTGCTGTGAGCAGCCTAGGGATTTGGAGCCCTGCATCCCAGCTGCTCCAGCCATCGCTTCAGAGGGTGCAAGCACCAAGCCTTGGCAGTTTCCACGTGATGTTAAACAAGCAGGTGCACAGAAGCCAAGAATAGAGGTTATGGATCCTACACCTAGATTTCAGAGCATGCATGGAAATTCCTGGATGTCCATGCAGAAGTTTGCTGCAGGTGTGGAGCCCTCAGGGAGAATTTCTGCTAGGGCACTGCAGAATGGAAATGTGAGGTCAGAGCCCTCATACAGAGTCCCCGCTGGGTCAATGACTAGTGGAGCTGTGAGAAGAGGGACCCATCCTCCAGACCCCAGAATGGTAGATTCACCAAGAGTTTGCACCATGCACCTGGAAATACTGCAGAACTCAATGCTAGCCATGAAAGCAGCTGGGAGGAGAGTTGTACCCAAAAAAGCCACAGAGGCAGAACTTCCCAAGGCTGTATGAACCTACCTCTTGCATCCTTGTGGTCTGGATGTGAGACATGGAGTCAAAAGAGATTATTTCAGAACTTTAAGGTTTAATGATTGCCATATTAGATTTTGGACTTGCATGGGGCCTCTAGATGCTTTGTTTTGGCCAATTTCTCCTATTTGCAATGGCTGTATTTCCCCACTTCCTTTACCCCGTTTATCTAGGAAGTAACTAACTTGTTTTTGATTTTACAGGTTCATAGGTAGAAGGGATTTGCCTTGCCTCAGATGAGACTTTAGACATGGACTTTTAGGTTAATGCTGGAATGAGTTAAGAATTTTAGGGACTGTTGGAAAGGAATGATTGTGTTTTGAAATGTGATGACATGAGATTTGAGATGTGCCAGAGGTGAAATGATATGGTTTGGCTGTGTCCCCATCCAAATCTCTACTTGAATTGTATTTCCCATAATCCCCACATGTTGTGAGAGGGACCCAGTGGGAGGTAATTGAATCATGGGGGTGGTTACCCTCATGCTGTTCTCACTCTAGTGAGTGAGTGCTCACAAGGTCTGATGGTTTTATATGGGGATTTTTTTTTCTTTGGTCGGCACTTGTCTTTCCTGCCACCATGTGAAGAAAGACATATTTGCTTCCTCTTCCACCACAATTGTAAGTTTCCTGAGGCTTCCCCAGACCTGCAGAATTGTGAGTCAACTAAACCTTTCTCCTTTAGAAACTACCCAGTCTTGAGCAGTTTTTTATAGCTGTGTGAGAACAGACTAAAATAGGTACGTAACAGAAAAGATATAATTCCTGGGGCTATGTCTTTGATATTCAAAAAAGGATGATGATATAATTTGGATATTTGTCCCCACCCAAATCTCATGTTGAATTATAATCCTCAGTGTTGGAGGTGGGTCCTGTGGGAGGTGAATATATTATGGAGGTGTATTTCTCATGAATGGTTTGGCATCATCCTCTTGGTACTCTCCTCATGATAATGAGTAAATTCTTATGAGATCTGATTGTTTAGACATGTGTGACACCTTCCCCATACCTGACTCCTGACTTTCTCTCTCTTGTTCCTGCTTTCAACATGTGACTTGACTAACCCCACTTTGCCTTCGGTCATGAGTAAATGATCCCTGAAACCTCATCAGAAGCAGATGCTGCTGTGGTTTCTGTATAACCTACAGAACCATGAGCCAATTAAACTTCTATTCTGATAAATTGCCCAGTCTCACATATTGGTTTATAGCAATATAAGAATTGCCTAATATAGGTGGGATCTAGTTTAAAAAAGAGCTTGGCCTTAGAACTAATTATACATGTTTATCCATCTTAACAGTAGTAGGTAAATCATTTTTATGAAAACAAATCTATTCATTTATAGGTAGGAGAAACATGAGAGTTTTTTTAAATTGCTTCTATTTTCTCAGAAAAAAATAGGTTGCATGTTTATCAAGAAATTGGAGATAGAGGATGTAGTGGAGGCTTGAAGATATAAGAAAATTAGTGAAAAGGGCATCTAGGAAGGTGGGAGAGGGAAGTGGGAAAATGTATTAAGCAAATTGTGAAACATTAATAATTTTTAGATCTAATTTAATGTGAGTAAAATCAGTGCAGTTTTATAGGTTTTTTCAGACATTCCTACTTACCTAGAATTAAGTGGAAAATAGGTAATACATCGAGTTTAACCAGAGTAGGAGAAATCATACTAAGTAACATCAGGATTTCTTTGTAAGGTGCAGTTATTAAGATGAGACTATAAACCATATGCTGGGTAGTGAGGGGAGGAAGAACATGAGGGGAATAAGGAACTTTAAAAAAGTGGTAAGATCAGTGGAATGCATGTCCCGGTTTGCTAGTATTGTAAATATTGTGGAGTGTGGTTGGAAAACAGAAGTGATGGTTGTAGAATAAAATTTTAAGTTGAGAATAAAGAACAGACTAAAATAGGTAGGTAACAGAAAAGATATAATGACTAGTTTACTAGTCATGGGAATGTCTAAGCTATATATGATTGAGGATGTAACAGGGGTACAGTGGAGAACAAAAATATTAGAATAAAGAAGGTCAGGGAACTTAGCAGCAAATGTATTGGGAACACTAATTGCATTCTTTAAATTATCAAGAATTATGGTAAGAGTATTAGTGCAGACAGTGCAAGTGAGTAAGGTTTTAAAATTTTATTTAGGGGCAATTGTAAGCAATACATTTATTTGATCCATCTCCAGGCTCAGGGAAATGTATTTGGGAGCAAGTGGATAATGTACTAAAGGGCTGTGGTGCAAGAAATGGCCTCAGAAAAGTCTGATCTTGGTTAAAGTTAGCAGTGAAAAAAGGAAACAGAAGAGGTGGAAGATGTTAAAAATTTTGCTTATGCTGATAAGTTCAGAGTTCCAGTGCAAGGGTTGTGAAATGTTGGAAGGGCAGAAGGGATAATAAAGCATGTAAGTAAAGAGGTTTGAGTGATTATATGAAAGACTGAAACTTTTGTGAAAATTGAAGTAATTATACTTGTATGGTACCTCTTCATGGTTTTGGGTCTTGTTGTGCTAACCCCCAAAGAAGGTATTTTATTACTTTCACTCCTAAAATAAATAAAGACATGAAAGTGAGAGATACTCATTTCTCATTCCCCAAATTCTCAGATATTTAACGTGGACTTTCTGTTAACTCAAGGGTCTGGCTTCCCTTTCCTAAGTTAAATGACATAAGAAAGCCATGCATGTTAAAGACAAACAGGAGGATAAAAGTCCGTTTATAAGGTATGACCATTTTATTTCAATTATTTTATTTTTCCATATTTATGCAATATGAGATCTTTATATTATTTGGAATTAATACAATTTTTAAACGGTATTGTTCTTAAAACTTACCTACTAATGATTCTTAATTGTTAAGTCACAAGTTTTGTTTCAGACATGGTGGTTGGCTGAAACAGTTTACAAAGCAGTTCTATTAAATTAACCCATGAAGTGCCCAATCTCTCCATACTGTAACAGTGAAGAGTAAATAAGCCTCTGGCCACCATTTTCCTCTGCCTTGTTAAATTTGTACTCATGATTTGTAGTTGACCATTATTTAGGCTCAACTGAATGAAATTTCATACTTTTTTATATTCAAATTGAATATGAGATAATTTTGTCTGTAGAAGACATAATTTTTCTTTCCCTAGATTTGGATCCATTACAGATATTACAGAGTTTCCTCTTTCCTTTTCTACCATTCTTATGTTGTATTATTGTGAGGTTTAATTAAAGCATATACAGTAAGTCTTCACTTAATAGGTTCTTGGAAACTGTGACTTTAAGCAAAACGACATATAACAAAAGGAATTTTACCACAGGCTAATTGACATAAACAAGGTTTAAGTACAATAGAATATTTTTGACCACAAAGCATCAGCAAATTTATAAATAAAGACGAAAAACACTTCTAAGATTAAACAGTGAAATAAATGGGAGCTGTATATGCATTTAAGAAAGGCTAATAAAAACAAATAAGATCATTATTTACCCAATATTTGATGAATCAGTGAGTGGCAGTGGTTGTAGTGGTGGTGAGTTAGATCAAGGAATAAATGCATGCAAAGAGAAAACAATGGCTGCCCTCTAGTCCCTTTTAATCCCTAGAAGGCAGACCTATGCATTCCTTGTTACAACAAATTCCAGGAGCTGTCCTCATGAAGTTATCTTTCCTGGTTCTGTTTTTCAAGAAATTCACATAAAGCTACCCATCCCAGTTCTGTAAGCAGACTTCAGGGAATTAATATTAAATTCTGTCTTGTCCTTCAGAAAGCTTATTTGACTTGGCTTTATGTAAGAGGAAAAATAATTGAAAATAATTTCATTTCTTTTCCTATTGTGAGAGAAGAGAATATAGCATTAACCTGTGACATTTACTGAAGACATTCTAATATCCATTTTCTTGATATTTTATTTAAATTATTTTATATTCACAAATGAAATGAGTCACTAGTGTTATTAAAAAACAGTTCTTGCCGGGCACGGTGGCTCACCCCTGTAATCCCAACACTTTGGGAGGCCAAGGCGGGTGGATCACCTGAGGTCAGGGGTTTGAGACCAGTCTAACCAATATTGTGAAACCCTGTCTCTACTAAAAATATAAAAATTAGCTGGGCGAGGTGGCAGGTGCCTGTAATCCCAGCTACTTGGGAGGCTGAGACAGGAGAATCATTTGAACTCAGTAGGCAGAGGTTTCAGTGAGCTGAGATCGTGCCACTGCACTCCAATCTGGATGACAGAGCAACACTCCATCTGAAGAAAAAACAAAACAAAACAAAACAAAATTCTTAAACCTACATTAAACAATATGTTTTCTTTTGATAATTTTTGTTTTCCTCTAGGTACTTTAGAATTATAAAATCTAACTCTAATACTATTATATGTAATTTTCAATATAAATGTTTACCTGATTCTATTTCAAATAAGAATATTGATGATGACATATTATTTTTCATTCTGCTTTGTTCTTTGTGGATAAGTTTATTTAAATTTTTAAATTTGTGCTTTTCTGGTATAGGCTTACTCTCCTTTAATCCTTTAGGATTTAATATGTACTTCTATCAACCAGTTGGAAAATTTTACATAAATACATAACAAATAAACTGACATAATTTAAAAATTCTGTAAGGATTCTCATGGTTGCAGTTTGTGTTGGTGATCTGAAGTATGGATAAACTCAGATGAATGGCTTCCTGGTCCCTCAAATTGAGAGAATGAAATTGTGATTTGGGTGTGAAGAAGTTTGCATATGCAATGAATTTTTACCCAGTAACAAGAAATATAAAATGAATTTCTGTTGGAATCCAAAATGTGCATTTCTCTTTTTGCATGCCCAAAGATATTTCTCTCATTCAGAACCTTTCATTAAAAATTGAAAGGGCTTTGTGAAAGGGGCTTTTTGGTATCTACATTCACTGAGTCATATTCTCCCTATTTTTTTTTTTTTGACTGAGTCTTTCTGTGTCGCCAGGCTGGAGTGCAGGGGTGCAATCTCGGTTCACTGCAACTTCTGCCTCCCGGGTTTGAGTGATTCTCCTGCCTCAGCCTCCTGAGTAGCTGGGACTACAGGCGCACGATACCATGCCCAGCTAAGTTTTTGTATTTTAGTAGAGACAGGGTTTCACCGTGTTAGCCAGGATGGTTTCCATCTGCTGACTTCATGATCTGCCCGCCTCGGCCTCCCAAAGTGCTGGGATTACAGGCAGTGAGCCACTGTGCCAGACCATATTTTCCCTATTTCTACACTGATATTATGATGAAAAAAGATAAAACTTCTGAGGTGGAAAAACATGACTAATATATGTATTATGCACATGAGAGCATGTTTTAGCAGGCAGTTAGTTCATTTTACAGTGTATTTTTATAAGAAAATAGCCAGATGACACATCTCTTGAATTTTCACTGATGATAGACTGTTTGGCAAGAAGTAAAAAAAAAGGACAAGAAATTAAATTTTTATTAGTACAATTGTATAAGCTTATATGAAAAACATATATAAAATACCTATGTACTGATATATTTTGTGTAAATTTAAAGCAAAATATAAAATATTTAAAAGGATAGAAAATGTTAGTCTAGTGTTGTGTTTCTTTTTAGCTTCTTTGAATTTCTAATCTTATGCTGCAAAATTAGATGTTTAGAAATAAAGAAATTGGGGCATTTAGTTTCATAAACAATATTCAGCAAAACCAGGAATTTAGAAGAAGGCATATTAACATTTGAGATTGTGACTGGTGGAAGTGATCCAAGTTACCCCATATTACCAGTGGCCTATCAGTACCAGTCTGTAGCAACTTCAGTCCTTGCTTCCTCAAAAAGAAAAAAAAAAAA
The DNA here is from genome assembly GCF_000001405.40 of Homo sapiens. Classification (NCBI taxonomy): domain Eukaryota; kingdom Metazoa; phylum Chordata; class Mammalia; order Primates; family Hominidae; genus Homo; species Homo sapiens. The sequence continues at coordinate 64,447,520 of NC_000004.12, read as the reverse complement.
AAGAATTTGATCGAGGGGCATAAAGCAGAAAAAGAGACCAAGGCAAGTTTCAGAGCAGGAGGGGAAGTGATATGATTTGGCTCTGTTTCCATACCTAAATCTCGTCTTGAATTGTAATCCCCATAATCCCCACATGTTGAGAGAGGGACTAAGTGGGAGATGATTGAATTATGAGGGTCGTTTCCCCCATGATGAGTGATAAAAAAGTATGATGAGATCTGATGGTTTTATAAGGCAGTTTTTTTCCTGATTTTGCTCACTCTGTCTTGTCTGCTGCGATGTAAGACATGATTCTTCCCCTTCTGCCATGATTGCAAGTTTCCTGAGGCCTCCTCAGCCATGTGGAACTGTGAGTCAATTAAAGCTTTTTTCGTTATAAATTATTCAGTCTCTTGCATGTCTTAATAGCAGTGTGAAAATGGCTGACACAGAAGTTTATTGAAAAGGCTTCGGCCCAGAAAATAAAAGAAAGAACCCTTGGAAAATATCCAAGTGGGTGCCTGACAGGAAAAGAGAGAAAAGAGCCTCTTTAACCTTGATCCTGGGACCTTAAAGGCTCGCCTTTTCCCCATGATTCTTCCCCTAGGGTGGGCTTTCTGCACGTGCAGTGCTTTCTTTACCATTTGGAATTGAGCACAGTTAGTGTATTTTACAGAGTTTTATACGTTTGCTGATCTGAGTCTTTGTTTCTTTTACCAGTGGCGTGTTCCCCCACAACATTATACTTTGCCACTTTTTCTCTTAACGCATATACCCAAGAAGCTGCTTCTTCCTAGGGCCTGCATTGAATTACTACTTTCAATGTTAACAGATGTGGACCGTCAGGAGATTGTCTCTCCCTGGCTGCCAAATTATCAGTTTTAGAGAGGCAACGCGATAATTGCCGAACCATCACTTAACATTTCATTGGTTTGTGGGGAGAGCCCTCTCCTGCCCTGCTCATGCCTAACTACATGTAACAAGATATGTTTTGATAGATAAAATTTTAGCTAAAATTATTACTATTTCCAGCTAATATATTCAAACGACTCTTTACACAAGTACCTCTTTGTGGTAATAATTACTATGCACATTAAGCAGTTATCAATTACATATGTACATACCACTAAAGCTGCAAAAACGATACCATGGTTCAATTTGGGAGAAACAAAGACAAGAAAATGTTATAATCTTAAGTTGCTAAGTTCTTTTTTTTTTTTTTTTTTTTTTTTTTGGATAGCTTCCTCTGACTCCATTATTTTTCTTGGTGCCCATCATGATTCCCAGTTCTCTGTCCTGGTATCCTGAGGAGTAAGCTCTGATTTTTTTATCTTGCCCAAATTCCTACCTAAGAGATGTAGGGAGTCATGCCCTACAAACCGTAAATTCTCCTCAAATGGGTTTTATTTGACCCTACATAATGTGACTTACTTTTTAATCTGACTCTGGCATAACATTATAAGAAAAGGAAAAAATATTTAACCCCGAATGTATTTCCTTGCCATACCTTGAAATTGCCCTGCAAAGCCTCTTGTGCGAAAATACATGTTCTATAGAGAATCCCCTTCCACCTTTGTTCATCTTCCTTTCTTTCCAGACCCAGGAGATAATCAACTAAGAACCAGGCACCCTTTTAGGTCGGATAAGAAACATTTACAACATACTGTCTCTCTGAAGTCTGCTATCTGAGAGATTACTCTGCACAATAAAACTAGGTCTCCACAATCCTTTATCTTAACCTGAACATTCTTTCCATTAATCTCACATTTTCAGATAAACTCAACTAATCATCAACCAGAAAATGTTTAAATTTATGTATAGCCTGGAAGCCTGTGCTTTTAGTTGTCCTGCCTTTCTGAACTAAATCAGTGTATTTCTTAAATGTATTTGATTGATGTCTCATGCCTCCCCAAAATATATGAAACCAAGCTGTACCCCGACCACCTTGGGCACAGATTCTCAGGACCTCCTGAGGACTGTGTCATGGGCCATGGTCACTCATATTTGGCTCAGAAGAAATCTCTTCAAATATTTTAAAAGCTTGACTCTTTTTGTTGACAATAATCTGGCACCCAAACACATGAGGCCTCAGAGAATACTCAGGGCCACAAAAGAGTTCCCCAAAACCTGAGCTATGGTACCAGAAGGGTACCTTAAAAACCTCACGGAGTTTCCTCGGGTGGAACTGGTAAGTCCTCCTGAACCCCGCCCCTTGAGTTTGGTTGATGGTCCTTTATTTATTCTTAGCTGGTTTTTTTTTTCTATCTCTTTTCTCATAAGAAGTTGGTTAAAATCCTAATTTTAGTTTCAGAGGTGCATTCAAAAGGGTCTTTCTCCATTGCCTTTTGTCTCAAAATTAATCTCAATTTGTTTGTCTGTGCACACTTTGCATGAGGAACTGAACTGTCATTTTTCATATGTAAATGAGAGACTGAGTTCCTCAGCTCTGAAGAGAAAGGGCATTGCTCTTCCCAGTCCAAAGTCACTGTTAGGTGACCAAGGGCCTCATGGGAGTGTCTAAGGTGTTGACCCTCCACAATGTGCAGCGACTCTATAAGAAACTTCCCAACTAATATTAATTTAAAAAGGCTTGTCCAGGAAATGCACTTAAGGGCTGATCACCCAATGTTTGGAGCCCTCTCAGAGTTAATAGACCTCTGAAAAGAGAAATTGAGGCACGTAAGAAGGTAGAAATGACTCAGGAGTGACACACTGTGAAGTCCAGCCCACAAGCAGCACATAGTGATCCACCACACAAAAACCTTAAGCCACAGGTAAGTGCCTCTAAAAAAGAAAAAAAAAAGAGGATGGGAAATAAACCCTCCAATAAAGAGAAAAGGAAAGGACAGCAGGCCCCTACGGGCACCCCAGCTAGGTTTATGTTTACTGATTAAGGCACCTTTACTTGCAAGTATTCATATAAATGGGAACATCTTACTAAAGATTACCTAGGTCTTAGGTTTTCAAAATCGGGAACTTTTGATATCCCTAAATTAGTTTTCTTGCATGCTAGATTGGAAAAATTAGCCTCCCAAATCAAAGAAAATGAATGAGAATTGTACTTTAGCTGGCACCTAGAATCCTCAAAAAGAGGGAAAAATAATCTCGCCTCCTTCCAGGAAGTTAATATAAAAATTTTTGAAACTGTCTTAGAATTAAAGAAATTAGTAGAGGCCACTTCTGAAATCAGGAAGGCTCTAGAAACTGTCTCCCCTTCTGCTCCTCCTGACCCTCTGCTCTCTGAACTTCCTTGTTTAGAAAATTTCACTTTTCCTTCTCCTTCCTGTACTCGCTTGCCTGAAGCCACAGGGGGACCAGAAATAGCTGGAGAAAATAATATAGTGGTTGCTCCTTTCAGAGTAAAACCCACAGGCAGAGGGGATCCTAACATAATATAGACCCCCAGGAAAATCAGAGTTAAAGGCCCAGGTATCTGGATTCCCCGATGCGACTAAAGATTCCTTTGGATTTGCTAAGGAATTCCAATTAACACTTAAGATTTATGATTCAGGGTTCTCTGACCTGTATCAACTGATTGAGTTACTGGTTCCCAAAAACAAAACTGAAGAATGGTTTAAAGTAGCAGGTTGGAAACAGCTTTTAGAAGATTTTGACAGAATAGATACAACTGGAAGAGAGAAATGCAGAGAGCTTTGCAATCACCTCTGTGAACCTATTCACAGATATTCCCCAAGGTTATAGATTGGGCAAAGGTGCAACAATGTAGAATGTAACCTAACAAAACCATGTCTGGCTTTTACATCAGGTTTGAAAAGTCATTCAAACAGTTTTCAGGAGTATTTCCTGAAAACTTTGAGCACAGTAGAAGTGACAACTTACTAACTTCTGGCTTTACTCAAGGTTTAGATAAGGAGTTAGCAACCCTAATGAAGAGGAATAATGCAGCTTAGGCTTTCTTGCCCATTAGCCACCTAGTCACCCAAGCTGACCAAATGTCACAATCATTAAGAAAGAAAAGAAAACAGTCTCTAAAATTATGAGTTTACAACTAAAACAACTTAGTAACCAAGTTGGGAATTTGCAAGGGTCCCACGGTCCCCAGAAATCTAAGCAACCCAAAGAGGAAGCATTTTGCCACCATTGCAAAAAGAAAAAAAAAAATTAAAAAAGGAATGCAAACAACTTAAATGGGTGCTAACACAAAGGGGCAAAGGGCCCCAGAGGAAGGCAACAGAACAACTTAAAATTCAGAATAGGGATTCTCTGAGGGAATACAGAGGGTTTTCCCTCTACTTCTAACTAATGCTTTAGGAGTAGAAATATCCATAAATGGGGAAAATACCAAAGTCCTTGTCGACACTGGTGCTACACTGTCAGTCCTCACCTCTACCTTATTTAGAACCCTCTCCCTTGGAGTAAAGAAAAAGTGGAAATGGTAAGGTTTTTGAACTCTCCTATTACAGCCCTTAAATCAAATCCCCTTCTATTTCAATTAGGATAACTAGTGGGGCATCATGTTTTTCTTATAGTACTTAGTGCCCCCATACACCAGGGATGTATGGGATGGGATTTCCTAGAGACCCATAATGCTCACATCTCATTTTCATAGAAGGGAGAAGTGATTCTCCACTTGGGAGACACAGAAGACTTACATGTAATATTATGCTTGTGAAAGTGAATCAAGATTCTGCACAGGAAGAATTAGAGCCTCTCTTATCTAAGGTAACAGACTCCTTATGGGCAAGCTCTTCCACAGATAATGGGAGAATTCAGTCAGCAGTCCCTATAGAGATAACCATAAATAAATCCAAACCCCTGCCAAATGTAAGGCAATATCCCCTTATACCTAAAGCCTTACTAGGAAACAAACCAATCATTGAGTACTATTTAGACAAAGGACTCATAACAATGCCTCAGAACGACTACTGAGGGGTCTAACCAGGTAGACTGTTGCATAACAATAGATATTAGGGATGATCAGTTGAGACAATTGCCCGGTTATAATGGGAAAAATCTAGCTACCTCCTGTGTAAACTGCCATAGCATGGCCTGCTAAATAACCACCTGCCCTGTGCTTGCAGCTGGATGCACCTATCCAGCACCAACCACACTGACACTGCCCATAAAGAACTATTTATGGGAGTTAATTTTGGACAGAGGTCCCTGACAGCACAATTTCCACTCTAAGACCAGGGTGCCTCTGGGAAGCCTTTTGGAATACCCAGACAAGGGTAATCTCCACCCACTTAACAATTGTTTGGGATACCCAACGGTTCTGGATTGGTTCCATTTATCCAAATTGTACAAATGCCAACAGTGTACAATGGCAACGTAATTCCTAGTGGATACACCAAAATTGGCCACCCAAAAAAACCTAAAGCATGACCTCACTGAAGGAATTGGAGCAGGGCTAGGCATACTGGGGCAAGCTGAGCTCATGACTAATAAAGAGAGACTTTCTTTAGAAAAAAATTCCCTATCAAAAAAGGGCCACATAGAAGAAATGCTATTCCAGGAAGAGGGAAAAAGATGGGAAGTGAAAAGATTTATAAGATAATACAGCACTCATCAAATGGATAGAAGTAATAATGGCATAACGTTTACAAGACATATATAATGCTAATACAGTGACAAATACCATAACAACAACAAAGATTAGGCATCCAAGAAGGCTATAAGTAGAGTCAGAGGGCAGGAAACAACCTAACCAGTCAGTGGATATATTTAAAAGATAATGCAGCACTCATCAAATAGATAGAAGAAACCAGACAAACCATGAAAACATACTCCTAAACTCAAAGATGGGAATGAGCATGTTCTCTTTTTTTTTTTTTTTTTTTTGACAGGGAGTCTCGCACTGTCACCCAGGATGGAGTGCAGTGGTGCAATATCAGCTCACTGCAAGCTCTGCCCCCTGCGTTCATGCTATTCTCCTGCCTCAGCCTCCTGAGTAGCTGGGACTACAGGTGCCCACCACCGCGCCCATCTAATTTTTTGTATTTTTAGTAGAGACGGGGTTTCACCGTGTTAACCAGGATGGTCTTGATCTCCTGACCTTGCGATCTGCCCACCTCGGCCTCCCAAAGTGCTGGGATTACAGGTGTGAGCCACCACGCCCAGCTGAGCATGTCCTTTTACTGAACAGTGGCTCATTTCTATTTTATTGCAAATGGAATCTGAGGTGGCTACAATGCAATGGCCTATGATCCTCAGTACTGAGGCACAATCCAAACACCTGTGTAAAATATATGGTCCCCCAAACTTATGGAGATTTTTGGATGGTAGATGTGACCTTAAACATTGTATTCTCAGAGCACAGACACCGAAGTTAAATGAGGCTGAAAGGCAGTCTGTTGTCCAACTGGCAGGCACTGGGACTATTATAAACCACACAAGAATACTCTGCCTGGGAAACAGATGTGCTATTTTAGCTGGTAATAACACATGGCATCCCACATACTTTTCAGATTGTTAAAACAGAAAAGGAGAATGGCTATGCCTCAAACCACTTGGAACCCTGATTTTTCCCAAATTTTGCCTCTAATATCCACTCCCATGGGACATAGCATCTGGCATATCGGGAAGGGCTGCTTCTGTTGGGCAAGGCAACAAAAGGATACTGCAGAATTATATGACTCCTCCTGTGACAATACCTCCTTTTATCTCCCAAATACCAGTATATGGTGCAATAAAAAAGTGATGGAGAAAATAGATTTGTCTACTGCTAACAGGTCCCATGACAATTTATACTTGAGGACCAGGCTTTCCTTGCATTTGATTTTTCCCTCCTCAGGATATTATACCTATGGAGATAAATTGGCAGGAAGAGAGATTAAATTTATTGGATTCTGATTTAGTGTCAGTCCTACAATCCTCAAATAAGATGTATCATAAGGTTCAAATGACCCTTGATAAAGAGGGTAAACACATTGTGAGTCTGATCAAAGAATACGATGATGCATGCAGTGGTTTTTTTAGCTGGTTAGGTTGTTTACTGCCCTCTGACTCTACCTATAACCTTCTTGGACACTAATCCTTGCTATCTTTATGGTATTTGTAACTGTATTAGCATTATATATCTCTTGTAAATGTTATGCCAGATATAGCAAAAGGAAGAAGGCACGATTAAAGACTTGGATCATAATAGCTCACAAAATAGAGATGATGTGGGATTTTTTTATAGACTAAACCCTAGCCTGACTCCATCTCACCCCTTGAACTATTGACTGTTACATTAGGTCATTTTGTGTCCTCTCTCCATGACCCAACTTGCAAATATTTAAAACTATTCCCATCAACCAGACTACTCTAGGAATGAGCCTTCCTAGTGCTCTGGAATCTTGCATATAACTAGATCAGACAACTCTAGGAATGAGCCTCCTAGTGCCATGGGACATGTTTCTGTTTTGTTGGCCTGCATATGCATTCTTTGGAATGCTTTTTGGCCAAGAGGGGAGACTGAGGAGTAAGCTCTGTTTTTTATCTTGTCCAAATTCCTACTTAAGGGATCCAGGGATTTATGCCCTACAAACCAGAAATTCTCATCAGATGCGTTTTATTTGACCCTACATATTGTGACTTACTTTTCAATCTGAGTCTGGCATAACATTATAAGACAAGGAAAAAATATTTAGCCCCAAAGCATATTGCCTTGCCATACCTTGAAATTGCCCTGCAAAGTCTTTTGTGGGAAAAATCCACATTCTTTAGAGAATCCTCTTCCCCATTTGTTTTTCTTCCTTTCTTTCCAGATCCAGGAGATAATCAATCAATTAAGAGCCAGGAACCCTTTTAGGTCAGATAAGGAACATTTTACAACCTGCTCTCTCTCTGAAGTCTGCTATCTGAGAGATTCCTCTGCACAATAAAACTAGGTCTCCACAATCCTTTATCTTAACCTGAACATTTCCTTCCATTAATTTCAGATCTTCTGATAAACTCAACCAATTGTCAACCAGAAAATGTTTAAATTTACCAATAACCTGGAAGCCCCCGCTTTTAGTTGTCCTGCCTTTCTGAACCAAACCAATGTATTTCTCAAATGTATTTGTTTGATGTCTCATGCCTCCCTAAAATATATAAAACCAAGCTGTACCCTGACCACCTTGGCACATGTTCTCAGGACCTTCTGAGGGCTATGTCATGGGCCTTGGTAACTCATATTTGGCTCAGAATAAATCTCTTCAAATATTTTACAGAGTTTTACTCTTTTCATCGACATCTCTGATCCAACCAATTAATTGAATACTCCTGCTTTCAATGAAATAAGTTTAGTCTTGATCCCAGCCTTCAGAGTCTGAGAACAGAGAAGTTTAATTCTAGGGAATGCAGACAGGAAAAGCAAAACTTTGTGGGAGATAAAACTTTTCAGGAATACAAATTAAGTGGATGTATAATCAGCTGAAGCTTGAATGAACTCTAACCAGATTATATTCAGTATTATGAAAATCAAATTTTAGTTGAATGGACTTTTAGCAAAATTAATTATTCAGAATTTTCTACATTTTATTGAGAATCTTCTCTGTGCTAGACACTATATTAAGCATTTATAGGATTTTAAAAAATGAACAGTATTTTATGAAATTTTCTTTTTAACTAATCTATTGGAAAATTCACACTCAGGCCCTGCCTAAAATACACAGCATATATGTTATACTACAGTGTTAGAGACAGTATAAGTTAATAGTAATTGCATTATAATAATCATTTCCGGATTTACTAAGTTGTAGATAACATCAAAATTTAAAAAATATTTTATATGCATGTGATCTTTCCTGAACATTAGCAGAGTTTGTTCTGTCTTCAGGATTCTTGATCTTGAAGGCCAAGGGATAATTGATTTGTATGTTACTCAGAGTGGCTAGACTCTAAATATTGCCAGCTTTTGGTAGACCAATTTTCCATGAGATATAGGAAGCTAGTGTATAGCAAGAAATGACAGTGAAAAGACCTTCAGCAAGGAGTGGAGATCCCAATTGAATAGGAAAACCCAAAACCCAAACATTCTCCAGCCCTAATTTTGGATGTTAGATGCTCAGCTGCAAATTTCCTTATCCAGAAGCTTCCTGCTCAACTTTCGTTTACATGACATCTCAACCATAAATTACCCTGACCCCTCAGGGTAATTGTTTGTTTGTTTGCTTTCTTGCTTGCTTGTTTGCTTCGGTCTCACCCAGTTAAAGTTGTTTTTAGTCACTTGGAATTGAAATAGTACTTACCAATGCAAGATATAAAATTTTATACTGGGAAAAAATATTTTGTGGAAACAATGAGATACTCTGATCCACGTAAATCATAACATTTAACTTCCATGCAAAATTTTCATATACATGTGCCATATACCTTAAAATAAGAAATTAAAAATGAGTAAATTGTCATTGAAAATATGTAGAATGACCCAAAATAATCTAAATAAAATAACCTCCCACCCAAGACTTGATTTTGATACTCCTTGATTATTTTTCTGACAAAGAGTGCAAATGACAAAGATAAAATCTTGAAAAGTAATCTTTAAATAAAATATATGAAGGGTTATTAGTTACTTTAAATTTCCTGTGCATTTGTTGTCATGGAAGAGTGACAACTATCTGGGCTGGTGGTGCAGAGGTAAAAGAATTTACCAAGACAGTTTTAGTTATAGAAAAGTAGATTTATTAGAGAAACTACGAAAATATTTTGTGAGGAGGCAATGAGCAGGATCAGCAGACAAGGGGCTAACTGCAAAGAACAAAGGCTTGCTGGGGTTTTATAGATAGTGTTTATGCAGCTGAAGAGGGCTCTGTGCAGTACTGATAACGCCAAGGTTGCAGTGAGCTCACTTTCAGATACTTGGGTGATATTTGGGAGCAGGAGGGTTACATATCCTGGACCACGGAGAAAGGCAAATAACAATATTCTTGCTCTATTAAAGTATTAAGCAACAACAATGTACAATAATTATTTTGAGCCTAATAGAGATTGCAGTTAATACCAGTCAGAGTTCTCGCATACTAGCAACTCTGGCTGAAGGAAGCAAAGAATGGGATTATTTTATAAATATGAAGGGTGGAAGAGAATTACTAAAGGCTGGAGAAGTAGCTTTTAAATAGGGCCACATTCAGTATGTCTGTAGGACTTCACTATTTAAAGCACTTAGTCAAGGCTCCTTACCCATGCTTGTGTACCATGTTCAATACATGTTGCAAATACAACTTATTCTCTCTTTCCAGTTGAGTCACTCAATCGAGAACCTGAATTGTTGGCAAGAGAGACTATTTCAAAAAATGCAAGCTACCAATTCCTGTCTGCCAGACAATGGAAATACAGAGAATATTCTCCTTTCAGGTTCCAATGTTCAAGGAACATAATAGAGAATCCCCAAAACTTGTAAGAGAATTTAAATGTCCTGTAGGCAGGAAATGACAAATGAAAAACATGGGCAGCAAGTTATAATAAAGATTAATGTAGAGAGCAGGGAGAAATCAAACTGTGTGGTATTTTACTCAAGTATTTTTAATTAAGTTTGCTTAAAACCCAACTGATTTATTCTAATTAAAGAGCATATTATATCAATGTTCAGATGTACTTTTAGTCATAAAATTTACAGCAATTGAAAAAGAGGAATACTAGTATTCAAGAGTGTGAAGAAAAATAGTTACATGTGCTTCTCAGGAATGCATAATTTAGTAGAAGTTATACTGAAAAGTTATTTGACAATAGACAGCAACATATTTTAAATGTACATATCTTTTGACACAGCATTTCATGTTCACGTATTTATAATTAAATGAGTAGAAATATGAATAGCATTTACCTATGAATATGATCTCTTGATATTTCCTTTCCCATTCTTAACACTCTCTTTTCCCAGTCTGAGTTATTCACACCCATACTGTCTGCAATTCCTGTTTACTTTTCCTCAGGAGTTTCACCACATCGCACAATCCCCACTGCTACTTTACAGTATAAATTGATCATGTTTTGCCTGGAACATAGAAGCAACCTCCTAACTGGTCTCACCATTTCTATGTTTGTCCACTCTTCAGTCTATCTTCAACAGAGTAGCCAACATTATATTATTAATTCACGTCATGCCACTCTTCTCAAAATCACCCAAAGACTTGTCATTTCCTTCGTAGTAAAAAGGTAAATCCTTACTAGGACTTCTGTATTTCAGTATAAGGTGACCCTTTGCAGCCATTTGATGACAATCCCAAATGCTCTCCTCATTCCTACATCATGCCAGCACTCTAGCTTCTTCTCCATGGCATGCTGCCACTTTGGAATTTTATACAGGCGGTTCTCTTTCTGGCATGGTTTTCCTCCAGGTATTCACATGAATGGTGTCTGATTCATGTCTTCATCAAAACATCTTCTCATGAAAATCTTTCCTGGATACTCTAATGAATACTTTACTTTACACAACAAACCTAGATAGTCTATATACTTTCTCACCTACACGTTTTATCCCTAGCATTAATGATATTACAAAATACTAAATATTTACTATTTTATGTTATTTGGTTTTGGTTTTCTCCAAATAGATTGTAAGCTCTGTGAGGGCAAGAATTTTTTGCCTCTTTTAATCATTATCACATCTTAATAATAAAGTATTAAAGTGGGTAGCTGGAAATGATTTAAGGATGTAAAAGATACTTGATTAAATAGGATTTCAGATATAATACTATGGGATCACTACAGTTTTATTGTAAAATCACTTTTATTTACTATTCGTCAATATATAGCCTAAAATATATTTTTATATGTATAGCCTAAAATATTTTTGTATTGAATTGTCATAAATAAAATAAACAATTGCATATACTGAAATGTTAGCAGTAATCAGTTTTTGGAATTGTGGTTAAAAGTGATGGTTGAGGCCAGGCATGGTGGCTCATGCTTGTAATCCCTGTACTTTGGGAGGCCGAGGTGGGCAGATCATCTGAGATCAGTAGTTTGAGATCAGCCTGGCTAACATGGTGAAACTCCATTTCTACTAAAAAGTACAAAAAATTAGCCTAGTGTGGTGGCATGCACCTGTAATCCCAGCTACTTGGGAGGCTGAGGCAGGAGAATTGCTTCAACCTGAGAGATGGAGGTTGCAGTGAGCCGAGATTGTGCCATTGCACTCTAGCTTGAGCAACAAGAGCGAAACTCCGTCTCACAAAAAAAAAAAAAAAAGTGATGGTTGAACTTCTTACATTCTAAAATTTGCTCAAATGAACCTAAACTATAATTGTATATTAAAAATGGTCATTATATCCAAAGAAATTTAACCCTTAAAGATGAATATTTGAAGGAGAAAATGACAGTCTTACACATGATTGAATGAAATCAATTTTTACATTCTATTAACTCAGTGAATCCCAAGAATGATAAGATGAAATTTGAAGCCAGATATATCCTAATGTAACTTCAAAAACCAAAGGTAAAGAGAAAATCTTTAAAGCATCCTGAAAGGTGAAAAGCGAGAGAGAAGACAGAATAGACAAAAATTGGGGCTGGGCACACTGGCTCACGCCTGTAATCCCAACACTTTCGGAGACCTAGGTAGGTGGATCATTTGAGGTCAGGAGTTCAAGACCAGCTTGGCCAACATGGTGAAACCCCATCTCTACTAAAAATACAAAAATTAGCCAGGTGGTAGTGGTGCTTGCCTATAATCCCAGCCACTCAGGAGGCTGAGGCTGGAGAACAGCTTAAGCCCGGGAAGCAGAGGTTATGGTGAGCCGAGATCATGCCACTGCACTCCAGTCTGGGTAACACAGTGAGACCCTGTCTAAAAAAAAGAAAAAAAGAAAAAAGAAAAAAATTACTTTGAGAAAAATGAAAATAGATGGTCAATTTATAGCTTCATAGAAATAATGGAAGCAGGAACAGCAAAGTACTATCTTCAAACAACTTAATTTTATTTTTTATTTTTTTGAGATAGAGTCTTGCTCTGTCACCCAGGCTGGAGTGCAGTGGCGCGATCTCAGCTCACTGCAAACTCTGCCTCCCAGGGTCAAGCTACTCTCCTGCCTCAGCCTCCTGAGTATCTGCGACTACAGGCACCCGCAACCATGCCTGGCTAATTTTTGTATTTTTAGTAGAGACAGGGTTTCCCCATATTGACCAGGAAGGTGTCGAACTCCTGACCTTGTGATCCCCCCTTTCTTGGCCTCCCAAAGTGCAGGGATTACAGGTGTGAGCCACTGCGCCCAGCCTAAATAACTTAATTTTAATTGCAATCACAACATAATTCTTTTAAGAAGAATAAGGTAAAATGTTTCTTATATAAACAATATATCCAATATATAACCTACAGGGTTAGTTTAAGCAGGGTACTTCTGCAGAAAACTAAAGGATTTATTCAAGAAATGAGCAAAAATAATCTAATAAATCTGAGAAAAAATGATCCAAGGAAACAGTAAATGTTTGAAAACTTAGATAATTTCTGCAAGTCTTTTATATTGTTTCAGAACTGAAGAAAAATATACCAAATAATGGCCACTTTGAGACGGAGTCTCGCTCTGTCGCCCAAGCTGGAATGCAGTGGCGCGATCTCGGCTCACTGAAAGCTGCGCCTCCCGGGTTCATGCCATTCTCCTGCCTCAGCCTCCCGAGCAGCGCCCGCCACCACGCCTGGCTAATTGTTTTGTATTTTTTTAGTAGAGACAGGGTTTCACCATGTTAGCCAGGATGGTCTCGATCTCCTGACCTCGTGATCCACCCGCCTTGGCCTCCCAGAGTGCTGGGATTACAGGCGTGAGCCGCTGCGCCCGGCCAAATAAAATATTTTTTAAAATATCCAAAGAATGGGGTACAAATAAACCAGTAAAGTTGTTAATGATAGAATGGGTAAATAAAATATAAAATAAGTGAAATCAATCCATATATATGATGTTGATATATGAGAAATGTCATAAATGTAAATGGAATAAATCAGTCAAAATTATTTAGCTTATTTATTTATTTGATGGTTATCTCTAATATTTATTTGCCTGGTTATAAAATTAATATGTGAGGAGCATTGGATTTGGTGAGAACATTTTGAACCCTAGCTGTCACGAGCCACCTGCAGGATCTAGACCAGTGACTTCTCAGAACTGCCATTTCCTCATCTGGTAGGCGGGCTGGTGGACCCTGTCTTGCTCACTCCACGTATGGCAGTGCAGATGAAATGCGATCACAGAGGGGAAGCACTTGGAAAGCTGGAAAGTGCTGACAAATGGAAGGGGTTAGTGTCACCACCCTCAGCTGATGTAGTATCAACGTCCAAGCTCCTGCCCCTCCCCCTCCCCAGCCCCTAAATATACCCGCGAATGGAGGGCCACTTGAAGCCTTGGTTTCATGGAGTTGGGGGAGAGGCCCCACACATATTCCTCATGCCTGGCCAGGTGGGGCCTCAGGGGCCCTTCCAGAATCGGGCATCGGCTGTGGCCAGCTGTGTGAGTAACTCCTCCAACTCGGGTCCATCCTCTGGGAAATGCTCGGAGAAGGATCCGATGATGCCAGCAGCTGAGGCCTCGAATTCCAGAAGCTGCACGTCTGAGCCTTCAAGGCAAGTGTTGGGCTGAACGATGAGCTTCTGAGATTCCTTACGCTGACGTACCTTGTCCCTGAGGGTGAGGAAGCACTCAAGGGGCCTCATACCGCTTGTACATGGCCCACTCTCCGGCCACATCCCCCTGTGGACTTCATTCAGCACCTGAAGTCTCTGCAGGAAGCCCTCTAGGGCAGGTTTGCCCCCAGACCGGATCTTGCTGCAGTCGAGGCGGACCCTGGCATCCGGGTGTCCATCAGAGCCTGTGGTGGGAGTGATGGTAATGAGTCCGTCACTAGCCTCCTGTTTACTTTTGCTCAGGAGTTTCACATCACACAATCCCCACCACTACTGTCCAGTATAAATTGATCATGTTTTGCCTGGAACACAGAAGCAACCTCCTAACTGCTCTCACTATTTCTATGTCCACTCTTCAGTCTATCTTCAATAGAATAACCAACATTATATTATTAATTCAGGTCATGCCACTCTTCTCAGAATCACCCAAAGACTTGTCACCCAAGACAAGACAAGACAAAGACTTGTCTCTCAGGATAAGAAACCGGGCCTGCATATTGGCCTGTCACCAGTTGGAGGCTTCAGGTGTGTAGAACTCCAGAGCAAGTAGCCCAGCCTGAATGAACCATGTGGAGCCAGTCCACATAGATCGCGTCCTCCACATCAGCCCCCTGGAAGCCAAAGATCTCCAGCACTTGCGGGGGAGACAGAGGAAGAGACCCATGCTCTCAGCCTGGCACTCTTCGTAGGTGGAGTCGATGGTGCTGAACTTGCTGTCCCGGGTCTCCCTGCTCGGCTACTAGCTCTGAATCTGCTCTCCAGTCTCTGGGTTGATCACTGTCTCCTGGTCAAAGTTGAATGCTCCTTTTTCATCCTGCAGGAAGAGCTTGCCGCTGCCATGGCCCAACAGCTCGTTCAGACCCATCTGCACATTGAAGGAGGGCCCCCTCCAGAGGATGTACAGGTCCTTGTCATTCTCCTCCAGGAAGGTGAGCTTATCCTGCTGCATGGCCTAGGCCACAGCCAGTACGTTCACAAACAACACATTTTTAAGGCCTTACATCCACCTCAGGTCATCGTAGTTGGGGATGTTGATGCCAGCAGGGATGCCAGAACCAGCGAAGTCAAGAACATCCTGGGAGGTGAAGTCGGGGGTGAGGAACTTGTCCTTCTCAAAGACTTGGGGCCAGGGCAGCTCCTTCAGCAGCTGCTCTGCGCTGGCCACCAGCCGCTCAAACTTGACGCTCATGGCCTTGTTCACTATGGCTACGAAACCTTCAAATTGTCCTCGGGAACCAAAGGGTTACAGCTCGCGATGAACCCGCTGTAACTCTCCATGATGGGGCTTTTGTCCTGGCTCTAGAAACAGGAGCCCCTATTGTGGGCCTCGATGGAGCCCTGGGTGAAGCACTGTGTATACTGGGCCAGCATCTGCCCCTGGTAGCCGTTGGCTGCATATGCCTTGGCTTTCTCCATCTGCTCCACTGCCTTCTGGAGGATGAACACTTAGTCCCTCTGGGTCACCTGGAAATGGCTTCCCCGGAATTCGTAGCTCTTCAGCCTGGAAGTCACCTCGGAGTGCAGGGAAGGCTCTGTGCAGAGCACAGAAGTCAGCCACACCTCATAGTCGGGCTTCCCTTCTCCGTTGACCTCTTTGAAGAGCCAGGTGTTGTAGGATCTGAGGTTCTGTGAGTCCAGAAAGTCTTAGGCCAGTTTGGCATCTTCCATGGTACAATTCCCAGAGAAATAGGTGGTGATTCCCTCCTTCCCTAGCCTGAAGTGTCGAAGCCTTAGCTCCAGAGAGAGCATAAGCTCCCTGCAGGTCTGCCAGAGGCCCCTGGTCGGCCTCACTCCTAGGATCACCTGTTTCAACTTCTCTTGATACTTCTTCTCGGTAAGGCCCTTGGCCAAGGCACGCTGGCACAGCTGGTCGGGGTCCTGGGCACAGAAGCGGCAGCTGAGCAGAGGATAGATGTAGGGGGCCTCAGGGGAGGCCTGTAGCAGCCCAGCCAGGCCTCCATACCAGGGGGCATGGGACAGGTGGTGGGGATAGAAGAGGTGCTCTGTGGGTGACAGCAGGCAGAAGGCCTCATGGCAGTCCAGGCTAGACACTCTAATGTCATTGGGCAAGTTGTCCTGGGTGTCCGCCATGGGCCCTGTTGCAGCAGCTTCTCCATTCTCAAACTCTACTTAGTTTATTCTTAAAAAATCATATTTGAGATTTCTTCTTTGGGATAGTATAGTGTATTTTGTGTCAGACTAACTCTTACACTTAGAATAATCAGAAAACTAATTTAAAATGTAGGTATTTTGTCTTCAAAGACATCACAGTTTTATAGAAGAAATGAGGAGGAATCAAATGCATACATTTGCAAAGAGAGGAGAAACTCTCAAAGTTGAAGTAATGACTTTTATTTTCTTTGTCTTGGACTTTTTTCTGGATCTTAGTTGGGCCAAGAATGTGAGTACTTCAGCTTTTTCCAGGCAGAAGACTAGTTTTGGTGGGAAGGGAATCTAGCAGAAATCTGCATGGAACCATGAGCTACGGTGGCAAATTTGAACATGAGGCTATTCAGAGTCCAAATTCTGAAGCTGAAAATGGTACAAAACTATCACAATAAAGGTTTATTTTGTAGAGAAAAGTAATACTATATAAAACATGAAGAGACTTATGTGTTATAATAGTCCATTCTCAAATTACTATAAAGAACTACCTGAGACCAGCTAACTTACAGAGAAAAGAGGTTTAATTTACTCACAGTTCCACAGTCTGTACAGAAAGCATGGCTGGAGAAGCCTCAGAAAACTTACAATTATGGCAGAAGGTGAATGGGAAGCAGGCACATCTTACATGACTGGAGAAGCAGAAGAGGGTGAGGGGAAAGGTGCCACACTCTTATAAACCACCAGATCTCATGAGAATTCACTCACTATCACAAGAACAGCAACGGGGAGCTCTTTGCTGTGCTTGGTGAGTGCCATGATCCAATCAACTTCCATCTAGCCTTACCTCAAACATTGGGGATTAAAATTCAATTTGAGATTTGAGTGAGGACACATTGCCAAACCATATTATTTTACCCCTGGCCCCTCCCAAATCCTATGTCCTTCTCACATTTCAAAATAGCAATCATCCCTTCTCAACAGTCCTGAAAAGTCTTAATTTATTTCAATATTAACTCAAAAGTCCCAAATCCAAAGTCTCATTTGAGACAAAGCTGGTCCCTTCCACCTATGAGACTGTATTGTCAAAGACAAGTTAGTTACTTCCAACATACAATGGGAGTACAGGCATTGAATACATACTCTCTTTCCAAAAGGGAGGAATCAGCCAAAACCAAGGAGTTGCGAGCCCCAAACACGTCTGAAATGCAACAGGGCAGTCATTACATCTGAAAGCTCCAAAATAATATCCTTTGACTTTGACTCTATGTCTCATATCCAGGCAACACTGATGCAAGGGGTGGGCTCCCAAGGCCTTGGGTAGCCCTGCCACTGTGGCTCTACAGGATATAGTCCCTATGGCTGCTTTCACAGTCTGATGTTTAGTGACTGTGGCTTTTCTAGGTGCATTGTGCAAACTGTTGGTGGATGTATTATTCTGGGGTCCAGAGGACAGTGGCTTTCTTCTCAGAACTCCACCAGGCAGTGTCTCAGTGGGGACTCTGTGTGGGGGCTCCAACCCCACATTTCCACTCTGCGTTGCCTTAGTAGAGTTTCTCCATGAGGGCTCTACCCCTGCAGTAGACTTCTAACAGGACATTCAGGTGTTTCTGTATATCCTTTAGAATCTGGGCAGAGGCTCCCAAGTCTCAACTGTTGTCCTCTGCACACCCACAGGCTTAACACAGTGTGGAAGCTGCCAAGGCTTATGGGGGATTGCACCCTCTGGAGCAGCAGCCTGAGATGTACCTGGGGCCCTTATAGCCATAGCTGGAGCTGGAGAAGTTGGGATGCAGAGAGCAGTGTCCCAAGGTTATACAGGGGAGAGGGGCCTTGGCCCTGCCCATTAAACCATTCTTCTTTCCTAGGGCCTGTGATCAGAGGGGCTACCACAAAGGTCTCTGAAATGACTTCAAGGCATTTTCCCCATTGACTTGACTATTAACATTTGGCTTGTCCTATGCAACTTTCTGTAGCTGGCTTGAATTATTTCCCTGAAAATGTGCTTTTCTTTTCTACCACATGGTCAGACTCCAAATTTTCCAAACTTTCATGCTCTTCTTTCCTTTTAAAAACATAGCTTCCAGTTTCAAATAATCTCTTTTCTCATGCATATGAACAAATGCTTTTAGAAGCAGCCAGGTAACTTCTTGAATGCTTTGCTGCTTAGAAATTTCTTCCACCAGATACCATAAATCGTCTCCCTCAAGTTCAAAGTTTCACAGATTTCTAGGCCTCCAACCTCTTTGCTAATGCATAACAAAAGAGACCTTTGCTTCAGTTCCCAATAAGTTCCCCTCCATCTGAGACCACTCAGGCTGGACTTCATTGCCTGTATTATGATTAGCATTTTGGTCAAAGCAATTCAACAAGTCTCTAGGAAGTTCCAAACTTTCCTTCATCTTCCTGTCTTCTTCTGAGCCATCCACAATTTTCCAACCTCTGCCAGTTGACTGGTTCCAAAGTTACTTCCACATTTTCAGGTATCTTCATAGCAATGCCCCACTCCTGGTACCAATTTTTCCTATTAGTCCATTCTCACATTGTTATGAAGGACTACCTGAGACTGGGTAATTTATAAAGAATAGGGGTTTAATTGACCACAGTTCTGCAGGCTGTACAGGAAGCATGGCTTAGGAGGCCTCAGGAAGCTTACAATCATGACAGAAGACGGAACAAGGGGAAGAAGGCATGTTTTACATGGCCAAAGAAGGAGGAAGAGCGTGATGGGGAGGTGCCACAAACTTTTAAACAACAAGATATTGTGAGAACTTACTCACTATTATGAGAAGAGCCAGGGGGAAATCTGCACCCATGATCCAATCACCTCCCATTTGGCTCTACCTCCAACATTGGGGGTTACAATTCAACATGAGATTTGGGTTGGGAAACAGAGCCAAACCACACCATGTGTCATCTAAATATTGAAATTAGTAGAAATCCAAATATTATAGAGTATATCCAAATATTTAAGTCTTTTTGAAATAAATGATTCATTTAGTAAAATAAATTCTTTAAAAAAGGGTAAAAGAATTTACATGACATTTTATGAGTTTGCAACTATAACAATCTATTAAATATTCTGAACTAAAATATAGTGCATCTAAAAAATACTAACTCAATAGATGTGTTTGACAGTCACTTCAACCAAGTTGAAATCAAGATTGTTCTACTGAAAGAATGGTCAATTGAAAGTATCCAGACTGAATCCTCACCAATAATTACCTTTAATCCTTTTTATAATCATATATATATATATATATATATATATATATATATATATAATTATTATTTGTCAATTAAAAATTGACAAATTTTTAATTGCATGCATGCACAGTGGCTCATGCATGTAATCTCGGAACTTTGGGAGGTTGAGGTGGGTGGATCACTTGAGCCCAGGAGTTTGAGACCAGTCTGGGCAACATGGTGAAACCTCACCTTTACAAAAGTACAAAAATTAGCCAGATGTGGTGGTGGTGAGTGCCTACTGTCCCAGTTACAGGAGGCCGAGGTGGGAGGATCACCTAATCCAGGGAGGTCAAAACTACAGTGAGCCAAAATCATTCCTCTGCACTCCAGCCTGAATGACAAAGTGAGACTTTGTCACAAAAATAAATATGAATACATATATATATAATTTAGAAAAACCCTTGTGAAATAAAAATAAAATAGTATTTAGAAACATATCATTAATATCGATTCAGAAAAAATAAAGCTACAATGTTTTGTATCACCACTTCTTTTTAAAATTAAGATATAATTTCTAACAAGCAAAACATAAAAGAAAAGCAATATAAGGTCTAACAATATAATTTGAAGATAATTCAGAGAAAAAATATGAATCATAAAAAATTATTAAAATTAATTAAAATGTTTTCTTCAATTTATAAGAATAATCAATTTTCTATACTTTTTTCAGGAAACTTGATAGCATAATTTCCAAAATTAGTAAAAAAGAGTAAGGAGTCAAACATATAAAAGCTAAACCTACAGAACAATGAAGAAGGATTTATTTCTCCTTCTTAATGTCATGGCTTTTTGTAAAGCTGTAGCAATAAAATTCCTTTAGAAATGGTACTGGAATGGGCAATTCATTAATTGTAATATATAAAAAACAACAATCTGATCACCATTTATATGGAAACCTTGTGTATACAAAGCTGACATTGCATATTAGCAGGAAATGGTTGAGTATTAAGTAAATGGTGCTGGATCCATTTGTTATCCATGTAGAAAAAAATATATAAAACCTGGATTATAACATTAATGAACAAATTACTAATGAATTTTGAGGTTACATTTAGAAGACCCAATTTGAAAACCTTTAAAATATTGAGGAAAAGCTTTATTAGTTCTGAAAATACAATTTTTTTTTAAGATTCAAAAGTAGTTAGGCACAGAAAAAAGTTTGAAAATTTAGACTCCATTAAAAGTAAGTTTTTTTTAATTAAGTCCATCATAAAAAAGGATAAATAACAAGTCAAAAGTTTGGTGACTATATTATCAATATATATGATCAATAAATATTTACAGAAACAGTAAAGAGGCTGTACAAATTATCTGAAGGAGCAAACAATCTGATAGAAAATTACAAACAAAAATCTTGAACTCATTTAACTAAATGGAAATAAATATACCATGGAATTTATGTAAACTTGAAAGACTTCAATAATAGGAAATGAAAATTAAAATCAGAGTGAGAAAACATTTACACACATCGTGTTGGAAAAAAAATGAAAAATTGCTTAACAATATCAAGTGCTGAAAAGTTTCTGGGGCAATGAAAATGGTAGACACTTCTGAAATTTTAAATTTACAGAATAACTTTGAGAAAATATTTTCATTATCCAGTACAACACAACACACCTGCACTTGTGACAGTCACTGTATTTCTAGGAGTTCAATGTAATGGAATACTTAATGTGGATACCAAGGGTGATGCATATAACTTTTTACTGCAGAATTGTTGGTAAAAGCAACAGACAAAAACCAGAAATTTTAAAAAACCCTGACTGACATACAATAAAAAATTAAATGTCTAACCACAATTACATAAATTTTAAATGAGATGATATAGTCTGGCATGTTAGGTCTGATAATTGGTGAATATTTTCTTTTATTGTAATCACTTATGATAACATGCATGAATACATCTGATTCTCAAAAATAGAATATTTGGAGAATAGGCAAATCAGTGAAGTAGAAGCACTATTTAGATATATATCAAAAAGAGGCCCTCAAACCTCCATAAAATAATTGTTTTAGAGTAAATAATCAAAAACTAAGAAAAATTATTAACTGAAGGAGCAAAAAGTATGCTTTTATGTACGGGCACAGTCAGGACTTTTAATGTTATCTTTTAATACTATGTCGTGATGCTTGTTTTATTTTATTAACATTCTTCAAACTTTAAAGCTACATTATATACACTATTTTATTTTCATAATATATTTCAGAAATAAAATTGATGAAACTGGCATATATAATCACATGTTCAAATATATACATTTTCATATATATATGCATGCATAGATACACAAACACAATATCTATTAAAACTATAAAAACATGCAGATGCACAAAGATTGGTGCCTGATAGGGTTAAATCTTAACATACATCTTCCACCATATAGGGAAACCTTCATTTTGCCTTTAAAAAGTGTATTTTCACTTCTCTTCTTACTTCTACTGTTTAACAAAGTTATTGGATTGAAATACTTTTTATCAGGCAGTCATTGAATTGTCCTCAGAAGACCAAGGGTCAAGCCTGGTGTGCTTAATCACATTGTTTTCCAGTATCCAGTTCTAATTAATGAAGATTAGAACCAATTACACATGACTGTTTTGAGGAGAAAGTAAGATTATCAGGAGTATATAAAATGTCACTACAAAAAATATGGCAATTTTATTTGTTTTTTGGTTTCTAGCATTGGTATACCTCAGTGACATGTGTACAAATCTATAAGCTCTCTAAAATATATTTTGAAATTGTATTAGCATAATTAGAATCAAGAGCATAACTATTCTTATTCTATATTAAACAAGCATTATCTCATAGCACATGACAGGCATTTGGTAAAATGATGACATAATAAAAACAAAAGTGCTCTTGGAGCTTTTCCTCCAATGGAACCTTCAAAAATGCACGTGACCTGCCACAAATAGTTCAAGATTATGACTAATGACAGCAACAAAGAACTAATTAAAGAGTCAACTTATTTGTTTCAATCTGAGATTCAGTCTCCAAATTTTATGTAATTATTAAGTAGAAAAGCAGAAAAAATATTTATTTCAATTTTTCAAAATATATTCACTGAAATAGAGTGTATAACCAAGTTTAATGATTAAGCAAAATTTTGAAAAAGAAACTTTATTTTTTTCTTAATCAAATTTGAACCAGAAGAGCAGGATACCATGACTTTGAAGTATCCTTTCTTGGATTCTCTTCAGACACATAATTTATATATTTGAAAAGTATTATAAAGGACCATTAAATACTTTAGTTATCTAAAAATTTATCTTAAAAATGAGATAAATTTTTTGAAGTTGAACTGAAAAGTAGTGTAATACCAATATGTAATTTTGAGCAGCATGCATGTGTGATCAATATGTTGTTTTCCTGATGGAAAACCACTTTATGTAACATAATATCAGTATACATCATAAAACCAGTATTAGCTGAGTACATAAGGGAAAGCAATATTAAAGTGAAAACTCCAAATCTCAGTCTTCTGATCCAGCCATTATTATTAGTTTTTAACTCTAAAAATATAATATTGACATCTACAAAATATAAGAAATCATTTTTTAGTGTTAGGGAAAGAGCTTCATACCATCATGTGTAAATTCTTATATCTAATAGTATATTTACTTTCCATTCTATGTGAATTCTGTGTTTTTATGTCAATGTTCCCTTCAGTATTATTCTTTATCGGAGTAACTGGATGAGTAGATTACTTAGATTTGCCAATCCAATAAAAATTAATATGGACAGTATGAAATTCTTAAGAGTTATGAAGGTTGATTTTAATGAGAGAGAAAGATAAATATTTAGAAATTTGAGGAAATTACTGCTATATAATTATGATGTGGATTAATGAAAAATGAGGGAGGCTATAAGAGATAATGCATTGCATTATCTATGCACAATGTGATTGAAGAAACTATTTTATTATTACCATAAACAATTTTTTAGAATTGTGAAAGATAAGTTTAAAAAATGTAAACAGCTGCTAAATGCACTAACTAGTTGCTGTTTGCCTGTTCTGAAAACCATCATCTTCTATATTCATGCTCTTTCTCACTCATTTTATTAATAATTCAAGATATCTGTTCAGACTGACAGCCAAAAAATACTAGTACTTCTATGTTCTTCTCTAAATCTTGAATGATATAGTCTGTCTGAAGGATCAACAACGAAAAATCTTAGGAAACTCTTTTGAAAACATGATCAGAGGTATGACAGGAGTAGCTTCTGGTCTAGAGAGTTTTTCTTGATATAAAGAATAGATATGTTACTGTGTCTTTTTGTCCTTTATGATTCTGATATTTTCAACAACTAAATCTTAAGACTATTTTCAGCTACAATGAACTGCAGCGCATTTAAACTGTCTGCTTGGCTTCATACTTAATTCATTCAAAAACATTCAATAAATATTTCTCACATACCTATCACATGCCAGGCAGTTATTTTTGGTGCTGAAGATACAACAGTAAAATAGACTAATCCCTACTCTGTAAAGCTCATCTTCCACTGGGAGTGGGGATAAGAAAACAAATAAACAAATAAAGGCATATTCAGAGTGTCAAATGGCCATATGTGCTAAAAATAAATAAAAAAGAATAAAGACAGAATTGCGGGCATATGTCGAGAGAGACGGATTAGTCTCCTATGTGTCTTCTTTTACCTGTGGAAGGAGAGATGACACACAATTGTTCCCTTGACCTTGACCCTTCTTCAAGCGGGGGAAACGGGACTGACTCATTTCACTCGGTCCACTGCTGGCCGCTCCTCGCAAAAGCATTATTTGTATATGTTATATTTAACAGAGACCTGAAAAAAAGTGTAATCTTCCAAAAATCGGAGTAACTGCCCTCCAAGAAGGGTGAAAACAAAGTGCAAACCTGAGAGGAAAAGCTTGATGTGTTCTAGAAACAGCTAGGCCAGAGTGATGGAGCAGAACAATTGAGAACAGTGGGAAGACACATGAGAAGATTGCAGCTCTAACAAGAGAAGATTCTGTAGTGTATAATATAATCTTGGTGCTTACTTCTCAGGGCGATAAGATCAGTTTGGTTTCTGTAAAAATTGGCTTTCAGGGAGTAAGATGAGAGCAGGGATGGCAGTTTGAACGTTATTACCATATTCAAATGAGAGATAGTGGTGTCTTAGGTCAGAGTGGGCTCTGACTTTAGGTGGGAAAACAGTCCATCTATGCTGTATAAGTACATAGAAGGACTATATAAACACAATATCAGGTTGATAGATGAAAATTTTCTTATGATTGCCTATATTTTCTTATTGAAATATAAAAAAAAGTCAACAGTTGAGAGAAAGGAATGGGGGTAAATGTATTGAAAGTAGAATGAAGAAGAGAAATCCTCAGACTCTCAGATATGTTCAGCTAAATACAGATATACAGGACCACATGCTCTAATGTAAGGGTTAGCTCTTTCCAAACAAAGTATGGTCCTATACATATTGAACAAAAAATAAATTACTTTATAGTAGATAATTTTCTGTTAACTTGTATTACTAAGAAATCATTTTTCATATGTAGTTTGATACAGTTGAATATTTTAATATATGGATATATACACATTTTCTTCATCTGTATCTAACCATTTCTTTTTCATCAGTATTTAACCTTTAATAGTTTTGATTTAATTTTCAGTGTTTTTTCAGCTTGGAGACTTTGAAGTTAACAAGCATAACGATAATATTTATCAACACAATAGGTCATATAAATAACACTAGTTTGGCATATCAACTTGAATAAAGTTAAAATAATACTAAAGAAAAAATATATATGTGTAGATATATTACATTGTATTGTATCAATTAGAGTTATATAATAAGCACACTGACATTTATCACTGTCGCTTAGCAAATGACCTATATGATATTTGCAATTCAGTTTTAGGGTGCTTGTATTAATATAATTATCCTGCAGATTTACTAATATTTACAAAGAAAAGGAAAGTCATGAGGAATTACATAAAATAAGGAGAAAAACAGTGATGATTTTTATGGCATTTTCTCAGAGTTCCTGGTGTCAAATAGTTATTGCAATATGTATTTTATAATAATTTTATAGTGATTATTCCTTTTCAGACTTGATTGAGTGCCCTTTCTGTGTAGACTACACAGATGACAATATGTCATTTAATGTCATTACAGTGAAACTCCTTGTTCTGAAGGTTAGCCACAAGGTGTCATGGATCTAGAAAGTAAAATTCTAGATTCCTACATTTGATATCATTGCAAATGAGAAAAACATGGAAAACTACGGGCTTCTCTACTTACATATTTACTTTTCATCCCTTTTGAATGTTGTATATGAGGGTCTCTTCATTTGTAAAAATAAATATCTCTTATTTTTAAATAATTACAGGCTGAAAAAGGAGTTAGAATGAAAGCAAAGTGAACATATTTTACCCCGGTTAATATCCTTAACCCTAACAAATTTTTGACATTTATGAATATATTATTTATTCCCAAACTATTTGAGATTTAGTTCTGGACATCAGGGCCATATCTTCCTAAGTAACTCAACATAACTATAATAAAATTAATATTTTTACACTGACATTATTTAATATATAGTTAATTCTTACTTCAATGACCTCAAATTCATTCTATAACAGCATTGCAGAAATTTCTGCTTGGCCCTGGATCTAATTATAAATATTATTATTAACATTTCTTTAGTCTCCCTTAATATAAAATAATTATTTACTTGTCTTATCCATTGCAATTTTTGGAGAATTTAGTCCAGTTGCCTGTCTACTGTCTGACATTTCCTTATATTTGGAGTAAACTTTATTTTTCACAAGAATGACACAGAATTCATATTATATCTTTTTCAGCAAATTATATCAAGGAATACAAGATACCAGTTTATCCTATGCTTGTTAATATTAACATAAATCACATGGTCATTGTTGTGGCCCCCAGGTTTCAATGATATTCCCATTTTTTCCTCAGTAAATAGTAATTATACTACATGGAGATACTTTGGAACTATGTAAATATCTTGTTTTGTCGTCCATTGAATAATCTTGTATGAAAAAATTGTTCTACAGTGGTAACAAAATGCTGTCTTTGAGATGCTATTGTTTTTTATTAATTGATATTCTATAACAAATATTTTGCCTTTGTTCACCATTTCTGAGCTTATAATAGGACAGGATATACAAAACATAACCGAGACTTTTATCTTCCGTATATATGATTATTTTTTATTTATCTGTTGTTTGTCCATTCTGCCAGGAGACAGACACAGTTGAATCTAGGTAGTACTATTCTTGACTGGATCTTTATTTCCTTATGAAATCATAGGAATATTCTGGTCCCACATAGACTCTAATTCAATTCTGATAGCTACTGTATTTATTAACATAAAACTACATTTAATTCATATATTTTTACCACATTGTCTGAAGCATAATTTTTATGTTGACATTTATATATTTATTCACTAACCTTTATTGAAAGTTGGCCATACTATGCATAAGGTACTGTGCTGTGCTCTTTAAAAACAAGATGAAGTAAGGTAAACCCTAAGATTTTAAAAAATACAATCTTATTTATAAAAGGCATAATATTTCAAATACCAAAATACATTGTTACAGTAAAGTGCTGTTTAGTACAGTATGATTTAATTTCCTTATGTAGTAAACATAATGAACCTGTGAGGGCCCTCATCAATCTTTAAGAAAACTGTCTAACTCTGAGTTTAACTATTAACCATGGCCCTGTAAATCCCAGAATGGTTGAGTTGTAGAAATTGCAGAAAAAGTGACCAATGATATTAGTTTAGAGTTATTGAAGGTCAGAGAAACATGAGCCTATGTACCTGTCAAGAAGCATCACGTTTTTCTATTTCATTAAGAGCAAACTTGTCAAAAG
This sequence comes from Homo sapiens, assembly GCF_000001405.40. NCBI lineage: Eukaryota > Metazoa > Chordata > Mammalia > Primates > Hominidae > Homo > Homo sapiens. The sequence goes on along the minus strand of NC_000004.12, from coordinate 64,419,765 downwards.
CATCACTAATGTTTCTAAGTTCCTAAGTTCCTAAAGAATCACTCACACACACACACACACACACACACACACATACACACAAAGGTACTCACACATGGAAGACATTGTGTGTGAAGGATCCCTGGGTTTTAAAAGTTGTCATTGAAAACTGTGTGTATCTATTTTGTATTTTGCAGTACCAATTGTATCTTTTTTTTTTTCTTTTTTTTTAGATGGAGTCTCGCTCTGTTGCTAGGCTGGAGTACAGTGGCGCCATCTCGGCTCACTGCAATCTCCACCTTGCAGGCAGAAGCGATTATCCTGCCTCAGCCTCCGGAGTAGCTGGGACTACAGGCACGCACCACCACATCCAGCTAATTATTATTAGTAGAGATGGGGTTTCACCATGTTGGCCAGGATGGTCCCCATCCCTTGACCTCGTGATCTCCCTGCCTTAGCCTACCAAAGTGCTGGGATTACAGGCTCACGCCTGTATTATATTATATCTTGATATAATACAATATCTTGATATTATATGCAATTATATCTTGATAGCATATGTATGCTTCTGTATAGAATGATTTTAACTATAATGATAAATAATGGACACCCGCATATGTATTTAGCTGTGTGTATTTGTGTGGTCATAAAAGGTGATGCTGTGAAGTGATTAACAGCTTAGACTTCTTCATGACTAGTTGTGCCATTTTTTGAATATTATCACTTTGGTTAAGTTGTTCAAACTCTCTAACATTTAGCTTCTGCATCTGTAATAATAGATACCTTATAGAGTTGTTAGGTGGTTAAGCACTGCATAGATTGCCTCGGCCATCATAAGCCTCACATGAGCATTAGCTATTGTTATGTGAATCATGAGTACTTCAATACAGGCATAACTTTTTAAAATGTAGATTGATCTATGCAAATCTTGTGGCATGAAGTATATTTCAAAATAAAAATAAAATATTCTCAGAATCATAAGGCAGGATGATAGTCAATATAATGATAGTCAATCTCTCTGCTTCTAGGGAAAAATACACATCACACATCCAAGATCATATTACTAAAATTATTCGATATGTGCACATAGACATGAATAAAAATAATATTATTGATATTTTAAATTATAGAGAAGAAATGTCAGCACCCTCACTCTGTACTGTTTCATTCTTATCTGACTGGTATATTTTAAGTTTTCATGAATATCTATGAAACAAAGAAATGTACTGTCCTTGATCCCCTCACTGCCATGAAAAAAAAACAGCTACATATAATTTAATAAAAATAAACTTAGTTCTTGATTCTCAAATTGAATCTTAACTTTTTTGGGTTATAATTCTCTCACAACTTACCAAACTATTTAGAAGTCAAGGTACATAAGAAATGTGTAGTTTTGTTTCTATGTGTGAGGATCTCAAGCAAGGGGATCTTTTTTTTTTCAAGTTCTTTCAATGTTGGTAAAGGATCTCTTTGTGATAAGAAATCCCTGAAAGGAAAAGAAGAAATAGGCATGGCCTCAGCTCCCAAAACAAAGGGCAGCATGTGCCAACACAAAGAGGGGAACAACTGCAATAGCAAGGCTCAGATTCGGGAAGGGCAGAGTGGAATGATCTGGAAACTCTCCAGGAATGATTCAGAGAACACAGAAGGCAGAGCCAACTGCCTAATAAAAGAATAGCATGCAATTAAAGAGAGTGTAGCAGGCAGGGCTGAGTTAAAGATAGACTGAATGATTTGTAGTGAGTTTGTATAAACTGTTCAAAGAAAACATTTTTGTAAATATTCATATAAATTTTCAAAAGACAATCAAGTTAGATGGCTTGGTTCAAATTGACTTTGAAGAAAGTTCTGTTCCCTCTTTTTTTCCCCCTTTTCCATACATATGTTAATTTTACAAGTAACTTGAATCTTGTACACACAAGATGAGACCATTTTCCCTAGCTTTCTTAAAGAAAGATTAAATCTCAGTCTGATTTATTTTCTCTACAGGAAACCATTTAATTTTACCATAGTCTTAAGTAAAGAGCCTTCCACCTCTATCTGGTGTATTAATTATTAATATGGTCATAGAAAGTCATAGTATATTTTTACAGATATTACTTTGTACAATAATCTTCTCAAGGAAGAGCTTTGTGCAGATTTTATCTATTGTGCAGTTTTAACTTTTTAGCTAACACTGATTTTAAATAGAAACAAACTTTCAAAAATTGGTTAGAAATCATAGAAGAGTCATTAGAAATCACGTTGAGGATGACTTCATTTTATGAATTAGATAATTTGTGTTCGGCCAGGTTACCCAGTTTATTCAATATCATACATCATGCATTGGCAAAGTTTGAAAAATAATTCCCATATCTGACTTTTAACTCCGAAGCACTTTCCTCTACGTTGCAGCTACACTGTGTTTTTTAGAAGAGCAATACCATTTATGTATAATAGCATTAACAGATTTATTTATTATTGTTTCTTATTGATAATCATTTTAGGTCAGCAAATTCTGCTTTGTTGTTCAAAACTTTAAAACTGATATTTTGTCATGGTAACAACACTTATTTTTACCTTTTCTCCCTTTTCTGCTTTTGCAAGGGATATATTTCAAGTAACCAAAATAATTTCGTAATTGTTATGTATTAGTTGAAATGTTAACACTGGTGCTTTTAATTTTATTGGTCAAATAGTTTTTTTTTTTGTTTTTGTTTTTGTTTTTTTAGCTATTTCAGAAGTGTGAGATTCAGAAAATAGTTTATTTCTGTGTCATTAAGATCTCTTCGGCCGGGCGCGGTGGCTCACATCTGTAATCCCAGCACTTTGGGAGGCCAAGGCGGGTGGATCACAAGGTCAGGAGTTCGAGACCAGCCTGACTAACATGGTGAAACCCCATCTCTACTAAAAATACAAAAATTAGCTGGGCGTGGTGGTGTGCACCTGTAATCCCAGCTGCTCGGGAGGTTACGGCAGGAGAATCGTTTGAACCCGGGAGGCAGAGGTTGCAGTGAGCCCAGATCACGCCACTGCCCTCCAGCCTGGGCAACAGAGTGAGACTCCATCTCTAAAAAAAAAAAAAAGTAATTGGAAAAAGAAATGAAATGAGACTATATAAACTTTATGGGTGAAGAGGCTAATGTACTTGAAGATATTTCTGTGAGTCAATTGACCTGGTTAGAACCCAGTGCCAATAATAAACCTAAAGGATACAATCCTAAATGCCATAATCCTGAAATCACAAAAGATTTTAAACAATCTCTATAGATAAATATTCCCAAAGTCTAAAATTCCTAATGTCTTAAGTCTAAAATTCCTAATGTCTTAAATCTCAAAAGATTAAAATCCCAAATGTCAAAACCTTGAATGCTAAATGCTAGGTAAGAGATTAGTGCGTTTTCAGTTGTATGCAGGATAGTTGCATCATGTTAGATTAAACTACTACCTTGTTACTGTCTTTATTTGGAAATTAAGTGTGATTTAAGGAGATGAATATGGCGGCCAGGTTGACAAAGTCTGGAATCGTGGACTTAATTTTAAGTGTCAGCTGGATTAAGGTATCTAGAAACCTTGTAAAATATTATTTTGGGTGTGACTCTGCGGTGTTTCCATAGCAGATTAGTGTGTAAGTCTGGATGGACCAGGTGGAATAGATCTCTCCTCATTGTTGCCATGGACCATCAAATCAACTGGGCTCCCAGAGAAAATGAATACATAAGGATACTTGATGTTTCTCTGAGAGCTGAGACAGACTTTTCTTTTGCTGCCTTAGAGATCAGATCTTCAGGTTCTCCATCTTTTGGACAAAGCCCTGTTACTGACATCCCAGGGTCTCCAGCTCGCAGATGGCCTGTTGTGGGACTTCAAAACCACAATAATTGCATGAGTAAAGTTCCTTATCAAGTCCTCTTTTATTTATCTCTGTATATATCCTATTGATTCTGTCTCTCTGGAGAACCATAATATAGATTTGGTACTGGGGAAGCCCAATATTATTTCTTCTTACCGTATTTCTTACAATACAATAGAAGAGACTAGTGAAATTGTTCTCTCACAAAAATGCTATTAAAATTAAATTTACTAGACTACTTAATGGTGAAATATGAAGTCTTAAAGGTCATTATTATCAGTGTTTCGAAGGCAGAGAATTTTTTAATTGCAGTGGCTGTGCAATAACCAGATATTCAAATGGGCAGCATATACTTACAGATTTAGTAGACCACAACCATTCTCCAAATATAAGTGCAGTGAGTGTTTCAAAGAATGCAGAAGAAATAAAAATTCAGGCAAAAAATACAACAAATCTTCCCTGCCAAATTATTTAATCTCATATAACCTTTTCCTCTTCACATATAGCACTAATTTACTATGCTATGTATTTCATCTTTGCCTAATTCTCAATACTGGGGGGTTATATATTGTGTAAAGATATTTAGATCATTCTAATTTGTTTTATGCATTTTTTTTGCAAATTTGATTTCATGAAAGTGTATTATCACAACATTGACTTTGTGGGTTAGTGTTGTGCAAGTACAGAAAGTCCTTGAAATTTCCTCAGTAAATTAAAAGGTGTCACTTTTGTATATCTGCATTTGCACACAATAAAATTTCTCAAGATCTTAGCTCTTTAAGAGACTGCACCCATTACAGTTTTTGATCTATCTTATTTGAACAATTAGGTAGTCCATTATGGTACTTTAAATTACTGCAGTTAAAAGCTAAAAAAAATTGGGTGCACAAAATTGCCAACTACAGTGCTATGTGTTTATACATTTTACTTTTTGACCTATTTATTTATGAATATGGTTCATCTGCTCATACTTTATAGTGATGTGACAGTTCTTAGTATACCAGTGTCTATACTCACAAAAATATGCATGTCATTATTTCCTAATTTATTATGTAAAGTGGTCCATGAAGTATTCTTTCATATTTTTAATGTTTCTGAAGTAAATCTATTTAAACATATAAATAAACATTTTATAGAATTTTTAAATACTTTTTTCAGAATTATATTTTTGGGATTTTGATCGTCCAGGACTTTGATTTCCAGGATTTTAAACTGTAGGAATTTTTATCTTTTGGGATTTCAGCATCCAGGGTCATGGCATTCAAGATTGTGTCTTTGGGGATCAAGGCCCAAACCCATTAAAACAGTTTGCCTATTAGTATACTTATTACTATTAAGTGTATTACAACGATTTAAATTTAGAAAGAGAAAGCACAGGAATAATTTTAATGTTTGAGCAGGGTGATGGGGATGAAGAAAGACACAGAAACCTGATTTGAAAAACATAGATCTGTTTATATATATAATCTGTTCATATATATATAACACCTTCTGTTTTCAAAAAAATTCTGTTTACTTTATATGAATTTTCTTGTTAGATTTCATAAAAGTCCTATAAGATTCATAATGTTATAAAAATGTATCAGTTAATAGAAATCTTGAGATCATATAACTCTTTAGAAGAAAGAGCTTCTTGAATCCATACAATTTCCAGTAAATGATGCCATTTTCTATATGTATCTTTCTTACCTATGTGTTTGCCTACATCTAACAATAATGTAGCTTGATGTATACAGTATTTTGAAAATCTGCTCATTATGTAACTTCCTGAATTCCAATTCTTTTTATCTAATATGTAACATTTTTGCATGAATACTGACACAAAATAATACAGGGCAAGTGGTTTGCCTTTAGAGTCCTATTTTGTTTTCTCTTTCACCTGCCCATCCCCAGGTTCAGTGTCTTCCAACATATATTTGGGTAGCATTTAGCATAGATTAAAAACACAATTTTTATTGTGAGGTCCTCGAAGAGAAACCACAGACTGGAAGTTTGTATTTGTAACACAAATATCTGATGAAGGAGCTATATCTATAATGTACTAAGAAATCTTAAAACTCAAAAATAAGAAAACAAATTAATTACAAAATGGACAAAAGATGTGAACAAACACCTCACCAAAGAAGATATACAGATATCAAATATGCATATTAAAATATATTCAATATCACGTCATTATGAAATAAGACAAACAGATGCCACAAAACATCAATTAGATATGGCTAAAACCCAAAACACTGACAATACCAAATGCTGGAGAGGATGTGGAGTGACAGCAACTCCCATTCATTGCTGGGTGGGATGCAAAATGATACAACCACTTTAAAAGACATTCCGGCAGTTTCTTATAAAGTTAACCATAAGCTTACCATTCATTCCCACAATTATACTCATAGCTATTTACCAAATAAATTTAAAATTATATTCATATAAAAACCTGCACACAAATACTCATAGCAACAAACAAGGTTTCCTTTAATAGGAAGGACAAACAAAATATGGTACATCCTTACAACTAGGTATTTTTCAGCAATTAAAAACAATTAATGAGCTGTTAAGCTATGAAAGAACATGGAGGAAGTTTAAATATGAATTGCTAAGTGAGAGAAGCCAGTCTGAAAACATTACGTACTACATATTCCAACTAATGACATTATGGGAAAAGCAAAACTATGAAAATGATAAAATCATCAGTGATTTCCAGGGCTTAGAGGGGCTAAGGATGGATGAACAATTGGTAGATAGAATATTTTAGGTCACCAAAACTGTTCTGTATAATATTGTCATGGTGGATACATTTTGCATTTGTCACAACACAGTAAAACACAAACTGGGAAATCTAAAATAACCTAGTGAAATTAGTTAATGATAATATATCAATGTTGGTTCTTCAACTATAAAAATTTTACTACACTATGAAAGATGTTAAATAATAATTAAAGAAACTAATGTTGAGGATGTGCAAAGGATTATTAGGAAAATCTGTGCCTTATGCTTAATTTTTCTGTAAATTAAAACTGCTCTAAGCCTTGTTGTTAATGTTAAAAATGAGCTGAAAAGAAGTAACACCTCAAATGGAGACTAAACTGAAATGAAATGCTTTTTGTTAAAAAATATAAAAAATAGGAAGTGAATATAATGTAATTTTTTCTGTTCAGTGTTTTTAACAACTAAATGCAACTGGAATGAAGATTCCATCTTTTGACTGTGTATTTTTATTAATGTGTGTGTATTTTTATTATTTTTAAATTTTAAATATATTTTAAATTGGAATATAGTTTACCAAATGATATCCATTATCTAGTACGAGTATTAATTCAATGTTATTTTCATTGTGATATGTTTAGCAAAACCATATAAAACACCTTAACAAATAACAAATATTTTGTTTTTAAAACTACTTCATGTATAGGTAATAAAATAATAAGTAGTATAATATCTGAAATTTTTTACTTCCCTTCAAAATTTTTAACTTAGGTGAATAGATGCAATTTTCCTCTTTTCAGGGATACTCGCCCCCCCATCTTTTTGTCTCTTTCTACATTCCTTGCTTTTGTTATTATTTTGGTGGGTGTAAGTTTATTTTACACCTTTTATTTTGGAATGATTTTATCAGACCTGAGAAAAAAGTAGAAAGTTTTGTATATTCATCACTGGATTTACCTTAATTTTACATATTGCATCACTATAGTAGATTTACCATACTCAGAATTAACATTGATGCAATACGGTTAAACTACAGATGTTATATTTATTTCAACAGATTTTCCCACTAACATTCTTTTTTGGTTCCAGAAAACAACCCTGGATAGCACATCGAATGTTCCAGTAGTGTCCCTGTGTAGGCTTTTCTGATCTGTCGCAGTCTCAATTTTTCTCGATTTTTTATCGTGTTGATACTTTTGAATAGTATTGGTCCCATATTATGTAAAATGTCCCTCAATTTGTCCTTGATGTATTCTTGTAGCTGGATTGAGATAATGAGGTTTGGAGGAATATTACAAGAGTGAAGCATTCTTCTCCTTTCATGACATAATGAGTACATGAATGGCAACATGACTTTTCATGGTGATAATAGACTTGGTCAAGTGGTTAAGATGCTATCTGCTTTCCGGATTTCTCTTCTATAAAGTGGCTGTTTTTCCCTTTTCATTCATTATTTTTTGTAAATGTGTCAGTAATTGAAACCCACACTCAAGGAGACAATATATCCATAAATTATGTGGAAGTCTTGTGTAAGGAAGACTTGCTCCTGGTTCTTATTTATTTATTTATTTATTTATTATGTATTCAATCATTTATTTATAATGGTATGAACTCCTAGGTATACTGTTTTGTGAATTTGAACCCATTATTATTAGTACTTATTTTGTTGCTTGAATTATTCAAACTTTGGCTATGAGAGCTCTTTCCAATTGGCTTCTGAATTCTTTTGACTATTTCTTTTTCTTTTTCTTTTTTTTTTGAGACGGAGTCTTGCTCTGTCACCCAGGCTGGAATGGAGTGGTGCGATCTTGGCTCTCAGCAACCTCCACCTCCTGAGTTCAAGTGATTCTTCTGCCTCAGCCTTCCGAGTAGCTGGGACTGCAGGCGCTCGCCACCACACCCAGCGAATTTTTGTATTTTTAGTAGAGACGGGGTTTCACTATGTTGGCCAGGTTGGTCTCGAACTCCTGACTTGTGATGTGCCCACCTCGGCCTCCCAAAGGGCTGGGATTACAGGCGTGACCCACTGCACCCAGCCAACTATTCCTTTTTTTAAATAAAAAAAAAAAAAATCTGGAGAAACATTATATGAATAGTGTTTAGGTCATTTCAATATAATGCAATAACTTAGCACAATATCATTCTGTTACACATTCAAATTATACTTTTTGGTCATTAATTAATTTATTTAATACTGTTTATGGATCACCAGTCCATATTAGAAACTGTTCTAAATGCTGTAAATAGGTTAGGGGATATGGTCAGAGAGATGTCATAGGGTGCTGGGTGATGCAGAACTTTGCAAACCTTTGCAAATATCTTTGGCTTTTTTTTTTTTTTTAACATAAAATAGAAAGCCCCTGCAGTGTGTTGAGCAGATTAAGTTACCCACTTAATATAGAACCAGGTCACTCCACCTACTGTTTTAAAAATAGACTATTGATTGACTAGTGTTGGGGTAGGAAGAGCAGTTTGGATATGCAATACAGGTGAGATTCATGCTTGGATTGTAACTGTGAACAGATTGTGTAGTGGATCTCTGATGGATTAGATGTGAGGTGTGGGAGAAATGGAGAAGTTAAAGATGATTCCAAGTTTGAAGTGCTGAACAACCAGATGATAAAGTTGCATAATGTGTGCCCACACATACGTGTAAAAAGACACATATCCCTATCATTTATATTTTTGAAAATATAAAATATTGAATGTAATGTAATATAAAATATTAAGTGTCAACATAATAACTGAAGAGTGTAAAGTGAATCTCTAGGGCATAATGTATAATAAAATTAAAAATGAATACATTATTTTAGTTGTTTATAAAAGTAAAGATTAGCCTCAGGTAGATAACAGGTTTCCTCCCCTATATATTTTGTGTCATTTTATTTGTATGTTTTCATTGAAAATCACATTCCAGAATATTTTCCTTTAATATCATTTTGAATCAGTGATAATATGTTTTGGATTTTTTTTTCAGTTGTTTCTTCATCAGATTTACATATCTCAGAGGACTAGGAGTTTTTCTAAAAGCTCTTTTGCCAGGATGTTTTTCAGATTTCATTTTTCATTCTGAGGCTATCTGTATTTTCTATAACATAGTGTTGTGGAAAATGTGATGCTGACTACAGATTTTGTATATCAGTTCAACAGATTTCCAAAGATATACAATGTTAAAATAATGTTTACTTCTTTTTCCCCAGGTTACAAAATTGTTCTCTATCAAATTCTAATCTCATAGTTTGCTATCTTTTCAATGTTTATATGAAGTGAAGAATTCATCATTTTATATTGTGTAACAGTTATTTTAAGTTCGTTGGGATTTGTAATTAGTACTGACAAAAATAAATTTTTCACTTTAGAATGCTTTACATGCACATGCACATATATTTATATATAAAACATATATAAACATATATATGCCACTTCTCTTTACCTTAGACAGGATTTTTTAAATGTTACATAGTAATGTACTAGGACTTTTAAAAATTTAACTTTAAGATAGCACTTTGCTAATGTTAAATACATCTCAATGCAAATGTGTGTGTGTGTTTGAAGATCAGTGCATCCAGAACTCAGAGATGATGAAAATGTTCTGTCTATTCTTGCTTTGGAATTTCAGATAAGAGTAGTCATATTACAAAGCAGAGATAAAAGGAGAAAGCAAGAAATCATTCAATTGCTGGTAAAGTAATACTCTACACAGCAAATCACAATAGCGTGTTATATATAGAAATAAGATCAGTCACTGTTTTCAAGCCTGCTAAATAAAACTGAACTCTTGGAATGGCATACCATTTGACCTTTCAAAGGTTCTCCAGCAGTATTTAACTGATGCAAAAGGAACACACTTGCAATTTTCTACTTTTGACATGACAGACCCTCCTCTTAGTTCACACAATGTTCAAAAGGCACAAGTCCCTCGCTTCGGAACGCAAGAGAGCATTACTTTCCCAAAGAGCTACACGGTTCATACTGAAGGATGATATGAGAAATTTTCACTTTTTGTCAAAACTTGTACTCTCAGCGGGCCCTCTAAGACCAACTCCAGCAGTCAAACATTCAAAAACGACTCACTTTGAGATTGAAATATTTGATGCTCAAACAAGGAAACAGATATGTATTCTGGATAAGGTGAGTTTATTTATTTATTTATTTGTTTGTTTGTTTAAGTGTTTCTTCTCTGCCCCAAATATTATTGATTGCTTGATTAAATTCTAACACGACTGTTCTGAAATACATTTCTGACTTTTACCTTAATTTTGTGGTGAACAGGATGCATACTTTATGCATTGTTTTAATAGAAGATGTTCAATGCATCTCTCATACTCAATTTAAATTAATTAAATGGTAGATAATAATGAGGTTCTGTCATTGGTCTGTGAATTTTATGCTGTCATTGACCATTGTCCACAGGTAAAATTACAAATGCTCAACCTATTTTCCTACATGTAAAATGTCTCCAGGTTTTTGTCTTCGTGTACTTCATTGTATATACAAATTATCATAGAGTTTGATTAGTTTCTATAGAAAATAGTAAGCAAAAGCCACAGTAGTTGTTAGAAGTAACATGTAATATGTCTGAAAAAATTTAATCATTTAAGCATTATTTTGAATTGATTTTATTATTTTTCTTAAAAAGTGACTACCTCACTTTTTATGAAAGTTTACTTGCTTCAAAAACACTATTTAAGTTCATGAAAATAATGTTTTGAAATGTTACTCGTCCAAATCCATATTCACAGGTGTTGCACTAAGGAATGAGAAAATATACTCTTCTTAGGTTAGAAAACTAAATTATAAATATATGTTTATATTTTAGATAAATATATGCATAAATAATATTCCAAGCATTTTCAGTTTTTAATAAATTTGAAAAGTACTATTAACTTAATATGAGAAAGGCATATTTGTACAGGTAATAAAATAGAGCTTGATCTTGTTTTACAAAAATATTGAATACGTTTTTGTTGCTGTGTTCTAAAAATAAAATGCAATCAATCATTCCGTTTTTCCATGTTCTAGCTAGGTCTTTAGAAAAAAGGAAAAAAGAAGCTGTTTAGTCCTTTCTTTAATAATTGCCAAGCACATAATATATAATTTCTTATTCAGTAATTATAACACTATGAGCAGTTTATAAATTGAGTTATATTAACTTTAATTCATAGATGGAAAAGAAAGATTAAGACCTTTTATTAGTGCACACAGGTCATGAATTGAACTAAAAGATCTAAAACCATTTCTGTACAGTTTTAAATCATATGCTTTTTCTATAGTTCTACTGAGGCCATATATAAGCGATGAGTATATATCATACAAAATAGAATTTTGATATATTTATTTCAGGACTTCTATAATTTACTTTTATTTTAGTATCAAGGTGAAGTTTTGAGATTTTTAAATATCATACAAAATATTTAATATTTAAATATATTACACAAATATTTTATATTTAAATATCATAAGAAAAATAAAAAAATAAAATTACTCTTCAGAAGTTGCTAATGTTTATAATATTCCACTATGAAAAACACAAATCTTACAAGAAAAAACACAGTTAAATTCAAGGACACAGTGCAACAAATGGAATGAAAATCAAATAAGTCAAGGATTTCCAAAGACTACAATTCTAAAATGACACTGGTTATTGTGTCCTTTCTGACAGGTGTATAGACCCTGACAGGCAATCCACCTTAAAGTAATGAAAAACTCATGATGTTTAAATGTTCTTTTACTTAATTACACACACACACACACACACACACATGCCAATTAGTTCCTAATTATTTGCCTTACACATTTAAATTTTTTCTTATTCATATTTTATTTGAAGGTAAGACAGGGATTTTTATATTTTTACGTGTTAATTAAATTGTGAAAAAAATTAAACATTTAGAAGAAATGAAATTTAAATATTCATTATTCAGAGATAAGAATTTTGCAATTTTGCATGGGAGTCTCATGTTTGAACTATGAGAGTCCTGACATTTGCATCTCAAGTGGCAGATCTTTATAGAAACTTAGCAGGCTAAATAGAGGATTAACACTGGATAGCTCATAATCCTTTATTGCACAATCACCCCTATATAATGTGCAATTTACTGCATTCAAATCTTTGATGTCTGAGTAGAAGTGGATCTTGCTGTGTCTTGTTTTAGTTTGTAAATTGATAAACTGTTTCATAATAGTGGTGAGACACTTCAGAGAAAAAAGTCTTCTAGATTAATTTTTTTTTTTTGCTTAGTAATTTCTAACATTTTGAATTTGTAAACATAAAAAAGACTGATTTATTTATTATTATTATTATTCCTGATGTTATTTTTCTTAGACAAATTAACAACTTTGTAGTAAGATCATATTAAGTGCCTTTCATTGTACCTGGCTCTACCCAGTGTACAAAAGAAATGTTGCTTATAACTTAGTGCCCGTCTTTCAATACTTACTATGCTGTAAAGTGGTACAATTTACATACCATGTACTTTGGAATTAAGCATATCTGGACTCAATCCCTGTTACATCATTTGTGTCTATCAAGGAGTAAGAAAGTCACTGAATTGCTCATCCCCAAGACCCTTATTTAGAATATGGGTTAATAAAATCATATCAATAAAGTTAATAAATGTTACTTTGGAAACTTCTAGTAGAGTAGGGATAATATATGTTACATGCTTAGAATAGCGCTTTGACCATAATATGGACAAAATTATTATTATTATTTTATTTTTAATAATCATTTGGAGAGAGAAAGTAATATACATAAAATATAACAATAACAAATGCTGAGCCTTTTGATAACTTGCTAAGAATTTAAATTTGACTTCTTAATATTTAATTATTCTTTGACATGATTTGTTATAATGCTTAGGATAGATATATTTATCAAATATCTTAAATGAGATGTATTATCTTAGTAATGTATGTTCTAACAGAAACTTTGTTTTATGTCTATTACTCAAACTTTAAAATGGACAAAGTATAGACTCAAAATATTCATGAGATAAAAATTTTGAGAAAAGTCCTAGGATGAAAGAAAATATATTTATTATGTTCTTTAACTTAATTACACACATACACACACACACACACGCGCGCGCGCGCGCGCGCCTAACAAATAAAAAAGCTTTCTCTTGCCTCTGCTGTCGTCTCTAGTTTTTGCCCATTTCTCTCATTACTTTCCTTAGGTATTCATATTGTCAGCTTTCATTTGCCTCTTCTCACTGTATCCTAGTCCCAATTCATTTGGGCACTCACTTCCATCAGTTCTCAGAATCTGAACTTACTGAGGTCACCAGTGAGGCACGGCAAATACTTTGCTAAATGCAGAGCCCTATTCTCACGTCTTATCTTACTGGGTATATCAACAACATTTTCCACTGTTAATCGCCTCCTCCTTAACTAGCATTTGTTATTTGAGTTCCAGGAGAATATACACTTTTTTTAACCAACTTCGTTGGCTTTTCCCTTTCCTTATTGCTGATTCTTCAACTGACTTATTAGGAATGGACTTTCAAGAACTGAGTCATCACAACTTCTCCTCCTCTACAATAATTTACTTTATTGAGTTCCATAATTTAAAAAAAACTTCCTAGTGATGTCTCATAAACATATACTGTAACCTATTATTTTCCTTGGACTGTAAATCTACATATCTATATATCGATTTAATCTATTGAGCTATCTGGATGTTTACCAGGCATATCAAACTTAATATCTCTAAAACTGACCACTTGGTCTTCTCCCAAACATCTTCCACAGAGCTACTTAAGCCAATAAGTGGCAACTACATCCTTCAAATAGCTCAGGCCAAACACTTGGAGAAATCATGACTTGTCTTTTAATCTGACACCTCACATACAATCCATCTTCTTGGCAATAGCTTCAAAATATATCAACCCTTCTACTTCTAGCACTCCTGAATCTTCCTCCTACTTGTGTCTTTATCACTTTCAATATATCCTCTACTAACAACAAGAACTAGCCTGTTAAATCCTGGCAGATAATATCATTTGCTCCTCAAAACTAGTCAATGCTTTTCTTTAGATCTTAACTGTTAACATTTCCTGGAGGCTTTTCCTGACTACTAAGAGAGCAAAGCTAGCCAACATTTTTTATTATGCTTCCTTGTTTTACTTCTTTACTAGACTTATTGCCAACTAAACTACTATTTATTTTTCTTTCTTTAGTTCATTATTTGGCCTACCCTTAGTATATAAGCACAAAAATATCAGATTGTTTGTTTGTTTTACACACTTGTATCTTCAGCATTAATAGCAATGTTTAACACAAATAAAGTGTTTAAACAATATGTGTTGAATAAGTGCACTCCGGTTCAAGAAACATGTGAATTTGACACAGCATTCATGTTCAGTAGTGATAGTTTTGAGATGGAGGAGTATAATATTTGAAAATAAAGTTTATGATTTTCTACATCAAATCAAATTATTGTTAGAATATTTGTTCATACATTCACATAAAAAGACATTCTCTCAAACCCTTTTACCTACTGCTCAAATTCTCCCCAGCTTATTCTGAAAACAAATACATATAATTTAACTTTGTGTTAGTGTATAATTCATTAATAGACAGTCATGTTCTGATGACAATTTTAATAAGATTTTCATAAAGCAGATGGGAATATTTATTTAGCTCATTTAGCTAGTTCCCATGAATGATTAAAATAACTAATCATGGATAACAAAATGGAGAGCAGATTTAAAATAATTGTTAAATACCATTTTCAAGTATTTGTTGGAACATTAAAAATAAGAGATTGTAGGAAAAATAAATTTTAAAAATATAACAATGAACCATTTCCAGTTGCTGCCTGCTGTTGTCTCATTTCTTTCTTGTAAAATGTCAGAAGCTTATCTACTGATAAGTCAATGATTGAAGAGCATGCAAGAACTCTAAGAGCCTGAGTTGATAAATGGTAAATGTTTCCAATATCATCTCATTCTATTTTCTTCAATCTTTTCTCCAAGTAACCTGACCTCAAGAGCTCTCTTTCTCCTATTGTTTTTTTTTTTTTTTTGGTAAAACTCTCAAAAGCTTTTTAAATATTTCTTATGAATAAAATAAAGCATTCAATAATTCTCTAATTCTTCTAATAGTAAAAATAACAATTGTCCTCAGAAAACAGTAGAAATAATTACAGGATAGTAAGAGTGCATACAAATTATACCTTTGTAACCTTAGAAATTTTGACAATTCTTAATTTTTGACATTGCCATTTTAATACTTTACCTTGTACATGATACTTAGCATATTTATGCTTTAGTTTGTTCATCTGTAAAATGGGAATAGTATCTGCCTTAGAATGGCCACATGGCAGTTTTCAGAATTTCGTGTACATGCAAATGACAGTATCTTTTTTTTTTTGTCTTTCTTTTCATTTTTCCTTCTCTTTTGCTCCATCTACTCTTCTGCCTCTTCCTCATATTCCTGCCCCCCTTTTCCTCCTCCCCATGCCCCCTCAGTCTTCTTTTTCCTATTTCTTATGGTGTTTCATGATATAAGAATTAATCAAAAGCACATGGGAGTTGAATTCAGAAAGTCTTCTATATTAGTATAAATCTGAGAGTGTGATTTCTTTTTCCTTAGGCATGGTCTGGTATCTCTGACTTTTATTCATTTTTTATGGAACAGGAAGGCTTTCCTGGAGAAGTTATATTTATGTGTGTCCTAGATAGTTTATAAGAAGAAT
The DNA here is from genome assembly GCF_000001405.40 of Homo sapiens. NCBI lineage: Eukaryota > Metazoa > Chordata > Mammalia > Primates > Hominidae > Homo > Homo sapiens. The sequence goes on along the minus strand of NC_000004.12, from coordinate 64,403,548 downwards.
ATAACAGGGAGATATGCCTGAGGCTAAAATAATTTACTAAGTCTATGTGTGTGTGTGTGTGTGTGTGTGTGTGCGCTCAGGGAGGGAAGAATATTGTTTGTTTGCTTGCTTGCTTGCTAGCTTGCTTTCTTATTTTGAGTGCAGACAAGTAGACAGGCAGTTAGAAATCATCCTTTTTTTTTTCATTTTAAGTTGGAGATTCCTGTGTGATATCCATGTATAGTTAACCATTAGACCTTTGGCTGTGAAGAACTCAGGGGAGTGGTCATGGTTAAATATGTTGATTTGGAAATTTAAAATGTATAGGTGATCTTTGTAGCTGTTGGATTAGAGAAGATACATTTGTAAAGAACAATGTAATGAGTAGGAAGAGAAAAGAACCAGTTACAGAGGCCTGAGAAACTTCAGCATGTGTTTTAAATAAAGAGAAGATGATAAGGGAAAACAAGGAGAATGTACCAGAGAGATAGGAACACGGGGAATGTTTATCACAGAAACCTCACCAAGATAATTTAAGTAAAAAGGACAAGATTAGTGGTGTCAAATATGGCTAAGAAGCACAGAGAAATGCAATAAGTATCCCTTATATTAAATGGTGTGATATTCATTGAGTTTAACTAGACTACTTTAGGCAGAGTGATTTAGGGAGAACTCTAATCTGGGATGGGGGATTATAAACAATGGGAGATTGGGAGATAAGACACGTGAGTTCACTGGAAGGCATTGCTTTTGTAGGTAGCAGATCTTTTTACAGACTTACCCTTCATTTTTCAACTTTATACATCTCTTATGTACCCCAATTCACATTCTTGAGATTACTTTCTAGCTCTTCTCTATTACTACATGTGTCAACATTCTATACTACTTATCAGGCTCAATACACATTTTGTAATTTTTATTTCTTGAGTTTCAGGAAAATTTGATTCCCTTGCTTGAAGTGTGTTCCGTCACAATCTGTATAGTTCATATTCATTCCGTATTGTCCAAAAGAGATGACAACTCCTTTATGTGCCACTTAGGGTCTCCTATAAGCAGATGTACTCCTCATCCCAGTAATGATTCAAATATCTATTATTACTGTATATAATCCAATAGTTAGGAGTGGGCATTTGTAAGCTATCATAGACGTTTAAAAGAGATATTTTATGCTTGCCCAACCTACTATTTTAATCATAAAATAGTGAGGCTTATAATTGATATATTAGTATTTTTTTCTAATAGTTTATTTTCATTGTATTTTACAAATGTATCAGTCCATGACAAAATAGAAGTTTAAAAAAAATTACTTTACTCTACATAGTTTGAGAAGCACCAAATTAGATGACATGGAAATATTTTTAACACTGCCATGATTCAAACATTTGAAAGCCATCTAAATGTTATTTTACAATAAAACTATCTTGGGTTCAGAAAAAAGAATAGGTCATATCCAGGCTTTTCTTGAATTTGATTCTAAAGTTTGTATTTCCCTTGGTAGGCAAGGGAAAAGTAACTCTGAAATGTTTGTTTTGTACATATAAAAAAATAGCAAAAATGATCTAAATTTTTTAGACCAATGAAAAGTGAATAAATTGTGTTTTCTTTGGAAATTTTCTACTTAAAATGGTAAATCTGAGAAGATGAGGTAAACAAAGAAATGCTAACCATTAAAGGAATGAAATTAAGGGGAGCATATTGTGCAAATAAGAGAAAACCTATTTCCTATTAAATCAAGATTGAATGAATACAATTAATACTGGAAACACTAGTTTAAAAACATACATAAAGCTTAAATAACATTTCTGTCTACGGAAACTAGCAGTGAAGTGGTGACTATGTCAAGAGAGACGTACACATTTGAGAGAGCTATGCCTGCTTTGTTATTCAAATAGTTTAGATTACACGAAGCTTATAATGAAATGTATTTGCTAACCTTAAAATGCATGAATTTAATTGGAAAGACAGATAACACATTTAAAACAAATTACAATATAATAAATAGCATACACAAGTTTAACACAAATTATACTGAGAAGTCTAGGGAAATAATTCTTTTATGTAAAAGAAATTTAGTTATGAGTATGAGAGTCAAAGAATTGTTTAGCTGAAGATGGCACTTGAAAGGATCTTGAAAAGTATATAGTATAGAACATTAGCCTGGTTGAGGTCGAAAGAGCAACCCAGGAAGAAAGTTTAGCATATCCAAGAAAAAAAGAGGCAGGAAAGTAATAAGCCAAGCTTCCTGGGTTGGTGTAATTAAGTACATGGTGTGATACTTCAAAACAGAGCAAACTGAGATTAAAATGGTATAGCTGGGGCTGATCAGAGAGGGCCTGATTGCCTTGCTAGGGCATTTGGACTATTTTTCTTTGAACAGGGTAATCATTTTTTTTCAGATCTGCCTTTCAGAAATTAAATCTGTCAACTACGTGGAAGATAAAATGTGTAGTAGAAACCCTGAAGACAGTTCTATAAAACGGAGAAGAAATCTTGTGTGAGCTTGTTCAAGACTGCCACATTTGGGAGGCAAGATAGTATTGGGATCTGCTTAGGCTTTAAGACACTCAGCCACCTCACACACTTATCCAGGTTGTGACACTGGGCAAACTTATTATGTTTTCCCTTATATTTGTTGCATTGGGCCATTCTCACATTGCTATGAAGAAATATCTGAGACTGGGTAATTTATATAGAAAAGATGTTTAATTGGCTCACAGTTCTGCAGGCTGTACAGGAAGCCTAGTGGCATCTGCTTCTGGGGAGGCCTCAGGAAGTTTCCAATTGTTGCAGAATGCTAACGGGGAGCAGGCACTTCCCATGACCAAAGCAGGAGAAAAGAGGAAGAGAGGGGAGATGGCACACACTTTTAAACAATCAGATCCTGCAAGAACTCACTCACTATGAAGAGGACAGTGCCAAGAGAATGGTACTAAACCATTCATGAGAAATCTTCCCCCATGATCCAATCACTTCCCACCAGGCCCCACCTGCAACACTGGGGATTCCATTTATACATGAGATTTGGGCAGGGACAAATTCCCAAACTATATTTTTTCTGCCCTTGGTCCCTCCAAAATCTCATGCCCTTGTCACATTTCAAAATACCATCATGCCTTCCCAATAATCCCCCAAAGTCTTAACTCATTTTAGTGTTACCTCAAAAGTCCAAAGTCTGAAGTCTCTCTGAGACAAAGCAAGTCTTTTCCACCTATGAGCCTGTAAAATCAAAAACAAGTTAGTTACATGCAAGATACAATGGAGGTACAAGCATTGAGTAAACACTCCCATTCCAAAAAGGAGAAACCCACTAAAAGAAAGTGGCTACAGGGTCCATGCAAGTCCAAAACCTAGTAGAACAATAATTAAATCTTAAAGCTCCAGAATAATCTCCTTTGATATCATGTCTCACATCCAAGACACACTGGTTTGATAAAGTGAGCTCCCAAGGTCTTGGATAGCTCCACTCCTGTGACTTTGCAGGGTTCAGTCCCTATGGCTGCTCTAACAGGCTGGTAGGTTGGCATTGAGTGCCAGCAACTTTTCCAGGCAAACATAAGCTGGTGGATATATCATTCTTGGGATCTGGAGGACAGTGGCCCTTTTCTCACAACATCATGAGGCAGTGCCCCAGTGAGGACTCTGCGTGGAGACTCCAACTTCACACTCTGCACGGCCCTAGTAGTGGTTCTCCATGATGGCTTCCCACTGCCCTAGTAGAGGTTCTCCATGATGGTTCCACCCCTCCATCAGGCTTTTGCTTGGACACCCAGGCTTTTTCATATATCCGCTGAAATCTAGGCAATGGTTCCCAAGCCTCAACTTTGGCACTTTGTGCACCTGCAGGCTTAAAACCACTTACACTCCCTGAAGCAGCATCCCAAGCTGTACATAAGTCCCTTTGCACCAGGGTTGAAGCTCCAGCAGCCAGGAGGCAAAAGCAGTGTCCTGGGTCTAGGCAAGGCAGCAGGGCTCAAAACCTGGCCCAGGAAACCATTCTGTTCTCCCAGGCCTCAGGGCTTCTGGTGGGAGGGGCTGCCTCTTAGATATTTGAGATGCCTTCCAGGCCTTTTTCTCATTGTCTTGGCTATCAGCACTTGCCTTCTTCTTAGTTACACAAATTTCTCTAGCAAGTGGTTGCTCAGTAGCCTGCTCGAATTACTTCTCAAAAAACTCTTTTTTTTTCTATGCCGTGTGGCCAGGCTACATTTTTTTTGCAAACATTTATGCTCTGCTTCTCTTTTAAATATAAGTTCCAACTTCAAGTTATTCTTCTGCTACTGCATCTGAAATTAGGCTATGAGAAGTAGCCAGTGTGCATCTTGAACACTTTGCTGCTTAGAAATTTATTCCACAACCAGAGGTGTCCCAGGGAGAGAATACACTCGTGGGTTCTGAGTTTCTGTTTGTCTGGTTGGGCCAGTAAAGCCTCTTCTTTATCTCTCTTTTATGCTTATCACTGAAGACAGAAACTAAAACCATGTCTACAGGCTGCTTCAAGCCTAAAACAACAAAATAAAACAAGAACAACAACAACAAAATAAGGCAGGCTACACACGCTTGCATCATTCTCAAGTTTAAAGTTCCACGGATCCCTAGGGCATGGGCACAATGCACCCATGCTCTCTGCTGTGGTATAGCAAAGTGACCTTTTATCCAGTTCCCAGTAAGTTTCTCATTTTCTTCTGAGACATCTTCAGCCTAGAATTCACTGTCCGTATCATTATCAGAATTTTGGTCCCAATCATTTAATCAGTCTTTAAGTTTCAAACTTTCCCTCATCTTCCTTTCTTCTTCTGAACTCTCGAAACTCTTCCAACCTCTACCTGTTAGTGAATTCCAAAGCTGCTTCCAGATTCTCAGGTGTGCAATACTTCACCCTGCATTAGGCTGTTCTCACATTGCTATAAAAAATACCTGAGACTGGGTAATTTATAAAGGAAAGAGGTTTAATTGTCCCATAGTTCTGTGGGCCGTACAGGAAGTATAGTGGCATGGCACCTGCTTATGGGGAGGCCTCAGGAATCTTACAATTAGACAGAAGGTGAAGAGGGAGCAGGTGTATCATATGGTGAAAATAAGAACAAAGAGACAGAGAGAAGAGATGTGACACACCTTTAAACAACCAGATCTTGTGAGAACTCACTCACTTTTTTGAGGACAGTACCAAGAGAATGATATTAAATCATTCACGAGAAATCTGACCCCATGATTCATTTCCCTCCCACCAGGCTACATCTCCAGTATTGGAGATTCCATTTCACATGAGATTTGAGCAGGGACAACATCCAAACTATATTATTTAATGATATGAGTTTTCTCATTAGACGCACCTGAGAAATACAACCTTCCATAAGAAAATTTTCCCTAGGAAATGGCTATGGCACAGAGCCTTGAATAAATTAGGACATAGATACAAATTCAAATTTACAAATTTAATAATAACATGAAAATTCTCACATCCATTAAATGTATCAAACTACTATAAAATAATGTTTAATGAAATATACACATTGTAATAAAATTTTTAAAGATAATTACTTTTTAATATATGTGTTTATAAACAGTGTTTGGGGAATAAGCATAAAACAGTTCAAATTAAATATAAGTCATTGGGCACATTTTTTAGGACACACTTGAAACTATCAGAAATACACACACACACACACACACATATTTCTTTCCTAACTTAATTTTTACTGAATATCAACCCTGTGTTTAAGTCAGTTTGAGCTACTGTAACAAAAATATAAAATACCAAGTGGCTTATAAACAACAGAAATCTGTGCTAGATTCAGCAGCACATTGGAACAATAAAGAGATTAGCATGGCTGCTATATAGCAATGACATACAAATCCGTGAAGTGTTCTGTATTTTTCTTCTGGTTGGTAAAAAAAGAAAAAATATTTCTCATAGTTCAAGAGGCTGAGACATCCAGAATTAAGGCACCAGCAGATTCAGTACCTAATCAGGGCCAGCTTCCTGGTTCATAGTTTATGGCCATCTTCTGCTTGTGTATTCACATGGCTGAAGTAGTCTGGGAGTTTTCTCAGGCCTCTTTTGTAAGGGTGCTAATCCCTAATAACCTCACAAAGGCGCCACCTCCCAATACCATCATCTGGGTGTTAAAATTTCAACATATTAGTTTTAGGAGGATCTAAACATTCATCTTAGGACCATGTATGTATCAAAACTTAATAAATGTACTGTAGTTCCTTTCAAAGGTACTTACAGCCACATAGGTTAGGCAAACTTATATATCCAGTGGTAATAAAATTTAGAGTGTGGTATTACAGAGAAAATAAATATGACATTCCATTCTCACTTATTTTAGTTAAATTTAGTTTAACCTAGATTTTACTGTTTGGGTATATAATGAATGAAGGCAATCTCCCTACATAGAAACCTGAAAATGTGCATGACACACTAATTAGCAAAAAAGTTCAAGATAAATTTTTTTTTGTTGTTTTATAATATAAGAGTTCAAACAAAATAGATAAAGCTGTGTGGCTTTATTTCTGGGTTCTCTCTCATGTTCCATTAGTTTATGTGTCTGGTTTTGTAAGCTGTTTTGGTTATTGTAGCCTTGTAGTACAGTTTGAAATCAGATAGTGTGATGATCTTCAACACAGTCAACAAAAACAAGCAATGGGGAAAGGGCTTCCTATTCACTTAATAGTGCTGGAATAACTGGCTAACCATATGCAGAAGACTGAAACTGGACACCTTCCTGTCGCCATATACAAAAATCAACTCACAATGGAGTAAAGACTCAAATGTGAAACCTAAAACTGTAAAAGCCCTGGAAAAAAAATTATGAAATACAATCATGGAACTAGGAACTGGTAAAGATTTTATGATGAAGACTCCCAAAGCAATTACAACATAATAAAAAAATGACAACTGGGACCTATGGAAATTAAAGAGGTCCCTTACGGCAAAAGAAACTACCAACAGAGTAAACAGACAACCTAAGGAAGGAAGAAAGTGTTTGTAAACTATGCATCTGACAAAGTCTAATATCCAAGATCTATAAGGAACTTAAACAATTGAACATGCAAAAAAACAAACAACCACATTTAAAAATGGACAAAGGACATGAAAAGATACATATAACCAACAAGAATATGAAAAAAATACTCAACATTACTAATCATTAGAGAAATGCTAATCAAATCCACAATGAGAAACCATCACACATTAATAGTCAGAATGGTTACTATTAAAGTCAAAAATTAGCAAATGCTGGCAAGGTTCTAGAGAAAAGGGAATACTTATGTACTCCTGGTGGAAATGTACATTCATTCAATCATTGAGGAAAGCAGTTGGAGATTTCTCAAAGAATTTAAAGCAGAACTACCATTCAGCCCAGAAATTCCATTCATATTTCCACAGGAATATAAATTGTTCTACTAGAAAGACAAATACATGCACATGTATATTCATCACAGCAGTATTCACAATAGCAAAGACATGGAATCAACCTAAATGCCCATCAGTGATAGACTGGATATAGTCAACATGATACATGTATACCATGGAATACTACACAGCCATAAAAAAACAGACTCATGTCCTTTGTAGCAACATGGAAGAAGCTGGAGGCCATTATCCTAAGTGAATTAACTGAGGAACAGAAAACCAAATACTGCATGTTCTTACTTATAAATAGGATCTAAACATTGATTACATATGGACACATAAAAGGGAACAATAGACACTGGGGCCTACTTGAGGGTGGAGGGTAGAAGGAGAGTAAGAATAAGAAACTCACTATTGGCTACTATGTTTATTACCTGGGTTGTTTCATACTAAGCTAAAATAACCAAACTCCTGTGTCATGCAGTTTACCCCCGTAACAAACCTGCACATGTACCCTCTCAACCTACAATAAAAATTAAATAGAAAAAAATGATAAAGATTTTTCTTATATAATGTATTTGTATTTTGGGGAAATAATCTCAGTTTGCCCTTTTTATGGTTTTGTTTGATGCTTATTTTAGAAGTCAAGTCCAGATTACATGATATCAATACATTTTGGTAGTCTGACAATGAATCTGTCAAATCATTAGCTAACTTGGTTCTGTGATCTTAGTGTGTACTTAAATATAACACATTGTGATCGTGTTAGTTGTTCCTTTTCACTAAAGTTTTGTGCTCAAACTTATCTAATGATCTAGTGACAACTTTCTTTCCTCATAAAATTAGCATTTAATAAATGAGCAGTTATTTATGACAATGTTAAGTAACTTTTATAACTTAGGTTAATGGTAAATGTATGCAATTGATTAAGTATTAAAATATAATTTGGGTAAAATACATAATTTACAGGGCTTAAAAAAATTCACGTTTGGCTGGGAGCGGTGGCTTACGTCTGTAATCCCAGCAATTTGGGGGGCTGAGACAGGAGGATCACCTGAGGCCAGGAGTTTGAGACCAGCCTGGCCAACATAGACCAGCCTGGCCAATCTGTTTCTACTAAAAATACAAAAATTAGCCAGGTGTGGACGAGGTGCCTGTAATACCAGCTACTCAGGAGGTTGAGGCAGAAGAATCATTTGAACCCCGGAGACAAAGGTTGTGGTGAGCTGAGATTGTGCCACTGCACACCAGTCTGGGTAACAGAGTGAGACTCTGTCTCAAAAAAAAAAAAAAAAAAAAAAATGCTTGTTAATTTTTTGACTTGTAACATTAGGAAAATATTTATATTTCATGATCTCAATTTTTTTATCTTTTAAAGAGCTCAGTGTTTCCTACTTCACAAGGTTATTTTTGATGATCAAATGTTTATCTGTATACGTAGTAAAGTAGTACCTGCTGCACAGTAAATGCCCAATAAATTTTTCTCTTCCTATTTCCATTTTACTCTCCTCCACCACGTAGTGTAGTATAGTGGTTAAGGACAAGTATGGAAACACTCTGTGTTCAAGACCTATCTTTAGCTTCTTAACTGTGTGACCTTGTTAAATAACCTTGTTAATATCCACTTTGGGTCACAGTATTTTCATTTGTAAAATGTATGTAAAATATATATCTTATGCCACGGGAATTGTGTGTGAATTAAATTTTTAATAAAGATAAAATTCTAGGACTAGTACCTTTGGCTGCCTTTTCTACATTAAAGTCTGTGGAATGAATACATTCTGGAGGCGCATGTCCACTACAATTATCGAAGATTAAGCTTTCAACTTTCAAAAGACACTAATAAAATTAATGTTTAAAAATCTAGCTACACAACAATGAGGAAAATGGTGCTATTATGTTTGATAGTTGTCTCTTCTATACCATAAGGAGCATAGGCTACGCTACCTGCCATACTGCAGTGGAGAGGAAATTTTTATTATTATCTGCAATGATGATTTTACAGTCACTATACATAGCAGGTCATGTTGGTAATGAAAGTGACGTTATAATTCACATAAGAAAATAGTTGATAGTATATTTTTAACATCAGATGAGCTGACCATTTTTATTTATCTTATTTTGCCCAAGAAATGAATGTCTTGGTTAAAGATGGAGAGAACATATTTTGTTTGAAGAAGGAAAAACTAAATTACATTACTTATCAAATTTTCTTACTCCAAAAAAGTCTGAATTTCCAACAGCATTATATATATACATATATTTAGACATATACACAATGCTTAAAATATGTATGTAACATTTTATTTTTATCTAGCTAGCTAGCTCTTCAGAAATAAAAATAATATGCATGATGGATTCTTATGTAAGACTCAGAGAAAATATTGTAATCGTAACTGGGACTCTGACCTTCTTGAACACTCCAGATAATAATTTTTTTAATTTTAACAATTCTTCCTTGAGTCTATAATTTCTAAATACAATCATATATGATGTATTAACAATAAATATATTAGATTCATTATATTAATATTTATTTTCTGTAAGATAGTAAAACTACTCAATATAGAAGCAGAAATGGGAAAGCTATGAACTCTAAGTCTGATAAAATATATTTTAAGAAACTAAAATATCCTCATATTGTTTTCAATTTTAATGTCCTTAGGAAGGCAGTATAATCAAAACAACTCCTCTTACAAGGAGGAATTTGTAAAATTATTATACAATTAATTTTGAAAGTAACTTTTCCATTCGAACATCTCTGTGATTGCAAGATTCTGATGGATAAGGCAGGAGCATTATTTATCTTTCCATACACATGGAAGAAATTCATGTTCCCCCCCTTTGCAGTCAAAATCACATTTGGATTTGGAATCACCTCTATCCCTTTGGAGTTAGGTATGATCACATGATGTGTTTTGCAAATAAGAAAATGTAAAACTAAGTGATGCATGTCCTTTTTTGCCAAAGATTTCAGTCAGGGAGAATTCAGAATATTTTCCCCCCTCTACTTTAAATGCCAAAAGCCTTCTAGGTAATAGGTTTACTATCAATTATATCACAGATTTTGGTAACGGAAACAGACTGAACTATTGGTAGAAATGTAGCATCATCAACCAATCACTATTATTTCCAGATTCTGGGACTTCGGGGTTTGTTAGTCAAGCACAAATGATACTACAGCACCACCTCATTCCTAGCACCAAGTTATGTACTAAGCAGGATAGTAGAGTGACTAGTATATAACTTGATGCTAGGAATGAGGTGGTGCTGGAAGACATATTTACATGATGTAGAGATGGCTTAATTGTTCATTTGTGAGTAGTGAGAAAAACATCAGAAGCTGGAAAGATGAAAATCCAGGTCATGCTGTGGTAATTTGTAAAGTGTTGTGTATAGTAACTTATAAAGTACAGCATAGGCCTGATGAAATTGCTGATCTAGAAAAAAGTTGTTAATACCACCTGTGGTAGCCAATAAAAATTTGATGCTTACAGCAATACATTTCAGGAGAGAAGAGTTTATATGAAAGCTTGTGAAGCTGACAGACAATAAATATAAAAGCAGAGTTTAAGTCTTAAATTCAAAATATCTATCAGCCTCGACTAAAAAAAATACTTTATAAGCCTTAAAATTATTGTTTTCTCCCCAAATGCTTGGGGATAGGTAATGGGCTCTAGGAAAGCAGATAATGTCTTTTAGTTCATAGGTTGCTAGGTTAAATAGGCATATCTTATATCATTCAGAGAGTCTGGAGTTTGAGCTCGATGTCATGATTAGAAGGGGTTTTGCATTTCTTGAGGATATGCTGTGTGTATCTCGAAAATGTAAAGGAGATTGGACTAAATAGTTGGTGATCAGAAGTGTAGACGCAAATAAATATTACTATTTTTATTATGGTTTTTAACTGGTTCTCATACGGGAACATGGTAGGATTTAATTCACCTACCTCCCTGAAGTAACATGTTTTGTGCTGATGAAATATGGGTGGAATGCATACATTTATCACCAGACCGAAGCTGGAAGAACCTAACCTAATTTAATTACCTTTTCTTTTAGCTTTTGCCTTAGAAACAGTCAATGTTGCAGATGACTTCTGCTTTGTCAGTATAGATTCTAAAGTGAGGAGAATGCAGGGCAGATACACCAGTTAATCTGTGATATATATGCAGTATGTGTAGAAAATAAGCATGGACTGTTTTAAACCACTGGGTTTTGCAACACAACCTAGACTATTCTAGCAGGTGCATTCAATTAAATTTGAATTAAAGACAGCTTTCTTGATTTTGTCAGTTTATTTTTAAAGATCCTTCAATCATTAGAAGAACCTGTAACAAAGACAGTGTGACAGCAGCTTTCTATATCATTGTAACATATTTCTTCTTAAATTATTGCTTGTATATCAATGTCATATAGTTCATTTAAAAATGGGAGGCATATTTATAAAGTGTTTTATTGTTCACATAAGAGCATTCAATAAACTGGCTATATGAGTTAATCTATCCAGTCTCTGTTAATGTCTTCAATGAATGTACCTACTATATACTAGGATCTCTAGTCAATAATATTGAGAATAGAGACAGCAGAAATGAGCTTATCTTAAATATATAAAGTTGTATCAAAAGAATGATGAGATTTCTTAGATAATTAAGTTGAATTATCACAGTTGACGTAAAGATTCTGGCTTAAAAACTGTTTGAGTGTTGATGTTATTAATGGGGTAGACACAGTTTTTTGCCTAATACATATAGGACTCAGTTCTGGTCATTTAACTTTGAAATTACTCTGAGACAATCATGCAGACTGGTTAAACATCCAGTTGTATGTGTAAGTCTGCAGCTGTGAAAACAAGTTGGTGCTGGTAATATACATTTGAGAATATGAAAATATATGGCATTCAAAGTAATGGGAATGAGTGAGATCAACTTCCTTGACAAAACATAAGCTATTTTTACATAGGATCACCAAAGCAATTCAATTATGTGTTGAACCGTCATGGTTCATATAATCATCAAACTTTTTTTAGAATTTCAGACATATGTAATGATAAAATTTTCATTGTTCTCTCTAATGTCAGATACTCTGAATTTGTTTATACGTTGAGGACAAATTCTTCCAAGAGCATGCAATCCACATAGTTAAATTTAAAAAGTAATGCAATCATTTTTAGTGGCTGGCAATACGTGGTAGCATTTATGAGGACAGTGAGCCAATGATGCAGAAATAATTGTAGCCTCTATCTCTGTGGTTTGATGTCAAACAATTCATTAGTGATATGAACTTTCTAAAATTGATTTTCCTCCCTAATTATTTTTGCTTGAAACTCATTTCATATTTGTCATATTTTAAAAACTGTAACATAAATCTTTAAGTAGGAAAAATAAGTATATGACCATCACTTCAAAATTTGAAGTGCTCTAAATTTTTGAAATCAATTTTAAATCTGTTATCTCTCAGGGATATAGGATGTGAGGTTTCTTTACGTCAGTAGATTTATTCTAGTTATCTTAAAATAAAACCACACTACTTGGACAATATAATTAATAAGAGGACTGCTCAGTTTAAAGTAAGCAATGACTCCAAATAATCAATAATGTACAATAACAAAAGTCTAATGCTCACTTATATGACATGCTCAATGTGGATGAACTGTAGCTTTCCTCAAAGACCTATTCATTATGGAGCAGATTAAATTAAACAGCTTTTGTCTTTATTATTGTCAGTTTCCAAGTAGAATGAACAGAAATGTGGTGGACTCATAATGGCTCTTAAAACTTCTGCTTATATGCTAAACTTGTAACTTCCTGTTACATTTCACAGGCCAATCAAGTTACATGATCATGCTCCACTTTGACATGTTGAAGATATAAAACATTCCCTCTGAGAGAAATGCCCAGAGAGGGAACACAGCGATTTGAACATTTATAACCTTGTGAGGTTAAACAAAGTCTCTTTGCATCAAAAATACTTACTCCAAAATTCATGTGCTAAAGTTCATTCACTTTAATTATGTAAGGAGCCTCAATTTTTTATGCAAAGTTTATTAATGTGTTTGTTCAGTTGGAATAATTGTAGCTGCCTGGCTTCTAAGCCAGATAAGTGAGACCTGTAACAGGCAAATACCGGGACAAAACTAAAACAGTAAGAACCAGCAGCTTTGAGAACATACACTCATCAGGTAGAAGTCAGTAGCTCCCAGGTATATGAACATTTATAATGCTTTGTAAAGCAAGGCTTAACATGGACATACTTCTTCTGTTCATATTCCATTGGCTGAAGCAAACCAAAAAGCTAAGTCCAATGTCCACCAGCCCTCCCTTTCTAATAAAGAGGAGGGATAGAACAAATATTTGCTAAAATAACCTAATTTGTCACCAATTTTCAGTTTCCAAGAACAATTTAAATTATCTTTCATTTTTGAATAGGCATATATTTGTTTAAAAATTGAATCAATAATTAATAATCTATCAAAACAGTAGTACCAGGACCAGATGGATTAATTGGTGAATTCTACTACATATTTAAGGAAGAAATCACACCCATTCTCTACAATCATTTTGTACAATATTTCCTAACTCACTCTATGATGCCAACATTACCCTGACACCAAAAACAGAGGGCTTATAAAAAAAGTAAATCACAAACCAAAATCCCTCAAAAATATAGATGTAACAATTCTCAACAACATATTAGCATATGAATTTAACACTGTATAAAAAGAAGTATCCTTTGCAACCACGTGGGATTTATCCTACTTGTGCAAGCCTAGTCCAACATTTAAAAAGCAATTAATGTGGTTCATCACATCACCAGGATAAAGTAAAGAAAATCACACAATTTTATCAGCAGATACAGAGAAATCATTTGACAAAATCCAACACTCCTCCATAATAAAAGTCTCAATAAAGTAGGAATAGAGGGGGAACTTCCTCAACTTCATCAATAATATCTCCGAAAGACCTACAGGTCACGTCATTTTTAATGGTGAAAAACTCAAAACTTTCCCAGCAAGATCAGAAAGAAGGAAAGGATGTTTAGTCTCACCACTGCTGTGTGGCATCTTACTGGAAGTTCTAGCTAATGTGAAAAAAAGGAAATAAAGAGTTTACAGATAGGCAAGGAAAAATTAAAAGTCTTTGAAGATGGCATGTTTGTCTATGTAGAATATCTGAAATAATTGGTCTGGAAAAACCCAAGGAAACAAACAGTAAAAGAAAACAGAAAGAACCCCTGGAATTATGATGGATTTGCAGCAAGGTTTCAGGATACAAGGTTAATATATGAAAGTCAGTCATGTTACTATATTGTATATCCTACTAATGAATAAGAGCAATTCAAAATTATATATAAAACAATCATGTGTAATTGTTATTTATGCATATTCACATTATTTATATTTATTTATTTGTATTTATGTAATTTTCATTACTAATAAAAATTAAAATACTTAGGTATAAATCTAACAAAACATTTACATAACCAGCATGAGGAAAACTAAAATACTCTGGATGTGAAAGAAACTAAAGAACTAAATATATGGAGAGATACTTTATGTTAGTGGATAGGAAGATTCAGTATTTTCAAGATGTCAATTCCTTCCAAATAGATGTACAGATGTAATGCAATCCCTACTAAAATCCCAGCAAGTTATTTTGTGCATATTAGCAAACTGTTTCTAAAGTATATATGAAGAGGCAAAAGATCCAGCCTAGCTAAAACAATATTGACAAATAAGAACCAGGTTGAAGAACTGACGTCACCTTACTTCAAGGATTCCTCTATAGCTATAGCAAGCAAGAAAATGTGATATTAGTGAAAGAAAAAACAAATGTATCAATGATACAGAATTGAAAACCCACAAATAAAGTTATCTAAATACAGTCAACTGATCTTTGACAAAGGAACAAAGGCAACATAATGTAGAAAATATAGTCTTTTCATCAAATAGTGCTGGAGCAACTAGACATCCACATGCAAAAAAAAAAAAAAGGATTTAGACTCATCTTACACATTTCACACAAATTAACTCAAAATAAATATCAGACCTAAATGTAAAACTATAAACTACACTAAAACTATAAACAAAACTATAGAACTCTTATGGTATAACAACAAAATCTTCATGACCTTGGATTTGGCAAAGATCTTTTGAAAAAAAATTAATAAGATGGAATTCATTAAAATTAAAATTTCTACTATATGAAAATAAGTACCAAACTGGTGCCAAGAAAATAAAAAGACAAGAAACAAACTGGAAAAAATATTTGCAAAAGTCTTATCTGATAAAAGACATATATGTATGTAATATATATTTATAAAATATACAAAGAACTCTTAAAATTTATCATACTTGTGCAAGACTAGTCCAACATTTAAAAAGTAATTAATGTGGTTCATCACATCACCAGGATAAAGTAAAACAAATCACATAGTTTTATCAATAGATACAGAAAAATTAAAAGCCAAACAACCCTTTTACAAAATGGGCCAAAGAACTTAACAGACACTTCACTAGAAAAGATATACAAATGGCGAATAAATATACAAAAAGAGACTCTACATTATATGTCATCAGGAAAATGATAATGCGATATTACTGTGAACCTTATAGAAAAACCAAAATCCAGAACACTGACATCATATGCTGGGAAGATGTGGAAAAACAGGAACTCTCATTCATTGCTTTTAGGAATGCAAAATGGTAAAGCCATTTGGAAGGCAATTTGATGGTTTCTCACGAAACTAAATATATTCTTACCATACAGTACAGCAGTCATGCTCCTTGGTATCTACTCAAATGAGCTGAAAACTTATGTCCACACATAAATCTGCATAAAGATGTTTATGGCAGCTGCATCCACAATTGCCAGTACTTGCAAACAACCAAGATGTCTTTCAGTAGGTGAATGGACAAACTGTTACACAGGGACAGTGGAATGTTATTCAGCACTAAAGAGAAATAAGCTATTAACCCATGAAAAGACATTCAGGGAATTTAAATGTGCATTACTAAGTGAAAAAATGCAATCTGAAAAGGTTGCATACTATGATTTCAACCATATGACTTTCTGGGAAGGCAAAACAATGATGACAGCTAAAAGATTAGTGGTTGCCAGTGGGGATGGGGTGTGAAGCACAGAGGATTTTTAGTGCAGTGAAAACACTGTGCATAATACTATAATGTTAGATATATGTCATTATAAATTTGTCCAAACTTATAGAACGTACAACACCATGAGTGAACCCCATTGTAAACTGTGGACTGTGGGGATTATGATGTGTCATTGTAGATATATCCGTTGTAAAAAATGTACCATACTGGTGAGAGATGTTGATAATAGGGGATGCTATGCATGTGTAAAGGCAAAGAGTACCTTGGAAATCTCTGGTCCTTCTCTTCAACATTGCTGTGAACCTAAAACTGCTCTAAAATGAAGCCTATTATAAAATAACGCAAAACAAAACAAATTGATTTTAATAATTTATGCCTGAGTAACAGGCTTCCATTTTGGCTTGAAATAGTAATTCTTAATTAAATATAAACCTTGAAAAACAGCATAAGTATTAATATCTGTCATAAAAATAGAGCTTAAAAGACAATGAAGGATAAATCCTCTAATAAGCAAAAGAAAAATTACACAGGAAAAACTACATATCCAAAAATCACTTCCCATACTTTGTCCTCTACGCTGACATATATATATGCATACAGCTGACTCATGAACACCATTGGTTTGAAATGCATGGGTCCACCTATAAATGGATTTTCTTCCACCTCTACCACCCCTGAGACAACAACCAAACCCTCATCTTCCTCTTCCTCAGCCTACTTAGCATGAAGATGATGAGGATAAAGACCTTCATGATTATCCATTTCCACTTAATGAACAGTAAATATAATTTTTCTTCCTTATAATTTTCTTAATAATATTGTCTTTTCTCTAGCTTACTTTGAGAATACCATATATAATACATATTATATGCTTTATAATGGTTAATAATGCTGTAATTATATAGATGCAGTATGTGTTAATTGATTCTATGTTATTGGTAAGGCTTCCAGTCAACAGTAAGCTATTAGTAATCAAGCTTTTGGGGAATCAAAAGTTATATGTGGGCTTCAGGATGGCTGACTAGAGGCACCTGACATTTGCTTCCTATACAAGGAAGGATTGAATCACAAAGCAGATAGATGATCACAGGTTGGATAGGGCATCTAGGAGAGAACACTGAAATTGAGCAGGAAAGTGGCATGAAAGCTCTGAATCATGAAAGGTGAAGAAAGTAAAGCAAGAAGCCCAACCAAGTGTGGGGAAAAGGTAAGCAAGAGTTTCCCAATGGTACACATTTTCACCATGGACTCCTCTAATCCTAGCCCTGGGATAGCCCCTCAGCCCTCATGGGCCCCAAGACTAGTATAAGGAGCTGCCTGGAGTCCACACGATGACATTATTCCAGAGAGGGAGTTCACATTGCGTTCCACACATCTCTTAAGACTCAAATTAGCTGCTGCACTGCTCCATTTTGAGAGCTCAGTCCCCAGTAAATTATATCCTGCCTTGGGGCCCAACAACCCCTGCATCTCCACATTCCTAGAGCCCCACTGACATCCCCTCATATCCACCTAGAAAGCTATGGCAACATGGCACCAGATGGACATAGCAGCTCGGATGTTTCTTCAGCACCCAGCCTATGCAGTATCCTGTGTCCCAGGAAACAGGAGGGTGGTGTAGTGCATGAGGGAGGCTGCTGCCAGGACAAAGAGAGTTAAAGTACACACTCCCACAAGCCTGAGAGCTGCCTGTTTGCAGCCACTGCAACATTGCACCATTGACCTCCCTATCAACAGGCTGCTCCAAACCTGCATGCTCCAGGGTGTCTGGGGACTGGCCAAATTGGACACTATCCTGGGGCCTGAAGACAGGCCTGGCTCACACAACAATACTACTCCACAAGTGGCCAAACATGCTGTTCAGGAGCTTAAGGATCAATCCACCTGGCCTGCCACAGCTAATAAGCTGGGAACTATCAGGGGCCTGAGGACTGGCCCACCTGGTCACCAGAGCCACCAGCCTCTATGAGGATTGTGCAGGAACTGGAGGATTGACCCACCCATCTGTCTGTCCCTGGTACCCACATATACCATCAGGAAAACCTGACAGCAGATCCACCCCACCCACGGCCATTAACTGTGTGCATCATCCATGGGCCTGGGAACTGGTCTGCACTGCCCACCACTGCCACTGCTGGATGTGAGCACACTGTTTGGAGGCCTGTTTCACCCACCATAGCCTATGCCTGCAGATAACATTGGGGAGAACTGAAGACAGGCCCACCCAAGCTGGGACCACCTTTTCCAGTGTCTGTGCACATTATCCAGGGGGCTGAAGCCACAAGAATTCATGCATAACTTCCAGGAGGCTAGGGACTGGCCTATTCATGCTGTCAGGGCCCTATACAATGTCCAGGGGTATGGAGATAAACCAGCCACAACCTGTGTCCATGCACACCATCAGGGGGCCTGAGAACAGGTCCATACAAACTGGCACTGCCCCTACCAATGCTTGCATGCATCATTTAAGGGTGTAAGGATTGACCCCTCCATCCACTACCACCAGTACCTATAAATGCATTCTAGGGGGCCTGAGAATGGGACCTTAGCCTACTGATGACTGCACACATTGTCTAGTGCTCTGAGGATTCACTTGTTCCATCTGTCACCACCAGTGCCTGCATGTGCCTCTTGAAAGCCTGAGGATGGCCCCTCCCAGCCTGCCACCACCACAGTTAACAGCACTCATTTGCATATGCCAACTTGGGGCCTCAGGACTGGCCCATTCATCCAGTTGCCACCACTGCTGACACCTGTGCATGCTACCAGAGGTCTTAAGGGTTGGCCCACAGACAGGACTGGCATGAACACCCCAAAGCAAGAGGCCTGAGTACCCACCTGCCTAACCAGCTGAATACTGTCACTGTAAGCACATGAGAAGCCACCAAGAGGCCCAAGAATCATCCTACCTGGAATATACCACCTGGGTGCCTGCATACACCACCTGGGCACCCAATGACTGGCACACATGGCCTGCTGCTGACACTACTGATGTCTAAGCATTACCCACCTGATGTTCTAATTTCCAGTAAAGCCTCACCACAGCCTTCACCTACAAGTGCAGCCTAAGCCTCTGAGTACCACATAGACAATACGGATGCTGATTACAGCATAAATCATACAGAGACTACAATACTGCACCCACCAAGAATCAAAGGCAAAGTGCCCTGCCCAACAAACACTACAGGGACATCTACAGGAAAAAATTTTTGCCATGAAAGCCAATCCATAAAATTAGAAGAAGCAACTGTTACATCAGATCTGCAGATATCAGCATATTGAGGCAAGAAACATGATAAAATGAGAAATCATGACAAGAAATGTAGTAATTCTCTGGCAACAGATCTCAATGAAAAAGAAATCTATGAAATCCCTAAAAATAAATTCAAGATAATATTAAAGAAGCTTAGTGAGACATAAAAGAGCACAAAAAATACAAATAAATCAGAAAAACATTTGTAATCTAAATTAGAAATTTAACAAAAAGATAGATATAATAAAAAAGATTTAAACTGAAGAACTCAATTAATTAAATAAAAATACAATGGAGAGCTTCCACAATAGACTAGATCAAGCAGAAGAAAGAATTTCTAAACTTGAAGACATGTCTTTTGAAATAACACAGACAGACAAAAAGAAAAGAATAAAGAAGAATGAAGAGAGCCTGCCTGACATATGGGGCATCATAAAGCAACCAAATATTCAAAATTTGAGTGTTCCAGAAGGGAGACAAAAAAAAGCATAGAAACTCCACCTAATGAACTAATAGCTGAAATTTCCCATCTTGCAAGATATAGACATCCAGATACAGGAGCTTAAAGATGCCCAAATATATCCAACCAAAAAGATATTATTTAAGACATGTTGTAATCACACTGTCAAAAATCAAAGACAGAGAGAATACTAAAAAAACAGCAAGAGAAAAGCATCAAGTCACATATAAAGGAATCTTCATCAAACAGCTAAGTTCTCAGCAGAAACCATTAAGTACAGGAGAGAATAGGATAATGTATTAAAAGTACTGACAATCAAGAATACCATATGTAGCAAAGTCATCCTCCAAAAATCAAGGACAAATAAGGCATTTCCCAGATAAGCAAAAACTGAAAGAAATCATTACCACAAGACTGATCCTACAAGAAATGCTTAAGAGAGTCCTACATCTGAAAGCAAAAGGATAATATCTACCACCATGAAAATACAAAAAAGTATAAAACTCATGGGTGGAGCAGACACAATAAGAAAGGGAGGGACTCAAATGTTACCGCTACAGAAAACCACCAAACTGCAATGATAGTAAGAAAAAAAAGAAAGGATCAAAGGACATACAAAATAATAGAATAACAGTTATAAAAATCACAGGAATAAGTTGTATCCTATAAATAACAACCTACAATATAAAGAGATTAAATTTTTCATTTATAAGATACAAATTGGCTGATTAGGTTACAAACTTGACCCAACTATGTGTTGCCTACAAGAAACTCATTTTATCTGTAAAAACATATATAGACTGAAAATGAAGAGATGAAAAGATATTCCATACAAACGAAAACCAAAAGAAGACAGGATTAGCTAAGTTAGTTAAATTTGAAAATAAAAAACTTAAAAAGAGACAAAGAAGGTCATTATATAATGATGAAAAGGCCAATCCAGCAAGAGGATATAACAATTCTAAATATATATACACTAACAACAAACACCTAACAACACTATATAGTGTGTGTGTATGTGTGTGTAAGTGTGTGTGTATGTGTGTGTATATATATATAATATAGATATAATATATAATATAATGTATAATATATAATATAATATAATATATAATATATAACATAATATATATTATATATACATAATACTATATATATATATATATATATATATATATATATATATATATATACAGAAATTTCCTCTGGACGTACACAACCTACTAATATTGGGTCAGAAAGAAGTAGAAAGTTTGAAGACCAATAATGAGTAACAAAACTGAATCAGTAATAAAACATCTCTCAACAAAGAAAAGCCCAGCACTGAGTTGCTATACTGGTGAATTCCATCAAACTTGTAAATAAGAACTAATGATAATTTTTCTCATACTATTCCAAAAATTCTAAAAGAAAGGAATTCTTCATAACATTCCATTGTCCAGCTTTATCCTGAAACCAAACCATATGATCACACATGCACACATCCCCCCACACACACGTGCACTTGCGTGCACACACACACACACGCAAATAGTACTACAGGCCAATATTCCTGATGAACAAAGACACAAACATCTTCAGAAAAGTCCTAGCAAATAAAATCTTACAACACATCAAAAAGATAATACCCTATGATTTAGTAGGATTTATTCCAGGAATAAATGTATACTTCAATATATGCAAATCAATAAATATGATATATCATATCAACAGATTGAAGGATAAAATGCATATGATTACTGTAATAGATACAGATAAAACATTTAATACAATGCACAATCCCTTTATGATTAAAAAAAAGAAACCTCTCAACAAATTAGGTATGTAATGAACATACCTCAACATAAAGGGCATATATGACAAACCTTCAGCTGACATCATTCTGAATGGGGAAGAAAACGACAGCCTTTTATCTAAGAACTGGAACAAGACAAGGATACCCATTCTTATTCAACATAGTACAGGAAATCCTATTCAGAGCAATCAGGAAAGAAAAAGAAGAAAAAAAAAAAGGGCATCCAAATTGGAAATGTGGAAGTTAAGTTGTCCTTTGTAGATGACATAATCTTATATATGTAATAACATGAAAACACCACCAAAAATATTTTAGAACTGATAAATAAATTCAGTAAACTTTCAGAATACAAAATCAACATATGAAAATCAGTAGCATTTTTATACACCAATGAGAAACTGGCTGAAAACTAAATCAATAATTTTATCTCATTTACAATAGGTACCAAAAAAAATTGAATAAATTTAACCAGGAAGGGGAAAGAACTTTACAAGGAAAACTGCAAAACTCTGATGAAAGAAATTGAAGAGGACACAAACAAATGGAAAGACATCTGATGCTAATGGATTAGAAGAATTAATATTGTTAAAATATCCACACCACCCCACCCAAAGCAATCTACAAATTCAATACATTCCCTATCAAAACACCAATGACGTTCTTTACAAAATAGAAAAACAATCTTAAAATCTATATGGAACCACAAAAGACCGTGTATAGACAAAGCAATACTGAGCAAAAAGAAACAAAGCTGGAGGCATCACACTTCCTGACTTACAATATACTTCAAAGCTATAGTAACCAAAACAGCATTGCATTGGTACAAGAATAGAAATAGACCTATGGAACATAGAACCCAGATATAAATCCTTGCATTTATAGTCAACTGATTGTCTTCAAAGATGCCAACAATATACATTGAAGAAAAGACAACTTCTTTAATAAATGATGCTAAAAATACTGGATATCTATATGCAGAAGAATGTGATTAGACCCCATCTTTTATCAAACACTAAAACTCAACTGAAAATTGATTGGAAACTTATATGCTAAGACCCCAAACCATAAACTGCTAAAAGAAAACATAGGAGAAAAGATTCAGAACATTAGGCAAAAAATTCATAACTAAGACCTCAAAAGTATAGGTAGCAAAAACAAAAATACACAAATGGGAACATATTAAAATAATCAGCTTCTGCATAACACAGGAAATAACAGAGTGAAGAGGCAAAAGAGTGGAAGAAAATATTTGCACACTATTCCTCTGACGAGGGACTAATATTCAGAACTAAATAAGCAACTAAAATACCTCAATTCCCAGAAGCATAAAAACAAGCAAACAAATCATTCCATGGAAAATTGGGCAAATAATCTGAGTAGATATTTCTCTAAAGAAGACATACAAATGGCCAACAGATATATAACAAAGTGGTCAACATCACTAACATAAGGGAAATACAAATCAAAGCTACAATTAGATATTAACTTACCCTGGTATGAATGGCTATTATGGAAAGACAAAGGCAAAACAAATGCTGGTGAGGCTGCAGATCAAAGGAAATTCTTATACACTATCAGTGGAAATGAAATTAGTACAGACATTATGGAAAACAATAGAGAGTGTCTCAGAAAACAAAAATAGAATTTTTATAAATTCCAGACTTCCACCCTGGGTATTTATCCAATGGAAAACAAATCAGTATATCAAAGGGATACCTGCATCCTCATGATTATTGCAACACTATTCACAATAACCAAGCTATAGAATCAACTATTTGCAGCAACATAGATGGAACTAGAAGTCATTATATTAACTGAAAAACGCCAGGCATTGAAAGACAAATACTGCATGTTCTCATTCATGTGTGGGGGTTTAAAAAGAAGTTTAACACTTTAAAAAGTTAATCTCATGAAGGTACAGAGTATAATATTTAGCAGAGGCTGGGAACAACAGTGAAGGAATGAAGAGGGGTTAGTTAATGGGTAGAAACATAGAGTTAGATAACAGAAGTAGCTTCTACTGTGTGACAGCATAGTAGGGTGACTATAATTAACAATTAACATATATTGTATATTTCAAAATAGCTAGAAGAAAGGATTTGAAATGCTTCCAACACAAATAAATGGTAAGTGTTTAAGGTGATGGATATTCTAAATACTGTTTTGATCATTTCACATTTCATGTACATATCAATATAGCACATGCACCCCGTAAATATGTATAGTTATTAGATATCAATAAAAATTGTTTTAAAATATGACTACATGGTGGGTTGGCACCTCTGCATTGTTCAAGGGTCAAGTGTGTGTGTGTGTGTGTGTGTGTGTGTGTGTGTGTGTGTATGTGTGTGTGTGTGTTTGCATAAATAAAAGACCAGTAATGTTTTAGGCTGTACTTCTAAATAAAATTTACACATAATTTCCTAGAAATAAAATTTTTCATATAAAAGAGCATTATTCAGATAAAAACTTTCTTTGGTAAATACTTTGACAAAATCAATTTATATGTTAATTTTTACATTTTTTTCAATAGAAACGGCATAATTGATATTAACCAAATTGTTATTGCAATATAAAAAGAAACATTTTGTATGATACAAAAACAGGATATGTGTGTATGCATACATATATATGTATATACATATAGTTTTACTTAACAAAGAACTAATTTTAAATAATTTAGTTTATAAACAAAATTGATACAATATAAAACATTTCAATTTCTTAGATAAATAAAATTCAGTTAAATTTAAAAGGCGAAAAATTTATATGATCTGAAGAGAAACCATAGTATAATTCAGTTAAAATTTAAACATTTAAACCTTGTTAAAACTCATATTTCTTGAGATTCACTGTGCGCTGTCAATTTTATTCATAGTGAAAATTCTTGCTATTCTACAAAATACTGAACACATTTTGATTGTATAAAAATTATTTTCTATAGATTATCTACTTATCTGAGCAATCTGAAGGTTACTTATTAGTAAAATAACATTTGCTTACTGAGAAAATCCTTGTCCATTCTGAATAAAATATGCAAATATACATTCTATTTGCTAATCTACTACCTTATTTATCTTTGTTTGTTTGTTTGTTTGAGACAGGGTCTCCCTCTGTCACCCAGGTTCCAGCATAGCTGGGACTACAGACACACCCCTCCATGCCCTGCTAATTTTTTTTTCTTTTGGAGAGATGGGATTTCCGCCATGTTGCCCAGGCTCGTCTTGAAGCCCTGGGCTCAAGTGATCCTTCTGCCTTGGTTTCCAAAAGTGTTTATTCTACAAGCCTGAGCCACCAAGTCTGGCCTAAAATCTTCTAATGGAAATTCTCAGACCTATTTTTTTCCATTTTCCTGAATTAATCAAGCTTAACATGTGATTCTTTCGGCAATTTTCTTCCTTGTGTCTTCAAAAACAGCTCTGTTTACGTAGGAAACCTGCATTTGGCATTTTGTACTTCTCTGTGTATCTGTGTCTGCATTTTCACACCACTATATCTAATTATTTATATCAGTTCATCTTTTACTTTGGTTTTATTTCTGTACTTTTACTTTTAGACAAGTTCTTTGTTTTAATAAAGTTTAGTGACAAATTTAGGTTTTTATACTACAAAAACCTCATCAAATGAATGTCAAGTGGTTGCTGTTTTTTCTTATACTTTAATTTTTATTGCTGTAATCAGGATGAGCAGTATTTTGGAGACAGCTGTTCATCTTAAGAATTTACTGTGAAAGTGGCTAAAATACGGTTTTAAAAAGAAGCAATATTACAAAAAAAGGTTTCTGTGAAAAACTGTAGTAAATGCATATTGGGCAAATTCAAACAAATTCCAGATTAAATGCTTGAACGAAAAAGCTTTTTTGTTTTCATCAACTTAAATGTAGGATAAAGTAATTATAACTCAAATTTTAATTATAATCAGTTAAAATTTAGAAGTAAATTCTTGGTTTAACTAACATCATTTGCCTTGCCTACTCACTATTTTAAGATTCATTTTCTTTTAAGAGGAAGAAACATTAATGAAGGGAATATTAAGGTTTCAAATGTAGGGTTTCAGATAACTCCCATCTGTATAATTATGGAAATGAATAAATTATCACGATGATAGTTTATCCTTTTTAAGATGTTGTAAAACTGACTAAAAAGTGGAAGTTATGATAACTAAACTCCCTGATGAAGCCACTGAGACATCAATTTAGTCATCAGAAGCTCTTATATGCTCAGCTAATTATCATATTTTCCTCTCTTTGTGCTTTCAGTACAACTAAAGGACTGAAAAGAGCAGATCAAGTACAATCCTGTGGCTAATTGAATATATGTCTCAATCATTTAGTAGTTAATTTCTTTCTGATTTATTTTGTCCAAAATTACTGCAGAAAGGGCAGTTCTCAAGAATTTATTCAAAATCAGCACTTTTCTAACAAGTGAAAGTCAAATGAAAATTTTTAGAAATGTTAAGAGTGTATAATACATCCCTATTCCACATGAAGGTTTCGTTCAGGAAAACAATGTTAGTCTTGAAAATAAGCAAATTGAAAGAAAAAAGCATATATCAAATTAGAAGTTTGTCTATTGCATTATTCTGGCGTGGAGAATGGCATACAGCTTTTGCATATCAGATTAAGAAACTTTGATCTTACTCTGGTTTTACGTGTTTGCACTCACAGCTTTATTTTTGACTTCTACAAAAGTTAATTAAAGCTTATTATATGCTCTGTGGTGTACTACATGATAAAACAAAACAAAAGTAACACTAGGTCATTATCCTCAGCTCCATATAGATTAAACAACCAATGCATAATACAAGATAATGTGCCCTCATAAAGTGTGAGAGGAACACATATCAAACTCAAATCGAGGGATTATTGATTATGAAAATTATTTTTTATTTAAAATTACATGGCCCTTGATACAACTAATGGACAAATATTTGTTACTCTGGGGAATATCACGTGGCCTTTACTCCACTCTGTCAGAGAAAGCAACATATAAAGGTGCTGAATGAATAAGAAACATTGAGATAAAACAACGGACACTGTTAAAACAATATTTTAAAAATTAAATTTAAATATTAAAGGTTAATAACCAAAATTAAAATATATGCACAAGTATATAAATATATATTACTCTCTATATAAACTGTTTTTAAATTTTTTTCTAACATCTTTCAGAGAAGAGCATTGCCATGAAATATTTATAACTTTATATACACAGAATGTTTTAGGATCATTTTGCTATTAATAGCATAACACAAATTGAAATACCTGTTACTTTTTAGGGCTTAAATCTTATAACTGTCTTATTTAGTAAATCATATACACACAGGAAATCATAAAAAAAGTTCTGAACAGTATACTGAATGCTTAGTCACAATCCTGTTAAGTAGAAGGCGAAATATGTTAAAATAAATGTATTTGTTGTTATACTTTCAGTGTATAATAAAACATCAAATGTAATGTAACAATTCTTATGGACTATTATGCACCAACATTTTATGCATTTTTTATTTAACCCTTTCAAAACAGTTATAAGGGGATTTTAGTGTAGCATAAATAAATCATGTAGACATATGATTATAATAAATTTCACTAGTATCGTATGCTTATTCAGGGAAAGGAAATATATTTTCTTGAATTATCATAAAATGTCTTTTGAGACAAATTCAGAAAAAAAAGTATTGCGATGGCTTGAAGTATTTGCATGGAACTTTAGTCCTCAATAATTTTTAAATTTAGATGAATAAAAAATATTTTATTCATTTTTTAATTTATAGAGTTTGTTTTAGTAATTTAGTACCAAATATTTTATCAAATTACTATGTACTTAAGGAATCCAAAAAATATATCTCACATGCATTTTAATGGACCTTTAGTACTTTTATTTGGGGATTTAAATAATGTCAGTAGGGGACTTAAGGTGACTTTTGTCTCATAAAATTCTGAGGTAAACATTTCTCTCATTTGTCCATATAAATTAACTTCACATCCTCGGGTACTATTGCTATACATTCTTTTACATTCCTGTGCATTAAGACATATTTTTAATTGATAGTTTTATGAGATGTGGAAAAATACATTGACTATTTTGGACAAAGAAAATTCAAAAATATATCTTAGGGATACAAATTGGATTGAATTAATGTAATAAAGCTATTACTGTTGTATACAAACAAATTTTTTTAAAAAATTATATTGTTACTGATTGCAACATTTCAAGCTTGTCAAAATAGTAATCACTAAAAAGATAAATGAAGCAAAAATTCTTATTGTGTAAGAATTTTATGATATATTTAAACTTTTTTTTCTTAAATGGATAGAAAACAAATTAACAGTTTTTAAAAATAACTCTATTTTCTTTTCCTTTTCAGGTGACACAATCATCTACTATTCATGATGTTAAGCAAAAGTTTCACAAAGCATGTAAGTTTTATATATTATTTAGAATTTACATCATAATGTTTTATTTTCAAATAGGTTTAAATTTTTCTATAAGTGCAATATATGTTAGAGTGTATGAAAACCATAGTTCTACAAGGAGCTCAGGAACAATAGTTTGCTTAATATTTCTTTGGCATAAATATTCTAGCATTTAACTCTAATTGATCCTTTAATCTCCAGCATTTCCAATTTTTCTTCACAAAGTTGTTTTTAATTTATATTTAAACTTAATTTTATTATAACAGGAAACTTTCTATATGTTATAAAGACACATGCACATGTATGTTTATTGTGGCACTATTCACAATAGCAAAGAATTTCAACCAAACCAAATGTCCAACAAAGATAGACTGGATTAAGAAAATGTGGCACATACACACCATGGAATACTATGCAGCCATAAAAAAGGATGAGTTCATGTCCTTTGTAGGGACATGGATGAAGCTGGAAACCATCATTCTCAGCAAACTATTGCAAGGACAAAAAACCAAACACCGCATGTTCTCACTCATAGGTGGGAATTGAACAATGAGAACACATGGACACAGGAAGGGGAACATCACACACCGGGGCCTGTGGTGGGGTGGGGGGAGCGGGGAGGGATAGCATTAGGAGATATACCTAATTCTAAATGACGGGTTAATGGGTGCAGCACACCAACATGGCACATGTATACATATGTAACAAACCTGCACATTGTGCACATGTACCCTAAAACTTAAAGTATAATAATAATAAAAAGAATTTCTGGAAAAAAAAAGAAAACATTAAAAAAGAATCTATGAATAAAAACCTTCCCATAAAGAAAAAAAAGAATATAGAAATAAATTGCAAATGGTGAATGTACCTAAAATTTATAAACATTTGAGTACAATCTATTTAAAATTCGTAATGAAATGGAAAGCCTATGCAGGAAGGAATACAATTGCTTGAAATATGCTTACTCAGTTTAAAATTCTTGAGGAAGGTGATATTTTTTATTTTGCTATAAAGTCATATAGGAATTGGTTATGTTGAACAGTGCCAGAAGAGCACTATAATAAGGGACAAAGAACAAAACCAAAAAGATAAATATATATATATATATATATATATATATATGTATCTACTATATACATATATATATATGTATCTACTATATACTATACTATAGTATAGTAGATATATATATATCTACTATATACTGTATACATATAGTGTGTATGTATAGTATATATATAGTGTATATAGTATATATAAGTATTTTTGGTGTATTTCTACTTAAAATAAATTTATTTTAATAGTTATTTCTATCTTAGCATAAAACATGGATCTCATTAAGCTAGTAATTGAATTGCCACCTTTGTGGCATTACACTGACTTAGACCAATTCTATCTAATAAAGTGTCTCCAGACAGTTTAGATTACAGTAGTAAGTAGGAAGACATTTGAAAATGACTTTTTAATATAAAGTAGAAAGGTGTAACAAGAAGATTGTATGTAAAACAATAATAACAAAGTCTTATTTCTATTGTTGGAAAATGGGTACATGAATCAAAGTCGAGTTTATGTGTAAAAGAATGTGCAGTCACCCTGACAAAAAAGTATTATTTTTATAATAATTTATGTCAACTAATAGACATAACAATTACTTGAAATCTTAAACTTTTAAAGGAACGCGTTTTCTATTTATGTGATTTAGAGCCTGCTTCTAATACTTAGGAAACTGAAGTTAAGTAAGCAGCTTACAAAAAATCCTAGAAATGTCCTGTTGCAAAAGTAGATAGCTGACAATATGACAATAGTATAGTTAGTTTCAATAGTTATATCAGGGCAAGAATTATTGATAGCTATTATTTTATTTTCCTTTGTAAGTACTAATCTTTAACAGCTTTACTTAAATAGTGACTTTTTTCACTTTTTCAAAATTATCTTTATTTTAATATTATTTCAATCATCTAAAATATAAAAATAATATTTCAGCATTTTCCCATATATCATAGTGTATTTCAAAATTTTATTGATCTTTAGGTTTTACAAATTGAAGACACACAAAAACACTTTTTGCTGCATTACATTATATAAAGTATTTAAAAGAATGTATTTGCCAATTTTTGAAAGACATTGAAAAACATTGCTAATCCTGAAAAATCTGTAAACATATGGACATTAGTAAAAAGAACTTCTCTCTTAATTGCCTTAGGATCTTATATTTTTAGCATATTTTAAAACTAGATAACATTGGATACTTATTAAAGTACATAAATATATACCAAAGAGATTAATCATATACTTACAAAGCCACATTTGTCAGGTTTTAAAAAACTTTACTTTTTGACACCAAATTAATTTTTATGACATTTCTGACATTGTTTGTTTTCAGGCCCTGGAATGGGAATTTAATCTTGGGAAGAAAAAAAAAATATGTTATCAGAAGACATTATTTCCTGAAGGCAGAATTCTTGTTATATGTCTTTTATCTCTATCTTTTGTTCTCGTTTTGATTAATCCTGATATTTTGTCTTCCTACGTTTTCTCAGACTTATCAGCTTTACATTTTTCTTTGTTTTATTTTAGAACTTTTTTTACTGTAATATGTCTTTTCTATACAGTGACAATCTTAATGTTCTTCCAAGGTTTGTAATTTTTAAGTTCTGCTTTGTTATAAGAATAATCTCTTAGTTTACTCTAGTAATGCCACAGTAATCAGACTGGTGAAGAAATAGAAAGAGAGAAAACCACTCTTCATGTGTTAGCTGCTAAGGCAAGGAGAGAGGAATGTTTTTCATGAAAACAGAAGCATATAAAACTACAAATTAGATCTATGCATACACATACAAACAAATAATTTCACTCATTTCTTATGCTTTTCTCATTTAATGCAGCTAAAATGCATGAAATGTCCCCAGCTGCAAATCCTCAGTTGGTCTTTCTTTATCTTGATCTATTTGTTTCTTAACACTTGTAATTATTGTTCTTGTTTGCATCTTCAAGTCTCTTCTAGAGAGCTTAAGAAATTTTCACGCTAATGTACCTTTATATCATGCTCTATTCATGTTCATCTGCTCACAAGTATTCCATAGAGGAATTGTACATTATTTTAAAAACCTAGCTGAAAAATAAAGAATTATTAGTCCCAGTGACACTCTGACCAAAACTGTGTAAATATTTTTTAACATTTTAAAGATATTTTAAAAACTACTGTGTGTCTCTATTATTTATTCTAGCAGAGTAATACCACTCTATTTCTATCGTCACCCAATTCAACAAGTAACCCACTTTTCTCTTGGGATAAAATATGACTTTATTAGAACATGTTGAAAAATAAAATCATAGCAAATTACACTTAAGGACATAATTGGTGGTTATTAGCTACTCATAAATTGGGCAGTATCTTATCTAGATATAGATGTAAGTAGAAACGAACTTCAATAAGCATGACGGGACAGAACAGTTGATTTTATAAAGTGGCTAGCTGGAGCAGGAATGAGAAAAATGTTTCTGCCTGCAAAGAAAAGTGAAAAATTCCTATAGTCTGGGTTTCCACAGAAAAGCAGATGAATGTGATATTTTGCATTAATAAAATAAAATATATATTTATGTAAATACTTTGAAAAATTGATAAAGCGAAGGTCTGCTTAATATGTTCTATAGGAACTGCAGCACGAATTATTGTAAGCCAGGAAATCTCTAACAGAGATTCGGAAATACCACTGTATGAACATGTGTAAAGGTAGCATTTTGTATAAAAACTGTTTGTAAAATTATTTCTAATTATTTATTATTTAATTGTTTATTATAATTATTTGGTTTTGATTAAATGTAATTAATTGTAATTGTGATTGTTTTACAATTTAGTTATAATTATAATTTAATTAATTATAATGATAAGGTAATTGTATTTTATTATTGAATTGAATTTATAATTTACAATGTAAATTACAATATAATTAATGTAAAAATAATTATGTATTATTATTACTGGGTTTGTAGTTAAAAGTGCTTTGTTTTCACAAGATAAGATGCCCTAAATGGCACTCCAAATAGCATATACAGTTTCTACAGCCATCCATCAGTTATAATGGATGACCACTTCTGTGATTATTCAATGTGGGTAAACACCACAATTACAATTAAAATCACAGGCTTGAAGTTGGGTGAAAAAAATAGTGTGTGAAAATATTGAATGAGGTTCAATTTTCATGCAGCAGCAAATCATGCCCTTTATTAAATATTTTCAAAATTATATCAAAACATATTTTCAAAGCTTACTTCAAAGCTCATACAAAATGTACAGTATGAACTATGTGATATTTTAGTTTAGATTAGCATATTACTAAGCACATGATTAATAGTTTTCTTTCTGGATAATTCATCATAAATATCATGGATCCTTACTTGAGATAAAAGTTTTATTACATGTTTTGGCAATTTTTAAGTAGTAAATACTTTTTAGGGTTTCTAGATCACATTTCTTTCTATATTATCAAAATTGTTTAGGATAACTAAAGATTAAATAGAGGGAACCATCAGAAATAACACCCTTATGAAATTAGGATGATATTACTGGAATTTTTCTACTCACTGATTTTGTGTGGACTAGTAACATATTAGTCAAATTGATAAAAATTATTTGCATTTAAGATAATAACTGGAGATAATAATGAAAAGGTAAAGATATGAAAAAAACTTTCTGCTTGTGAAATTTATTTTGTTATTGCTTTTCCTTCTTTTCTCAAATCTAAATGTCTCTGAGAAATTATTAGCCTCCTGTGCTTATCAAATATTATCCCTCAGAAACAACTCTCTTAGCTTTCACTGGCATTCTTCGCCTGGTGAAATCTACTTTTTTTTTGGAGAATCTATTTCTAAAACCTACAAAGTTTATCTCCAAAAAATTGTCTTCTCATACTTAACATCCATATTTCCTCTTCAAATGAATTTCTATTTGTTAAATTTCTTATTTTCTACCAATGTTATAGCATCGGTATTTCTTGGTTTCTTGACCATTTGAACTACCTTTAAAACATTTTTCTTTAAGTTTAAATTGTCTCTTATGCAAAGTATTCCTATACCTTTCTCCATGTTTGTTCACATCTTTTTTTATACCAGTAAGAATCATCTTTCTCTGTTTAAAACCCTCCACTTAATTATCAAGATATATATGCCTTTGGGCTAAGAAAATTTTCCTCACTCTTTCAATCTGTACTCTCATTTTTTCTATATAATTTAAATATTATAGTTAATCACAATGTGTAGCACTTGTTGTCAAATACAATGTCTTATAACATCACTACATGTCCTACTCTACTTTGCATTAACATTTATAATACTACTAATAAAAACAATTAACTTTTTTCAAAATTTATTATGTGCCACGGACCTAAAATATTTCTATTGTAGCACAGTTTTAAAATAATTGTGACAATACTATGATCATTTAGGTACAATTATAATTTTTATCTTTCAGATAAAAATCTTTAAAGAAATATTATATAACTTGCCCCAGGTCACGCAGCTAATAAGTGACAAAGATGGAATTTAATCTCAGGCAGTGTGACTCTGTACCCTGTACTATGACCACTAACCTCCATTCCCTCTATTTGCCTGAAAAAATCTCATTAATTTCTTCAGGCAGAAGTCCCCGTAGTACCCAGTTATTTTACTTGAGAAAGGTTATTTATTAATCCTTATTTTCAAATAGAAAACTACAAAGTTCATTTTAGAAATTATGTAATGAATAATAACACAGTAAATCTGAACATAGTTCACAATTGGTTACAATAACTGAAATCCCTGTCTAAGGTCATATGGCAGTGTAAAAAAACTACTAAATTATTAATAAAAACAACAGCTAATATGAATATAGAGGAAGAGTGAAAATATGGCTTAAAATTGCTAACGAAATATTCTCCTTTGAGATTGTTCTAAAAATAGTAATATATAAATTGAAAGAGTCAATGAATGATTAACAGCTGAAGCATAATTTGTACACTGACTCTGTGTCATAAACATTTCTGAACAAAAAAAGCAAAATCATTTTGCCCATGACTTTCGTGTTATCTATTAGTTGAAAACACCATACAAAGTTTTAGTGATGTTTATTATCTATCAGACTACTTGTCTAAGCAGTTCCCAGAAAGAACCATGGGGAACAAAGCAAGGTAAGAAACAATGAAATTAGCAGGACAATTGTAGTTTCAGCCACAAGAAAGGGTATATAATTTATTGTGACAGTTGGAATGCATATAAATCTTTGCCAAAATGCTGGGGGATACAAATAATGCTAAACTTTGAAAGGTTCAAGGATAGTAACTAACTCAGGACAAAGATAGCAGAGCAGGAGGATTTATCACATATAGTAGAAAATAATGAGTGTTCTCTGAGCAATTTGGAAGCAGTCCCCTGGACAAGGCTGTGGAATTCCCTGAACTCTTAACAAAAAAAGCCAGAAAAATGATAAATGCACCCAATGAAAAAAGTGGCAGAATACTTTAAAAAAATAAAATTTCCTCTACTGCTACCTCAAAAAGTACCTAAGATTCTCCCTCTAGTTTGTTGGGTTAAAAAACAATTATGAGGGCTGGGCACAGTGGCTCATGCCTGTAATCCCAGCACTTTCGGAGGCCAAGGCGGGCGGATCATGAGGTCAGGAGTTTGAGACCAGCCTGGTCAACAGGGCGAAACCCCGTCTCTACTAAAAATACAAAAATTAGCTGGGTGTGGTGGCGTGCGCCTGTAATCCCAGCTACTCAGGAGGCTGAGGCAGGAGAATCGCTTGAATCTGGTAGGCAGAGGTTGCAGTGAGCCAAGATCATGCCATTGCACTCCAGCCTGGGCGACAACAGCAAGACTCTGTCTCAAACAAACAAACAAACAAACAAAAAAAGAAAACAAACAAACAAACAGTTATGAGCCTTGTCAACATTTTAGATGGAGAAATAGGGTAATTTGCCAAATTATTCATGAATTCATTTTTTGGTAACATGGTAACATTTTTTGGTAACAGACATGGTTACATTTTATGAAAGCTATATACACAAGTGGACATTCTAAGAACCTTCTAGGAACTTTAGTCAGGAAGGTCCAATAAGCCCTTTTATTATTGGGCAGCAATATCACCAGCTTTTTCATAGTATATGTGGCTTTCAAGATTGAGATTAACACTACCAGGTTAATAAAACCTGGTAGTGTTGATGCCCTGGTTATGGAGGAAATCCTAACAAATGTGCCCACTGGAGACAAAGAAACTAAATTATGAACTCCCTTCCCACAGTTGAGCATAACAAAAGAGATACATCAGCATCTTCCGTGGAATTGAAATAAATATTTCAGCAAGAGTGAAAGCATTTTTGTGAATCATATTTTACCAATTTACAACTGAAAAAATTTTAAAAATTTCTACTCTTTATTTAGCATACTACATACATTCTTAAACAATTTTATACCATATACTGTTATTATTCTTCAATTTTAGACAAAAGATCATTATGATTTTGAAGGTCATTATTATTTGGTAACAAAAAATTTCTTATTCGGCATTAAAAATTGACTACTCAGTGTGATTGCAATAAAATACTGGTCAAATTTATTTCGCTGTATATTTAATGTCATTAGATATTCATATAAGTGATGAGAATTTTATGTGATATATGACACTTTTTGTATTTGTATTTTGTGTTGGTTTTTTGCCCACATACATGCACAAATTGAAAGACATTCTGGAATGTATTAATGATTGCATTAGTTTTAAAATTATAAGAATTTTATTTTATTATTTTATTCAACTTTTAGGTTCAGGGGGTGCATGTGCAGGTTTGTTACATGAGTAAATTGCTTGTTGTTGGGGTTGGTGTACAAATGATTTTATTACCCATGTTGTGAACATAGTAACGAATAGGTAGTTTTCTGACCCTCACCCTCCTTCAAACCTCCACCCTCAAGCAGGCTCCAGTGTCTATTGTTCCTCTCTTAGTATCCATGTGTACTTAGTGCTTTGCTCCCACTTATAAGTGAGAACACACAGTATTTGGTTTTCTGTTCCTATGTTAATTTACACATGATAATGGCCTCCAGCTCCATCCATGTTGATGCAAAGGACATAATTTTATTCTTTTTTATGGCTGCATAGTACTCCATGGCATTATATGTACCATATTTTCTTTAACCAGTCCACTGTTGATGAGCTTCTAGGTTGATTTCATAACTTTGCTATTGTGAATAGTGCTGCAGTGAACATGAGTACATGTGTCTCTTTGGTAGAATGACATATTCCTTCAGGCATATACATAGTAACGGTATTGCTGGGCCAAACGATAGTTCTGTTGTAAATTCATTGGGAAA
The DNA here is from genome assembly GCF_000001405.40 of Homo sapiens. Taxonomy (NCBI): domain Eukaryota; kingdom Metazoa; phylum Chordata; class Mammalia; order Primates; family Hominidae; genus Homo; species Homo sapiens. The sequence goes on along the minus strand of NC_000004.12, from coordinate 64,366,831 downwards.
TCTCCAACTGTGACTGAACCAATTTACACCACCACCAATAGTGTATAAGTGTCCCCTGTTCTCTACAACTTGCCAACATCTGTTATATGGTGACTTTTTAACAATAGCCATTTTGACTGGTGTGAGATTGTTAATTCATTGTGGTTTTGATTTGCATCTCTCTAATGATTAGTGACACTGAGCTTTTTTCATATGCATGTGTATCATCTTTTACATGTCTATTAACGTTATTTTCCCATTTTTAATGCAGTCGTTTGTTATATGCTTATTCAATTGTTTAAGTTCCTGCTAGGAGCTGGATACTAGACCTTTGTCAGATGCATAGTTTGCAAATATTTTCTCCCATTCTGTAGGTTGTTCATTCACTTCATTGATAGTTTCTTTTGCTTTGCAGAAGCTCTTTAGTTTAATTAGATCAGATTTGTTAATCATTGCTTTTGTTGCAATTGCTTTTGGCATCTTTGTCATGAAATCTTTCCCGGTTCCTGTGTCTGGAATGGTATTACCCTATCTTGTCTTCCAGAGTTTTTACAGTCTGGGTTTTACATTTCAGTCTTTAATCCATCTTTACATTTAAGTATTTAATTCACCAAATCAAGCTGAATTTTGTGTATAGTGCAAGAAGGATGCCCAGTTTCAATCTTCTGCATGTAGCTAGCCAGTTATCCATGTGCCGTTTATTGAATGGGGAGTCCTTTTCTTCATTCCTTGTTATTGACCACTTTGCCAAAGATCAGATTATTGTATTTGTGTGGCTTTTTTTCTGGGCTCCCTATTCTGTTCCATTGATCTATGTGTCTGTTTTTGTACTAGTACCATACTGTTTTGATTACTATTGCCTTGTAGTAGAGTTTGAAGTTAGGTAATGTGATGCTTCCAGCTTTATTTGTTTGCTTAGGATTCCTTTGGCTGTTTGGGATCTTTATTGGTTTTACATAAATTTTAGAATAGTTTTATTATTCTAATTCTGTGAAAACATGTCATTGGTAGTTTGACATGAATAACATTGAGTCTGTACATCGCTTTGGTCTGTATGGCCATTTTAACAATATTGATTCTTTTTATACATGAGCATGTAATTTTTTTTTGTTTCTTGGTGTCATCTCTAATTGCCTTCAGCAGTGTTTTGTAATTCTTATTGTAGACATCATCTACCTCTCTGATTAGCTATAGTCCCAGGTATTTATATTTTTGTTGCTATTGTGAATGAGATTGTATTTTTGTTTTGGCTCTCAGCTTTAGTACTATTGGTGTGTAGAAATGTTACTGATTATTGTACATTGGTTTTGTATTGTAAAATTTGCTGAGGTGGTTTATTAATTCTAGGAGCCTTTGAGCCCAGACTATGGAGTTTTCCGGATACAGAATCATATCCTCTATGAAGAGAGATAGTTTGACTTCCTCTCTTCCTATTTAGATGCCTTTTTTCCTTTATTTTGCCTAATTGCTCTGGCTAGGACTTCCAGTACTGTGTTGAATAGGAATGGTAAAAGTCGGACTCTTTGTCTTGTTTACGGTATCGGGTGGAATGCTTCCAGGTTTCACCTGTTTAGTACAATGTTGGCAAACATGGTTTTCATTATTTTGAGGTATGTTCCTTTTATGTATAGCTTTTTTTTTTTTAACATGAAGCAATACTGAATTTAACGAAAAGCCTTTTTGCATCTATTGAGATGATCATGTGAGTTTTGGTTTTAGTTCTGTTTATATGATAAATTGCATTTATTGACTTGTGTACCTTGAACCACCTGTTCAATATCCTGTGAAGCTTATTTTATTATGGCCAATTCTGATGTGCTGCTGAATTCAGTTTGTTACTGTTTTGTCGACAATTTTGAACATATCTTCATCGGGGTTATTGTCCTCAGGTTTTCTTATTTTGTTATGTCTCTGCCAGATTTTGGTATCGGAATAATGCTGGCCTCATAGAATGAGTTAGGGAGGAGTCCTTCTTCCTCAATGAAAAAAAAATAGTTTTAGTAGCACTGGTGCCAGTTCGTTTTGAAAGTCTGGTAGAGTTTGGCTGCAATTCTGTCTGGCTAGGGCTTTTTCTGGTTGGTAGGTTTTGTATTCCTGATTCAATTTTGGATTTTATTATTGGTCTGTACAGGATTTCAATTTATTTTTTTCAATTTCAATCTGGGGAGGCTGTATGTTTCCAGGAATTTATCGATTTCTTCTAGGTGTTCTAGTTTCTGTGCACATAGGTGTTTGTAATAGTCTCTGAGTTTCTTTTTGTATTTCTTTGGGGTAATGTTATCTATATCATTTCTGCTCATGTTTGTTTGGAACTTCTCTCTTTTGTTCTTCATTATCTAGCTAGCCATCTATCAATCTTATTTATTATTTTAAAAAATAAACTTTTGGTTTCATTGATCTTTTATGTGGTTTTTAACATATCAATTTCATTCGGTTCAGCTGTGATTTTTGATATTTCTTTCTGCCTACTAGCTTTGGATGGTTTGCTACTACTTTTCTCTAGATGTTCCTCTAGATGTGACGTTGTTAATATGAGAGCTTACCAACTTCTTAATATAGATGTTTTGCTATAAACTTTCCTGTTAACACTGCTTTAGTTGTGGCCTAGAGATTCTGGTATGTTGTATCTTTGTTTTCACTAGTTTTGAAGATTTTTTTTTAAATTTCTGCCCTAATTTTATTATTTACCCAAAAGTTATTCAGGAGCAGATTGTTTAATTTCTACGTAGATATATGGCTCTGAGAGATCTTCTTAGTGTTGATTTCTATTTTTATTTTGCTGTGCTCTGAGTGTAACTGGAATAATTTCAGTTTTTCATAATTTGTTGAGAATTGCTTCATGGCCAAGTACGTGGTTGATCTTAGATTACGTGTGGTGTGAAAATAATAATGTATATTTTTAGGGGTGCAGTATTATGTAGATATCTGTTAGGTTCATTTTGTAAAAAGTAAAGTAGAGGTTCCTCTTCAAAGACTTTCCTCCCCATCTAATTAGGAATAAACAGTAACTTCTCTTAGAAGCAAAATTTATTCAAATACCTGTGCTAACATTCTTAAATATCTGCTAGCCATAATAAAGAAATCAATGTACGTTATATTCTTAGCTCCCACACTTTAGCCTAAATATTTGCCCTGACATGCTTATACTGGTCCAAGCAAGCATTAGGTTATAGCCTGTTCCTCTTCTTTATTTAAAAATGTTTTTACCTTTCTCAGCATTCCATAAGTTACTTCCTACTTCCTTTGTTCTCCTCTTTTAAAAAGTTCTAAGTTGCTAGCCAATCGGGACAAATACAGAATGTGAGTTCCTGTTCCAGCCAATGGAAACCAGACACAGCAGTAGGGTGGACACGTCAGGTTATAAATGACCCTGTCTCCTTTGTTGGGTGTACTCTCGTGGCAAAACTAGTGGGTAGTGTACCCTTTCTGCAGGAAGTAAATTAAATTTATGCTAAGTAAATTAACTTTATGTTGAAGTGCCATTTCTTTATGGCACCGGGGAACGAGCACTTCAAACAATTTCTTAAAGTGTCGATTTTAGGTCATGAATATCTTTGTTAGTTTTCTCCCTTGATGATCTGCCTAACACTGTCAGTTGGGTGTTGAAGTTTCCCACTATTATTTTGTGGTTATCTAAGTCTCTTCATAAACCTCTAAGAACTTGTTTTATTAATCTGGTATTTACAGTGTTGGGTGAATATATATTTAGGATAGTTAAGTCTTTTTGAATTGAATGCTTTATCATTACGTAATGTCCTCCTTTGTACTTTTTGATAGTTGTTGTTTTAAAGTTTATTTTGCCTAAAATTAGACTAGCAACCACTTCTTTTTTTTTTTTTATGTGCCTGATATATCTGTCTCCATTCATTTATTTTAATCCTATGACTATCTTTTTATATGAGATGGGTCTCTTGAACATAGCCTACAGTTTGGTCTTGCTTCTTTACCCAACTTGCCACTGTGATTTTTAATGGGTATTTAGACCATTTACATTGAGGTTAATATAGATATTTAAGGATATAATCCTGTCTTCATGTTGTTAACTGGTTGTTATGTACACTTGATTGTACACTTGTTTTTAGAGTCAATGTACTATGTACTTGAGTGTATTTTTGGTGGTGGCAGGTTATGGTCTTTCATTTCCATGTTTAGCACTCCCTTAAGAACTTTTTGTAAGGCAGTCTGGTGGTAAGAAATTCTCATAGCATTTACTTCTCTGAAAAAAGTTTTATTTTTTGTTTATGAAGCTCAATTGACTGGATATTAAATTCTTGGTTGGAATTTCTTTTTTTAATGGTGCTGAATATGGGCCCCAATCCCTCCTGGTTTGTATAATCTGTGCTGAAAGGTCTGGTGTTAGCCTGATGGGGTTATCTTTCAATGTGACCTGCCTCTTTCCTGTAACTGCCTTTATTTATTTATTTTTTTCTTTTGCTTGACTTTGAAGAATCTGATGACTGTAAGTCTTGGGGATGGTTGTTTTTCATAGCATCCCTCAGTGGTTCTCTGAGTTTCCTGAATTTGCATGTGGACCTTTCTAGAAAGGTTGGGGAAATTTTTGTGGACAGAATCCTCAAATATGTTTTTCAAGTTGCTCCATCACTTCATCTCTTTCAGGGATTCCAATAAGTTGTAGGTTTGGTCTCTTTACATATTCTCACATTTCTGAGGTTTTGCTCATATTTAAAAATTCTTTTTCTTTATTTTTGTCTGCCTGTGTTGATTTAAATGAGCAGTCTTCAAGCTCCGAGATTCTTTTCTCAGCTTGGTCAATTATATTATGAATGCTTTCTATTGCATTTTGAAATTCCTGTAGTGAATTTTTTATTACCAGAAGCTCAATTTGTTATTTTCTTAAAATGGCTATGTCATCTTTTAATACATGCACCATTTTAGTTTTTCTTGGATTGGATTTTAACCTTCTGCTGTATCTTGATGAGCCTCCTTTCTATCCAGATTCTGAATTCTATGTCTGTGATTTCAGCCATTTACTTGGTTAAGAACTATTGCTGGGGAGTTAGTGCAGGTTTTTGGAGGTATGAAGTTACTCTGGCTTTTAAAGTTGTCAGAGTTCTTGCACTGGTTCTTTCTCATCTGTGTGGGCTGATATTTCCTTAATCTTTGAAGTTGTCTCTCAGATAGGGAATTTTGCTTTTGTGTTCTTTGGTGACCTTGAGGGTTTGGCTATGGAATAAGTTGGGTTTAGTCTATTGGTTTTCTTTCTGGTTGCTTTCAGGCAGTGTAGGTTTAGCTCAGCACTCCTGGGCTGCATGTTTTAACACTGGAGGGCTGGGCCCAGGCCTGCAGCTTTGTTCTTTGACCTCTCAAGGTTAAGTGTGTACTGTGCTGGAGGGTCCAAGATGTTCCCAATCTTCTGGCAACCACACTCCAATGGGGGCTGCATGAAAAATTTTTCAGTAGAGTAGAAGTGGGCCCTTGCACATTTGGATAGGTGGCGGCAGACGGTCCATGCATATGGGCACACCTGTAGATATACACACACGTGTACATTGGTGGGATGATGACAGGTTCATCAGGTAGGTGTTCTGTGTATGCGTATAAGTCACTAAAGTGGCAGGTGGAAGGCTGCAGGCAAGTGTGCACTGGTGGAGGACTGCCGTGTGTGGGTGTATGCTGGCAGAGGTCTGTCTGCAAAAGCACTCTGGTGGATAGTCAGGGTCAGCTGGTGAAAGCTATGGCAGTGACCACTGACAAGCTGAGGCTGTGCTGCAAGTGGGTGCAGTCATGCTGAGACCCTGGGAGAGGCTGACAGACAAAGGGCTGCTTAGATCAGACTGGCCCTGTCACATGGGGAAGGCCACCCCGCTCTGTCTAGTCCAGCAGATAACAAAGGCTAAAGCCACCTAGTGGAGTATGTTGAGCCTTGTGGGTTGGGTGACCATGGCTGTGCTCCACTGTGCCTGTTCCTGCACCAAACCTTCTGCGCCCTATGCAGGCTGGAGTTCTGTCTCTGCCAATTCCCCAGGAAGTTCTATCTGCCAGCTCAGATGTCCATGGACAGTATACAGTCTCTCACCGCTGGGATTCCAGAACTCCATAGTGAGAGTAGGCCATTCCACACCTATTGCACTCACCCTTTCCCCAGGAGCCATTCAGGGCCAGGAATGAGTCCCAATGCTTGGCCACCCCATGAAGAGTTCCCAGTTCCTTCCCCTTTTAACCCAGGATCTGTGTCCTCCCTCTGTCCATACTCAATGACTTCCTTCTTTCTGAAGATCTGTTTATAGTGTGCTAATCTACTTGATGGTCTGGTCTGTCTTGGTGAGAGAAGTTCTTCCTGACTCCGTCTAGTCAGCCATCTTGGCTGTTCCCCACAATTTTATTTTAAGTTAATGTTATCTAATCTTACTCTTTATGCTAACAGATGTTCTCTTGATTTTAAAGTTTGTCTGTATATTTTCATTTTACCTTTGCTGAAACATACTTCAAAATAGTTCAACAACTTGAATATATTAATGAAAAGAATTGTCAAATCTTAGAAAAAGTAATTCTGAAGAAATTATTACTCAACTTTAAAATTGCAGATAAAATAATGATTCATTTGCCTCAAGTGACTATCTGACATTTAAAAAAATTAAGTGGGTATCTCCCACTGAATTTATCTCCCATTATCCCATTAGATTATCAAGAGCTGCAAACATACTGAGATAATACTATTTTGGGAGGAATCTACATTTCAAATATATCTGATGTAAGACATATTATCAATCAAAAACTGTACGAATAAATCATACTTTGAACATATGGTTACTTACGATTTCTCGTTTTCTGTTTTGAAGTTCAGCTAAAGATATATAGAAGAATACAATTTTCTTGTCTCTATGATTCTTGACAGTTTCACTAAAAGGTCTTTTAAGTACATCACTTAAATTTCTTACTTAAGCCTGTATTTTCTTTGTGCGTCAATAAAAAGTAACACATATACTATTCAGGCTGTATTTGGCATTGCAAATGAACCTGTTTTCACTGTTACTACTTTAAAATACTAGTCAAATTTATATTGCTATATATTAATGTCGTCGGATACTCATATAAATGGTGAGATTCTATTTACCTATGTGATATATGATTGTAAAATTGCAGGAGATCAAACTCTTATTAAGGGAGAGCCATTTTGCCAGTCAAGGTTCATGTAATAAAACTGTCATAGCTAATCATTCTTGAAGTGCATGAAATGTGATTCTATGAATGGTTTTGTTTCTCATTATGGCACAGCATTAAAACTATGTACTGCTGTGCAATGTCAATGTTATTTTGATTCATCTTTCATGACATGGTGATGTTTTCCAAGCCTGATATTATGGACTTTTTTTTTTAATAATCATCAAGCATCTAGACGGTTGGGTTAGCAATATTTGAATGTGAGCAACACATTACAAATGCAATAACTATTTGAAAATATAGTCTATTTATAGCAGAATCATTTATTCTATTTGAATATGCCACAGTATAATGGCATTTACAATTCAACGGGAGATAGATATCTGGATGGTGAGAAAAAGTAGTCATCATATTCTAAAGAATGTTCTCAATAATAAGAATTTTAAAAAATATACCCACAAACACACACAGGTAATAAAAATATTGTTACTATAATCAAAGAAAGACTCTCAAACTTTAATAAGCACACATACTTTTTCTTTCAACAGCCGGTGTTTCTGATTTAATTGCATGCATTAACAGGATTAGTGTATGAGGAGTAATATAAAAATGCTAGAGAATCTTTTTTTCTCTTTAAAAAAATTTTCAGAAAACCATAAAAAGCATCACAATGGAATTCCATATAAACAATCTAAAAATAAATACATGAGCTTTTAAAATGCTTTATTAATAATACTTCATTATTGCAAGAAAATATCATAAATTATTGGTCCTTATGGATATTCTCATCAATATAGTTGATTTAAAATATCATTTATTTTTCACGTTTCCTAAAAGAGGACATATTCAAAGTTACTTAGATTCCTCCTGTGATAAATCTTTTGAAAATATACTGAATCTTATTGCTAATTTCAGACGTGCTATATTGTATCTCAATAATTTCTGTTATTCCAAAAATAATATTGCGTCAATGCCTCATTTATAAAAACAATTTTTAAAATTCAATTTGTGTATGTTATGTTGGGAAGGCATCAGATTCAATACAATGAGTTTATTTTTGAAAGATAATAATAGCTTCAGTTTTCAATATAATAAGATATATATACCAGATACTTTTCCCAAAATACAAATTACAAAGAATAAAGTATTATACACTTACTGCTAGCATTTTCATTAATATGATGACCCATCTCTTCTGATAGACACAAATTTTACCTATTGTTCTCCAATACCTTTTCCTATCAAAATATTTCTATATGTATTTCCACATAAATATATATTGATCCAAATAATATTACTGGAAATATACTTTTGCTTGATGTGCAATATACATCCTGTAGATATAAATTCTAACTGCCTCCATAAGAAGGCAATACGATGATTATTTATTTATTTAACAATATTTTTTAGATGTTGAAAAATATTTCCTAAACATTTATGACATATCATACATTAAAATATTCGCTATGCTCATTTATCCTTGTGAACTTCTTCAGTCATATTTGTAAGAATGAGGCAAAATAAATGCTGTCATAAATAAGCTCATTTTAACGTTTAGCATACATCGCTGAATTTTATCTCCTAATTTACAGACCGAAAATGATAATTCAGAATGTCTTTTTTTTTTCGTTTTTTCAATAATACTGGATATTCACAGACCTAGTAATTTTTAATAATTGGTGAGCAGAAAAGAGACTTCATTTAGTATTAGACTCTATTTTGGATTAGTAGTGAATACATTTTTTCACACTTATTATTTATATTTAGTTTTTGTAGAAATCACATGTTCATGGTCTTTACCCACATTCTTCTTCATTTGGATGCTTTCATTTTTCTTCCTAATATATAATGTCCTTATGAATTAATATACATGTAACAGATACTTTCCTCCTCTATTTCTTCTGAAAAAAATGAATTTCAAACATCGAAATTTATCTATTACATATTTTATATTTTGGGTTTTGTATGGCTTATTTAGAAATAATTATTTTTCATCTAATTTTTAAAATAGAATTTGTGCTTGTAATTTCTAGTTTTATTTTCTACATAAAATATCTGAGTATCTATAATTTATTTTGGCATAAAGAATGAATAAAATTCTCATAATTTTTATTTTAACTTTTCTTTTCATAGTTTTAAATTTTATTATAATTGTTAATGAATTTGTGTGACAGCTTTCAGATAAACTTATATTAATTTCTTTGTTTTCAAAATAATATCTGAATATCAGAGAATTAATTCTACTTTAAAAATTGTTTCCACGATCATTTATTTTGTAACATGATTTGTCCATTTTTTTACCTGATAATTAAATTGTGATCAGATAACTTCTTGACATCTCTTCTATTTATTTTTCAGGGTAAACTTGAATACCAAACATTCTCAGGACTGTATTATTTTGTCAGTATTATAGTCCAAATATTTATATAATACAGTTATATTTCATTTTTAATAGTTATCCAATATGATGCTGTATACAATTCTTATCTTTCCATGACTTATTTTAATGAGTACTGTTTTTCACATCTTGAAATGTGGTAATTTATTCTTATAATACATTTACATTGACAGAGCTTTTAGTCATAGTATCATTTAACGCATAGGAGGGTGATATTATATGGCATTATATAAGAACTATCTGCATTTTAATATATAGGTCTCAGTTATGGGTGCTAGTTTATATGTATTTGTGTGTGTAATTACATGGTAGAACATTGTCATAAAATAAACATATAATTAAAATATTTACCTTTTCTACTATAGAGTTGAGAAAGTATAGAGATAATCTGGTTTTAGAAAATTATCAAATGCATCTGTAAATTAATCTCCTCCATCCAACTTTCTTTAATGAACACTCATTGTTGAAGGAGCCCAGCCCCTCCACACCTGTGGGTAATTCTCATCAGGTGGGATGAGAGACTGAGAAAATAAATAAGACACAGGGACAAAGTATGGAGAAAGAAAAATGGGCCCAGAGGACCGCCACCTAGCATATGGAGGACCTGCTAACGCATTGGTCTCTGAGTTCCCTCAGTTTTTATTACTATTTTCACTATCTCAGCAAGAGGAATGCGGTAGGAGAGCAGGGTGATAATAGGGAGAAGGTCAGCGAGAAAGCATGTGAGCAAAGGAATCTGTGTCACAATAAGTTCAAGGGGAGGTACTATGCCTGGATATGCATGTAGGCCAGATTCATGTTTCTCTCCGCCTAAACATCTCAGTGGAGTAAAGAATAACAAAGCAGCATTGCTGCCGACATGTCCTGCCTCCCACCACAGGGCGGTTTTTCTCCTATCTCAGAATTGAACAAATGTACAATCAGGTTTTATACCGAGACATTCAGTTCCCAGGGGCAGGCAAGAGACAGTGGCCTTCCTCTATCTCAACTGCAAGAGGCTTTCCTCTTTTACTAATCCTCCTCAGCAGAGACTCTTCATGGGTGTTGGGCTGGGGGACGGTCAGGTCTTTCGCATCCCAGGAGGCCATATTTCAGACTATCACATGGGGAGAAACCTTGGACAATACCCGGCTTTCCAGGGCAGAGGTCTCTGCAGCTTTCTGCAGTGCATTGTGCCCCTGGTTTATCGAGATTAGAGAATGGCGATGACTTTTACCAAGCATACTGCTTGTAAACATTTTGTTAACAAGGCACATCCTGCACAGCCCTAGATCCCTTAAACCTTGATTCCATACAACACATGTTTTTGTGAGCTCAAGGTTGGGGCAAAGTTACAGATTAACAGCATCTCAAGGCAAAGCAATTGTTCAGGGTACAGGTCAAAATGGAATTTCTTATGTCTTTCCTTTCTACATAGACACAGTAACAGCCTGATCTCTCTTTCTTTTCCCTACAATTGTTTTCAGAAACTCCATACCATGTATATATTTTTAAAATATTTTTATAATTAATGTTTTAACTTATTCTTTTTTTTTTTTGAGACAGAGTCTCACTCTGTTGCCCAGGCTGGAGTGCAGTAGTGCAGTCTCGGCTCACTGCAAGCTCCGCCTCCCAGCTTCACGCCATTCTCAGCCTCCCAAGTAGCTGGGACTACAGGTGCCTGACACCATGCCCGGCTAATTTTTTTTTTGGATTTTTAGTAGAGACTCGGTTTCACTGTGTTCGCCAGGATGGTCTCGATCTCCTGACATCGTCATCTGCCCACCTTGGCCTCCCAAAGTGCTGGGATTACAGGCGTGAGCCACGGTGCCCGGCCTGTTTTAACTTATTCTTAATAATACAACTTCTTAATTCCCTTTTACATAATCTCTTGAGTCTAAAACCTATGTTGGTCATTTCTAATGTAATTTTTTTTTTAATTTGGAGAGTACAAAAGTTAATATAGAAAAATATTTTAGGTAGAAAATTCCATAGCAACATCTTCATGTTGACCGAATGTTTTTAGGGTGAAATGTACATATTTTCTGACAATCTACAGTACATTATTCATCTAATTTCGTTTTAATTTTTAACACATTAAGTTTTCACTCACATAAAAACTTCACCTACTATGAGATTCATGTCATTCTAGTATATTACTTTTCATTCTTCTTTGTTTTATAATGACCTATCCAACTTTTCTCTGTTTCCTTTGAGGCCTCTGAAATGCAGCTTAAAGATTTCCCCAGTCTAAGCTTTGATTTTACAATGAAAATAAGTGAAATTATAATTCTAAAATGATGATATATCAAGTATGCTAATCTCATAACTACTAGCTTTCCTGAAATATTCACTTCCACTCTACTTTACTTACTCACTTATCCATATCATGGTTCTTTTTACTAAAGGAAAATAGTTTACTTACTTATCCACACCATGATTCTTTTCACTAGTTAAAACTGAATTTTATTATTTGAAACTCTGAACAAAGCCAGTTGATCATCTATCATTCTAATTGTCTCATTCTCTGGCTCCAGGACTCCTGGTTTCTAGAGCTCATAGACATACATTGCCTAGAAGGTTTCCTTCTTCAGATTTATCACCTAGCTTAGTTTATTTTATATTTTATCAACTGCTCTATTACTAGTTGGTCAATACAGATGCTTGGGTTTACCGTGCAAACCTCAGACCCCATTCCATCTAACCTTATTCTTTCTCTGTCATAAAAACTCCTTCACTAGAGCTCTATTAAAGAAAATCACAACAATCATGCCCCTCCAGCGAATTTGTTCATTCTCTGCTATATCACTTAGAGCTTTCACCAATATCTTTAAGATTATCTACTTCTCCTATTTTGGGCAATTTTGGAAAAATTTTCTAGAAATCTGTCATGTTATTCAAGCTACTTGTCCTGCTGTAAAAGAGAGATTTGTCTCCTAGTTCATCAGGAATTTCATTCTCCTCTCTTATATTACTTACCATCCTCTGTTTCTCTACTTTTAAAGGGTAAGCAAATTATTCTGTACATGATTATCTATTTGTGCTATGATTTCCCTCTCCATATCCTAGAATATTTCCTCCTTTGATCTTGTTTTTTCTACAACTTCAAATTCTACCTTTCAAATTGTTCTTTTATCAAAATTTTTCCAACTTACAAACCACTGATAGCAATGTCATCACTTCCTCTCCTATCTATCATTTAACACTCACTTCAAAATGGTGTTCTTTGTCAGTATGCCAATGACCTTTCTAAGGTCATCAGCACTTTCTTTTGTGCTAAAGTATAAATCCGTATTTGAGCATGTCTAGTTTGAACTTTCAACTGCATTTGACGTGGCATACCATTCCTTTCTTTGACTCATTTTGTTTGTTTGTTTTATTGTTTGATTTTAGCTGTCTCTTCTCACTTGATTTGTAGTATATAGTTTGTCTCTCCTGGCCTCTCATTTTCAGACTTCTTTGAGGGCTTTTTATCGTTTTTTGGTCTCTTATATGTTGGGATTGCCTAGATTCCATCTTCAACAATCTTCCCCTTTAATTCTACTTTTTTTTATTTCTGGTGTGCTCTCAAACATTTGCATGGTTTAAAAAATATCATGGTGTAAAATAACTGAAAAATGAAATCAAAACTAACTGATTCCCAGAACTTTCCACTGTACATTAATCTGTCAGTATGGCATCTCGATATCTTATATATTAGTATCTTGCAGATACTTCAACTTCAGCATGTTTTCTTGAGCTTGTTCTTCTCTTTCCTTATTCAACGAATACTAATTTAATTCAAATACTCCATCTTCAAACCTGTGTATCATTATAAACACCACTGTCTCTCTTACATTCTATATCCAATTATCCACTCAGTTTATCAACTTTATACCATACTATATCTGCAATCAGTACATTACCTTAATTATAACAACCACAGTTCAAGTCTTTATACCTTTTAATCTGTATACCTATAATAGTCTCCTGTTGGATGCCTTATTCATGTATTGCTCTGTTCTCTTATTTTATCCATTCTTTAGTACCTCTAGCATCAAGTTGAAGCTCCTTATGATATATCAGCCCTCAAAATATATGCACACTGTGTATTAACTATGTTGAATTTTTCGATTTTTACTTTAACAGCATGGTATTTATTACTCTCTGAGAACTTCTTATTCTGTGTTTATATCTTCACTTCTCAGCTTTCCCCACTGTTAAACTGTAATTTACTAAAGAAAAATAGTTATACACTATTTACCTGTATTTACCATATAATTATTATGGCTCATCATTAGAAAAATACAACTAGTCCAGTAGTATAAAAATTTGTGATTTAGAAACAAAGTATTGAATTGGGTGCAGTGGCTTGTGCCTGTAATCCAAGCTACTCAGGAGGCTGAGGCAGGAGTATCACTTGAGCTCAAAATGTTCACCAGCCTGGGTAGCAGAATGAGACTCCATCTGTAAAAACAATAATAAATAAATAAAATTAGAAAAAAGTTGTCAAAACAAGTTATACTTTTTTTAGAGATATATTTGTCATCTATACTGTAAATAATGAGCATCGAAGACAAGAACATACTTTGAATCTGATATTTTCTTATGCATATGCCTAAACACATAGAAGTGCTTACATGTGGTGTGTGTGAATGTTTGGATATGTATGTGCATGAGCATATACATGCTTTTAAAGCAGCTTCAATTTTACTATAGAGGAAGTAATGCTATAGTTAAAAAATAAAGACATATAAGTTAGCCAGAATTCACATACAAATTAACATCTACATAAGATATTGGTGATACATGTAACAATAAAATTTTCTGCCCTTTACTGTTCTTACTTGGTGAAAAAGTAATTGAAATTATTGAGCTCAGCATCTTCATTGGAGAAAAGCAATATTATTATGAATCATGCAGGCTTCCTGTAAAATTTAGATACTATCTCTATCTATGTATCTGTCTAATCTATCTATCCACTTATCTATCTATCTATTCCTCTCTCAGGACAGATTTGGAATACAATAATTGTTTTTTAATGATGACTCAAGACTCTGTTCAATATTAATTTCTTATCCTAGTTTCTTCAAGAGAAATTGTTGATGTGCCTTGGTGCTTGTACAGCCTATTCATCAATGCACTAATATTGTACTTTGAATTTTTTGTGTGTCTGTTATTGGTAGACTCAGGTATTTGAAGTAATAAACTGTGTATTTCACTTTATTATTCTTGACATCAGGAAACAGCTAGCTTCTAACACCATTCATCAATATTTCTTTAAATATTTGTCTTAGAATTTGAACAAAAATAGTTTTAACTTAAGAATTGGAAAATGATATGGCAATCAATATTAGTTCAATTTTTCTTTTCAGGGCTAGGTAGGCCTTGATCCAAATGCTTAACATAAATGCTTATTTTGCATTAAGGATCTGATGTCAGTGCTTTGAGCAGATTAATTAGTAAGATTTAAGGCATTCAATGGATTGGTATTAGGCATATTTTGCTCTATACTGAATTAGACTAATTTATAAAGTGTAGTTCACAAATGCCCTCCATAAATAACATATACCATTTACTATGCAATTAGACTGCCACGCTTTTTATTAAAAATGTTTGTCATGTACAATGTTTTAAAATCTTTTTTATCAATTCATAATAATTTACATATTCATGGAGTACACGTGGTATTTTGTTACATGCATAGAATTTGTAATGGTCAAGTCAGGGTATTTATAGTATACATCACCTTATTTATCATTTCTATTAATATATATTGGGAAAATTTAAAGTTGTCCCTTTGGCTGGGCACAGTGACTCACTCTTGTAATCCCAGAACTTTGGGAGGCTGAGGTGGGAGGATCACTTAAGTCCAGGAGTTGAGACCAGCCTTGGCAATATAGTGAGACCTCATCCTTCTAAAAATTTAAAAATTAGCTAAGTGTGGTGGTATGTGTCTCCTTCCCAGCTACTTCAGAGGCTGAGACAGGAGGATTGCTTGAGCTCAAGGCTGAAGTGAGCCATCCTCATGCCACTGCACACCAGACTCAGTGACAAAGTGAGACTCTGCCAAAAAAAAAGTTCCCTTTTCTAGCTACTTTGAAATATACAATACACAGTTTTTGACTACAGTCACTCTATTCTGCAATCAAACATTAGAACTTATACCTGATGTCTAATTGTATATTCATATCCATTAACCAATCTCTCTTCATGCCCCTTTCCCATCCAATCACCCTTCTCAACCTCTGGTATCTTTCTACTCTCTACTTGCATGAGATCAACTTATTTAGTTTCTAAATATGAGTGAGAACTGTGAAAGTCATCCTCTGTGTCTGGCTTTTTTCACTTTTTATAATGATCTCCAGTTCCTCCTTTGGTGTTATCCACCATAACCCATATTTTACTTGGGGGTACTTACATAAATTATCAGCTTAAAAGGTTAACTATTGAAACTGATTAGTTAAAATCACTGATTTCTATAAAACTTTTCACACAACTTGACTATATTACCATATTTATTAAATTAGTTGGAGTTTCTAGAGAAACAGAACCAAAAGAATGTGGAGGGTGGCTCATGTGATTGTGGAGGCTTGGCACGTCCTGATGGGATAGGCGGGCAGACTGGAGACTCAGGGAAAAATTGCTGTTCGAGTTAAAAGGCAGTCCGCTGGCAAATTTTCTTCTTCTTCAAAGGAGATCAGTCTTTATCAAGTGAGGCTTTCAATTAATTGGATATGGCTCCACCACATTCCAAATGGCAATCTGCTTTATTCAAAGTCCACCTATTTAAATATTAATCTCTTAAATTATATAATCTTAATATTAGTCAATAAAAACTTGCCAAGAATAAAATATAATAAAATGTTAATCTCATTCAAAAAACACCTTCATAGAAACATCCAGAATCATGTTTGACCAAATATTTGGGAATTGTCACCCAGCCAATTCATCAGATAAAATTAACCTTCACACCTAGTTATGTAATTTGAACTTTTATTAAGGGAAATAGGTTGCATTATTCTATCTACTTCATCCAGAGCTGAGATCCACAGGACATTTTTCTGAAAGCATCACAATGACAACAACATTGTAAGCTAAATAAAGTATGAAAATGCTACTATTTTGGCAATTATTTCTCTTGTTGAGAAAATAAATCAATGACAATGTTTTCACAGGATAAATTGAAACTAAAAAGATGTGTTCTGACTCAGTTTAGCCATACATTAAGGTACAGTTTTGTGGGACATTGATAACTTTTTATTTAAGTAAATGCCCAGCACTGCTTCTGTCAACAGACAGATGTTGATTCTTTCCTTATGTTAAAATGCAGAAAAGCACACTCCATATTCATTAAACATGAATCATTAAATAATGTTAAGTATTTTATAATTTCTCATAAGCAGTGCATTTATTATCTGAGAAATCAACTCTGAAAAAATATAATTGAGAATTGAATTAGTGTCTGCTTAAGTTGGTAAGTAGTCTTTTTGTTTTCAACCACACTATTACTCTTCACCTATAAATTCCATTATTATTTTTGATGTATAGTCAACTTATTTCTATAATGAAATTGCCCTTCTGGAAATGTTGGAATTCAATTCATGGGTCGAATTCCTGTATTATCTCTTCAAGGCCTGGCTGTGCACCACAACATAATGTGATATATTCCTAAGACTTACTCCATAGTTCTCAATTAAATTAACTATATTCAATCACTATATGCTAAGTAATATTAATATTTAAAACTATGCCCTGAGTCATAATTCATTCACATTACACAGCATTTGCAATTGTGTTAAAGCTTAGAATCTAGGTTCATCTTCAGGAATAATGTCTTCAAGGATTTTGGATTTTCACTCAGGGTAATCAAACTCTTCCATATTTCAAAGCAAGATCAAAGCAATGGGACCCTGATATGCTTATTCTTAAAAGGTTTTTATAGGCTGGGGGAGGTGGCTCACACCTATAATCCTAGCACTTTGGGAGGCCGCGGTGGGTAGATCACGAAGTCAGGAGTTTGAGACCAGCCTGGCCTACATGGAGAAACCCCATCTCTACTAAAAATACAAAAATTAGCCTGGTGTAGGGGTGCGTGCCTGTAATGCCAGCTACTCGGGAGGTTGAGGCAGGAGAATTGCTTGAACCCAGGAGGCAGAGGTTGTGGTGAGCCGATATCATTCCATTGCACTACAGCCTGGGCAACAAGAGTGAAACTCCATCTGAAAAAAAAAAAAAACGTTTTTTATAAATTATTTTCACATTTTATTAAAAAAAATTTATGAAAATTTTAGGTTTTTTTTTTTTTTGTAATTTCCAAAAAGCCTCTAGTAAAGGAATTACATTTAAACACAAGATGGAGTTTTGAAATTTTGTTTTCTCTTGAATCTGTTCTCCTGATTGGAGGCACCAGACATTGTATCCTGAAGAATCCAAGATGTTCTCAGGACTGAGGTAACTGGAACAAAGAGGAGGGATCTCTTCCATGCCATTACCTGCGCAGTGGACATTGGATATTTTCCCTGACTACAACATCACTTTCTCAGGATGTAGAGTGGTCAATCTCACCGGGAACCATGAAAAATTGTATATAGGATGAGACATGTTCTGAGCTACAATTTTTTAAAAACCCCAAAGATTGCTCAGACAAAGAATGGACCATTATTGGGAAAGATAGTGGAAGCAGGGACACAGTAAGAAATATGCTAGAACAGACTCTAGGAGACTAAAGTGGGGTACAGACCACTTTGATGTCAGTAGATGAGACAGAAGTGATCAGATTCTGGGTAGATCAAAATGACAGCACCGGAAAAAAGAATTCCTGCTGCATTAGATGTGGAACCGAGGTAGGATCAAAAATAAAGGGTGAAATAACTTTCCACATTTACCTACCAGAATATCTGGAAGAATGGCAATGGTGAAGTTATATGGTTTGGCTCTGTGTACCCACACAAATCTTGCCTTGAATTGTAGTCCTCACATGTTGAGGGCGGGAGGTGATAGGATCCTGGGGGTGCTTTCTTGAAACCATGCTGTTCTCCTGATAGTGAGTGAATTCTCGCAAGATCTGATGGTTTCATAAATGGCAGTTTCCTCTGTGCTTTATTTTTCTCTCTCTTCTGTCACCTTGTGAAGAAGGTCCTTGCTTCGTCTTTGCCTTCCGCCATGATTATATCTTTCCTGAGACCTCCTCAGCCATGTGGAACCATGACTCAATGAAAGCTCCTTTGTTCATAAATTACCCAGTCTTGGGTAGTGTTTTATAGCAGTATGAAAACAGACTACTACGGTAAATTGGTACCCGGAGTGGGGCACTGCTATAAACATAACATGAAAATGTGGAAGCAACTTTGGAACTGGGTAGTGAGTAGAAGTTGACACAGTCTAGAGGCTCAGAAGAAGACAGGAAGATGTGAGAAAGTTTGAAACTTCCTAGAGACTTGCTGACTGGTTGTCGTCAAAATGCCAGAGGACTGTTGGAAAGTCATGATTGGTTTTAATGTGAAAAGACATTAGATTTGGGAGGCGCCATGGGGTAAATGATATGGTTTGGCTCTGTGTCCCAACCCAAACCTCATCTCAATTATAATCCCTGCATGTCAAGGGAGGGACCTGTAATCCCCACATACAGAGAGAGGAGGTTACTGGATCATGGGGGCCGTTTCCTCCTTGCTGTTCTTATGATAGTGAATGAGTTGTGATGACACATGATGGCTTTATAAATGGCAATTTCCCGTGTGCTTTATTTTTCTCTCTCCTGCAACCTTGTGAAGAAGGTGCCTGCTTCCCCTTTGCCTTGCACCATGATTGTAAGTTTCCTGAGGCCTCCCCAGCCATGCAGAACTGTGAGTCAACGAAACCTCTTTCCTTATAAATTGCCTGTCTTGGGTAGTATCTTTACAGTTGTGTGAAAATGAACTAATACAGGAAGTTATAAAGGAGTAGATTTTAAGGCCATTAGGCATTAAATTTATGAACACATTGATTTTGAGATGTCCCAGAATAAAGTTGTCACATGGGCAGCTGGACACATTCCCATGCCACAGAAATGCCTATGAACTCTAGGAAGGGCTGTGTGGTATTTGAGGATATGGCCATTTACTTTTTTCCAGATAAGTCAGTGTTCTTTTATGTGACTCAAAGATTCCTGTATCATGTTGGAATGATGGATTATTTTGCACTATGGCCTCACTGCATTAATGACATTGAGTGGAGGATGAAGAGGCAACTTTTTGAACAGGCTATTTATGTAAGAATGTCACAATTCAGGATTGTAAAGGCAGATCCGTGCATTTATATGGCCCACTCTTGTGAGATACCTGTCCTTGACTTAAAGGATGTTTTTCACCTGACTGAATGTCAAATAACACAATTCTGGGTAGAAACTGTACAGACGTAGGCACACACAGAACAGGCTTCAAGTTCAGCAAAATTTTCACCAGAACGAGAAGCAAAACAGTAGCGATAAATTTTTCAGAAGTAAGGACAGGGTTTAGTTTGTAAAGAACCTAAAAGCAAACATATGAAAAAAGTCCTTCATATCCAGGAGACTAGGAGAAACTTGCAGTCCAGTGCTGCAGTACCAGGCCACTCATGTTCAGGGAAAGCCACACTTAATCACCAAGACAATGGGGACAATTCTCCAGGGCACCTCAGAGACCTTCACAGCAGCAGCTTCTGTCACAGGTCTGGAAACCTAGGAGGAAAAAATGGTTCTGTGGGCCTGGCCCAGGGGCCCCCTGATCTGTGCAGTCTCAGGACTTGTTGCCTTGTGTCTCAGCTGCTCCAGTTCCAGTCATCACTAAAAGGGGCCAATGTACAGCTTAGGCTTCAGAGGGCGCAAGCCCCTAGGCTTGGCAGCTTGCACGTGGTGTTGAGCCTGCAGGTACACAGAAGTCAAGAACTGAGGTTTGGGAACCTCCACCTAGATTTCAGAGGAGGTATGGAAACCCCCGGATGTCTAGACAGAAGTCGGCTGTAGGAGCAGAGCTCTCAAGAAGAACCTCTTCTAGAATAGTGCAGAGGGGAAATGTGGGGTCGGAGCCACCACACAAAGTACTCACTGGGGCACTGCCTAGTGGGGCTGTGAGAAAACAGCCACCATCCTCCAGATCCCAGAATGGTAGATCCACTGACAGCTTGCAATGTACACCTGGAAAAGCCACAGATGCTTCTTTCATGAGTTGAAAGATGACTTTTGAATATTTCGTAGCAAGAAAGTATTTTTCCCATAACAACATCTAATGAGATGAATAAAATTATATTTACTAGAATTCATTATTTTTATTAAAGAGTAAATTTGTCTGGAAAGAATGTTTTAAGTAAGCCTGTGTGTGTTTGTGTGTGTTGTGTTTATATTCTTGTGTGTGTGCTTCTGTGTGCATATTTATCTTAGTGGCAGTAAATAAAAATCCACTTAATACTTTGAGGGATATGATAAATGTTTTTTTTTTTTTTTTTTTTTTTTGCTGTTGAGGCACCCATCAGTGTTGGGTTAGTCTTATTACAGTGGAAGAAGATGTTACAATGTGTAGTCAAAGTGGAAAAGATTACCTGCAACCATACAGTTCTTCTATATCAGTTAATCCACACAGGAGAAAGGCATTAGGTTCAACAGGACCTTAACTGGGGTCTGCTTGTGACTTAGAAAACCTTTAACTTCTTTTTTTTTATTATTATACTTTAAGTTTTAGGGTACATGTGCACAACATGCAGGTTAGTTACATATGTATACATGTGCCATGTTGGTGTGCTGCACCTATTAACTCATCATTTAACATTAGGTATATCTCCTAATGCTATCCCTCCCCCCTCCCCCCACCCCACAACAGGCCCCGGTGTGTGATGTTCCTCTTCCTGTGTCCATGTGTTCTCATTGTTCAATTCCCACCTATGGGTGAGAACATGTGGTGTTTGGTTTTTTGCCGTTGTGATAGTTTGCTGAGAATGATGGTTTCCAGCTTCATCCATGTCCCTACAAAGGACATGAACTCATCATTTTTATGGCTGCATATTATTCCATGGTGTATATGTGCCACATTTTCTTAATCCAGTCTATCATTGTTGGACATTTGGGTTGGTTCTAAGTCTTTGCTATTGTGAATAGTGCCGCAATAAACACACGTGTGCATGTGTCTTTATAGCAGCATGATTTATATTCCTTTGGGTATATACCCAGTAATGGGATGGCTGGGTCAAATGGTATTTCTAGATCCCTGAGGAATTGCCACACTGACTTCCACAATGGTTGAACTAGTTTACAGTCCCACCAACAGTGTAAAAGTGTTCCTATTTCTCCACATCCTCTCCAGCACTTGTTGTTTCCTGACTTTTTAATGATCGCCATTCTAACTGGTGTGAGATGGTATCTCATTGTGGTTTTGATTTGCATTTCTCTGATGGCCAGAAAACCTTTAACTTCTTTATGGACAATGTTAATCTCACTTGACTTGTGATGGATTGATTTAACCTCCATGTCACTCAGTCAAGAGCTACCTGACTCACATTGGCCTGGTGTGTGAAATAATAAATGTCTTATTGTTTAAGACAACAAAAACAGACAAACAAACAAAAAACAAGATGGAGAATAAAAATCTATCTGAAACGTTTTCAGATTGTCATTTTGTTTTTCTGTTTTCTCTTACCAATTCCTCTTTGCTGAGAGCTATGGTTGGTAGCATGTAGTTTCATTCAAAGCCTTAAAGCCATTACATTTCACATAGGAGCTTTGTTTTAAATTACACCTTAATTTTAAATTACACTTTGTTTTAAATTTAAATTAAATGTCAGGCACCATTTTCAACATTCACCATTAATGTTTGTGCATTTGAATAGTAAGCAAGTGTAAAGTCTCTCACCTCATTCTACTTTCCAATCTGAATGCAAATAACTCCAGATGCTACCTTTTCCATAATTTATATAAAATGTCCTAAATTGTGTTTTTTTCACAAGACAGAGCTTCTCAAAAATGCACCAGGAATTTCAGACTCCTATATCAAAACTAAAAAAATATAACATCAAATATCATGTCTTTATATCTATCTATCTACCATATATCAATAAAATTTGATAGATGTATAGATATAGAATCTTATAGATAGATATAGACATAGGTTATATAGAGATATAAATAGAGATTATATTTGTATCATCTTATATGTATAAATATGTTACATATGGAGCTATAATATATGTATATGTGTGAGTATATATATATATGAGTTTTTTCCTATGATTTTGTCCTATTACTTCCTCTTCTAAATGCTGACAATTGAAAAACAAATCAATGCAAATGGTAACCTAGCTGGTTTGCATTGGATTCACTTATACATTTCACAGATATTTATACACAGATTACTGTGGGGGAGGGTGGGGATAGACCCCTTCCTCTCATCTATTAATATTTATTTTTTTTAAAATTTTATGTTTTCTGGTATTTTTTTAAA
Source organism: Homo sapiens (assembly GCF_000001405.40). Taxonomy (NCBI): domain Eukaryota; kingdom Metazoa; phylum Chordata; class Mammalia; order Primates; family Hominidae; genus Homo; species Homo sapiens. The sequence goes on along the minus strand of NC_000004.12, from coordinate 64,343,929 downwards.
AAGCTTTCTATAGATTACAAATGAAAGCAGGTTAAAATGTTCTCCACAAGCCATGACATTTTGTTCATACTTTATTTTTTTCTCTCCGTGGCTCTAAAGTGTGTAATTGAGGTTAATCTTTTGACAAACTGATGTATCAGCAATCAACCAGCAAGATTTTGAAAGAAAATCATTCTTCCATGAGTAGAAACCTAACTGTTGAATAATTTGTAGCAAGAAAGTATTTTCCCCATAACAAGGTTGAATGAGATGAATAAAATTCTATTTACCAGAATTGATTTTTGTTAAAGCATTAAATTTGCCTGGAAAGAATGTTTTAAGTAAGTGTGTGTGTGTGTGTGTGTCTGTGTGTGTGTGCATGTTTATCTTAGTGACAGTAAATAAATATCCATTTAATGCTTTGAGGGATATCATGATAAATGTTTCTTTGATTTCTTTCCTGTTGAGCAACAACTACATTTGACTGTAAGAATATGTTTACTTGGTTATATAGTTTGCTTTATTTGTCTCTATAACTTTAATTAACTCATGCAAAATTGGTAAATAGGGTAATGGTATCAGTATGATGTGGAATTTACAATTGTTTATAAACCTTTCTTTGAGCACGGTATCATTTTGCACCACCAAGTAACACTAGCTGAGCACAAACTATACAACATAAACACGGAGAGATATAAGCTATTAATATACACTGTATCACAATATCTATTTCTTACCAAGCTCCTTTGGCCAGGTGCTCTGTCTTAGAAATGTATTTTGTCTAATTTCCCTTTATCTTTGTTAATTTAAGCACTGGAAACTCATTCTTACACACATTTTCATCACCCTTTATTCCCCCTTTTTTAAAGAAGGCGAACTATATTTTCTGTTGAATTTTTTATTAGAAACATAATTTTAACTGTACTATTATTTTTTATTATGACTATTGCTGGTTTTGTTAGTGATCACAACACAGAGTTGTAAAGATTTTAACTAATCTTTCCCTAACTTTATGTTTTTATAACCTTGTATTTTCATAGTGTTATTTTTTCAGAAAACGTGTCTCAGGAATGCATATATCATGTTTTAGCAGAAATGCTTCCACCTATACAAAAGACCAAAAGTTTTTAATGTTGCTTTAAAACTATAATTTAATAGTATATTTAATGAGTTCTTAATAATTTTTTTGTAATTTGACATATTATTACATTTATTCCTCACAGTGTCCTGAATAGATAGATACTTTTGTGGCCTCCATTTATTTTTGTTTTTATTGTTTGTTTCACAGATGAGAACACTAAGATTCATGGAAATCATTTACCTGAGAATAGTAAAACAACAACAGAGTATAATTTCAGATTTTAAACACAGTGAATGTGGACAGACTTTGGTGGTTAAGCAGTAATCACCTTCTCTTCAGATAGGGAAAGGATTATAAGTAACAGTCTCACATTTAACTAAAATCATGGTATATATAAATATAAATAAACACACACACATACACACACACACACACATATATATATATAAAACTACTACCAAGTCTTCTTCTAAAAAAGGCCATGCATCTATTTAAATATTATAAAATCACATCACACATTCTTCAGTGTCATGCAGTCCTCCAATCACTGCATATACTAGTGGTGATCAAAATGATCCAGAGTACTTGTTCTCATGGAGATTTCACAACAGTAATGAGAAATGTACACTAAAAATCTTAATAGACATAAGTAATTTCAGATATAAAGACCAAAAACAGGGAAGTGGGGAAACAATAACAGGCAGAAAATACTAGGATCTGCTCCATCTGGCAGTATTTTTATGAGATTTTTAGGGTGTTGCTTTTCTGGCTGGAAACTTGTGGCTAGTGATGCCTTTGCCTGAGTTTTCCTTGGGCCTGCTGGGCTCATTCTGCCCACTCGGCCTGGCAGGTTGCACTGAGCTCATGCTACTGGCCCGGATCCCACACCTCGAAGGGAAACTGAAGTCAGGTGTGGAGTGACAAAGGGTGTGTGAGTGAGTGTTGGATCAGGCCACTCCACAGTCAGACATGCTGGCTCCTGCCACAGGGTAGACACCTCCAGGTGCCAGCATGGGTGTTAGCTCTCTGTGAGGCTGCAGCTGGACCAGGCACACCACAAGCTGCTTCCCCAGCTGTCACCAGGGAGTGTGATAGCACCCAGAAGCTTAGAAATGCCAGCAACCACAGGGGCCCAAAGAGGGAGTCACAGGCCTGGCTCTGGAAGCTCCCAGGTCTGGGCTCCCTGAAAGGCTGCAGCTTTTCTCTCCTTCTCTTCACCTGCAACGTGGCAAGCAAGGGGGATGTTTTAGCCCCATTTTTTTTTTAGATGGAGTTTTACTCTTGTCGCCCAGGCTGGAGTGCAATGATGTGATCTCAGCTCACTGAAACCTCACCTCCACCTCCCAGGTTCAAATGATTCTCCTGCCTCAGCCTCCCAAGTAGCTGAGATTACAGGAATGTGCCACCACCCCCAGCTAATTTTTGTATTTTTAGTAGAGATGGGTTTTTGCCATGTTGGTTAGGCTGGTCTCAAATCCTGATCTCAGGTGATCCACACACCCCAACCTCCCAAAGTGCTGAGATTACAGGTGTCAGCCACCTTGCCTGGCCTTTAGCTCCATTTTTGTTATAGCTCTTTTAGCCTTGCTGTTTGGTGGATCCTGAGTTCTTGTCCCACAAACAGCAAGAATGAGGTATGAAGACAAGTGGAGGGTGGGCAAGATGAAGAAGAGCTTGGACTGAGCAATAGAACAGCTCAGAGAAAACCTATAGGGAGAAGCTCCTTTCTGCCACCAGGGTCTCCCAACAAGTGTTCAGCTCTTAGCAGAGAGGAGACCCTAGAGTGGGAAGCTCCTCTCCATGGGCAGGTTGTCCCATCATCTCTGCAGCTCTCAGCAGAGAGGAGGTCCTGCAATGGGTTGTTCTCCACTGCAAGCAGGTCATCCTGCTGTCTTCCAAGCTCTCAGCAAAAAGGAGGCCCTGGAGTGGGTTGTTCCTCTCTGCAGCTGGTAGTTCCCGCCTCTCCTCAGCTCTGCCTGAGCCTGGGGCCTTTATGGGCTTCAGATGGAAGGAAGTGTACTCTGATTGGTCCATAGGCAGCCAAGGGAGGGCCCAGAAAAGACACCACAAGTTCACATCCCAGTCTGTGAGACTGGCAGCTGGGTCCCCATCCTTCAGGCACTTCACGGCCTGAAGATGAGGCCTCACCAGGAACTGGCCCCCTCTGCCCAGGAGCCTGTCTGCTTCCTACTGCTGTTTATGGTGCCCAGGCTGTTCATGCCAAGGGGCATCTACATGCCAGTGCCAAGCTGCCCTTAGTACCCCTATGGCTTTCCTCCCTTGCTTGTCAGTGCCCAAAGTCCAGAGGGGGCTAGAGCAGCAGGCAGCAGGGGGCTGGTGTGTCAGCACTGCTCCAAGTGTGCACAAACCCGGTAGGGCTGTCACAGTGCCTGGGCTTGGTCCCAACTTTGCTCTGAAATTGGAGTGGGCACTGAGAGCAGAGAGAAGCCAGACAGCTGGAGCAGACACTTTCAACCCTGTGAAGGCAGCGGGGCCTCCCTAGACCTCTGAGAGTTCAGGGATTCCTGGGCCTGCAGCCATGATTTGGGTGGCTGCAGCTGTGTTCGGTGGGGTGATTGTCATGCCTGCTCCATGGAGTGAGAGGCTGGGGTCTGCAGCCACAGTTTGGATGGCTGCAGTAGAACCCAGGGAACTCCTGCCCCTACTTATAAGGGGTGAATCTCCCGCTTTTTCCTGGCTTCTGCCAGCTCCATGGAGCATGCAGTCCTGGCTTCACCTCCCTACTGCAGCTGGCATGATGGCAACAGCCTCTACAGATGACCTGATGCTGCCATCAGTATCAGGAAAATTATCTCTGTATAGAGTAATTCAGTAACTCAGAAAGTCAAATAGTTGAGTAAAACGAGGTTTACGGTTGCTCATAGTGAGACCAAGAGAGAAGAGGGCAAAGTAAAGTAGGTACGTTCCTCAGGTTGTGATTTGTTATGGATCCTATAATTTAGTCCAGAATAGCATGAAATTTAGGAGAAATGAGGAATTTATGATCGTGAAAATAGTAGAATAATTCTTGGAAAATCAAGGAATGTTTTAGAGAGAATTATTAGTGTAAATAAGCAGAAAGGAGAGATGGTGATTATAAGAAGTAAGATATTTGAAATCTCTAGTTTGGGGGTAGTGCATTTCTTAGTATAAGACGCGGGGAAAGAGTTGCAGAGCAGAGAATCTTCAGATTTGAGTAGATCAAGGACCTAAAGGGCAGAAAATTAAAGTGATGTTAAAATCATCAACATTGATAAGTAAATAGTGGAGGAGAGGATGTGCTATGCTAATATGATCAGTGATTTAGGTGGAAAGAACATTAGACATAGCAATTAGAAGAAATAATATTAGATAGTAAAGTCTAGTGATATGCATTCCACAAGGAAAATGGAAAACAAATATTTTTCCATATATATATATATATTTTTATTATACTTTAAGTTCTAGGGTACATGTGCAAAACATGCAGGTTTCTTACATATGTATACATGTGCCATGTTGGTGTGCTGCACCAATTAACTCATCATTTACGTCATTCACATTAGGTATATCTCCTAATGCTGTCCCTCCCCCCTCCCCCCACCCCACAACAGGCCCCAGAGTGTGATGTTCCCCTTCCTGTGTCCAAGTGTTCTCATTGTTCAATTCCCACCTATGAGTGAGAACATGTGGTGTTTGGTTTTTTGCCATTGTGATAGTTTGCTGAGAATGATGGTTTCCAGCTTCATCCATGTCCCTACAAAGGACATGAACTCATCATTTTTTATGGCTACATAGTATTCCATGGTGTATATGTGCCACATTTTCTTAATCCAGTCTATCATTGTTGGACATTTGGCTTGGTTCCAAGTCTTTGCTATTGTGACTAGTGCCGCAATAAACATACATGTGCATGTGTCTTCATAGCAGCATGATTTATATTCCTTTGGGTATATACCCAGTAATGGGATGGCTGGGTCAAATGGTATTTCTAGTTCTAGATCCCTGAGGAATCGCCCCACTGTCTTCCACAATGGTTGAACTAGTTTACAGTCCTACCAACAGTGTAAAAGTGTTCCTATTACTCCACATCCTCTCCAGCACCTGTTGTTTCCTGACTTTTTAATGATCTCCATTCTAACTGGTGTGAGATGATATTTCATTGTGGTTTTGATTTGCATTTCTCTGATGGTCAGTGATGATGAACATTTTATCATGTGTCTGTTGAATGCATAAATGTCTTCTTTTGAGAAGTATCTGTTCATATCCTTTGCCCACTTTTTGATGGGGTTGTTTGTTTTTTTCATGTAAATTTGTTTGAGTTCTTTGTAGATTCTGGATATAAGCCCTTTGTCAGATGAGCAGATTGCAAAAATTTTCTCCCATTCTGTAGGTTGCCGGTTGACTCTGATGGTAGTTTATTTTGCTGTGCAGAAGCTCTTGAGTTTAATTAGATCCCATTTGTCAATTTTGGCTTTTGTTGCCATTGCTTTTGGTGTTTTAGAGATGAAGTCTTTGCCCATGCCTATGTCCTGAATGGTATTGCCTAGGTTTTCTTCTAGGTATTTTATGGTTTTAGGTCTAACATGTAAGTCTTTAATCCATCTTGAATTAATTTTTGTATAAGGTGTAAGGAAGGGATCCAGTTTCAGCTTTCTACATATGGCTAGCCAGTTTTCCCAGCACCATTTGTTAAATAGGGAATCCTTTCCCTATTTCTTGTTTTTGTCAGGTTTGTCAAAGATCAGATAGTTGTAGATGTGTGGTATTATTTCTGAGGGCTCTGTTCTGTTCCATTGGTCTATATCTCTCTTTTGGTACCAGTACCATGCTGTTTTGGTTATTGTAGCCTTATAGTATTGTTTGAAGTCAGGTAGCATGATGCCTCCAGCTTTGTTCTTTTGGCTTAGGATTGTCTTGGCAATGTGGGTTCTTTTTTGGCTCCATATGAACTTTAAGGTAGTTTTTTCCAATTCTGTGAAGAAAGTCATTGATTGCTTGATGGGGATGGCATTGAATCTATAAATGACCTTGGGCAGTATGGCCATTTCACGATATTGATTCTTCCTATCCATGAGCATGGAATGTTCTTCTATTTGTTTGTGCCCTCTCCTCTTTTATTTCATTGAGCAGTGGTTTGTAGTTCTCCTTGAAGAGGTCCTTCATATCCCTTGTAAGTTGGATTCCTAGGTATTTTATTCTCTTTGAAGCAATTGTGAATGGGAGTTCACTCATGATTTGGCTCTCCGTTTGTCTGTTATTGGTGTATAAGAATGCTTGTGATTTTTGCTTACTGATTTCGTATCCTGAGACTTTGCTGAAGTTGCTTATCAGCTTAAGGAGATTTTGGGCTGAGATGATGGGGTTTTCTAGATATACAATCATGTCATCTGCAAACAGGGACAGTTTGACTTCCTCTTTTCCTAATTGAATACCCTTTATTTCTTTCTCCTGCCTAATTGCCCTGGCCAGAACTTCCAACACTATGTTGAATAGGAGTGGTGAGAGAGGGCATTCCTGTCTTGTGCCAGTTTTCAAAGGGAATGCTTCCAGTTTTTGCCCATTTAGTATGATATTGGCTGTGGGTTTGTCATAAATAGCTCTTATTATTTTGAGATACGTCCCATCAATACCTAATTTATTGAGAGTTTTTAGCATGAAGGGCTGCTGAATTTTGTCAAAGGCCTTTTCTGTATCTATTGAGATAATCATGTGGTTTTTGTCTTTGATTGTATTTATATGCTGGATTATGTTGATTGATTTGCATATGGGAGACTTTAACACCCCACTGTCAACATTAGACAGATCAATGAGACAGAAAATTAACAAGGATATCCAGGAATTGAATTCAGCTCTGCACCAAGCGGACCTAATAGACAGCTACAGAACTCTCCACCCCAAATCAACAGAATATACATTCTTCTCAGCACCACACCACACCTATTCCAGAATTGACCACATAGTTGGATGTAAAGCACTCCTCAGCAAATGTAAAAGAACAGAAATTATAACAAACTGTCTCTCAGACCACAGTGCAATCAAACTAGAACTCAGGATTAAGAAACTCACTCAAAACTGCTCAACTATATGGAAACTGAACAACCTGCTCCTCAATGACTACTGGGTACATAACAAAATGAAGGCAGAAATAAAGATGTTCTTTGAAACCAGTGAGAACAAAGACACAACATACCAGAATCTCTGGGACACATTTAAAGCAGTGTGTAGAGGGAAATTTATAGCACTAAATGCCCACAAGAGAAAGCGGGAAAGTTCTAAAATTGACACCCTAACATCACAATTGAAAGAGCTAGAGAAGCAAGAGCAAACACATTCAAAAGCTAGCAGAAGGCAAGAAATAACTAAGATTAGAGCAGAACTGAAGGAGATAGAGACACAAAAAACCCTTCAAAAAATCAATGTATCCAGGAGCTGTTTTTTTGAAAAGATCAACAAAATTGATAGACCACTAGCAAGACTAATAAAGAAGAGAGAAGATTCAAATAGATGCAATAAAAAATGATAAAGGGGATATCACCACCAATCCCACAGAAATACAAACTACCATCAGAGAATACTATAAACACCTCTACGCAAATAAACTAGAAAATCTAGAAGAAATGGATAAATTCCTGGACACATACACCCTCTCAAGACTAAACCAGGAAGAAGTTGAATCTCTGAATAGACCAATAACAGGCTCTGAAATTGAGGCAATAATTAACAGCTTACCAACCAAAAAAAGTCCAGGACCAGACGGATTCACAGCTGAATTCTACCAGAGGTACAAAGAGGAGCTGGTACCATTCCTTCCGAAACTATTCCAATCAATAGAAAAAGAGAGAATCCTCCCTAACTCATTTTATGAGGCCAGCGTCATCCTGATACCAAAGGCTGGCAGAGACACAACAACCAAAAAAAAAGACCAATATCCATGATGAACATCGATGCAAAAATTCTCAATAAAATACTGGCAAACCGAATCCAGCAGCACATCAAAAGGCTTATCCACCATGATCAAGTGGGTTTCATCCCTGGGATGCAAGGCTGGTTCAACATATGCAAATCAAGAAAACAAATATTTTTGAAGCAGCATTTAATAAGAAAAAGGACTCCTAATACTCTTTCTGACATACAATCATGTAAATTTATTATGAAATATAAATACTAGTTGAAGAAGAGGAAGAAAAGTTTTATATCATAGCAGGACAATGAAGGACTCTTTGGAGTGGAATTTGATGATTTAGAAGACAGATCATGAGTGCCCTAAAGCAGCAGTCCCCAACCTTTTTGGCACCAGAGACCAGTTTCATGGAAGGCAATTTCTCCACACACAGGGGATGTAGGGAGTGGTTTCACGGTGATTCAAGCACATTACATTTATTTTGCACTTTACTTCTATCATTATGACATTGTAATATATAATGTAATAATTATGTAGCTCACCAAAATGTAGAATCAGTGGCAGCCCTGAACTTGTTTTCCTAAAACTAGACAGTGTCCTCTTGGGGTGATAGGAGATAGTGACCATTAGGCATTAGATTCTCATAAGGAGCATGCAACCTAGATTCCTCACATGCACAGTCCACAATAGGGTAGGTGCTGCTATGAGAATCTAATGCTGCCACTTATCTGACAAGGAGCCAGAGCTCAGACGGTAATGTGAGTAATGGGGAATGGCTGTAAACACCGATGAGGCTTTGCTCACATGCCCACCACTCACCATGTGCTGTGCAGCCAGGTTCCTAATAGGCCAGGGACCAGGACTGGTCTGTGGCCCAGGGGTTGGAGACCCCTGCCTTAAAGTATGTTGGAAAATCTGAGAAGGTATGAAGAGGTGGACAATCAGGTCTGATTACTGTTTCTGCAAAGTAAAATTGGGAGGACTGTCACTGAGTTAAAGGGTCCTCTGGGAGACTTGCACAGCGGATAGTATCTAATGTAAATGGGGACATAGTTATGATGACCAATCTTGCTTCTTCCTTAGATGATGTTGGGTAATTCAGTGAGCACACTGGTTACAAATTTTAACCAGTGAGCATAAATAAATAGTTTGGTTGCAATCTGTCTTCCTGCCCCACTTAATTCTTGCTTTGTGCTTCGTATCACAGGCAACCAGCTTGTTGCTTTATGCATCCTTCCTTCATCCTATTTTTTATTGTATAATTCAGAGATTTTGTGCAGCTTTAAAATTTTCCATTTCCAGAAGCATGTCTTTGTTTTCCTATAGAAACTTTTTTCTGCAGTTGCTGATTATATTGTGTTAGTGCACTCTATCTTTGTAAAAGTAAACTCTTTAGCAGTTGCATTGTTTTTCAAGGTCAGCAAAATTATAGACATTGATTGGTGCTGGTTTCAGTGTTAAACACTTTTAGTTGTTGAGAATGAGAGCGGAAATAGTTTTCTCATTTTTCAGATAGATAAACACTATCATACATCTCATACTAAACCATTAAATGTCTCACTGGCATCCTTGGTTTCATTCTGGCTTGATCACTTAATTATGTAGGTAGCATTTACAAGACTGCAAAGAAATGGTTTACAGAGAATAAAATGGTCTATTTAATCCCAGTGAAGTATTGTACTAAATGAATCTTTTTTAACAAAATAAACCCAGCTAATTTAACAATATTAAATCAGCAGCCAATATCTTTAGCACATCAAGGAAGAATTTTGGGTAATATTTGATGTTTATTACTTAAGAAGAAAGACAAGAATTCATGTGCCTGCCCCTTTTCTTAGGTCTGTAGGCTTCCACTGTTTAGAAGGAGTATAACAATTCTAATAAAATAACATATTCAAAGTGACAATGCAATTTACACAGGACATTCTCTCTTTTTCTTTTTTTTTTTTTTTTTTTGAGACGGAGTCTCGCTCTGTCGCCCAGGCCGGACTGCGGACTGCAGTGGCGCAATCTCGGCTCACTGCAAGCTCCGCCTCCCGGGTTCACGCCATTCTCCTGCCTCAGCCTCCCGAGTAGCTGGGACTACAGGCGCCCGCCACCGCGCCCGGCTAATTTTTTTTTTGTATTTTTAGTAGAGACGGGGTTTCACCTTGTTAGCCAGGATGGTCTCGATCTCCTGACCTCATGATCCACCCGCCTCGGCCTCCCAAAGTGCTGGGATTACAGGCGTGAGCCACCGCGCCCGGCCAGGACATTCTCTCATGCCATGACACTTCCTATTTAGCATTCCATTCCCCAACTAATACTTCCTATTCCTTAATTTTGTTTTGTGCATTCTTCCTAAATTTGCAGGATGGTTTAAAGTCAAAGAATACTTCCCATTTTGTACATTATGGTTGTATATATTTTTTGCATATGCACATACATTATTAGTAGTATTATAATCACATTGTATATAATCAAATTATAAGATATTCTGCTTTTTTGTATAGAATTATCCATATGCATGCCAGAATTTTGCTCAATATTGTTTTATTTATTTCATCATCTCATCGCTTTCTCTTGAAATCAACTTCTTTTTCTCAAATTGGTCCTTTAGATGTTAATCTAATGACGGAAAGACGTGTTCTATTGACAGTAAGACTTGTTAGTCAAATTAAACTTGTCCTTATTTTACATTTTCTTTCAATAGTGTTTCATTTAAAAGCTATTTGGCCAATATCTTATATTGCTCTTTAGAACTCTTCTATTAATTTAATTGCCATTAATTTGTTGGTAATATTTATGACATTTTTTGTTTTTTAATCTGTTTTTTAAAAATATTTTTCTATTATTGTTTCAAATGGTTTAGCAATTATATACTTACATCTGGTTTTCATTACATATATATTCAGTATATAGATCTTGTCATCATATGTCTTTAATTATATATCAATATATGTGTATGTGTACATTTTATTTTATATATCTATATAGTTATTTACAGTAATTCTTTAATATTTATCTTGATATATTTTGCCAGTATTGGAAAACTCTCAGCCATCATATCATTCAATATATAGCTTTTTCACTTTTCTTTAACTTTTTTATTCTCACACTTCAGTTTCACATATATTAGAATGATGTACTTTTTCATTGCTCATCATGTATATATCCTACACCTTTCCCGTTCCACATATTTATCTCTCTTTGCTTTAGTTGGGATATTTTCTTCCAACTTCCAGTTCACTATTTTTCTCTCTACCATTAAATGATATCTCATAAACCCACTTACTATACTTTGCAGTTCCAAAATGTCTGTGTTTCTTTCCGTAGTTTCTAGATTTCCAAATAATTCTGTCTTGTATTTTATGTTTATATCAATCATAGTTATTCTTAATTGTGTATGAAAACTTTATCTGAATTGTTGGTGAATCTCTATAATACCTTTTTAATTTCCCCCTGGTTTTTCATCATGTCTTGTCTTCTAGCATTCTTCGTTCTATTTTATTGAGGCCTGGTATTATATATGAAAAAATTTAGAGATAATTATAGGGTCTGAATAAAGAAGCGATCTCCTTCCAGAGAAGATTTATATTTGCCTCTGCCAGCAGTAAGGCTGGACTTTGGAGGTTACAGATCACTTTAATTCAAACAGGGATGGAGATGACTCAAAATTGAGCTTAGTTTCCTTTAAGAATTGATTGATTTCTGATTCATCCTTATTTAAGGGTAACTACTGAAATTGCGGACTTTTACCAGGGCTTCTCTTTGTGCATAAAGTTTGATTTTTGTCCCATTAGGCTCATAGGTGTGTGAAAAGCCCTGCTCAGCTTCCTCGCCTCTTAGCTTCTTCTTCCAATATAAACAGATACCCTTAGGGGAATGTGGCTAAGGGTAGTTGCTAGACTCAGCTTTCTGAGCTTCTCCTGTCTCCCAGATCTTGGTTCCCTAATTCTTTTTATTTTTCTTAACCACTCTGTGGAGATTTTGATAAAATATTTTCTCATACTTTTTCAGTTGTTCTCAGCAGGAGGGATGGATGAGATGGAATATGTAGTTTGTCATTGCAATTAATGGACTTTTTTTGCTTATTATTGTGGATGCCTGTGAACATGTTATATCATTTAATTTTGGTCCCTATTTCTTTTAATCTATCTTTCATATTTTCTGAATCCCTTTATCTTTCTGCTTTCTGAGTAGGTTCTTCAGGCTCATCCTTTCATTGACTAATTCTTCTGTTTGTTCTGCATGACTACACTATCATTCCATTACATTTTAATCATAAGGTACAAAAGGTTTTATTTCAATAAATTTTATTTGATCTTTTCTCAAAAAATCCTGTAGGTTTTTGCACTACCATGTTTTTCTAATATTTTTGATTCTTTATTTTAAATCTTCCAATCATCTTTAAGTGATTTAGGTGACTTTCTATGAGATTCCATATTTGTGATGTTCTCTTGAGTTAATCTTATTATTTATCATGTCCCTGGACACTGTCTGATGGTGGATTAGTTTTTATATGATTTTTAAAACTTAAATTGTAAGTTTACCTACTTGAGGGTTTTAAGCTATGTTACCTAAACTGAATGCATAGTCCTCCAGTGGGTTATTTTTTCTAGGGCCAGATGTCCCAGAAGTATTACAGCTTGAGATCACCATTAGTGGAACACAACTAAAGTTTCAATGAGAGTGTTCCAAAAACCTGACAGTAATATTATAATATATACTTAAGCATCAAAACCTAATATGGCACCAGTGGCTGTTTACAAATTCTCAGGGGATATATATTTTCTATCTTTGAACAGGCAGAGATTGACATATTTTACCTGTACTGGAGGTGAATTTCTTTCTAGTTCTCTCTTTTAATTAAATATGTGTATCTGTGCATAGGAATCAATACCAACACTAGTACTGGCCTAGGGCTTTATATAGATTCCCAATGTGCAAGAAAACCAAAGAAATTGTGTAAACCCCAAAACTTACTGAATTATTTCTCAGGTTCTTGATTATTTCCTATAATTGGGTTTTCCTTTTTTGTCTTGTGATCTCTATGCATAAAAGTTATATTTTATCTAAGAATAATAGTTATATGCGTGTCTATATTGCCAGAAATAAAATATGTTCATCTTTAGGATGTGGTATTTGTTTAGAATAGAACTGCCATTCTTATTGTATTGACTGCATGCTTCAAATTTAGTTAATAACAAATATAATTCTGTTTTTCTTGACAACTAGAATGTTTTCTCCCATTAATCACTTTATTTGGGGGGAGGATCAGCTATAGTCTAATATGAATTCAGTGATATTCACCTTTGTTATTTCTTTCTATGGGATAAAGTTTTGTGATTAATTAAACTTTTATTTGTGGTAGAGACAGTCTCATTATATTGCCCAGGCTAGTCTTGAACTCCAAGGGTCAAGTATTCTTCCTGTCTTGGCCTCCCAAAGTGTTGTGATTACAGGTGTGAACCACCACGCTCAGCTGATTAATTAAAGTTTAACATTAATTAACATCTTTTTTACTTGAGATATATTTTACTCCTATTATAATGTTAACACCACCCTATGGGCTATCAACATTTGAACTTTTGATCAATATTGAGTTAAATTTCCACATGTGCAATGACCATATATATCCTGTCAATCATTAAGTATCCTTAAGAGGTCGCTAATGTTCAGTTCCAAACAGGAGTTTTGTAAGGTCTTAGAATTACAAGAGTCAACATTCAATTCATTTTAGTGTTCATATTTCAGAAAATAAATTGGCAGGTTTTATTTCTGTAAATTTGTTAAGACTACCAGACACTTCACGGTTCTTCTAACATTGTTGCATTCAATGCATAATCAGGTGTTGCTAAGCAGCACATTATGACTTTATTATTTTAGGTAGCATATAAACATATTTTGGTTACTTTAAGCCATGATAGATGTTTCTCTGATTTTTTCTTCATTTTTAGTTTCTCCTTTTTCTCTTTCCTCAATAGTACAGTAAAATAGTACTATTTTACTGTACAGTAAATAGTACAGTAAATAGTACAATAAAATAGTAAAGTAGAACCCTCAGTTTTCCCTTATAAAATAGAATAAGAGTTTTATGTATCATTCTGTGGCCTTTCAACATTTATTGTACTATATTCAATCTTACAAATATTTATTATTTAAAAAGTACTAATAATTGAGTATATTAATTTGACTTTTAATATCACGGCTATATTTGGGGTATTTATTTATTATTATTGTAAATGCATTGAAAAGTTGTAATCAAAGCAATATAATTTTTAACCAAATAAAATTACTTGGCTATAGAAAGTCACGGAGCTAATTATCTCTAAGTAGCATCTCTCAGCTATGTTTTATGTTTTGATTTACTAGTTTTAGGAAAATAACATATTTTCTAGATAGTTAAATTTACGTCAGTGTATGCATTTACAATACCCACACATAATAGACTTTAGAAGGTAAAACATACAATATATTCTTAAAATTACCCACATATATTTTTCATCCGAACTTCCTCTTTTCTTTCAACTAGTAATATATTACCTATTAATAGAGGCTCTGTCCATGGTTTCTCATTTCCATGAAGCACTCTCATCCCTTTCTAGTCCTGAGTCATCTCTGCTTTCTCCCATGAATGTATTGAAAAAAAAGAAGATAATTGTGGAAAATTCCTTTAAAAATACTCTTTTAAAAATTTATTATACGTGTGGTAAATTTGTTTAAAGTTTAATCTCAAAGTTAAGAAGTAAACTTTTAATGGAGACTTTAAAACGATAGTATAGAATTTATTTTAAGATAAAGTTATATTCTGATAATTGTGAATCAACTCTTCATTATGGCAGTGTATAATAAAGATGATTTGATTTTTCTATAGCGACAGAATTATTTAGTGCTCTCTTTATTCCTAACGGTAGTACAAAAAGAAAATTTCAAGTGATGCTTCTGCTATGACCAATAAACTCATAATATTAAAAGTCAATGATACATATAATTCTGATAGACATCTTAGTATTTACTCTTGATAGAGAAAATAACCCAATTTCAGGTGCAAATATTAGATGAATTTGAAATGAGATTAAAGTTCCCAATTTTAAATAAAATATTTTCAAGCTTTTTATTGATGAAAAACTTACATAGACTGAAGTGCACAAGTCATAGCTCATACTACCTGATGCATGTCCAAAACCTGAACACACCTATATAACAAGTCCCAAAATCAAAAAGCAGAAACTTACCACTTTTAAAGCTTTCCTCATGCTTTCTCTCAGTCACTATCCGTCATTGCTGGTCAGTACCCTACAAAAGGTAACCACTATTTCTATTTCTGACACTAGATAACCCATTTTATTTACTTCCTAGATCTAAATGGTCTTCCCATGGAAACAGTTAGTTTTATAAGCTATAGTTACACTTTTTCTGACAATTAAATGTTATTTTTCATTGAATAGGTCCAAAGTGGTACCCTTCTCGAGTTGGTCTGCAGCTAGAATGTGGTAAGAAGCATTTTTCACTGATGTGTTTATTTAATTTATAATCCCTTTTCTATTTTCAAAAGCTGACATTCACTTATCACTTTGCAAATATACAAATATTAGTATTATTTAATTGATTCGCCCAACAAACTAGAGCTCCACTTTTATAAATGAATAATTTAGTCTCAAATAGGTATTTTTTACATATTCACTGTCTGTGAGTTTTAGAAGCAGATTCTGAAACTAAAATATTTTTGTTTGTGAAGCTTTAACTGGTCGTCTGTGAAGCTTTAACTGGTCACCTTCTCATTCTACTGCTCCATAATATATTCTTAAGGTTAATGCTTAGCTTTTTCAATTTTTTCTTTTTCTTTTTGCTGTTATAAAGCAGAATAAGTGACATAAGGAACAAAACTAATGAATTTGGAGAAGAAGCATTATGCCCACTATTAAACCTCAAATTTCTCAGATTTTTAAACCCTATGATCTCAAGAAATTTATCAATAAATGCACTTAAAAATGGCTCCTACCAATAATTACTGTTGCTGACACTACATCAACTTTATTTTAAATTTGGAGTTTAAAATTTTAATGAAAGCTGTGGGTAGCATGTACTTTTTTTCAGGATAGAATGAAAAAGCCTTTAATAGTAAATCTATAGGAGGTACCTCTTAAGGAATTTCAATCTCCCAATTTTTCATAAATAATGAGTTGAATTTTTTTTCTATTGCTTTTCCTAATATTTAGGTTGCCCTCTCTTAGGTATTACATGCACTTAAAGACAAATGATTATTTCTTTGAGTCTCTCGAAACTGTTACGAGTGTTTTCATTGCTGTCTTAAACATTTAATCGTTCTCTGAGAACTGTATGTTCAAAACAAAGAAATATGCAAGATTTCTAGGAGCCACACTTTTCTGATTCTCTCAAATTTATTTTTGCTCAAATGTTCAAGACAAATTCCCACCTACCTAGAGTTTAAGAAAGACAAATTATTGTCTCATCTACTTTTGCCTTCATAGGGCCTAGCACATGTCAGCACATAAGTGCCTTTCAATACATGGATGTTGACATATATGAAATGAAATTGACTCTTACACAAAGAAGCCTCAAAGAGTGTCACAGACAACATTGTCAAATGTAACTTCCATTTGAAGGACACTATTAAGAGACTGATAAATTTCTGTTAGTTCAGTGTTCTGGTGAATATGACATATTCCTTTTCTCCCAAATTTATTTACCTAGTTGAGTGTACCAGGATGGGGTGTGAGATGAGTAAAATATAGTTGTCGCAGTGTCCTTAAAAAGAACTGTAATGATGTATTTGAAAAAAAAGTCAACTGATTTAGTGAGATATGGTGCAAAGAAATCAAAATCCAAAGCTCATTTGGATTGATTCAGATTTCTACATTTGATTGACCCTCTCATACTTACTTGCCTACATGGTCTTCTTTTATATGGCAGAACTAAAAAAACCACTTAAATCATTTTTAAAGTGTTAGTGTTTATATGTTTATAATGCATATGATGATTGGCACAGGCTAGTTGCTCCATCAATCTTAGTCATAACTATTAATATTAAGAAGAAAAAAAGGCAATACCAAAACAAAGCAGGGTCTTAATATTTATACATTTGCTCCCAAAATATACGTACTAGAATCATTGATCTTATATGAATATTAGAGACTTCTATAGTTTCCTCACACAAAAGAAACCTTTAAAACACAAATAAAATAGAAGCATTGATTTTCATGGGTAAAATTTTAACCAGTTCTTTAGCTCTGTGTCTCTGCTGAGCTGTGCTATATTTAGCTGAACTTGGATAGGTTCATGCATGCAGCTGCAGTGAGCTGCTGGGCTGTTAGGGAATGATTGGTCTACAATAACCACAACTTTCATGAAATTCCCTTTGTTCAATGTGGTCTCTCACCCCTCAGCAAAATAGTTTGGACTACTCACAAGCTGGGAGTAGAGGTATAAAAATGAGCAGAGGTACTAAAGAATTGTTGAAGCCCAGGTTTGGAAATAGCAAATGATCACTTGTCCTGCAAGTCACTAGTTAGCCCATATTCAAGGGGTGGGAATATGAGAACAGCTATCACTGAGAAGAACTACAAGGTCATACTGTATATGGTGTGCATATGGGGAAGAATTTCAGCAATTTTTACAATAAATCTGTCATATAATCTGGTAAGTAAAATATTTTGTATATTCCTACCTTTATTAATATGCTTTATAATGTCCTGGAAGGACTGGGAAAATTTCTAATGTTTAAAATGATTGGATTTCTACATAGAAAAAATAGATTTTTTTCCATCACTGTTTCCAAGCAATACATCAAAGCTCCATCCACATCCTTTATACAATAGTCTTGACAAACCACTAGGTTTGTTGTGTACCCCAGTTCCAGGCCCATACTTGGGAGGGAATATCCAAAGACCAGGTTGTGCTTGTGTTAATTTGGTCAGGAAATTCAGGGCCCTTAAGTGGCTGAAGCATGATCTAGAAAGATATGTCATGGGATCTAGTTAGGTATTTCCTGTCCTCTTGGCCCTATATATTCCTCTCCCTTTGATAAGGGACATAATCATGGAAAGCCAAGGACAATGGTCCCTTTTTCTTGAGTCTGAACGCTATGATTATTGATACATCTAGATTTTATCAAGTCATTTTTTCAAAATCTCATATTCATGGGACCACATTTTAAAAATAGAATGCCAATGATCTGTTCTTTGAAGTTGGCAAGCATGATAGAAGGGTAGAAACTAACCCCTTTTCTAAGGGTGCTAATAGATGTATATTGGAAACATATTTTCAGCACACTTTCAAGTGATACAAAGCCAGCTGAATTTTTTGTCCTTTTTAACATTTTCTTGTTCTTATACATAATTGTCTTAATACTACTGACAATTTTGATATCAAAGCCTTCACCTTGATCCATATTGTGAAAGTTTTGTATTGCTATGTAACAAATTTACACAAATTTAGCAGTATAAAAAAACTATCATTTATTAGATTGAAGCCATATTATGGCTTGATTCTCTGATTAGGATTGTATAAGACTGGAATCAGAGTGTTGACTGAACTGAATTCTCATGTGAAGACTCTTGACAAAAAGCCACTTCCATCTTCTTTTGTGTTATTGGAAGAGTTTGTGTTGGAAATGCTTGTTCCCTGGTGCTCCAAAGAAATAGCACTCAAACATAAATTTAATTCTCTCAGCAAGGCAATTATTACTTTCTGCAGAAAGGGTGCTCATCGCAGATGGAATAATGGTGAGAGCACCCTTTTGCATTTTATGTTTGTTTGTCTGTTTGTTTGGTCTTTGCAGTTGCATGGAAGAAGTTCCTGTGTTCTTGCTGGCTGTCACTTCCTAGAGGTGGCTGTCTTTTCTCAAAGGCCACCTGTATCCTTGACGTTGACCTTCTCCATCTTCAAGCCAGCAATAGCACAGTGAATCTTCCCAATGCACTGGATCTCTGAATTCCTCTGTCTCTGATTTCTGCACACACATTATAAAAACTCATGCAATAAATCAGGACTACCTAGATAATCTCATTTTTTAAAGCCATGCAATATAATTTAATCAACAGAGTAATAGCCTATATCATATGCAGAACCTCAGGGATTATACAGGTAGCAGAAATCCTGAGGATTATCTAAGAAATCTGCCTACCACACATGTGTTCTTAGGTAAACACAGGACTACATTCACATTTTCAAAGCAATACCAAATTATATGTAATTATATATGTATATATATGTATGTATTTTACAAATAGTAATCAATTTACATGAAATTTCTAAAATATAACTATGAAATTGTTTTCAATAAAGTACCCAGAGAACCATATACATTAACATGACCACCTAAATTATCTGGCTGTTAAAAGTGGATTTATCAAATTTCTGCCTTCAAATGTAATATACAATAATTGTATATTTTTTGTTTCCTTTTAAAAGACCTTTAATTATAAATATAAGCAGATATCTTGGATTCTGAAAGATCATCTAATGGTAGATGCAAATTAACTTTTTTTATTTATTTCAAAAATAGAGACTGGAATGATGCCTTTTAATGATGTAGATAATATAAATCACAAATAACATATGTTAAGTATAACAATAATAATAACAACAATAATAGGATTATATTTGAGAGATTAATCCATTTTGGTATTTGAGCTCTAGTCTACTCATTTTTCTTCCTGCTTGGTATACATTTCTTTAAATAAAACAAAATATTTATCTCTTACCTTATTAAATAACATTTAAGTGTTTTTCAAATATTTTATTATAAATAGTGCTTAAAAAGATATTTTTTTACATATCTTCCCATATACACATTCCAGACTTGTCTGATGGTTATTTTTAAGAATGGAGTCAATTATGTTTATTTTACCTCTATCTTATGAGTAGCTCCTTTAAGTAACCTTTGTTATATCTTTGTCTTACTATGTCTAAAGTCTGTAATACTGGAAACCTTAGTGTGTTTTCATTCCTTTCTTTCCATGCTGAATACACAAACAATCTCATGAAGCCCCACGGTTTTAAATGTTAATGACTTTCAAATATCTACACACACTTCTACCCTGCTGCCTATTTGTCAGTTCTTTCTTGAATGTCTAAGAGATACCACACACTTAAAATACCTTAAGGACTCTTAATTTTACCCTCAGATCTTGCTTTTTCTGTAGTCTTCTTCATGTCAGTTAATGACATTACAATGCATTTAAGTACTCGGGCCAAAAATCTAACTGTCTTTACCTCACTGAATCTTCTCCTTTCAATCAGCTGATCAAGAAGTTGAATCTAGGCTATGTTCCAAATATATTTACAACTGATACATTTTAACATTCTCACCAGTACCACCTTAATCTCAACAAACATCAGCTCCAGCTGGATTAATTTTAAATGTCTCCTAAATAATCACCTTGCTTCCCTTCTTTCTATTTTTCACACAGCATCCAGAATATATTTTAAAAAGATAAATTACACCATTCTCCCGGTGCTTTGGAGGGACCATTCATCTATCCACCACTAATTTATGCTCTTATAAAATCATTTAGAAAGTAGTTGAGGTGTAGTTCTACTAACACTCAAAATTACACTTTTTGTTGTTTTGTTTTGTTTTCATTTTGAGGCAGGGTCTCTTTGTCGCCCAGACTGGAGTACAGTGAAGCGATCACAGTTCACTGTAGCCTTGACCTCCCTGGCTCAAGCAATCCTCCCACCTCAGCCTCCTGAATTGCTGGGACTACAGGCACACAGCACCATGCCTGGCTAATTTTTTTCTGTTTTTTTGTAGAGACAGGGTTTTGTCATGTCACCAAGATGGAACTCCTGGGCTCAAGCGATCTGCTCACCTCAGCTCGACAAAGTTTTGAGATTACAGATGTGAGCCTTCACACCTGTCCTAAAATTACACTTTAAAAAAATTCCTGTATGTTATTTGTTTAGGTCCTAATATAACATGTTCTCAGAAATAATAGGATAGTAACTAATGGTAGTCTAAATTTTGGGTAGATGGTATTGGGAAACCACTGTGCATTTGAAGAGTTGCTAGATATATGTTATAAAATGGCATTGTTCACATTTTGTTTTACTTTGAAGATTTCTTGTACATTGTAATTTCCATATTAAATTAATCTTTAGCTTTTACTGATTTTACACTAAGAAATTCTTTATCGTTATGCTAAGAAATTGTATTAAAATAAAATTTTCTTGTTATTTTTATTTTAGGCGGGCCTTTTTTGAAGGACTACATTACCATTCAAAGTATTGCAGCTTCCTCCATTGTCACACTGTATGCTACAGACCTAGGTCAACAAGTCAGTTGGACCACAGTAAGTGTTAATTTGAAATGTAATATACATTTCTCATATTTTGCTCTAAATAATTTATTGACAGATTAATTCTATCAAATAAACTCATAGCGAAACAAAATGTAGTGAAAGGTATTTTTAATTTTCTATTCTTACTATGACGAGTGGCCAAAGTTCTACTCAAGTATTGGAGCAATAGAAAAACCACAGTTTTGAAAAAGGAAGATAAGTTCCTTTTTTTTTTTTTTTTTTTTTTAAAGTCAACCCACTCTATTACTGGGAGCTTCAACTTTGTTACCAAAATACCAGAGGTTCGGTCTAGGTCCTGCTGCTCACTGCACAGAAAGCCAATGATGGTGATGACAAGTATTGCCAAGGAAGAAGGCTTCAGTTGGAAGCTGCCCCTGAGGAGATGGGAGCTCAGTCTCACATCCATCTGCCTGACTGACTAAAACTAGGGGTTTATATAGCAGGGAAGAAATGTAACAATGTGTAAGAAAACATGTACTAGGGAGGGACAAGGAGGCATCTGGTGGGGTGATCTGATGAATTTCAGTTCTTTGATACTCTTTTGAGAGAGCTGAAGGTTCTCTCCTGAGGAATGAGCTTAGGTAGAACAGATACAAGTTTCAAACTTTAACAGTAATAGGGGTCAATTTCTACATTTATCCAAAAATAACTGTCTATGGGACTATTGGGCTGGTTTCATCTGCTCCACCTATGCTTTGTTATTTACATGGTATCTCTTTACCTTTTCCTTCTAGTAATCTAGGAACATCACAGATTCTTTTGACACTGGAGAGAAGAGTATAGAATATCCAGTTAAAAAGGAGGTTCTCAGGCAGAGAAACAAACTTTTGGCAACTGACCATGAAAAAGTAAACTTCCTTCAGCCTGTGAAAATATTATTTTGGCTCTTTTTGGAGGAAAATAGCAGGTGTTAAAATCATGGTATTTGAAAATGGCATTAGATGAATGAGGACGACATTGAAAAGACATAGAGGGTTAAGAGGCAGTGAAAATACTTGGTACTAGTGCACAGTATTGAAACACTCATGGGTAATAGAATAAATCAATGGAATAGCTTCAACAGCAAGAGGAAATGTTAATATGATATTTAGTAACAGAGGCAGTGAAAAATTAATAAACAGTTTTGATATACAAAGAATAATGAGCTCCTTTTCTTTCAATTACATTAAACTTCTGTTATTTGTATTATTTAAACTATGAAAGTTTTTCTTTGCATTTACATTCCACTCCATATTTGTGATTACTTTTAATATTTTTCTATTCAAAATGACTTTTCTTTTTGCCACAATTAACAATCAATCAACATTACCATTCATAGTGATTTGAGCTGTTTCTTTACAATTAAACAACCAATTTTTGTAAGTTTTACAAATGTATGATAATTTATACATTAATATTTGTTAATTTTAATCTAACACAAATTTAATTTTAAATTTATTAATTAAAATATTGCTACATCTGTGAATATTTTCTAACAGTCTTTCTTTTTAAGATATATTTCCCATGTAATTAATGAGTTCTATTTTATGTTTTCATTAAGAAAATATTTTCTGTGTGAAAAACTTTAAGAAATTAGTAGTATATATGCCCACAAAGGTGAGAAAAGAAGCTGCCAATGTTCTATGGTCGTGTTTGCAGTACAGTAAGGAGCTCAATAAATATTTTTTGAACAAACAAATAAATGAATATCAAATGAAAAAAAATAGTTGATTTATTTTCCAAAGTATATTGAGCTTTTGAGTACTAACTTGTACCACTAAAGATTGAGTTTAGAACCTTATGAATTCTTGTGAAGCACATTTTAATGTTTAGAAAACAACCTATAGACGATGCATGCATTTGCAAATAAAGTTTTAATACTGTACTTAAATGTGATGTCTACAGACCTTTGCTTAAAGAGATTTTAGAAAAGAGTGTTTGGTCTTCAAAGGTTAAAATATTCACAGGGTCTTTGTCCACATTTACAACGAAAAGGGAACTCTGTTTACAGAAATTGTGTCAGGGTGAGCAGCATTAAACCATTAAATCATTAGAAATTTCAGCTTCATCACTTGGATAAGCACTGAGAAGAAAACACACTATAGTGGAATTATTTGACAATTGTACTAGAAAATTATAGCTTGTTTGAGAGGAAAATCATCTATGTGACAAAGAGAACTCTGCAAATAGGCTGGATATTTCTACATCAACCCCATGGATCACACATCTTTTTGCTCCAAATGAGTCAGTTCTATTAAATGCTAAAAATATACACATTACATTGCAATTACACCCATTTCAGATCAACTAAATTATGCAACAAAAGTAATGTTTTACCACATATGACATTCTTGTTCATTGAAAAATATGAAAATTTGTTCCTATAATAAATAATATAATAGGGAAATAATCTAATTTAGCAAGGTTAAAATTAAGATTTTAATATTTTTCTCCAACTAACAGTGTGTTACAAAATATTGAGTAAAATCTTGCCTCATTTAACTTACTAAAAAACTTAGGATAAAAGATTAATATGAAAATATAACAATTCTCATTATATGAAGACTGTTAATTAATTAAAGTTATGCAGTTTTCACCATTTTTGTATTAATTCATGTATGTATGAGTTAATGTGTAATTCTATACAATTTATCCCTTGTATAAGTTCATGTATCTAACACCAATGTCAAGATAGAGAATTGCTTCATCCTTAAGAAGGAACTTCTTCCTTTTATCTTTGCATACTTACATACACTTTTTCCTATCCTGGAGTAACCACTGATGTGTTCTTCATCTCCATATTTTTGTCATGTGGAAAATGCTCTATAAAAGGATTCAGACAATATTTTGAGATTGATGTTAATTTTTCTGTAAGCATAGTGTCCTTGAAATCCATCCTGATTTTTGTTTGTATCAATAATTGGTTCCTTTACATTGGTGAGTAGTATTCAGTTATATGGATGTAATGGACTTTGTTTAACCACTTACTCTTTGAATTACATTTGGGTGGTTTTTAGTATTTTGCTATTAACAAATAAAGCTGCAATGAATATTAGGGGTATTTGTATGAACTTTTTAAAAAATTTATCTGGGATACAGTGTTGAGTCTTGAGAATTCTTTATGTAATGTAGATACGAGTCCTTGTATATGTGGTTTGGAAATATTTTCTCTCCTTCTTTAACTTGTCTTTTCATCATCTTAGCAGAACTTTTCACTGAAAGAATTGTTTTCAATTTTAATGCAGTCTAATTTATCAAGGTTTTCTTTTAAAGATTATGCTTTTACTTTCATATATAAGAATCCTTCAACTTAGTTGTAGGTCCTGGAGTTCTCTCCTGCATTTTCTTATGAGTTTAGTAGTTTTATGTTTTACACTGTAATGATACCCTATTTTTATTGTAAATTTCACATTTTTAATGTCTAAATCTAATTTTCTTCAATTTGTCTCACGTGTTCTATAACCCTTATTTCTCTTTTTTTCTTACCTTATTTTGAATTAATTGTCATGCTGTCTTTTCTATTACCTTTGTGTTATTTTGGTATTTATATCTTCTATTTTACTAATTCTAGGGGTTACCAAAGAGATTACAGAGTGAACCCTTGAGATATTAAATGCTAATATACATTTTTACATTTGATTTTACTAAGGTAAAAATATTTCATAAATATTGAATATGACATTGAATGACTTTACATTTGAGCACCTCCTGACTCATTTTCATGGTTTTGGTACAATATAATTTTCCATATATCTTAAATCCAAATACATTACTAAAATTTTATCTAACAAATACTTTATCCTTTAGACTTAACCTTTTTGCTGCGATTTAGTTATTTCTTCTAATGCTGAACTTACATCTGTCTCCTTCTCCCTGAAGAACATCTTTAGTGTTTTATTGTAGTTCTGTCATTGATGAATTATCTCCATTCTTGTTTATCTTAACATGTCCTTATTAACTTTTATTGTTAAAGAATATTTTTACATAAAAATAAGTTTATGTTGGCAGTTCTCTTTTCTTGACTTCACAATATTTTATTTTTTTAATTTCTGAATTCCATTGTTTCTGTTGAAAAGTCAGCTTTACTCCTTTGAAAGTAATGTGTCTTTTCTAAACAATTCTTGTTTGGTTTTGTTATCGGCAATTTGACTATGATATGCACAATTATTATCATATTTTTATTTACCTTGCTTTAGTTTTATCTGAGTTGGTGGTTTCATGTGTTCATGCGCACACACACACATGCATATAATTTGAAAAATTAGCTACCATTATCTATTCAACTATTTCTTGTCCATTATTCTCTTTAAATTCTTCTTTTAAATTTTACATTACATTTCAATATTTTTCTTTTCAAAGTTTTTACATATCTGAAAATCTCAACCTTATCTTTCATTTAACACATAAGAGATAGTTTTTGTTAAAGTTTGTGTCTGATATTCCTGTTATGTGCATCTTTAATTTTTTTATTTTTATTTTTGCTATTTCTCTTGGTTTTGCTCACAGTCTGTTTGGTCTTTGTATACCTGCATATTTCTAAGTACAGAAAATGTATGTGAAAAATTTTAATGATAGCTGAGACTTACGGTGATTTTTATCTTCTTTCAAATATAAGTTACCATCTTCTAAATGAATGAACTGTATTATTGGATCCAAGTCATCTTGATCAAATCAATGACTGAAATGATTTTAGGTTGAGCTTTAGAATCTGTGGAGACAGTTTTATGAGGCCACCTTCATCCTTTGGAGATGATGAACAACTGTTTTTGTTTTTTTATTCCCAGGCCCCATCAAAAATCTGTTCTTATCAGGCTCATATGAGGCTTCTTATGCAAGGTTCAATCTCTTCTCTGGATCCCCCATTTCAACATTTTTGACCTTCTAATTCCTCAATGACATTAAATCTCTGAAGGCTGAAAAAGGCTTTTTAAAAATATTTTGATCAGTTTTTCTCACTAGACTCATTAGTATTCTGTGTTTGAATTATATAGAATAGAAATCTCCATTATATGTTATTTATCTGTCAAACTACAAAAAAACCACAATCTTTATCTAGCAGGATACTAACTTCAACAGTATTCATTAAGTACAAAGTGATCTTACTGTATTACAAGTGATAAATGCTCCCAAAACTTTATGCAACACCCTTATCTTCAGGAGATTAAGGTTAAAACTACTTTATTTTGTTTTCAACAATTCTGAAATATACATTTTTTTAACTGCTGATAGCAATTTTAGAAAAAGAGACAGTAAATCCAACAATGCCCTAATAATGATAGCACTCATTTTTTTTTTTCAAGATAAAACGAAATGCATTAAGCACAGTTTAAGCACATGGGCTCTCACCAATTCACAGTTGCAGCCATGTTTCAATGTATTTTTTAAGCAGATTATTACCTTTTTCTTTTTTTCTTTTTTTTTGGAGACGGAGTCTCGCTCTGTCTCCCAGGCTGGAGTGCAGTGGCCATGATCTTGGCTCACTGCAAGCTCCGCCTCCCAGGTTCACGCCATTCTTCTGCCTCAGCCTCCCGAGTAGCTGGGATTCCAGGCACCTGCCACCACGCCCGGCTAATTTTTTATATTTTTAGTAGAGACGGGGTTTCACCGTGTTAGCCAGGATGGTCTCGATCTCCTGACCTTGTCATCCGCCCGCCTCGGCCTCCCAAAGTGCTGGGATTACAGGCGAGAGCCACAGCGCCTGGCCGATTATTACCTTTTTCAATTTGTACATATATCACGTTGAAGATTCCACTGAGGTTTCAAAGACTCTCAATTTCCTTGCTTGCCTAGTACAAACAATGAATTTTGTATTCAAAACAGAAGATTAGTTTAATACAGTTAACTTTTTGAAAGAGGAGCTATAAATACTATTTGATAATAGAAATAAATTGAAATTTCAATATAGTGTTTGTCTTCAAAATAAGAAAAAGGTGTATCTGCCTCTTTAGAATATAGTCTTCAGTATAATTCTGTATTATAGGGGAGTTTCTAGTCTGTAAGTTCTTGCGATGTACTTGGTTTGTATATGACTGCTTATCTGTTTACTTGATTGTATTTGGTTTTGATTTTGTTTTATTTCCCTTTAGTAGAAAAGACCAGTTCCATTTTCAGAAGACCATATTAATATGTGTCTATCTAGCCCTTATTTTCTTCATCTTGAACTATTTTCTGATTACTTTCTAAGTTTAATAAATCGTCTTTTCCCCTTTCTTCTATTTGCACTGAAATAATTTTTTTAAATGCATTGTCCAAAAGTTACTTATCATTCTCTAGTGCTTTCAGGACATATTATTCATAACCCTCCATATTCTAGCAGAAAAATATTCTTTATAAAATATTAAGCCTTCTAAAACATATTTTATATACTAGTAGGCTCTCTTGAATTATTTTTGAGAGATGATTGAGATAAGATTATAGTTTAATTTCCTCTCATGCGAAGAAACTTCAGATCTGTGTTAGCATTTTTATTAAGTTAATAAAGATTGACACTTGGTCCAAGTTAACTATTGTACACAACATTTTATATTCCTGATATATTCTTAGAGAATTTGCTCAAATTTGACTTCACTAGATCAATTGGTGTTGAAATAACTATTTTAAACATTTTATTGTACTAAAACAATTACCCTCATCATTATTCCAGAGTTTTGGCATTCTATCATTACACATTCACAAGTGGCAAACATTTTCTATAGAATAATGGGGTATTTTGTAAGCCATAAATTACTACAGTCTCTCAAATGAGATTGCTTTTTATATTGACTTGATCAGAAGTTGCATTGTTTTTACTTCTCACACACAAATCTTTCTTGGTACATGAGAAAATATATATATATTTCTAAAAGACAGAATTATAACTGAAGAAACCTCCATATGTAAATTACTATTTATGTATTTGTGTGTAATTATGTATGTATATAAAACTTTTAATTACACACATATATGCATATGAATATATATGAAACCATGCATATGTATTATTCATTCTAACAATCTTCTCAACAGAGCTGTGAACATGATTTCTAACCAATGTGGACAGCTAACTGCATTTTTGAGCAAAACATGCAGATTCAAATTGTTTCTTAAAAAAAAATGGTAGCAGATGAAGACAAAATAGTTAATGGTAGTCAAATTTATTATTGTTAAGTTGTATTTTTTTCTCTTTGAAAACTCCAAAGTAAATTACTTTCCCTTATCTGTCTAAATACTTCAGAGGAAATTTAACATGATTTTAGCACTAAAAAATCAAACAGCTATCAAATTTAGACCAGTTAGCCAATTAATCTTTTGCAATCACTTCGTCTTTTTTCAATTACCTTTCCAAATATTGTTAGTGTCTCTCTATAGTTCAAATATGGTTACCCCCACTCAGCTCAAGCACTCAAAAGTTAATTATTTTAACCATACAACCAGACTCATTAGAATTAAAATATAAAATTTCTAATAGAGAAAACTGAATTGTTTCCATTTGAATTAGAGTCAAATCAATGGATTCAAGCTGACAGGCCCATGGAGGGTAGGGTAGGGAAGAAAAGAATAAGAAAAAGAAAAAGAAAAAAGATACTCTAGCTCATTCAATTTATTGACAGGGACAGTTTATACAGAAGATTAAGTGTGTATTGGACTGGGCAAATACACAGAAAAATATATTAATAATGGTTAGTTTATTAAAATAAAATCTCCTTTTTACTATATCTGAAGAAAGAAACCAGTTTATTAGGTTCAATATTTATTTTTATTCCAAATTAACTATACATATATTAGGCTTTCTCCCCCTGGTTCTTCCAAGGAAGTCGTTATTTGCAATATCACTTAATCTAGTTACAAAAAATCTACCTGTTTCACCAATTTATGCAGTAGGCTAATACTCATAGACACAAATGAACCTTAAAAACATCTATTTTTATCGTTTAATCTAAATCATGTTTTATTTTCAGGTGTTTTTGGCTGAATACACAGGACCTCTGCTAATATACCTCCTCTTTTATTTGAGGATCCCATGTATATATGATGGAAAAGAGAGTGCTAGAAGATTACGCCACCCAGTGGTACAGTAAGTGATACACACACACACACACACACACACACACACACACACACACACACACACCATACACGTTAAGGAGGGGATGAACTAGTAAGCAGGTAAAATATTAATAAAGGTTGTTACTAAACGCGATTGAAGTGGATATCATTTTATGGAAATGTATTTTAGATAACCACACATAGTGTATGTACACCAGCTTCCAAATTTGTAAACTAAGAACTATTAGGTATACCTTAAAATAGAGGTAATTTACCAATGATCACAGCTGTCAAGAGCAACTGCGAAATTCAGAAACGTAGTCAAAAGAAGTTTACAATTACAAAATTGAAAGACCATGTATAGGATATAAAATACAAATGCTTCCCTAAAAATATATTTATTTATTTGGCAATGTTACATAGGAAAGAAATAATGACCTAAGTAATGAACAGGAAGAAAAAAGTTTACAAGTTACTTTTTATTTATTTTTATTTTTATTTTATTTTATTATTGGTATTATTTTTTGAGACAGAGTTTCGCTCTGTCACCCAGGCTGGAGTGCAGTGGCCTGATCTCGGCTCACTGCACGCTCCGCCTCCCGGGTTCACACTATTCTCCTGCCTCAGCCTCCCGAGTAGCTGGGACTACAGGTGCTTGCCACAATGCTCAGCTAATTTTTTTTTTTTTTTTTTTTTTTGTATTTTTAGTGGAGACGGGATTTCACCGTGTTAGCCAGGGTGGTCTTGATCTCCTGACCTCGTGATCCGCCCGCCTCGGCTTCCCAAAGTGCTGGGATTACAGGCATGAGCCACCACGCCCGGCCACAAGTTACTTTTTATAAGTCAAAATCCAAAATTAAATACCATTTTGAAGTATGACAAAAAAAGAGTAAGGCAGCCGTGCTGGTGGCTCACGCCTGCAATCCCAGCACTTTGGGAGGCCTAGGCGGGTGGATCACAAGGTCAGGAGATCGAGACCATCCTGGCTAACACGGTGAAACCCCGTCTCTACTAAAAATACAAAAAATTAGCCAGGCGTGGTGGCGGGTGCCTGTAGTCCCAGCTACTCGGGAGGCTGAGGCAGGAGAATGGTGTGAACCCGGGAGGTGGAGCTTGCAGTGAGCTGAGATCGCACCACTGCACTCCGGCCTGGGGGACAGAGAAAGACTCCGTCTCAAAAAAAAAAAAAAAAAAAAAAAGGAGTAAGGCAATAAACAAAGTATTCTATATAATTGTGGTGTTTAGCATATTGTGAAAATAATCTTTCTCTCTCTGTCTCTCTGTAAGAAATATATGCCAAATTAAATTGAAAGAGAATATTTATTCAGGATGCTATAGTGGGATCTGGGGAGGGAAATTTGTTGAAAAAAAAAAAGACCTGAACAAATTTTATGCATTAAATAAACTCCAAGTGAATTAAGAAGCAAATTGTAAGTATTTAGGTCATATGGATACTAAAAGATAAAGAACTAATTTCATCCTAACTTTCTTACCTCGAATCAAGTTTTGCCTACCTTTAATTACAGTACTCCAGCCACACTGACCTCCTTTCTTGTCCTGATTAGCTACTGTGTTAGTTCGTTCTCATGTTGCTATGAAGAAATACCCAAGACTGAGTAATTTATAAAGAAAAAAAGATTTAATTGACTCACAGTTCCGCAAGGCTGGGGAGGCCTCAAGAAACTTACAATTATGGCGGAAGGTACTTCTTCACATTTTCGTAAGTGAAAGGAATGACCAATTATTTTTAAAAGCGGCTGGGATAAAGAGATTGGAAGGAGAACCTAAAAGCGTTCTTTTTTTAGGCTAAATATGTAACATATACCAGATACGTAGCAGAGCATGAAAAAAGTTTTCTTTAGTGTCATTCTCAAAGGAATTGACTCATATTTACATTTTTTTTTTTTTTGAGAGAGGGTCTTGCTCTGTAGCCCAGGCTAGAGTGCGGTGGCTCAAATTATGGCTCACTGCAGCCTCACTCTTCAGGGCTCAAGCCATTTTACCACCTCAGCCCCCTAAGTAGCTGAGACTATAGGTGTACACACCATCACAACCAGCTAATGCTTAAAAAAAAATTTTAGAGATGAAGTCTCATTATGTTGCCCAGGCTGTTCTTGAACTCCTGGGCTCAAGGGATCCTCCTGCCTCAGTCTCGCAAAGTGCCTGGATTATAGGCATGCACCACTGCACCAGCCTTACTATTCTTAAACAGAAATACAGCATGTTTGGTAGTATCTCAGTGATGAATGTATTTGTGCCACATTATTCCCAAATAACAAATATGTAAAGTTTATATAAAGTAATTCCACAGCAGATACACAAACTACTTTTGAAATTTAGGTATCTAGTTTTAGGTACCTAGATTTAGGTATCTAGATTTAGAAAATAATCACAGGGCTTCTGTCACCTAATTTTCAGGATGATGTTGTTTTAAGATGAATTCTTAAATTCCACATCCAATTGAAACACATTAAAATGTTGTCTCCAAAATTGCTTTGAATCATATTATAATGTCAAAAGAAATTTCTGCTAAGTTCATGTAGAAGGCAGATTTCTATATGTGACCGAACCACCACAAAGTTCTTCAGATCACTTAGAAACCTCCGCACACGGGGACTAAAGGTACATCTCCCATAGGAACTGTATCTGCGTCAAGTATCTTATGAACCTGTTACCTGAACATTTCCTTATCTTCTTCAACAGAAACCAGAAACCTGGTGTAGCGCCATGCCTCCCTTGCTATTTGTAAAGTTGAAGCTGTGCTTTTCTGTGCTGTGCCCTCATATCCTGAACCTTACTTGATTTAAAATAAATAAGATTTTATCAATACTTTGGTTGGGAAAAAGAATTGGATTCACACCTATTTATGGTTTTACAGTTAATTTAGCAATCCACAAAAACTAATCAGTGTTTGGAAGTTAAACATCATTAAATAGAATAATAATATTTTGAAATAAAATCAGACTTGATGAGTTAGCAGTGATGTGCATGATGGCATATATATAAACTAAGTCTCTAGCTGTACATTCTATGGAGGTTTCTATGCTCTCATGGTATAATATAAAATAAATGAATGTACTAATATAGAGAAATCATAGCTTGAACCAAAATTTCTCACTTAGGGCTCTGCTACATTGCTGCTTTTTTATAAAACAAAAAAATTTTATTACTCAAGGGTTTTTGTAACTACATCTACAAAAGAACAATAAAATGAGGAGAGATACCAATTTCCTTAACTACCCTGTGTGCTCACAAGGCAGCTTCTTGTATCTGGACTTCTGCTTTTGTTTGTCTGACTTTCTAGAGAGCTCTTCCCCCAGACATTCATGATGCTTGCTCTCTCACCTTTTTCAGAATTTGTCTGCCATTATACTTATAGGTATCTGCACCACATAATACATTTATGTTACATAATAGGTTCACAGTTTTGTTTTTACGAATTAATGAATAATGATAAATTTGCTGCTGACTTAACCAGGTTAGTGTTTATTTAATTATTTGTTTTTCCTAAAGTCACCCTACTCGTACCAGAAATCATTTCCACTAAAATCAACTCCCAAACGTATAAATAAACTCAATGTCTAATTTTATTATTATATAGAGTAAATGATATGCTGATTTTTATGCTCAACCTTTACTGGTTAAAGTATGTCATCAGTCGGATGTGGTGTCTCATGCCTGTAATCCTAGCAGTTGGGGAACCCCAGGCAAGTTGATTATGTGAGCCCAGGAGTTTGAGACTAGCCTGGGCAACAAGGTTTAACCCATTTCTACAAAAAATACAAAAAAATTAGCCGGGCATGGCGGTGTGGTCCTGTAGTCTAGTTACTCAGGAAGCTGAGGTGGGAGGATTGCTGGAGCCTGAGAGTTTAAGACTGAGAGATCATGCCACTGCACTGCAGCCTGGACAACACAGCAAGATCCTGTCTCTAAAAACAAAAACAACGCACAAAAAGTAGGTCATCTTTGATCCGTATTGAATTTTTTAATAGCAACCAAAGTTTTTGAGATTTCACATTTTTATATGTAACAAAATAGGTACAAATCTTCATGAAAAATACATTGTTTATAGTATATCCAGAAAAATATACTGCTGTAAATCAATCACATTTTTGTTTACTTTTAAGATAGTAATTATATAAAAATGATAAGAAGAGGTGGTAACTTAGAGTACAGCAACACAAACAAACACACAAAGGGACAAAATTAGATAGGAAAAAACAAACAAAACAAAAACAAAGCACAAAACTACATTATTACTGCACAGAAAATGCAATTTAAATTTTCTCAATCTTAGTACTTGCTAAAGGACAACCAGACAATTAAAAAGTTATTCTGACTATTATAAAATGTCAAATACATTCCAACTAGGCTTTGGATATTTTTAAAACTTGTAAATTGTCTGTTTCAGTCGAAGTATTTCGATATGAACATATTTGCAATTATTATATTTATACCCACTCCTGGGACAGGTGTGAGCATAACAGTTTATGACTGGTATTATAAAATATTTCTAATGTCATCAGAAGTAAATTTATAGAGACTCTTATAACAGCTACTTTTATTACTAAATTTAGAAAATTGTGAAAATAAAATATTAAAGCAAGTATTTGTGTTTTAGCTACCAGAAACAATGTTTCCCAATAGCTAGCATATTAAACTAAAAAAATTAAAATGTATCATGCATGAGGCAAGCCAGAACTTCAAAAGGATTTTCATGTTTATGTTTTATTTTTTTTTCCAGCTTGGCTTGCTTCTGTCATTGTATACACTACATCCGATACCTTTTGGAAACCTTATTTGTTCACAAAGTTTCTGCAGGACACACACCTTTGAAAAATTTGATAATGGTGAGGATGCTTTGTGTTTTTAATAATGATTGAGACATTTTATATGTTGGATCCTTTGCAAAATATTTAATCATTGTTTCCTTCCGAAACTTAGATTTTCACGTTTAATTGCATAAGCATACTTAAACATTCTTTTCCTAAAATGTCATTCTTTTTGCGTGATATATTTAATTTGAACTTAACCCTGTAGAAAGATTTGTCATTACCTCATATTACAAGACAAGCTAGATACTCCTAGGAATCTTTTAATTTTGG
This sequence comes from Homo sapiens, assembly GCF_000001405.40. Classification (NCBI taxonomy): domain Eukaryota; kingdom Metazoa; phylum Chordata; class Mammalia; order Primates; family Hominidae; genus Homo; species Homo sapiens. The sequence continues at coordinate 64,309,570 of NC_000004.12, read as the reverse complement.
TAATACTAAGCACTGAATTCAGATTATTTGAGTGCCACTTGAAGAGCAGAATATGATATAAGAACGTTCCTACAAATATACATCTGTGTGGGATTAAAATGGTGATACTATATTCCATTATTATGGCAGTTGTCAATATGATGCTAGTGTGTTTGCTCTTCTAGAAATTGTGAAAGCAACAGTTATGAACTATCAAATAACTACCAAAACATGAAAAAATATGTAAAATATTGACATGGGAAAGTACATTAGACAACATGTTGAAACTCAATTTTCAATTTAAGCTAAATTTTGTTTTTCAATTTAAAGTCTATTTTCAGAAAAAGGTTTGTCTGTAAAAAAAGTGTCCTGTTTTTTGTCAAATATCTGCTTTGTAATATCGCAACAGAACAGCCATTCTATTGTTGTCATTGCAGTAAAGCAGTAAACTGAAATTCTGAGACCTCAGAAGTTATTTAGGACTGCTTTTTTAATAGAAGATATTACAATCAATCAAATCAGTTCAAGATCACCATTATAGACTACAACTCCTAAATCCGAGCCATTTCCATTCCAGTCAATCAACATGTGTTACTACCAATTATCAAATAATTTATTTTTTAAATTCACTAATTGTTAGAAAAATATTAGTGTATCTTATGCAATTGATAATTTATGTTTTATTTTTAGTAATTCATTTATATTTACTACTTACAAAATAATTCTCACCAAATTTTTCTAAAATATTCTGTTAACTTGACATATATCACAAATATCCATTAATATTAGTACAAGTGGAGCAAAGAAATGCATTTTCTTAGTGATATCAAAATAGTATTTGTAAAATGCTTCTGTTACCATCTCCTTATGCCTTAGTTTAGTGAGGTCTGAGTTCTCGTCTCACAACCAAGAAGAATTAAGACACATGGCCACTAGACAGTGATTAGGGCAGAGTAGGATTTATTAAACAACATAAAAGCTCTCAGCAGCTAGAGGGTACCTGAAGAAGATTGCCAGAAATGGGGATAAATTCGGATAAATTCTGGGCCTTTTATGTGGGAAAGACAAGGAAGCCTTCTGTGGCTTACACCCTAAGGGGAGGGGTAGAGATCCCCCTGGGGTTGTTGCATCGGCACATGCCTGCGGTTGGCCATAGATACTTCATCTTGGCTATTACTTATGAGTGCCTAACGAAAGCCTGTGGAGGGGGGAAGCTGAAGCCACAATGCTAATGGCACTATGAGTTCAGGATCAGGATCAATTTAGTATGCATCTCAGTTCTTGTCTGTACCTGCGCAGGTGGCTGGAGAGTTTCTTCTGAGTAAGCATCTTGGTATAAGAGGAAATTCTTAACCACATTTCCTTCTGCCAGCTACATAATGGGTGGTTCAGGTGTGTTCTTGTAGGCATTGTCCCTCTTGCAAGACCTTCTATCTCTATCTGCCTAATCAGCCCCTACCTACCTCCTCTCTCATTCCCCACTCTGGAGTGTTAACCCTAACTGCCATTAGGTGGAACGGGGAGATAACTGCTCTGGCTTTTTCAGGCTGTGAGAGGGTGTTGTTCCAGAAAGGCAGAGGGATTCTCATGTGGTCCTAATTCTAGTACTTCGTAAGTCCTCCAGTATGCACATTTGAAAGTGTTTTCTCCTCCATCTTCCCATATTATCATTAGAAGCCTATTTAGGTCATTCAACGGTACTGCTGTCTTTCCAACTGGATAAGGCCTTCCCTTGTCTCTGGTATTATGTGAGATATGAAGCTCATATCCAAATTTCTTTACTGCTTGCAATGCTGCTTGTTTCTCAGCAGTGGTCAGAGTTTGATTTAAGAGTAACATATCATCCTTTTAGAACACTTTATATACATGGGTTAAATTCTGGAAGGCCTCTATAAATGAGTGATGTTGGGGCTTGCCCAGAGTGAACATTAGGGTCTGAGGGTAAAAGGAGTCCCAGTGATCCAGGTTGTTCTTAAGGGGAGTGCAGGCTGAAGATGGATTGTTACACATATGGAAAGAGAGGGGAGAAAAGGCATCCCTTAGTCTGTCTTCCACTTTTAGGGTGAACTTGGATGGGGAGAGAGAGAGAAAAAGCATCTCCTTTCTCCTCTCCTCGTCCTTGTATCCTCTGGGTCCCAGCAACCTTTATAGGTGTCACCTGTGGATGCAAGTGTGACCTCCAACAACAGACCAGGAGGGCTGGAAGGTAGGAATAGTCACACTTACCTATGCTGCACCCCAGCTCTCCAGTGTTGACCACCTTTGGGGTCCCACAGATCTATTTCTTCTTTTGAGCTTCATACCCAAAGCTTCCCACTTGAAACTTGGAAAATACCTTGAAGTAATTGAACTGGGGCAAGAAACATTAATGAAGGGGGGGTGTCCTTAAATCTTTAAAAAGCATCCCTTCACTGATAGGTAATGGACAGAGCCAGATCATAGCATTCAAGGAAATGAAAGTGACTGACCTCCAAAACTAGCCCCTTCTTCCTGCCCAGGGGTTGTTAAACTTGGAGGAAGAATAGGTGTCTTTGAAAATATAGGGGTTGGCTTGGCTAATTCTGTGTGCTAGTAACCAGGGAATTAGGGCTCCCCCAGACATAGGACCTATAGAGCTCTCCACAGAAACAAATCTTTGCCTTGTCAGGCACCTTGGCAAAGTTTGGAATGTTAGCCTGTAACTTTGTGTCCAAATTCTTTTCAGACAGAGGTTTGAAAGAGAGGAGTTTGGGGCTTGGTGAGCATCCCTCAAAATAAGCCTCCTAGGAGAAGAAAATTGATTTCTCACATAGTGCACACTTCAATGCTTGCTGAGCAGTGCTGACTTCTCTCATGGAAATAAGAAGCAGCCTAGATGGAGAGGAGAATAGTCACCCAGGGAGAAATAGCCTCCTTTACAGTGCCAGTGGGTCTCCTTGACTGGAGAAAGGAAACTCTCTAAATCTTTATATATCCCTTGTTCTAAGAACAGGTAAAAGCAACATTGTTCTGGGTTACACTTCTGATGAGTAAGCAAGCTACTCAATTTTCCCAATAATATTATCTCTCCTGGTTGCAAAAACATACATAACATTGAATATAAAGAAGGGAGAGCAACGATGATAGTCTCAAAAGAAAGAAAATGTGATATAAAATACTGGAAATCTTTATCCAACACCCTAATGGGGTGTCAGGGACTGGAGCCAGTCCAAAGGCCTTTGCGTAACACCAAGATCTAGCCTCAGCCAGATACCTTCAGTTGCCCCAGGATATCCTTCTAAGTCCCACACAACGGCTAGAGCTCCATGAAGGGAAACTGTTTTGGAACAGAATAAACATTCCCAACACCCACGGATGAAGAGGTTTTGACAAAGTCCTCATTGGTAAGCTTGTCTTTTGAGTCTTGTAGGAGCAACAGCCATGCTATTCACTCTTAACTGACTGACAGAGGCCCAGTGTTTTGTTTGGTTTCATATAATAAAGAGAGGCAAGAGCTCTTGGAAATGAAAGTAAAAGAAGTCTGCCCTTACTCACCCTTCCCATGATCCTGAGCAATCCCCCAAAATGTTGCAGTCTCCTTATTCCTTAGTTTAGTGAGGTCTGAGTTATTGTCCCACGACCAAGAAGAATAAGGAACATGGACACTGGAGAGTGTGTAAGGCAGAGTAGCATTTATTAAGCAATAGAAATGCTCTCAGCAGCAACAAGGGACATGAAGAGGGTTGTAAGAAATGGGTCTGAGTCCTCAGTCTTTTATGTGGCAAAGACAAGGAAGTCTTTTGTGGGTTCTACCCTAAGGGGAGTGGTAAAATTCCCCCTGGGGGTGTTGCATCTGTGCATGCCTGGGTTTGGCTATAGCTACTCCATCTTGGTTATTACTCATGAGTGCCTAAGTGAAACCCATGGAGCAGGGAGGGTTAAAGCACAATGCTAATAGCATTATAATGTGGTCAGGATTGTTTTAGGACATCCTCAGTCCTTGTCTGTGCCTCTGCAGGTGGCTGGAAAGTCCCTTTTGAGCAAACATCTTGGTATAACAAGAAATTCTTAACCATATTTTGTCCTGCTAACTCCATAACAGGGGCAGTGCAGGCACAGTCCCACAGGTGTTGGCCCTCTTCTGAGACCCTCCCTCTCTGCCTGCCTAACCAGCCCCTACCTGGTTCCTCTCTCACTATTACATTGGGCAAAGTAATATTCTGTTTATTTAGCTTAGACAATTTGTACCATTTTACATATAAATGCTGCAGTGTCTAATATAAATGTATGTGGTGGTTTCAAATTGTGACATGCATGTAATATAAATGTATGTCACAATTGAAATATATATTACATATTTTTCCTAACTTTTATTTTGTTTTGTTTTGTTTGCAGAGTTGTGCCTTTTACTGGGGATTTACTTCTTGGATTGCCTACTACATTAATCATCCACTATATACACCACCATGTATGTAGGGTTTCTTCTTAACTAACCGTATACTAAAGGACCAACCTAAAAACTCTATTCTAAATGACATACATAAAGGAATAAGTAAAAAATGAAACAATTCATTTTAAATTGCTTTCATATCATATTTCTTTAAATGTTTATGTAGGCCTACAAGACCAATTTGACTCATATATTTTTATTTATTTTGTTTCTACACGAACCACCAAAAATATTAGTAGGTTGTAAACCTCCAAAAAAACAGCTAATAAAATGAAAAAACAACAATTAAAGATAAAATTATTGTATAATTATACAATCATATACTAATCAGCTATCAGATATTTTACAAGTAAATGATAAACATTTAATTATTCTTTTAAATATAATTCAACAAAAAATAGGGCCAATTTTTCTGTGACTTATCAGTTTCTATTTATGATTTGATTTACTAAAATATCATGGCTCTTGACTCAGATGAAACATTTGGTTGAATGTACACTGGATGAAACCTAATTCCTTGGTTCTTAATCTTCAAGGAAAAAGTTTGCCCTGATCAAGGAATTTCATTTCTTCCTTCAATGTGGACTTTTCTCTCTTCAGCTCTTACTGTAGCACATAAGGCACACAATGTAAAGCTCAACAATTAAATGATTTCTCATTTATTTGACAATTATTTTTGTGGGCTATTTCTGGTGTTTACAAAGTTTAAAATAAATGGTATATTCAAACTTTATTTTTAAATTTTAGAAAATAACTTAAACTTCCTTTATTTCTTGGCTGAAGTTGTAATATAGAGAATTACAATGTTCAGGGTCTTTGCCAAAACCAACAAGTTCAGTCTGGGAAGTGAAGAGTCATTGATTTTAATGATTAAAACTTCAGCTGGTCTTAATACTAACAATTAACTATGAATATTGAAAGTGAAAATTTCCTATATCTTCTGATTTTTCAAATATTTTATAAGATGTACTTATTACCTTTACAACGTTAGCACATAGAAGTATTGCTCCAGACTATGTTAATAAGATACACTTCTGAAAAATGCTTCATTGCCATATTGGTTACAAAATAATAATAGTAGTTAATTTTGTTAATATATGTAAAACATTTATTGAAAACTGACTATTTGTTAATAACTGTAAATATGCTATTTATTTTTAATTAAAAACATTATTTTGTGGCTTTAATATTCCCCATTGAAGGCTAGAAAAATGATGCCATGAAAAGATAATTTCACTATGCTCAAGATCTTTAAATGCATAAGATACAATTAGGACTCAAATTCTGTGAAAACATATTATAGCATTTTAATACTTATGACAAGTGGAAAATGAATATCTTGTCTAGGAAGTCCACACTTAACATGGTTGTAATATACATGAGATACAGCTATTATGCTTTAGTTAAATCATGCTAAATAATAATGTGACTTCTACAACAGTATATGATAGAATAAGCTGCTTTTTCCTTTAATAGAGAAAGCATAAATTAACTTTTATTAAGGCTTCCTATTAGGTAAATGCTAAATGGTTGGCACATTTTATCTCATTGAATCCTCATGAAAATTATACTGTTTGTATTCCCACTTTACAGATGAATATCTAAACTTTAGAAAATGTAGGCAGATTTTCCAAATTTACTCAGCAAATAACTGGAAAATAATCTATAGCATAGATACAGATAACAGTAAACTGTGCAAGAGGTTAGCCAATCCACAGCCAGTCAGTTACATAAATTCTGTATAGACATCATCATGGAGATCCCCTTCACAAAAATGAGCATATCATCTTTATCTTGAGTTTTGATCCAGGTAGTAGAGACTCCTATTTCTTAAACTATTAGTTATATGGGCTTAGGATACCTAACACACATTGTTGACAAATAACAGGACCCAGAGACTCTCTCTAATTTGTTCCATGCTTATGCCATTTATTGTTTTTTTTCTGTAAAATTTCACTATTTTCTATATTTATGCTGCAAAAAAACTTCCCTTTCATTTCTTATCACTTTCTAAGTCTTTAATAGAATATTTTCCCATTTCAAAACTTTGATTATAATTAATAGATTTATTTTAATTTTAGAAATTGCTTATATATTGCATCATAAATATTCAATTCTGTACTCACAAAGCACAAATAGCACAAACTACATTATCTTTAGGTGAGATAAAATAAACCTTAAAAATACAATATAAGCACAAAAAAATTCTTAAAAACAAAATGAGGTGATATTTAAAAACACTTCCTAAATTATTTTAACAGTAAAAGATATAATAATAATTAAAGAGCAACTATGACAAGGTAACAAAAAAGGAAATAGTATATATTAAAGCTGTTTTCAGCAAAGCAGGTATAATCTTAATAAATAATCATATTTAAGGAAGATGAAATGAAACACTTCAATTAAACAAATCAGTAATTCTTTTAATTTTTGTTTTAATATATCTTACTTTGCCACATTAAACCCATCTGCTTAAGATTACAAAACAGACAATTGATCCAATTTTTATATTGTTCCTCTTGAAAATTTTCATTAAATTATGCATGCTTACAACATAGTTTCCCTCATTTTACCCTCAAAATTAGAAAAAAAAGTTACTGGACTTTTGGACTTTACCTGTTTAATCTTTAATCACATATTCTGTACTTTCACTTTATATAAGGTATGCTCCTTCAACATACATAATTAAGTCTTTAATTCAGGATTTTTTTCTTGCATTACTGCCATGATTATTATTTTCTCTGGTTTTCTGTTGTTGTTTTTTCGTCATAGTTGACACTGCTCTTCTTTGCTCTCTATGCTAACTGGTCTTTTTCCCACTCCTTTCAGAATTCTCTGTGGTAACAGTGTTTGACTTTTATCACAATTTTCACCACAATCTATTCTCATCAAATTTGGCTGCATAAAGTTAATAGCATCTGTATATTAATACACAAAAGCTAACTTAATTGAAAAACAGCATGTTGTATACATATTTCCATCACATATTCTACTAGAGTTTATTTTCCATACTTCTTGAATAATAGTTAAATACAACTAAATGAAATAGATTATCAAAATTGTAAAACTGCCCAATGGCAGGAACATTTTAATATACCCAAATCAGAATGTATATGTTCAAAAATCTTAATATATAAATGTCTACTATCAACATAATCAAAGAATAATGGCCTATTAGGTTATTTTTACCTATCTAAATGTGAAACATTATACAGATTATAAAATATTATTAAACATTTTAATAAGTGTTATAATGACTAATGTAAATAGAAAGTTTTTTCTCTTCGCACTACCTATAACTTTGTTTTTTTGGAAATAAATATGAAAAATATTAGACTCTTCACTCGATACTTGTTTTTATCACATCATTATTCATTTTCATTTAAAAATAAGAATAAGGCATATGTTTACTGTACTCTGCCTAATGTGCTTTGAACCCTCTCTTCTCTATACTAATGTGCATTCATTTTTATAAATCAAAGCTTAATTGTGTACTCAGAAGAATCCTCCCTGATCCTCCCAGATTACAAGATATCCTTTTCAGTTATTTTATTAAATACTACATAGATCTGTATAGTAGCACTTATCAATTTTAACAAACTTCCGTTTGTTATCATGTGATTAGTACTTTTCTGGGTCAGACTATAAGTTCAATTAAGATTGACTTTGGCTTTGTGTGTACTTTCTCACAAGCGCAAAGTTCAGTGCCTGTCATGCGAATTCTTGATAACTATAGTTGAATGAGTAAAGTTACATTGAATAGTAGGTATAAATAAAAGAATTATGGCTGATACAGATGCATAGCAACCAACTGTGATTTGGCAAAAGCAGAATGTTTAATTATATGGCAAAATTGGTACAACATTAAGAGAAAAGTAAGTTACAAAATTGTTATATCAAATATTATAAAAATGTACAACATATATGAATATGTCAAAGGGGAAAATAATAATATTCACTGGTTTTCTAAGGTTGATGAGATTTTAGTCCATTTTCTTTTCCCTTACTACTTTTCTCTATTTCCTAAATGTTCTCTGCTAATATTTTTTATTTTACTATTAGATATATAAACTTCATAAAAACAAGACTTCCAATTCATGTACATATGGTTTGTATATATATATTCTATGAATATATATCTATGCAAAATATTTATGTAACCTTTAACTAAAATATGCTTTTAAATTTCTAGCTCAAGAAAACAAAATTTAGTAAAAGATTTATACGTAAAGATGTTCAAAGCAGTATTATTTATCACACATAAAATTAAAGTGACCTTTTCAGCCATTCTATGATTAATGTTTTAAGAGCTAGCCATGTCTTGCATTATTATGAAGATTCAATTACCGTTATGACAATGAGTGTTTAATACTATTGAGAAATCTTTAAATATATTGTTAGGTGAAAAACGCACATTTTAAAATAAGGGATAATATTTTTATGTGTAGATGCAAATGTGTTTATATAAATACAATTTACATGCTCACATACATAAAATGAGAAGATAGGAATGCAACTGTTAATAAATATGATGATAGGTTTATCAAATAATTCTATTTTTATTATTATTGAATATTCCAACTTTTCCACAGTGAGCAACCCTGCCTTTAGAACATTGCTTTAAATGGTGTTTTCTACATTACTCTTTATCTGCCCTTTGGAACTTAACCTATATTTTTTTTTATTTTAAGGTCAGGCAAGTAATACATCATATATTTGTTATAATAAAAATATAAAATACTTATAATTCTACCTGTGACAAAACATCAATGTAGAAAACAAATGACTATAATCAGCATTTTCCTTTTTATTGTTAAACATTAAAAATGAGAGTTATTTTGTGGTGCCATTATATGCTTGGCCATACTTAAGTGTGCTTTTAAAATGGGACAAATTCTAAATCTGCCTTCAAGGAGTTTAATAATACAAATTAATAATATATTCCATTTGTAATTTAAATATCATTATGTTAATAACAAAAGTACATGTGAAAAAAAAGTCAACACTTTAGATTGCAAAAGTATCATCCCAAAAGGTGAATTACATACTAGACAGTTCTATTGATTATAGAATTTATACCCAATAAATACTGCCTGAATTATGTCTATATATTTGACAATCCAAACTATGAGTATCTGCATGACATATTCTTTTTCTACTCTCCAGCATTTGGAAACAGGCAAATCACAGTATCTGCTATCAATTTTCTGGTATGTATCATATATATATTTTGCTATTCACGCTCTAATTTTGGTATTATTAAGAAAAACAGACTGTATCTGAAGATTTGTCATGTAGAAAATATGATATATATTTATATAATATACATAATGATATAAAATGAAGTAAATCATATAACTTTCTATAATCAAGTCTTTAGCTCTCTAAATTTTATAATCAAAATGTTGTAGTCATCTCTAAAGGTTGATTAGAATTATTTGAAATACAATAAATATTTGAAAAATTTATACTCACTGATGCTACTGTGTGCACATTTACCAACCTATAAAGAGCAAAAATTTTTTGCAAATCTTACAGACAAACACCCCAAAAACACTTTGGCATAATTGTTAATTTAACTAATTCAAGATGAACTCAGAGTTAGCCTTTTTAATGAAACCTGGCTCTTTCTAAACTGTTCTCATTCAATTTCTTTAGATTGTTATATGTAAATAAACATATATGTAGATAAAATTGTGTGGAAATCAATCTGGGTACACAAGACTCTTGATTATTTCTAAAATGCATTAATTATTTCATTTGACACTTTTTTTAAGTGCTTATAAGCTCTTTAACTCCTTGCTTTCATCTGTGTTCATGTTCTCCTTTCATCCCTGTCATTGATAAATTAGTTAACTCCTATGATTCATCTACAAGTTCATATTTCTTGCAAAGTTTGTGTTCAACAACTTATTTCTAACCATTTTAATACAGGTCATAAATCACCTGCCACACTTTGTAAGGAGCTCTCACATGACCCTCTCTTGCTTCCTCTCTCTCTACATATCTTTAGTTAAGAGTTTAGGTAAGAACGTCCTCCACTGTGTTGGCTTTGAAAAGGAGAGATCTTTTTTTTTGTCTTTTCAGCATATAGTTTGGCCTAGCAAGAACTCATTACTTGTTTGAATAGATAGCACAGATTATTTATGTATTTGGAATTTCTTCAACAATATGTTGAAAATATATCACAGCCTTGTAATTTTCCAATTGTGCATACTGTTCAAGGAGAGGAATTCTGTGATTCACGTGTTGTAACAGCGTTATTTAATGTTGTATACAGCGTACTACAACCCCTGTTGTATTAAGACTAATGTTCTGATATTAACTACTCAGTAAATCTGAGGGAAGAGAAGAATAAATTCATGGATAAACAAAATAATAACCACCTATTTGTTAGTAATTTCAGTATGTTTTAGATTAATATCTGATTATTAGTCTACTTTTTCTCCTCCTTATGATGTTGTCCACTTTTTCAAAAAAATTGTGGGTTATAATTTTTTTCTGTGTAATTAAGACAACTCCCTTTTCATGTAATATTATTAATTTCTTCCCTTTTCTCAAATATAATATGGCTATGTATGTATTTATTCCTTCTTTTCAAATGTGTATGATAATACTATAAAATAAAACTTTTAATAAGTCATTTCTTTTATTTAAAAAAGTTATGTTACTATAAATATGTTATAATATTTTTCATAAAATGTTAAGAGGCATAATTAGACATAAGCAAAATTCTAATAGCTTGCAATTATACTTTTTTTCCCCAGAGACTTAAAAATTCTGCTTTCTTATAAAGCTACTGGTTTTTCGTCTTCACATATCACTTTGTTAATCAAGTATATTTCATACAGCCCCAGGCAAAAATTAATAAACCCAAAGATGCTAAATTAGACAAACACTGATAGATGGTGTAATAGACTATGTCCAATAGAGATGAAGTAGGTAAATGTGATAACTTTAATTGCACATTTAAGCACATAGCAAGCATTGTCTGTTTCAATCACACATTTAACAATTTGATAAACTTTAAATTTATATAATCTTTAGATTTAAATATTTTTTAAATATTGAAAGTAATATAATTAAAACCTGTGCTTTTAATTATACATAGCATAATATTAAGCATAGGTGAAAACCTTTCTTAAAAGTAAAAAAATTGAATGTAGTTATATTCCATAGAAAACCAAATTTAGAAATAAGATAGAATGACCACTGTGACTCTTTTACACACATAAATTGTCATAAGAAATAAAGAAGACCTGTTAGTCCTGAAATTTCTTAGTAGTGTTTACTGTTAAGACATATTTAACTTTCACAAATAATATATGATAGTAAGATATTAGTGTTAGGAAACTGAATCCAATATAAGACATAATAACAATAACCAGTTGATTGAGTTTGCATATAAACATAAAGAGGTCTGCTATTCATTGAAAGCATAATATTCTGCAATTTAAAGTCTATTCTTCAATTTATAATAACTGAATATATATGTATGTATGTTTGAAAGTTATTATAAGTACTATATGTGCAAATGATTTGGAAAGAATAGTCAGCATATGTCAAGTCCAATGCATTTGAAATTATATTCTACTATGTACTGTTTATTGTAACATAAACTAACAGTAGATAGTACAATCCATATTGTACAGAAGAAACAAAGGAGAAATTAATGGATCGATCTTATATAATATGCAATTCAACCAGAAAAGACTTATCTTAATTGTAAATGCTATTTTTTTGCTGATAAAACGTTATATTAACAAAACTTATTCTTATTTTTGACCTATGTACTCTTTTAATATAAGATGAAGAAAGTATTATTCATTTAAATTGATTTTGTTCCTGTCGTTATGTAAAATCAGATTATCACCTAGTAAGAAGATAATAGAAGAACCATGTTGAATAGAGTTGTAGTTAATTCTCGATTACCCATGTCAGATTAATCTATTTTGTAGACTGTTAATGGTTATTAATTTATTTTCATCTCCCTCTTGTTTTTTCTACTACTATTCTGAGTTTTCTAACATATTAAGCAAAATAAATTGTAAGGAAAACAAAATAATTTACAATGTATACATAATATGTTGTAAAATCAGGTTCCTATTTGGTGGAAAATTCTTCCATTTTGGTGAGGTTTTTTCTATCTCTATTATATCCAAAGAAATAGTCTATCACCTCTCCCTTGGTTTAAATTCTTTCTAACTTTCAACACAATTTGATCCTCAGATATGTTCGGGTATCACAAATCTACAGGAAAAATTAAGGAGAATCAAATACAGGCAAATTTATGAAGACATCAGAATAACTTTCCACACAAATTTTAGATGCAATCTTATTGTCTGATGTAAATATTGTGAATAAATTTTATAATTTAGTCTCTTTATATTTCCATGACCCCACCTCATCCTCTGAATCCAATTCCACCCAAAAGCCAACAAATAAAAATACCAAAATCACAATTGTGAAACAAAATATACTTTACCTAAAGAACCTTCCTATTTTCTTTATCTTTTTGTACCCTTAACTTTATTTTTACTCTCCAGAAGCAATTAAAGTTTGCCAATTCTTTGCAGAATGAGGATTTTACCAAAAAGGAACTCTTTTTCTAGCCTTTCTTAATGTCTTCAAAAATGAAGGAAGTGGAAGAAATTGATAATAGCATATAAGATATGGCTTACAAAGTAATTAAAATAACTATTTTCCCTAGTTTTGCCTCTGTGTCTTCAGTGTTGTCATTAGTTATTCAGTCACTTAGGTGTTTTAAAATTATTCCTAAAATGCAAATGGTCTTGGAGAAGAAAAAAAAATATGCTTTTATCAAGTAGGTATACCTCTTTTTGTAATATTTAGCTGAAAAGAACCTCGGGTACAGAAGTGGTCATTGATTAGTGAAGAGGGCGCTGGGAACAATGTATCATAGCTTTTAAAACAGGAGAGCAAGTCCCTACTATATAAACCACAGAAAGGCCAAGAAACTGCTTATGAAATTTGGCATTTATGGATAAGATGCATGAAAGAAAAAAGGGTGCCAAAGTTCAGTGCTTTCATTTTCAGCAGTCTACTGAGATTTGGTTATGACAAATTTTCTGATCACTTACCTACCATTGATAGGTACCAATAAAAGGATTTATACTTATTGACTGAAAACAAAGTCTAGTACTCTGTGTGTTTTCATCATTTGCCATTTTGCTCTCATCTCAAATTTCCTGAAGCATCTGATATAAAGAATAACATACACAGGAATCAATTTTTATACTTAAATTTTTGGGGATCACTACTTATTAAAAATTTATTTTGCAAACTAGTTGACTAATTAAAGATATAAAATTAATGGCAATATTGTGCTTCACTCATTTCATTATAATTTATAATAATTGTCTATTTTGAGCTACGACTAACTTACTCCAAACTGCAGAAATATAAGAGTAATGATTTAAATCAAAATCAGCAGTGATTATAAAACTATAGAGATTTCACTTGTTAGAATATGTGATATCGAATCTAATGTAAAAAGAACTCCTGTGAAAAAATCATGAATGTTTTCAAACATCATTTACTTCAGAGTTAGTGTATGTAAACTAACTTTCTTTCTGAAGATATTCACTTTATGGTGCTATTTTTATGCTATATTTTCATATTTTTATGTTATACAATATTGCATGAGAGCTCTATAAATTAAAAAATAATTCTGATATTTCCAAGGTTGTGATAATGAAATGGACCATCATAGTAGAGATGAAATAATTTTAAGCCTTAAGCAAATTCCAAAATCAAATGATTTGAATTATTTTTATTGATTGATAATAACATCTCCTATATCAAAATTTTTGCAATAAAATAATTGTTTCATGCAAAAAATAAGTTCATAAAATATATTAAAATATTAATACATATTTCACATTATGTAATAATATAAATGCAATATCTGAACTTTTATTTAGAGTCTTACCATTATTTATTTTGAAAACTGAAAATATATTGGTTAGTACATGTATTTTTGGTTAAACCCAAAATTTACACTAAATGTATTTCTTTTAAAGCACAATACATGTTATCTTTATGTCTGTATAAAAGATAGAAATGTGTATGAAGGAGCTTCATAATAAAAGTGCAGAAAGTACAAATTGAAAAAAGGTTTATAATTTTATGAACACAGTAATATAAATTATAATAAGATAAAATGTTTATGAATGCTGAAGCATTGTGATACTGGCTTATATTGTCAAAAGCACTTAATTCTATGTGGATATGCATTATCTATTAAAGTAGAAATTAAATTGTCCAAGATCAGAATAGTTAATAAATTTCCTAAGTGAAACTTTGTAATAATATATTTAGCTACAATTGTCCTTATTTTTGAAATATTGATTCAGGTAAAATAAATAAAACAGATATAATTATTATTATTACTATTATTGTTGCTATAGATAAAATAATAATAACTGAAACTAAACAAACTGAGCATATGTTATTACCACGGTTCTTTGTACATTGGTTCATACTACACAGATTTACAATTCCAGTTTTAGAAGATATGTAAGCATGCTTTCTTGAAGATTCATCAGACACTTTTTTTTTGTCCGTGAAAGCAAGTGTTTATTAGAGAAACAAACACCTTTGTAAGCAAACCATGAGTA
Organism: Homo sapiens; assembly: GCF_000001405.40. Classification (NCBI taxonomy): domain Eukaryota; kingdom Metazoa; phylum Chordata; class Mammalia; order Primates; family Hominidae; genus Homo; species Homo sapiens. The sequence goes on along the minus strand of NC_000004.12, from coordinate 64,294,543 downwards.
TATTATTACAACATGTTTCTTCGTCGGTACCTATTACGGCATATTTTGATGTCTAGCTATAACAGGAAAATACAAGTATGCTTTGCCAAAGACGCATCATAACCTATTTTCTTTCAGTGAATAAATGTTTGGCAAAGGAAAAAGATGAAAAGCGTTAGTGTTAGGAACATTTTAGCAATGTCTACATTTCAATTAAATTAATAAAATGACTATTACTTATTGCTCCAATGATAAAATTATAAGATATTGCACCTGCCGGCTGGGCGCTGTGGCTCACACCTGTAATCCCAGCTCTTTGCGAGGCTGAGGCAGGTGGTTCACTTGAGGTCAGGAGTTTGAGAACAGTCTGGCCAACATGGTGAAACCCCGTCTCTACTAAAAATACAAAAATTAGCTGGGCGTGGTGGCATGCACCTGTAATCCCAGTTACTCGGGAGGCTGAGGCAGGAAAATTGCTTGAGCCCGGGAGGCAGAGGTTGTAGTGAGCCAAGATCATGCCACTGCACTCCAGCCTGAGTATCAGAGCAAGATTCCGTCTCCAAAAAATATATATATATATATTTTATATATATATATGTAGCACCTGCCAAAAATTAATAATGATATTAACAATATCAATGCATATAAAAGTGAGAACAGTTACATTAAAAGATAAAACATCATTTTCATTCTTATGAAAATATTATGAGATCACAGTATAAGGATTAATTATTTTTATTGTGGAAACCAGAAGGATTTTACTAACACAAAATGACAGAGCCTGACTAATTGATGGCTACCAATTCTATATTAGGACGTGTGAGTTTTGTTCTATTGATACATCATTTTCATTTCTTTAAGGAAGAGAATGATCAACTTGATGAGGCCTGTAAAAAATTAACAATATTTAAATATTGTAAAAGTGGATCATTGCAAGCTGTCCTCCCTCGACCCCTTGCTTTAGTCATTGGTAATTGGTATCATTCCACAATGACAGCGGGTTACTGACCAAGACACAATGCTTAACAGTAAAAGATGAGCAACTTTATTGCTGAAATCCCATATATTATAATTCAATTGTGTCTTTCAACCTGAGAGTGAGATTTAACAGGGTGTATTTTTTTAAAAAAATTGTAGAGCACGGTATGCTGCATAATACATCACTTACAATAATATACATTAACAAAAGTCCTTTGTAGGTTATTAATTTGATACTGCCCTACACTGAACATTGTTAAATATTTGGAAGTACTGATTAAAAATAAAATTAATAGGTCAGAGAAATGAGAGTATAGAGGGTCCTGAAAAAGTAAGTGTTTTTATTTACTTTCTTGACCAAAGTATTTATTTAAGCAAAAGATTATTTTTGTGTGTAGACACTGATTCTTCAATATCGTATTAGTTGACAATTTATTTTGTATTTATCCTTATGACGATAACTCTAGATAATAGAATGGATTATTCGTTCGTTAACATTCTGCTATTATTCAAATGAATACTAGTTTGAAGCAAGAAGTATTCAAATTACTCAATAAAGATTATATGATATAAGTACAAATAAATATTTTTAAATTTGCTTTAAGCCACGCCTGCGCATAAAAATGTAAGGTTCATTTAAATTTTTTTTATTTATCAAACATCATCCTAAAGTTCATTATTACTTAAAACACTAGCACCTAGTGGATTTTTTACTAATTATGGGGAAAAAGAACATTACATATTATTTACCATCTTAACTATTTTAGTGTACACCTTATTAGTGTTAAATATAATCACATTGTAGAGCAAAAAGCACCTGGTTACTTTTTATGAAATAAATCTAGGCCATCTTGTTCTTGACAACAGAAGCAGTTCTGGCAATGTCCCTGGGTTGCTTATAGTTCTGTGAGTGTGTTTAGAAAATGTAAACATTTTTATTTGATAGGTTAAACTTTTTGACTAAAAGTACAATTATTAAAAATTTTTAATTGTGAATGATTAAGTCATTTAATATTCTTAATTTGTTATACTATAATAATGTAGGAAAATGATGCTGCTTCTTACATGTAGTGTTCAAGTACTATTTCTTTCTAAATTTATCTGGGCAATGTTTTCTTAGTATTTTTATTACGTTACTATGTGTTTATTGTCTAGAATATCTTGAACATCTGTGTCACATAAGGGACACACATAGGTAATACGTAGCATCTCATGTTTTATTATGTAAGATAATTTTAACTTTTAATAATGTAAAATCAAACTTCTTCATAGCATCTGCCCCAAACTTTGTTTATTAAATTTCTTTTTAAACTTACTGTATGCCAAATGAAGACATATTTAGATAAACATCAATCCAGGAGAAATATATGTCATGCTGAGAAATATTCCGGTGTTTCACATTTAATTGGCTCTGCAATTATAATCAGTAATAGAACAATGCATTGAGTTTTACAGCACTGACTGAGCTTCTTGATCTTACTCAGCCTTTACCTAAAAGGAAATTATATCACCAGTTTTATCTAATTCAGTTAGCATCGCAAACTGTATTGGATTCACCTGAAGGTGTAAAAGCCAGTGCTTAAAATGGAAATTACTAGTTATTATTGCTCTTTAAAATCCTTAAGAAGTTGCCAAATTAATATTTAAGAATCTCTAAGCATAGAGATATAGTTGTTTTTTCTCCCCACTCTTACCATGTAAGCATTTCATCAGTAGATAGCAAAATGGAAAAGCTGGCTTCTTTACCACTTTTTTTCTACCTTTCTCTCTCATATTTTTTGTTTTAGTATGTAATTATATTTTCTTCTAGGGACAGTTTCACCTAATGAAAAATTTGGTGTTATTATAAATCTATCCAGGCTCTAACTAAACCTATATGCTATTTTTTTCATGGCTCATTATTTGGTTAAACAATTGACGTTCCAATATTTAGTTTTGTTGTGATAAATAAGCAGGAAGAAGAAAATATTTTGATGTTTGAATGAGTATGAAAATATTAATAATCTCAAAACAAATACGTTTCATCAGAAGAATTATAATTTCTAAAACTTATTTTTTCACAAATTTTGGTAACAACTTGCTTTTTAATAAATATTTTATAATATTTTCTATTTTTGTGTTTGGCACTGTGAGTGATGGAAAACGAATATGACAAGCTGTCTAAGTTGAAAGATGTACAAAAGATACGAAGACTAAACAGAAATGTAACAAACCATTAGTTTAGTAATTATGGGTTTTGTAGTGCTAACGATTTGTTAGAATGAAGTCTAGAGAAGTGAGATTACTGTAGGATAATCTGTGGAAGTTTTTATTGATTAAATTGATAACTAAAATTATCACAATAATTTTATTGAGCAAATAGGCTGTGTAGGGTACTTGACTTTACTCAATTGTCATGAATTCTCTAGAGACAGAAGTTAATATTTGCATTTAGGTGAAGAAATGAAATTCCAAATGTGAAATTCACTAAATCTCTCATACATAGTAAATTAAATATGTGGCATGTGAATGCAGGTTCATGCCACAAAAGCCCACACACTTATCCACATTTGCATGTAAAAATTTCAACTTAAAAAGTATTACCTGAAAATTCAAAATTCCACTTTGTCTTTCTAATGATAACTTAAGAAACCAAAAGCCTTTTCGATAATTATTTTGTGTAGTTATGTTGGTACAAAATTTGTATTTGTATTGTTTTCTGGATCTTTAAATACAGATTTAATATATTTGGTGTATTTGTTTACATTATGTCCTGGGTGAATTAATTTATTGAAGATGATTATTTTAAATAGCATTTTTACCTAACAGTTCTAGATGATGAAAATGGATTTAAATTTTCTCTTTCAATCTATTTTTTCCTAAAATTTAGAAAGTGTTGAAATATATACCAGTTATTTATTGTGAGAAACATCCAGAAATTAAAGTCCATAGAACTATTATTATATATGAAAAATGCATACAGAAATGGTTGAAAAGAACAAAATCCGATATATTTTATGAGATTAATAACATTAAAGGCACTGAGTTTAATGGGTGCTCAACTTTTGGGATATATTACAAGTTGAATGACTTCAAACAATAACAATTTTGAATAACATGTTCTGTTATCAGTAACATAGTATTTATATGTCAAATACATAGCTTATGTTAAATCAGATGAGGTATATATGACAGACAAAGGAAAGGTCTTACCCTCACAGGACACATGTTGCAAACTGGGAACATTATTAGTCTCAGGCGATGGTGGTAAGCCTTTGATCTTGGAGGGACATAATGGCCTATTAACAGGGACAACTAGTAGAGTGCATATGATCAAGAGGTCATGATGACAGAGAAGCAGCAGGTTTCTTTGTGTGGCAGCACTGCTCACAGTAGGTTTTCCAAACTGAGCTGAAACTAGCTGGAAATCAAACAATCACCATTTCACTAGAAATATTTTTACTGTTAATGAACTGAGATTAATACGAAGCTATGCCAAATATGTCTTCAGCAAGAGTTGTCTCTGTATGATCTGGAAGTCTCCCCATAGTAACAAGTACAAAGCCGATTAACAAGACAGTTTAAACTTGATTATCAAACAGCGTGAAAAATATCTTCAGAATTTCCAACTTGTTGTGACTTTTTATTCAATATATGCCAGCAAGAACTTCTTTCATTGTTATAATTAAAAAAAATTTCTCTTTATGATTAGAATAAAATATATATCTTTTGAATCTTTGGGATTAATGTACAACACAGATTTTATATAACTCTAGAATATGTTTTTTTAAAAAATAGGCAGAGGTGTATCACACTGAAAGTGTTTAAAATGTTTTGCAGATTTGTGAAGCTGGGAATCATTTCATCAATGTAATGTTGTCTCATCCCAATCACACAGGTTAGTTCTTTTTTCTTTTTCTTTTCTTTAGAGTGAATTATGTTAACAATTATTTTTATAATCTTACTTCAAAAAATCTTTAAAAATCAAAATATCAATAGTTGGAAATACATGTGCCACATTTTTTCCCTTTTATGTCTAGTTTTTCCAAATATTTGAACCAAGTCTTATTCTCTAGTAATGATTTCTCTAAAATGAAGTGTGCATGCACGCTATCACCCTCCCCACACACACTAAACAACAATATCACTTAAATATGTAAATAAATGAACTAATGAATAAGAACAAAAGCAGTACAAAATCACTTGATGAATATCCAAATTACTAAACTCTCAATATTGATCCCACTTGTACAATATTTGATAAAGTCCTACTATTTCAAATTACCTTTAGTTTTTCTTTTTGTAATGATGGTAATCTTTCATTGAAAAATACAATGGCACTGAAATATCAATGCCTGGGAGAACATTTCAAAGTTAGTAGTATATTTAGGTTGGTGCAAAAGTAACTGTGGTTTTGAACTATGAATTTTAAATCATTATAGCTAGTCTCATACACATCTTTATTAATCAAAATAGGAACCATTATAATCAACACATTTTTGCCAATGAAAAGTAGTTTATTCTTGTAGTATAAAAATCCATGCTTCAGAATTCAACAAACTCTTGAAAAGCATTTTCTACCCCCTGCTGATCGTGGAAGCATCTTCCCTGCAAAACGTTGTCCAGATGCTTGAAGAAGTGGTAGTCAGTTAGTGAGAGGTCAGGCGAATATGGTGGATGAGGCAAAACTTTGTAATCCAATTCATTCAACTTTTAAAGAATTGGTTGTGTGATGGGCAGTCAGACACTGTCATGGAGAAGAATTGGGTCCTTTCTGTTGACCAATGTTGGCTGCAGACATTGCAGTTTTCAATGCATCTCATTGGTTTGCTGAACATATTTCTCAAATATACTGGTTTTGCTAGGATTCAGAAAGCTGTGGTGGATCAGACTGGCAGCAGACCACCAAACAGTGACCATGACCTTTTTTTGGGAGGGCAAGTTTGGCTTTGGGAAGTGCTTTGGAGCTTCTTCTCAGTCCAACCACTGAGCTGGTCATCACCAGTTATATAAAATCCACTTTTTGTTGCACGTTAAATTCCGAGCAAGAAATGGTTCATTGTTCTTACATAGAATAAGAAAAGACAACACTTCAAAATGACTTTTATATATATATATTTTCGATCAGCTTATGAGGAACTGACTTATCGAGCTTTTTCACCTCTCCAATTTGCTTCAAATGCCTGAGGACTGTAGAACGGTCGATGTTGAGTTCTTCAGCAACTTCTCCTGTAGTTGTTAAGAGGATCAGCTTTGATGATTCATCTCAATTTGTCAATGTCAACTTCTGATAGCCGGTCACTATGCTCCTCATCTTCAAGGCTCTCACAAAACTTCTTAAACCACCACTGCATTGTGTGTTCATTAGCGGTTCTTGGGCCAAATGTCTTGTTGATGTTGTGAGTTGTCTCCACTGCTTCATGACCCATTTTGTATTTCTTTTCTTTTTTTTTTTTTTAAGATGGAGTCTCGCTCTTGTAGCCCAGGCTGGAGTGCAGTGGTGTGATCTTGGCTCACTGCAACTTCTGCCTTTAAGCGGTTTCAAGCGATTCTCCTGCCTCAGCCTCCTGAGTAGCTGGGATTACAGGTGCACACCACCATGCCCAGCTAATTTTGTATTTTTAGTAGAGACAGGGTTTCGCCATGTTGGCCAGGCTGGTCTCAAACTCCTGACCTCAGGTGATCTGCCTGCCTCGGCCTCCCAAAGTGCTGGGATTACAGACATGAGCCACCGTGCCTGGCCCATGGCCCATTTTGAACTCAATTAAGAAAATTGCTCCAATTTGCTTTTTGTCTAACATCATTTCCATAGACTAAAATAAACATAAAATACCAGCAAGTAATAAGTCATTAGCAAAAAACATAAAGTGAGAAATGCCCATTAAAATGTTGTATAACATAACCACATTTATTTAATAATGTATTCCATTATAAAACAGCAAATTTCAACAATGCAAAAACTCAGTTACTTCTATACTCACCTGTATATTTGAAAAAGTTTACAGAGTCTCCATTATTTAAAGATATTTTTGGTAAATCAGTCATCTCATTTAGGCTCAATTACATGTAGGGATTCCCAACTGCTAACCCTATATAATATATAATTTTATTGTAAATTCAAATAGAAATGATAAACATTCAACATCAACTTGAATTTCTTAACATTTCCTTGCCTTCCACGCTTCTGGCAGGCTAGTGAAACATATAAAACATTTTCCAGAATAGTTGTTCTGTAAAATAAAATACATATAATTACAAGGGAAAATTATTTTATTAGAACAATGGTGAATATATGAAAAAGCTATAATATAAGCATATGTTTGTTATTACACATTACATAATATTGTGATGAGTACTCAACTTTTTGAGTATTGGTGATAAATTATGTATATGCAGATTTAAAAAGAAGTGTACTGTGAGTTAAAAATATCTGTGCTTTATCTTGGTGAAAAAAAATTACATGTAAGGCCAATGCTGTTGTAGTTTGTGGTCCTCATTTGCAGTGGAGTGAAGCCTATATTTCATTAAGAGATTGAATGCCATTTTTATCTGATCCAAATTCACAGATACATTGAATTTTCTTTGGATGCATGTGAATCACAAGTGAAAAATATCTGAGGGTCTAAATTTTTTTAGTAGAGAAGCGAAACACAATATAATCTAATAAAATGCTAGCATTGCCAAAGTTAGAAATATCACAAATTTTAGTCTTATCTAGGTGACTAGCAATGTAATCAACTCAAGCTTCTTCATTTATTCGAAATATAGTGTCATCATTTGAAAATGAAAATTTTAAGTCATCCAGTAATTTTGAAATTGTTCATGTAAGAAGGCCCCCCTCTTTTAATGTTCACTCTTTATCTTGCTTTGTATATTGCTCTTGAGGAATCAGATGCCAACCTAATTCTCTCTCCTTTGTCAAATGATGGTTTTTTTGCTTCGATGTGCAGGTGACTTTTTTATTATAAAAGTCTATGAATTTTGAGGGAGTGTCTAAGGGTTGATGATTCCCAACCAATTTCCCCAGATCACTAGGTACTCTTCTAGTAGGTTAATCCATGTTTTTTTTTTTTACGTTCTAAAAAATTTCCTCAAATTACAATTTTAAAATTAGTTTTATTACATTGTGGAGTATAGGGGGGTTACACTGTACCTATGTTCCTTCTTCTGTCTCTAGCTTCTCTATCACTTTCTCTTTGACTATCTTTGTCCCTTTTTTGGCTATTCTTTTTATCTGCTTAATATCCTCTGTTCTGTTGAATATTACATTCTTAAGCAAATGAAAATATATTTCATATTACTGGGAAAGTTTCTTCCTTGTCCACAATTTCTTGAGTACAATCAACTCTTATTTTGTATTATATCTTCTTGTTTTTTTTCCATATCTATTTTCAGTTTTGGGATTTCTTAAGGATACATTCTTTGGTAATTGTGTGTGTGTGTGTTCTGTAAATTTTGTTTTGTTTTCCTTGTGGGGGGTTAGTTTTTGTCTGCAAATGAAAACACTTTCTAGTTTATTCACACAGAAGCATCATGTAAATGCTGATTGATTTACATTTATTATTAAATGTGTGAATTGACTTTGAAGAAAAATAACATAGTTTTTTACAGATGAGGTTACTGAAATCTCTAAAAAACAAAGTGTGTTCTGGAAACAGAGGAGGTTTTTCATCGTGTCTTCTCATCCTCTAACATCCTTGTTTTCCAAATTCCTTGAATCCCAGAACATGCTTCCTTCTTTCCCTTCCCTTTTAAGCTTCCACATGATGCCTTCCCTCTCTGAGCAAACTTCTCTGGGCATCATTTTCTTTCTTGGAAACAATGTCTTCCAAGATGACAACCTCTGGCCTCAACTAATTTCAGATAATTGTATTCAATTTCTCCCTATTCAGGGTTCTGATCTATAAAGTCCCAGATCTTTTCTCAAAGTGAACTCTCATCTTTTGATTATGAATTTTTAATAGCTACATACTCAATGCATTATTTTTCTTTACATAAAATCTTTATCAGTTCCTGTGTCAGCTCTAAACTGGTGTCTCCTAGTCTTGAATTTTTATTCCCTCACTAACATATTAATTGGAGTTTGTTGTAATATCTATTAGATGTGCTTTAGGCATGGTTATGTCTAGAAGGGAACCATTTAATATTGATTGTACAAAATGTCATGAGTCATGTTCTCAGGTGGCAGAAATTTGTATAAAAGAAGTTTGTTAGGAATTATGGAAAAGAGGCAAGGAATGAGAACCATGCCAAAGGGGAAGTTGAGCTGTGATGTAGTCACAAGAATGGACTCAGTCAACTCTATTGGGTATCTGAAGCTAGGATAACCCTGTAGAGGTGTCAAGAGTTGGAATGACTGGAGACAGATAAGTTGGATATGAGTCTACCTGGGGAAGAAAAAGACCTTGTAAGGCAGTTCCCTTTAGTGAAGACCATTTTCTCAGAGGGTATGACAGTTGAAAGAAAGCTTCAAATGTACATATTGTGCAAACTACAAAGTATATATATTCCAATTATTATTTATTTATGATCTGGATAAATTACCTTTGTGAACCCACTTTGTCTAACAGTCCTTAAAATGTGAAAATGCCACTTTTTCTAGTATATGGTTCCCTGAATCAATGAAGTCCTTTTAGTAAAGATCACTGAAATCATTATCATGTGCATTTGTTTTGGTGTTACAATATCTTTCCTCCCAGACTATTCTTCCCTCAGTGAGTTTAGAGTCTTAGAACTGATTCACGTTCCAATACTGGGAAAGGAATAGTAGATCTGACATTGCACCAGCTGTCTCAAGTCTCTTAACTATTCATCTATAATTTATTTTGTTTGTCTAAATTTAGCAATAGCATTGTTGGGTATCCAACTATCTAGCTTCTAGAGACATTGTGTTCTACTAGCCAAACATAACTTTCTGTGGGTCAAGCCTCCTATGAACAGGCCATTCATTTTGGCTCATGAACAATTAAGTACTGTAATTGGAACTGCCTTGATTTTCTAGGGAGTGGTGTGAGGAAGGGTCCTTTAATCCCGTTCACTACTAGTCATCTCAGTTCTAAGATGATTTCACTTACAGTAAGCCTGATACAGCAAAGAGCCAATGCGAATCTTAGTGATGATGGTGTTCCTTTCACTACCATATTCCCTGTATTTTTGAAAAGTGGTGCATCCTATTGGTTCTCCCATGGAACATGAGAAGAAACCTGAGAACACGAAACGAGGGTAAAAATTCCTTGCATAGAAAGAAGCACTCTCTTTTCAACCTTGCGTAGACTATCTGCTCTAGGATTCCTATTTCTCTAAGGCACTTAGCACCTTCTTTCCCAGCCTGCCATGGAAATTCTAACATTTCTTCTTTGCTTATTGTGGGCCATTGCTTTGTTCATGCTTCCAGGTGCATATCATTAGTGTGTTTGTACAATCTTAGAGGGATATTTACTCCTATATTCCAGGACAGTGCTCCAAAAACATAAACAAATCTTTATTCAATTTTATACTTTACCCCTCTTTTCAAACACCCTCAGATTCCAACCCCATGTGTATTCTCCTATAATTTGTTGGTTCATGCTGGGTAGGTTCTGCAGCTCCTTTGGGGCATTATCTTTTTTGTTCTCTGTCAGCCCCAGAACAGCCTCAGGTAGTTTATATTGTGATATAACCCTAGTTGTAGTGGCTAGAAGAAAAGATAGGGGAGATCTTCAAGGGGGGTATTCTTGCAGTGTAGTGCCTTCTGTGTTGCTTTTAAGGAAGGATGTGCTCAACTTTCATAGGGAAGAGTGGGCCACCTCTGCAGGCTCAAGGAATTTATGAAAACCTAGATATTCCAAGATTTTGTGGTAAACAAACTTGACTTAACAGATCTGCATTGGATTGGAGTTGTACATTCTTTAGAGTTTGACTACTTTTGCAGTTAAGACCTGGACCTGTTCCTTAGCTTTTTCTGCCCTCTTCGAGCCTCTTTGCATACTATCTAGGTGGACCTCTAACTTTCACAACTGGCTTTTAATTGCCAATTAGCAGTTTGTTTTAGATGTGTTTGTTGAGCCATTCAGTCCCACTTGTAATATTAGACCAGATAGAATATTGTTTTCAACCACTATAACATAACAATATACCAGTAGTAAAAGATTTTTACACTTGGATTGCTACCCTGTACCATTAGCTGTCTGTCTGAACCTACCATCAGCTATGGAGTACTCATTGCAGGCCTTTTGGTAAGTCATTCAACTCTAAAATGCCATTCCAACATCTGCTTTTTGGGCCATTCCTGGTGCCAACTATGTAAGCTGGGTTTTCTGGATTGCAAATGCCAGGATGGAGATTAATACTCAGGAGGATTGTTAAGGAGTAGTTTTCTGGATAGAAGAAATAAATCATATTTAGGTAGGAAATTGAGAGCGATATAGTCTCAACAAGTCTCCAATGATTGCATGGGACATTCTAAAACTGGGATGAACAATCCATGTTCTTCTGAATTGAGTTAATCAATTTTCAATATTGATCAAATACCGTAGTAAAGCTAAATCAGTGAGTGTGACCTTGGGTGAGGTTTCTTCCAACTATAGGGAGTACTGAAAGTTGAAGTTTCTCTGCCAGTAGCACTCCCTGAAGAAATAGAATAAACCTTATATGCCTAAAGAAGAATCTGGTGGGGCAGCATTTTAATGTAAAAAACCTCCTGACTTTAATTTAATAGAAGCTCTATTATAATAACTATAGGTTGAGAGAACATTTATGAAGAATGTAAGTATTAAATTAGTAACTCCTAAACTTATTTAATATTACAGTTAACAGCAACTGTGTATACTTGAAACAATATTATCTATATACATATATTTTTCTGTGTCATAAGGCATATCCATTATTTAATCGACAAACTAGGTCTGGAAAAAATGTAGATTTGTAGACCCTTGATCATTCCACACCTCTAGGGGCTGAACACTCATAAACTACAGGCTCTAAAGCAGACTATTTCCTGAAACTTCTGCCTCTGAAATTCAGTAACTATAACTTGGGTAGATTCCTCAATTATCTTTTTTTTATTAATATAGGACATTACACAAAGGTGTCTACAAAAATGCTGTAAAAAATCAGTAATAACAAAAGGCCTACATATTTATTTTTATGAACAGTTGTAAAATCTGCACAATACTTAGCATAATTTTTAACTTTGATATTTCAGCAATTGTTACAATTTTGAAAACAACACACTGACATTTTATTATGACTTCAGAGTTATAAGTAAAAGAGTTTAGCTGATTTGTTATCTGATTAAATCTTGGTATGGAGAATAAAACAGTAATTTTATAATTCATATTTACTTTTACAAATGTCACAGCTCCAAGTTCAACCTGAAATCATTAAAAATTTGTTATCTAAAATGTTTCTTAAAAACAAGTGAAAGGGGAAAATAATTAACAAAAATAAAGTGACAATATGTGAAGTATAATGAGAGATGTAACTATCAATCCTGACTGCTGAACAGAAACGTGGTATCTCAGAATATTAACTATACTGATATTCAGTGTAATCCTTTTATTAGAGGTGTGCATACTTTTCTGGTATAAATGACATCTTTATAAAATTCCTTATGACTTTCACCAATTTAATACAGGGATTTTTGAGGTATTTAATAATCTCAAACAAATGTATCTTCTTTGATAGTAAAGGGGAATGTGAAGAGGTGGGCAAATGTTAAAACACACTTTATAATTTCAGCATGTAGTACTATTTCAATCATTATAATGTAAAAATAATTTATATATATTTAAGATCTTAAAGAATTGATTATCCTTATGTACTCTGCAGTGTTACAGCAACATAGCTGTAGACATGGTATGAAAATGACAGCTATTTTATTTGAGTCAAAAGGTTATAACATTTAAAGCTGGGTCTCTTCTGAGTAATTTGCAAAATAGGTTACTATAAATACGTGATGACATTTCATGTGGTACACAGTTATTTTGGGGAACTTAGTATTATATAATAAGCATATGATCAGATTTGCAATGTGTAGCATCATTGACATTTTACTTTCCTTTGAAAAAGGAAACAATGCCTGTTTCCCAAGTCCAAATTATAACCCCTTCACATGGATGTTTTTCCTGGTTTCATGTCCTAACTACACCTATGAGGTATGTTATTTATGTATGTAAATGCTTGAATCCTATTCATGATATACTAAATGCATGTGCTTATGTATTTACATGTATTATAAATTAATATATACAGGAAAAATATAGAGGTCTTATCCACAGATCATGGTATAACAAAATAGAACATTTCAATCACAATTTTTTCAAATATTAAACAATGTCTTTCATTTTCTTATAAATATGATCCCATTTAATGAGATTGCTTATGACTTTATATGTAAAAATTAAATTATTATTTCTTGAAAATGTATTCCTATCTATAAGTTTTCTAATATTTTAAGCCTTAAAATTACCTGTTAAAGCCACAAATGAACAAATTACTAGATTCCATTTATGTATGTGCTAATTTAAGTTTTAATATAACAGATTGGATCATGGATTAGTTTCACAGTCATGACACAAACACTGCCAGGTAAGACCTAGATATACTGATAATTAATCAAAATAAATGCATCTTTAAGATAAATGGTTTCTGAGAAAAAGTTATTATAGTACTAAAGTATAGCATGATTGTAAAAGGATTTCATAGTTTCATACTGAGTTTGATTTTTAGCAGTATTAAAATATATTGAAGTACTTTTGCTCTTTGTCTCTGTATAATTGTTGCTTAATCCAAGCCAGGGATTGTAATCCAAATGTATTTATTAAGCAATGAAGTTTTGTTTAGAAGAAGTTTTGATAACAACGCATTTCGCTTGAAACTTCTTGTGCATGTGCACAGGCATGTGTATGTGTTTTGTCTTCAAAGGAAGAGTTGGGTTGTATGAGAGTTCATCTTGAATACTGAGCATTTTAACACACACTAAGAAGTTGAATTGCATGATTTCCATATAGTAGAAGGGACATATGTAATGTCCATTTTATCCATTTTGTTATATTGTACAAAAGTTTTGAATCACAATTAATGTGGTTTATTATATTATGTGCATGTAGAGGAATATTATATGCATACAGGCAACTATTATTGAAAATTTTTAAGTACAAAAATAAATCCTTATTTGGGAATATTTTGTGGCAGTGGTATATAAAATATGTAGATTCATTTTTAATTTTTAATGTATTTTCTGTGTTTACTCATTCATGCGATATTGATTGGCTATTGCTTGGGAATGGGTATGAATAATGAAAATTGATAAGAAATTATGCAACATTTGAGAAACATCTTAAAAGCTAAACATGCTAGGGATCCTTTTCCTAATATAACATTTCATAGAAATAAGAAAGAAATAATAATTATTTCTTTTTTCTTCTAGTTGGAATTTTTACACTTCTGATGAGTATCCAGATGTCTTTGTGGGCACAAAAGAAACATAAGATTTATCTGAGAAAATTCAATTCATATATTCATAGAAAATCAGCAATGATTCCATTCATATTGTAAAAAAAGAATCTTATCTCCTATAGAAAACAGCAACATATAAATTCAATAAATAAGACTTAGTTAAGGATAGTTAACTATTATACTCCAACAATTCATGAGCAACAGTATATACACTGAGTAAAAATATAAAATAGTAAAATTTCACTAAATTTAGAGAAATGCACATGGTAATAAAAAGTATAAATTATAAATGCAATTAACTAAGAACAGCTCTGAATGTATTTGCATGGGATTGGTCCTTGAATAAAATTGTCTTACTTCATTAATACTTCACAATACTATTTGCATAAGACAAAATACCACAGCAAAAAAAAAAATCTGATTAACAAATGAAAAAGCGATCTGAACAGACATTTCCCAAAGGAAGACATATACATGGTCAATAAGTATATTTTTAAAATGCTCAACATTAACTATTCATACAGAAATGCAAATCAAAACCACAATGAGATATCATCTCATCCTAATTAAGGTGACTATTTTCAAAAAGACAAAAAATATGACAGCCGTGGTGGTTCATATCTGTAATCCTAACACTTTGACAGGCCAAGGCAGGGGAATTGCTTGAGTTCAGAAGTTTGAGATCTGGGCAACATATTGAGACTCTGTCTCTAAAAAGCATATTGAGACTCTGTCTCTACAAAAAAATTTTAAAAAGTAAAAATTAGCTGGGCGTGGTGGCACATGCCAGTAGGTAGTCCCAGCTACTCGAGGTTGCTCCAGCTCAGGCGTTCAAGGCTACAGAGAGCCATGATTAAACCAAGGCACTCCAGCCTGGGTGACAGAGTGAGACTGTCTCAAAATAAAATAAAAATAACATATTGGTGAAGATGCGGGAAAAAAAAAAGAACTCTTAGACACTGCTGGTGGGAATGTAAACTAGAGCAGCCATGTGGAGAACAACATGGACTTTCTTCAAAAATTACAAATAGAACTATCATATGATCCAGCAATACCATTACTGGAAAAAGGAAATCTGTATATTAAAGAGACATTTGAACCCTATGTTTACTGCAGCACTATTCACAATAGCCAAGATATAGGAGCAACCTAGGTGTCCAACAACAGATGAATGGATAAAGAAAATGTGGTATATATACACAATAGAATACTATGCAGCCATAAAAACTGAATTCCTGTCATTCAGGACAACATGGATGGAATTGGAGGGCATATGTTAAGTGAAACAAGCCAGGAACAGAAAGTTAAACATTGCATGTTATTACTTATATGTGGAAGCTAAAAAAATTGATATCATAGAAGTAAAAAATAAAACAGAGGATACTACAGGCTGGGAAAGCTGCAGCAAAGGGAGACTAGAGAGAGATTTGTTAAAGGATACAAAGTTACAGCTTGGTAGGAGGAATAATTTCTGGTGTTCTATACCACTGTAGGACGACTATAGTTAAGAACATTATATTCCATTTAGTTTCAAATAGCTAAAAGGAGATTTTGTCCCCAACAAAAAGAAATGATAAATATTTGAAACCATGGATACTCTAATTTCTCTGATCTGACCACTATAAATTATATGTATTGAAACATTATTATGTATCTCCCAAATATGTTCAATTCTTATGTCGCTCAAAAAATAAAATTTAATTTAAAAAGTATCTGATTTTTAAAGTAAATATTTTTTAAAGTTTTGACATTTAAATTACTTGAATCTCATTATTTTGACAATAATTTAATTCTTTTATTGTTCAATCTGTTAGTGAGATGTGTCATAGGTATTATGTCATTAGTTCAAATTCTTGCGGAAATTATAGCTATATTAAAAGTGTAACATTTTTATTTAGTTGTGTACTTATTTGTTAATAATACAGACATTGTATGTTATCATACTGAAATTTACAATTAAAATATTTTCTGTAGATTATTTGAAAATCATTCTAAATATATATTTTGAAATATATAGATTATATTTGTATGTAAATTATATTTATACATCTTCTGAAATATATTTCAAAATATGTGTGTACGTGTGTATATGTGTATATATATACACATATATATACACATACACAAATATATGCATATTTCAAATGGATTGTATGCACTTGCAAAGCAAAAGTACATTGGTAATTTGGGCACATTCAGAGTGGAAAAAATTTGTTCTATTTTTACATCTTTAAATACCTATCTTCTATGAAAGCCTATGTGCATGTGTGTGTGTGTATGAGTTTCTATGTGAGCATGCATATATACTTCACAAAGAGATGACCTATATAAATCAAAGTACACATTATTTAAAATATTTAAAAAAATTTTCAGTTTCTTCATTTTTAAATTGTGATTTTTAGATTTGTTAGTCTATGGAGTATTTTCAATTCTCAGATTATACATATGTTATAAAATATGTTCATTAAAGCTCTTAGATTATATGCATATATGACAATATATACATATACAACTATATACACATATACAACTATATATATGTGACAATATATTGTAAAGCAGGTCTATATACACTGGGTAGGGGCTGTTTATTACTAACATATGTGGCCACTAAAGAAATAACAAAAAGCCCCTTTAAAAGCCTTATAATTCCCAAAGCATACTATTAAAATTTCTAAGGAGAAAACAATAACAACAATAAAATTCTCACTCCCTAATATCTATTCAGCTAAATTGTATGATATCATTTAATGATCTTAAAAAGAAATGTCAATGCAGTAAATCATATATACCTAATGCAGCTATATGATCAACTACTTGTGATAAATGTCCCTTTTTTGAAAGACTAAGAATAGTTTCTGTTTTTGTAACTCGATCCTGACAAATAGTAACCTAGGAAGTTTGCACATTCTTGTAGGACTAGAAGAAGGACTTTAAGTATGGGGTACCTATATGACAGACATTTTTTTTCCCATTATACTACACTCCCTTATGCCAGTTGCTCCATCATACTTTTTTTGTATCAGTTATTCCCTTACTGTTGGCAGACATACCTTAGTTAAAGGATATCTTAATTATGAAATGTGTTTTTTAAATTTATTTCTCATTTTTATTTCCAGGTGGTCTCACTGCCTAAGACATCAAAAGAAAAAGCCTGACAAATTTACACCATCTTGTTGTCAATATTAATGCTACAGGTATAATCCTGTAGCAGCCATGTACACATTTTTAGCCTTTAAAACCTAACCTTCATTTACAGGTTTTAGGAGTTACTATACATAAGTATGTACACATATGCATATGTATATGGGTATGTGTGTAAATGTGCACACTTACAAACTTTAATGATACTCTAAATTAATATATAAGATTTATGTAAATAATAAGTTTGCATTGCTGGCTAAAATATTGTGCATTTATTTTAATATAAAACAAATCTATATAATCTCACATATTCATGGTTTTTTGCCACATATCTAAGTAACTTAATTTTAGCTTATGGAGTATTTTGCAGGAGCAGCATTCAACACTGCATAGATTAGTTGTAAGTGTCTCAATTACATTTACATATCAGTGTGTTTGGTGGGGAAAGAAGATGAAAAATAAAACATTTGAATATAAAATTAAAATAAATAAAATATGACATTTATTTATGATAGATGTCATAATTTGATCATATTCATAGGAAAAACATTAATGAAAAATTTAAATGCAGAAAAATATATACACACATTATACAAATTAACAATAACATTACTACCACAGTTACTTATTGAAGTAATATGCTGTCTTTAATATGTTTCATTATACCATGTTCTCTCAGAGTTAACACTCTCATCCTATAAATAAAAGATATATTCTCAAATTCTAAAATTCTTGTGTGTGTATTTTCAACAGTTGTTATTTTTAGGTCAAGAAAAATATTATGACAATATTAGCAACTGTTAAATTCTATGCTTTGAGACGTATAGGCCTCATTTCTAATTTAATAAGGTATGTATATATTTGATATTTTCATAAAAGCAATACAGGGTTTGGCCAAGAAGTTTTGCCGTCTGTGAAAGGCATGCATTTGATGCTATTATAAGCCATATTAACTGGAGAACATTTCTAAAATACCTCCATTTCACATGCAAATTTTATACTCTATATATTGATGGATTTGTTTATGAGATTGAGAGTCAGATGTAGCAATTGGTGAGAGAGGAAACAGTTACAAGGCAGCCTCTACTTTTTAGATAGTTCGCTTGTTTAAGAGACAAAACAAGTTCAACTTTAATTGAAATATTGCATATTTGCTTGCTTAATTACTGTTAAACCTTAAATTAAATATTCTTTATAATAAGCATGTCTTCGAACATGAAATAAAATTAACAAGTCTGAGAGTGAAACTTTTCCCATTATGAGAGACATTTTAGTCAGCCTCATCACAAGAAGACTTTTGCTTTCCTCAAACCATCCCATATTTCTTTTTGACACTTGAAAGTATGCCTCTGCTTCCTGTATTTCTTTTAAACATTCTGGAGCTTTTGTTGTTTTGTTGTAACTGTTGCCAAATTTATAATTGTTAGATGACAAATGTCCTTAACAAGTGTTTTTCAGTAATTGTGCCTAAAGAAATACAATTATAATTGCCATCAAACTAATTTGGTATGCATGCTTTTACCTCCCAAACCATAAATTGTCCTCTTCCTTCAGGACACTGTAAACCTTGAATTAGAATCAAATCAACAATTTCCATTATTGTAATGTAGAAATCAGTTCATTTTTTAAACACAGGAATCAAAGACTGCCTGGCTTACATATCCTAAACAGTTTTAATATGAAAAAAAGATATATAAATGTTTAGAAAAAAAATTAGTAGAATTAATTAAAATCAATTAGAATATGTGTATTAAAAGCAATATTAAGTTGTATCCATATGTTGTTCTTTTATTCTTTGGGTTACATGGGATATAAAGGGATTGACAACCTCAACCTGTAAATGCTTCTTTAAAAATCATGGAATTATGAATCTGATTCCCATTTTCAGTCTTCCCTAAGGCCCTTTCTCTATTATAATTTCTTAGAATGTATTTGCTCTTCTTTTCTATAACTTTTGCCGAATATGTCATTTATTAAAACAAAACAAAGCAAACAAAACTCTAAAAACTAAAAATACACCATTACTGGTTATAAGTCTTTCTTCAGATAAATGCATAGTTCTGTAAATTCATGCCCCATGATATCTTCACAGATTATCCATTGGTTTTCTTGGTGTTTAGTAATTCTTGTACATATCCAAAGATAGGTCAGTTCAGAGGGTCTTAAGGAAGATGAAACTGCTGAAATAAAGACTGGACCCGGTTGGGAAATGAATCTCACTTAAAGCAAAGATTGATAATAATCTCAAGCAAAAGTGGGAAAATATCATAACAGGAGGTCTCTTGCCAAACTATAGCTTTGCACATCCCATTTGGAGTTTAAGACTAGTACCCAGTAATTTAAATATTTAAATTTATGAGCATAGTAAGAAATATGAGATTTGATAACCTCAGAGTTTTCTAATACTAGATTTTGATAACAATATTTAAAAAATCAACAGTTCCTTTAATTTAATTATTATTCTAGTAGTTACTTTTGGAAAAATTGTTTAATTCTCTATCCCAAAACAATTTGTCAAAAAAAACCCAGTGTTTTTAAAATGCCACATCTTTGTCTTTCCCAGTATTTTCATAAAAAATAGCTGGAGAGAGAAAAACAAAACAAAACAAAGAGATGCATCAGCTGCAGCTACACATCAATTACCGCATAACTGCTTCCAGTGCCTAACCCTTCTACCTCCAGTTTCTACTTTTTCTACCTCTAGTTGTTACTTTTAAAATGCATTCTGGGCTGGGCATGGTGGCTCACCCCTGTAATCCCAGCATTTTGGGAGGCTGAGGAGGGTGGATCACCTGAGGTCAGGAGTTCGAGACCAGCCTGACAAACATGGAGAAATGCCGTCTCTACTAAAAATACAAAATTAGCCAGGCATGGTGGCGCATGCCTGTAATCCCAGCTACTCAGGAGGCTGAGGCGGGTGGATCACCTGAGGTCAGGAGTTCGAGACCAGCCTGACAAACATGGAGAAACGCCGTCTCTACTAAAAATACAAAATTAGCCAGGCATGGTGGCACATGCCTGTAATCCCAGCTACTCAGGAGGCTGAGGCAGGAGAATCATTTGAATCCGGGAGGCGGAGGTTGCAGTGAGCCGAGATCGTGCCATTGTACTCCAGCCTGGGCAACAAGAGGGAAACTTGGTCTTGAAAAAAAAAAAAAAAAAAAGAATTCTGTTTGACTATATATGTGCATTTTTAGTTTTTGGCTAACTGTGGCTCAAAATAGACTGCAGTGCATTTTGTTTGTTAGCAACACTGGTGGAAAAAAATGTTACTCTCTGACTCAGACACACACACAGATCAATTTTAAGCAACATTACTCCTTAAATGAAGCATACAAAATGAAAATAGTCTCATTTTTAAAATGTGTATGTTCAATTTTATTTCTCTCTTAAAATACTATTTCCAAAATCTAACCCTAAGAAAATAGTAAAATTCATAATAATATTTAAATATTTTATATATGACCTTTACCTTTATTCCAGTAATTAAACATATTTCCAAGATATTTAAGTTCAATTTTAAGGAACTAGCATTCAGTACATGTTAAATTTTAGCAGTTGACAAATGTCAATGATAACATTTGTGCTCATAAAAAAAGGTTCATGAATCAATAATGAGGGTTTCTATTTTAATTTTTATTAAAAAATTTAAAATCCTGAGGTTGCTCCTGAATGTTAGAGGTGATTATAACAATTTTGCTTTGTAAATACAATTACAGGTATTTTTGCAGTTTTTGCATAATGATAATTTAAAAACTTATTTTAAAGGCTGCTTAAAAGTTAATTTTCACCAGGTGCATAATGAAGCCTCTAATTAGGCCTCCTTCAGAGGAGGTTTGATTGTGAAAATACACAGCAGCATTTCCTGAGATAAAAGTTCCTGCTAAAATGGGATTTGGGTTTTTAACTTTAGTTTGCTAATGGTTCTTGAAATGTGAGAAAAAAAGTCGTTCAGAAATATTTACAAAACAAATGCATAATTATTGATTTTATTGAGAATATAGAAGACATTTTCATACCATGTGTTTGGGAAATGAAATCCCGTAGTCTGTTGCCAGAAATAAAACTATTAAAAATATAAGAAATACTCTCAATAATCCCAGTACATAATTTCTGGTTTATCCCATTGTTCTGTCAGCTTGTAAACGAGAGTCGTTTCTGTCACAGGATACTTTGGGTGTCACTTCTTGCCAGCCAGAAACCTGTGTGGCTGGTGGTGCCTCTGCTTGAGTTTTGTTCGCACCTGCAGAGCTTGTTGCCCCAACTCGGACCAGTAGCTTGCATTTGGCTCCCGCTAACAGCCCGGAACCCAGGCCTGGTGAGAGTGAGCCAAGTGTGGGGCTACGAGGGGTGTTAAGCGAGCAAGTGTAGGATCCAGCCACTGCGCACAACAAGGCGCTCTGGCTGTTGTGGTGCAGCAGGCAGCTCCAGGTGCCTACACAGGTGCCAGTTTTGTATAAGGCTGCGGCTGGACCAGGCGTACAGCAAGCAGTTTCTGCTGCAGGCGCTGGGGTCTGGATGAGGGGAATGTGGGGAACGTGGTGGCACACAAAAAAGTTGGAGACGCCAGCAACTGCAGAACCCCAAGGGGGGCGGGGTGCTACAGCTCTCTCATTTCCACAGCCGGCATCTGAGGAATTTATCATTTTAAAATTACATTTATTTATTTATTTATTTATTTAGTTAGTTAGTTAGTTAGTTGGTTAATTATTATGCTGATCATGTCTCGTGTTTTTAAAATGCTAACTCATTGAAATCGTATTGTTGTTCATTCTTTTCATTCATATTTCCCAGGAACATAGACCAAGGCTTAGGATATAAAAGGTGCCAATAAATATTTCTCAAATGACTAAGATTATAATGGCTTTTTTAGTCCTGCCACCTTGCTCCCACCTAGAACTCCCTGGTTATCTCACCCCTGCCATCACTTCCCATCACATGGTGTGGCCACAAGCTCCGGCTTGGGGAATCCTGATGAAGTTGGGCCCCCAGAAGTGTTGGCGCTCTTCACTTTCACTTTCACAGTCCGATGATCGGGATGGTGTCACCACCCACAGCTTGGCAAGCTGGCCAGGAATGTGTTACAGCCCTTTGCAGGCCTGCCCACAGTTCAGCAAGAAGGCCAGGAGAGTGTTACAGCTTTTTCAGCCTCTGCCATTCGGTGGGGCCCAAGCTCTTGTCCACATCCAGAAAGAATGAGGTTACACCAACAACTGGAGGGTGAGCGTGGCAGAAGACTTTTACCCAGTGACAGAACAGCTCTTAGCAGAGAAGAGACCCAAAGTGGGTAGCTCCTACCCGCTGGGGGGCGCTCCTGATGTCTGTCCCAGTCTGGTTGTGTCTGGGGGTTTTTATGGGCTCAGAATGAGGTACATGCTCATTGGTCTACGGGCAGGAAGAAGTGTGTGCTGAGTGGTCCATGAGTGGGCCTGGAAAAAGCATCATTTGACTGGCTAACAGGCATCAAGGAAATTTTCACTGTGGGTGTGGATTCTACGTGGAACTGGCAGCCTGGGGTTCAGATTTCAGGCTGTCTCCAGCCAGAAGGTGGGGTTTCACGGGAAACCTGCCCCTATTTGCCTAGCAATTTGCCTCCAGCCGCTTTCATTTCTTTGATAAACTAATACTCACAATTCCTTCTTCCTCCATCAATGATCTACTTACTACCAATTCTTCAGATGGTTCATTTTCCAAAAGCTTTCTCAAACTTCCTCAGAGTCTCCAAGTAGAAAAAATTGTTATGCTTTATCTAATCACCTATATTGACTCATACAATAGAGTACAGTTGGATATATAATTCAAATAAGATTTTCTTTTAAATCTAAGTACTTTTACTTTAAGAAGAAGGTAAGGGTCTCAGAAAATAAGTTATTTAGGAAATATAACCGGTTTATCCTAAACTATCTGACACTGGATAAGTATGTTTACCTGTTTAGACATGAGTTTTCTTATCTGTAAAGCAAGATGTTTAGATAACTTATAATACTTTTTCTCTATTTTTATAGAAATAATTGTAGATTTAAATAGTTGTCAATTTTCATTACTTCTAAAATTATATATTATAAAGCCAATGTTTAAATTCTATGAAAAATATTTATTTAATATAAAATCACTTGAGGTGTTCTGTTCTCACCTGTTGAGTGTTTCTAGGAGGAGATCATATAGCAGTTGAACGCTCCCATTTTTTTTGTTAGTAAGCATGCTCAAGTGCACTCGCCCAGCTCCTGAGACCTTATCAGGAAGCTGCTAATCACCAGTTTTGATGTTGCTATCTATTGGGAGACTGCCTTTCCCTGGCACTGGCTGCAACTAACTATTATTTTAGACAGACAGTTTTAACAACTGCCTGACCATCACCTGATAGTTGCCTGATGCTCCTGGGGGATTTGGCTCTCCTGCCCTGCTCATGTCTGCCTGACTATGTACCATAATACTACCAAAGAAAAAAAAAAGCAGGGTTATTTATATTAATTTTATAATGTAAAAAAGAGAATAACACAAAATACATAACCAAAACTATATAATTGTTTGGGGCTGGGAGTATTAAAAATATATTTTTTCTTTCTACTGTTCTATGCTTTCTAGAATTTCCATGTAAAAATATAATCTATTCCACTATAAGGTTTGAAAAAAATTATTAAACCCACCAGACTCTATGAACTGTCTCCTGTATTTTTCCCCCGGTATTATCTTCAAACATATTTTCTCATACTTCCTGTGTTCAAGAAATACAGATCAACGTAATATGTATTGGACTCTTCATGTTATTTTATACAGCTAAGTTTCTACACATGTTCTTCACTCTACAATTTAAGCATTCTTTAAGAGTTTTAAAAAATATATTAAAATTCACCTTCATGGCTGGGCACAGCGGCTCATACCTGTAATCCTAGCACTTTGGGAGGCCAAGGCCGGTGGATCACGAGGTCAAGAAATTGAGACCATCCTGGGCAACATGGTGAAACCCTGTCTCTACTAAAAATAAAAATTAGCTGTGCGTGGTGGTGCGCACATGTAGTCCCAGTTATTCGGGAGGCTGAGGCAGAAGAATCACTTGAACCCCGGAGGCAGAGGTTGCAGTAAGCCGAGATCGCACCACTGCACTCCAGCTTGGTGACAGAACAAGACTCTGTCTCAAAAAAAAAAAAAAAATTCAGCTTCATATATAAAATACATATCAAATATTATATATTTTTATAAATATTGTACACCAAAAATACAATTCTCAGGATCCCTAACTGACTGAACAGGTCCTCTCCTGGCCTCAAGGACCTCAGAGTGACTTGAAAAACTGAATTCCTGGCCTGATGGAAAAAGGGTCCCCAGACATGCCTCGTTATCCTCCCTCCCTTTTGGAGTTTACATCAATGTAGAAATAATAAGATGGACAAAACAGACTATTTATGGAAATAAGGTACCTATTTATAAACAAATCCTAAGGCCATGCATGGCAAGGGTTAAGTCACACCCTAAAAACCATACAATTTCATTAAAAAAATTTTTAAAATTATTCTGGTGTAATGTGGCTTGCTTTCTAACCTGACTCTGGTATAGCATCAATGACAGCAGACCTTGAGGGAAATAAAAATATTTTACCCTAGAGTATATCTTTTTGACATACTTTGAAAAGTCCTACAAGGTCCTCTTCTGGGGGAGAAAATTGGGTTAGTAGAGAATCTCCATTATTGCAGCCAGGTCTTCCCTTTCTATGTTTTTCCTGGATCTAGGAGAGATTAATAGAGAGCTTGATGGCTTTATGGCACTTCATCTGCATAAGAAGGGCTTTGGCCTCCCTAACTCCCCTTATCTTAACTCAAGCATTTCTTTCTACTGACTTCAAGTCTTTACATAAAGCTTATTTCTGTTAACCAATTACCAATCAGAATCTTTGAATCAATCTATGACCTGTAAGCCCCCACTTCAACATATTCCCCTTCTTTAGGCTGAACCAATGCACACCTTCCATGTATTGATTTATTATTTTACCTACAATTTCTGTTTTTCTACAATTTATAAAACCAAATTGTAACCAGAGTGCCTCACACACACTTTCTCAGAACCTCTTGAGACTGTTCCCTGAAAATGGTCACTCACATTGGCTCAGAATAAACCTCTTAGAAATATTTAAAGAGTTTGTTTTTCCACTAACATTATAAAATATTTTTTATAATCTAAGCCTATCCAGACTATTTCAGAAACAAAAAATTTCCAGCATCCTAAAGAGTCCCGTGCCTCTTGCTACCTTGCAGTCATTAAAATCCTTCAAAAATGAATGTGACTTCTAATAGTATATTATAGATTAATTTTGAAATTTTTGTGCTGCAAAAAACACAATAAAGCATTTGCTCCTGTATTTATTTTCTCCTTTTTTCTTTCAAAGCATGTGAGATTAGTATTGTTCATATAGCTATGCATAGTATTTTTAATTGTTGTATGTGACATATTTGATTTTTCTACCCCATTGGTCTCTACTATTTCACTATCTCCTTTCTTTCCCTTTGTTTTCTTTAGGGTTTATTTGCTGTTTTTTTTTTCTTTTTTTCCCCCCTAACTTTCTTGGTATGAAGCACAAATAATCATTAATTTTTTACATTTATGATTTTTTATTTAATAATAAATATTCTACTAAACACAGCTTTTGTTTCATCCCATAAGTTTTGATATATCATGCATTTGTCAGAGGTGTTTAAACCAGAGAAACCCCATCTTGAATAAAGGCTGTGTAAAATAAAGCTAAGACATAATACTGGGCTGCATTCTTAGTTAGGCATTCTAGGTCACAGGATGAGATAGGAATTCAGCACAAAATACAGGTCATAAAGACCTTGCTGATAAAACTGGTTGCAGTAAAGAAGCTGTCCAAAACCCACCAAAACCAAGACGGTGATGAGAGTGATCTCTGGTTTAAATATGGTTTAAAAATGGGAGGCATGAATATTCCACTGCTTGTTTAGCATGTAATGAAGAAATAACCAAGAAATAACCATAAAAATGGGCAACCAGCAGTTCTTGGGGCCGCTCTGCCTATGGAGTAGCCATTCTTTTATTTCTTTACTTTTTAATAAACTTGCTTTAACTTTACTCCAAAAACTCACCCTGAATTATCTCTTGGGTGAAATCCAAGAACCCTTTTTTGAGGCCTGGACCAGGACCCTTTTCCAGTAACATCTTTCTGACAACCTCCCCAAAAAAAACAATACTCAAGAGACCCTGATATAGTTTGGATGTGTCCCCATCCAAATCTCATCTAGAATTGTAGCTCTCACAATTCCCTTGTATTGTGGGAATGACCTAGTGGGAGATAACTGAATCATAGGGGTGGTTTCCCCCATAATGTTCTTATGATAGTGAAAAAGTCTCATGAGATCTGACAGTCTTATAAGCCCTTTCACTTGACTCTCATTTTTATTTTGTTGGCCACCATATGAGACATGCCTTTCACCTTCCACCATGATTGTGATGCCTCCCCAGCCATGTGGAAATGTGAGTCCATTAAATCTCTTTCTTTTGTAAATTGCCCAGTCTCAGCTATGTCTTTATCACCAGTGTGAAAACAGACTAATACAGTAAATTGGTACTGGGAGTGAGGTGCTGCTGAAAAGACACCTGAAAACATGGAAGTGACTTTGGAACTGAGTACCAGGCAGAGGCTGGAACAGTTTGGAGGGCTCAGAAGAAGATAGAAAAATGTGGGGAAGTTAGGAACTCCCTAGAGACTTGTTGAGTGCCTTTGACTAAAATGCTGATAATGATATGGACAATGAAATCCAGGCTGAGGTGGTCTCAGATGGAGATGAGGAACTTGTTGGGAACTGAAGCAAAGGTGACTCTTATTATGATTTAGAAAAGAAACTGGCAGCATTTTGCCCCTGCCCTAGAGACTTGTGGAACACTGAACTTGAGAGAGATGATTTAGGGTATCTGGCAGAAGAAATTTCTAAGCAGCAAAGGGTTCAAGAGTTGATTTGGGTGCTGCTAAAGGCATTCAGTTTTAAAAGGGTAACAGAGCACAAAAGTTCAGAAAATTTGCAGCCTGACAATGCAATAGAAAATGAAGTTGCATTTCCTTAGGAGTAATTCAAGTCAGCTGCAGAAATTTGCATACGTGAAGAGGAGCTGAATGTTAATCACCAAAACAAACGGGAAAATGTCTCCAGGGCATGTCAGAGATCTTTGTGGCAGCCCCTCCCAACACATGCCTGGAGGTCTAGGAGAAAAAATGGTTTCTTGGATGGGGTCAAGTGTCTCTGGGCTGTGTGCAGCCTAGGGACTTGGTGCCCTGTGTCTCAGCCACTCTAGCCATGACTAAAAGTGGTCAAGGTACAGCTCAAGCCATAGCTTCAGAGAGTGCAAGCCCCAAGGCTTGGCAGCCTCCATGTGGTGTTTAGCCTGTGAGTGCATGTAAATCAAAAACTGAGTTTTGGGAACCTCTGCCTGGATTTTGAAGACGTATGGAAATGCCTTGTTGTCCAGGCAATAGTTTGCTGCAGGGGTGGAGCACTCATGGAGAACCTCTACTAGGGAAGTGGGAAAGGGAAATGCGGGGTGGGCACACCAACACAGAGTGTCTGCTGGGGCTCTGTCTACTGCAGCTGTGAGAAGAGGGCTACTGTCCTTGAGACCCCAGAAAAGTAGATGTACCTTAGCTTGCACCATGCACCTGGAAAAGACAGACACTCAGTGCCAGCCTGTGAAAGCACACAGGAGGGAGGCTGTACTCTGCAAAGCCACAGGGGTGGAGCTGCCCAACACCATGGGAACCCACCTCTTGCATCAGCATGACCCAGATGAAAGACATGGAGTCAAAGAAGATTATTTTGGAAATTTAAGATTTGACTGCCCTGCTGGATTTCAGACTTTCATGGAGCTTGTAACCCCTTTGTTTTAATCAATTTCTCCCACTTGGTCCAGCTGTATTCACCCAATGCCTGTACCCCTATTGCATCTCAGAAGTAACTAACTTGCTTTTGATTTTACAGGCGCATAGGCAGAAGGGACTTGCCTTGTCTTGGATGAGACTTTGGACTGTGGACTTTAAGTTAATGCTGAGATGAGTTAAGCCTTTGGGGGACTGTTGGGAAGGCTTGATTGGTTTTGAAATGTGACACCATGAGATTTGGGAGGGGCCAGGGGCAGAATAATATTGTTTGACGCTGTGTCCCTATCCAAATCTCATCTTGAGTTGTAACTTCCATAATTCTCTCATGTTGTGGGAGTAACCCTGTGGGAGATAATTAAATCATGGGAGTGGTTTCCCCCATACTGTTCTCATGATAGTGAATAAGTCTCATGAGATCTGATGGTTTTATAAGGGGAAACCTCTTTCACTTGACTCTCATTCTTCTCTTGTCTGCCACTATGTGAGACGTGGCTTTCACCTTCCACCATAATTGTGAGGCCTTCCCAGCCACATGGAACTGTGAGTTCATTAAACTTCTTCTTTTGTAAATTGCCCATTCTTGGCTATTTCTTTGTCAGCAGCGTGAAAACAGAGTAATACAGACCCCAAAGCCAAAAGGGAATCATTTATGCATACCAATTGGCCAACTTTGTGTAAGTGGGGTGCTTTTTTACCCAGATAAAGAATGGGATTTGGTTAGAGGCCCAACTTAGGGGAGTTAGAGTCTCTCCTGAAACAGAGAGGGTTAAAGGTTCCTCTCAGTAAAAGGCAAGAACTCTTGAGCAAACCCGGGTTCAAGGCCCAAAACTTGGGAAGTTTAGAGTTCTTCCTATGAGTTAGGGGGCTAGAGGCCTCTCTCTCAGTAAAGTCATTCTCTGCTAAGAATTGATCTGGTGCTATGGGATGTTAACCACTATTCTCTTTGAATTAATCTGCCTTGCATTCTTTGCTGTTGGCTGTGGGTGACAGCATTAGGCATAAGCAGGATTATGAAACCCTGGGACCTTTTTCTCCCTAAAAGGGGAAAACTTGAGAGCTGATGGGACTGCTGGAAAACGTCCCTTAGCGACCAAGAAGCAGGTGCCTGAACTTTTAATTCATTGTCACTGTAATAGTGAATCTTTCTCTGGCCTCCCTGAGCATTTCACCTTTTTCACCCCACCCCAGGCAATGCTTTTCTCCCTTCTCTTTCTTTCTCTCTCTATGCAAACTGGTTAAATGAATGGTAAGAATCACAGTTTATCTCCTCTGTAAAGTTTTGATTTATTGGAAAAAAAAATTGTGAGGCTACTCTTAAGCTGTAGTGAATCTGTTGTACTCTGTACTATGAATTTGTCTTTCTGTATCTTTCTATCAGAAAGAGAGGTACTTTAGGTTAGAATGTGGGCACAGGACACCTGTAAACCTGCTGTTCAAGACAGCCCAACAAACTGGTCAGTTACGTCCTTGGGAGCTTGACCTTGTAACCCCTTGGTGGTACTTTCTCTTGGTCTCCATTGCCTAGGGAACAGGAAGTTTGGGATTTGTGTCATATTTAGCTCAAAAAATTATCTTGATCAGTTAAAAGCCTTTGCAAGCTCAAAACTGGCTGCTTTAGGCTCCTCCTAGGAAGAGCAATGGGAACTACCAATGCTGTAGCTTGGCAGCTAAGTCTTTGTCATTTTGTAATGATGGCCTGGGTTCAATTCCTAGCTTAGGGAATGAGTCCCTTCTGGGTTTATATCTGTGTGAACTTTATCATTTGTTGATTCTCTTCCCCTCCAAGAACCATCTTGAATTTTCTTTTCTCTGAGCACCTGGGAGATTACATTTGGTAAAGTTCAAAAGCCAGGAATATTGACTTTTTTTTTTTTTAGAATGTTATGGTTAACAGTCAGCTTAATTAGAAGCAAATATTCAAGTTTTAACAGCTTGGGACTCCTTGAGAAAAACAGAGGTGGAACCACAGACGCTGTTTTGGGAAAAAAAAAAACCTGTTTTCTTTATAAATCCCCAGGAATTAAAAGTGGATAGGTCCCTCTCAAAATCTAAGGCTCTGTTCTGTTTTGCATTGCATAATCTGAAGTTTTTAACTTTGGGGGGTATCAGAAATTACTTCACATTATGAGAGAACTTTGATGTGTAATAAATACGTAGGAAATATACTTTTGGGAACAACTAATGGCAGTTCCAGGGAAATACTCAGCTCTTCATGTTTGGATCAGAGAAGCATGCTCTTGGCCACCTAGACAGTATGGAGATGTTCCCACCCTGCACTGAGAGATAAGACTTCCATGGGATGGGCTGATTCCCTGTTTTTGGGATCTAAGATCTGGTATAAAAACAGTACTCTTAATTTTGGGGATCTGTTTTGCCTTCCAGCTGTGCCTGCTTATTTGACCATAAAAACTGCATGCTTTAAAAAGAAAAAAGCTGGCAAATGAAAAATCTTACAACTTCAGGATCTTCTGTCTTTCTTTGTATTATAGGTGTTATGTGTGCAATTTTTTACATATAAAAGAGCTTTAATCGGTTTAAAAGTAGTAGGTGCTTAAATCAAATATTGTTAGAAAAGTAAAAAGTATAGTGCCTTCTAGTTCATGTGACTTTAGTAAACTTTGGAAATAAATACAGTTCTACATGTAAGGTGTGCAATTAAAATAGAATATGCTTTTGGTAAAAAATTATAAGAAGGCATGGGAATATGATTTTTTGGCCTAGATTAAAGGGTTAAAGGATTGTTTTAAGTTAAATAAGATAAAGCTGAAGGTTTGAACAAGTTGTGGGACAATGTGTAAAGGATTAATCTTGCAAAATAAATTTTGTGTATGAATATAGTGGCTAAATGGTAGTATTCAGTTTTTCCATAAATTGAACAGATTTTTCTTACAGCACTGATCTGCTTTTTAACAAAAATTTGTAAAGAGTTATAAAAGGTTAATGAAAAATACTACCTTATGGTCCCAGATGTTAAAATTGGATAGATTTGTCTGTAAGTTTTTATTAATAATTGGCTTTATCATTAATACTACACTAATGCAAAGATAAAATTTGGCTTATTTGGTATAAAAATTATGCAGGAAGTATTGTCAAATATGAAGTGGTATTTGGCTTTCTTTGGGTTGTATTTGTATAAATATGTTTTTGGTATGTGTTCAAAATTATGGAAAACTCCTATAATTCTAACATAACTTATATATGTTATTAATAGTTATAATTGTCATGTGAAATCATTGTCTGCCACAGAGGTAACCAAAATTCTTTGTCAATTGTGTTTTTCACTGTAGATGCCCTAAAACATTTTCTCATTCACAGACAATTGTTTTAATCCTCTTCAAAAAGTGGGTTATAATCAGCTGTAGGATTTTACCAGGTATTCTTAAATGCAGGTTTCTTATAATTTTGGAAATTGTGACAATAAAATAGAGAAAAAGAATTTCAGGACTCATGAAAAGCTGAAATGTTCATGACTATCAAGCAGAACAGGAGTTCACTGCATGAACCAAACCAATAGAAGACTAAAGTAATCTTTGTGACTTTGCTTAATACATTTCTGATCTTTGCTTTGTTTGTCAAAGTCAAGAAAACTTTTACTTTGAGCTATTTACAGTTTATAGCAATTGAGTAAAGTATGTTTCTGTGAACAAAATTTGGAGGATATTTGCTTCTCTCTGCCTGATTTTTCCAGAATTTGGAACTAGTTGTGCATATTATTAACTTATGTCAATATAGTTATTTGCATAAGTGCAGGAAACTGTTTTCTTTTGCAACAAGACACAATTGGAGAAACTGATTATTTTACCAAGGGTTTGACTGGAATGGCGTACTGTCTTTAAGAAATCAAACTTGATTTATAGAGCCAATAAAAGCCCCTTGGGAAAACTGGTCTCATACCTTGTCTATGGAGTTACCGTGCAGCATTTCTGAAGTGTGGTAAGTAAAGAACGTCACTTTCTAACAGGCCCAGGAGCCCCAAGTTATCCTGCAACCTCAATAGGAGAGGAATTTACCCAACTCATAGGTATTTGAGGGCCCAAATCCATGGATGGTCTCAGCTTAAAAAAAAAAAAAAATCTTGTTTGAAATTTCTTCTATGGAACAGAGTTCCACTGAAGCCAATTTTAAAGGCCTATGTGAAAAATAATTATTCTTGCTGTATTGTATACAAATCATCAGGCCAAGTATAATAAAGTAAATTTGTCTTACCGTGATTTGTCTTTTATAAAAATGGGAAACTGGATGGAGAATAATTATGTTTCAAGAACTATGGTTAACTTGTTATTACATTCTATTCTCATTGTTTTAAAATCTTTTCCTGCAATTTAGATTAACTGCTTGTTCCTGTAAACAAGTAGTGATCTCTAGCCGCAGCTTAGAAGAAACAAGATGGACGAGTAATGTAAAAATCTGGATTAATATTCTAATTCTTGGCATG
Source organism: Homo sapiens (assembly GCF_000001405.40). Taxonomy (NCBI): domain Eukaryota; kingdom Metazoa; phylum Chordata; class Mammalia; order Primates; family Hominidae; genus Homo; species Homo sapiens. The sequence goes on along the minus strand of NC_000004.12, from coordinate 64,261,712 downwards.
TATTAGAATCAGTTAGCAACCCTATAACATCTTGGTTCCAACAGTTGCCCAGTGCATGAAAGCACTTCTTATTTAGTTTACTTGGAATAATTTTACTTTACTGTTGTGGAATATATTGCTGTTGTACTTTTTGTGTAGGAATAAAGTTTTCTGAATTTAAATACTTATTAATCTTCTAGATGTTACCTTTTGTCAGAACTCAGAGCTATGAATGGTCCTGGACATATTGATGCTTTCTTCTCTACCCAGAATACAATAGACCCTACTAGTTAGGCAGGAATATCATTGCCCCTATTCAGCCTGAAGAAGTTACAGAAGATGGATATTCATCCCTCTGTAACCCCTAGGATTAAGATTTCTCTTAAAAAAGAGAGGGGGGAAATGTCAGAGGCATTTGAACCAGTGCAACTCCATCTTTAAGGGGCTGGGTAAAATAAGGCTGAGACTTACAAGGCTGGTACCTCACATTTACTACTTATTTGAATTAATCTAATTGCCATCTCTTTCTTTAATAGTACTATCCAAAGACTTCAAATTTCACAATAAATACTGTTTCTTCTTAGGGCTTTGCTTTATCCATTATTTTAAAACATACAGTTGTATCTACTGACTTGAGTTAATCATGTCTTCTTCTTTCTTCATTTCCCAGAAAAATCTAACATAATCACAATTCTATTGATACATTTTTTAAACTGGTAGATAAAAACATGTCAATAATAAATAATTGATAAAGTAATCCTTTGTGAAATATGTATCTCAATAATTTAAATATATGTGTTTTACAAATAAGCAAACCATATCTATATATTAATATACATTGTAAAAATAAAAATAACATGAGCAATGTGCAGTGTAATCCCAGCACTTTGGGAGGCCGAGGTGGGCGGATCATGAGTTCAGGAGCTCAAGACCAGCCTGGCTAGCATGGTGAAACCCTGCCTCCAATAAAAATACAAAAATTAACTGGGCATGGTGGCACATGTCTGTAATCCCAGTAAATAGGGAGGCTGAGGCAGGAGAATTGCTTGAATCTGGGAGACAGAGGTGGCAGTGAGCTGAGATCGCACCACTGCACCCCATCCTGGGCAACAGAGAAATACTCTGTCTCAAAACAAACAAACAAACAAACAAACAAACAAATAAATAAATAAAATAAAAATAACATGAATAGCTAACATTTATTGACAATCAGGAACAATGTGTTTTCATTTTATATTCCCAACCACCTAGTTCTGTTTAAGATTCCCATATAATTGTTGAAGATATTGAGGTTTAGAGAGTGTATACAACAGCAGTTCTCCAACAGGAGTGATTTCATCAAATAAAAGATACGAATAGTGTCAGTATCGAAAATCCCTGATATGTACAATAGTTACCTTTGTCCAAAATCACATTGTCAATAATTAGTAGACCGAAATAAGCTTTACTTATAAAAATATATCTCAAAACTTATTTTTAAAGGTATGTTATAAATTGCTCTACTCTATTACCTTTAGTTTAATAACTTTCACATTTTGTAGCATTATTAAAACAACTCATGATTGATATAGGCATTATTGAAGCAAGATAGATAAAGAGACACATCAAATCTGGACATATGTCTCCCATATTTAAAGTGTTTCTCCATCCATATTATAATTACTAACCTGTTTACTTTGGTATGTAACACTTTGTAAGTTACAAAGTAGCGAACTGGTTCCAACTATCCTCAAATTATTTACAATGTACATAAGAAAACAAAACAAAATCAATCATTTTAGGTTTTAAAATATTTATGTGTATTTAATAGTTATCCAAAACCATATCAAAATTGTGTTTACAATTTCATGGGGGAAATATATTAGTATCCATGAATTCTTCATTTGAAATAATTCCCCAAACTACATAGTTCACAAATACCATCAATAGGCATACCGTGAGTGTTCAGTGAAAATGACATTCTAAGTTGGTACCACTATGCAATTATATCTTGGCTTTTGATGCCACAATTAAAAAGTTATTTATATGCCTCAGGCCACTTTCAATATTGTTACAGATTATCCTGCCAAACTGAGCTTTAAATCTGAGGTGGAAATTGAGAACTTGTTGTTAGTGTATAAAGTTGTTCCATGACAACAGCAGCTCTTAATTAGAGCCTAATTTCTCATTTCTTCATACTCTAGGCACTTGCATCAACTGAAACATTTCCAAATTTCACCCCAGTTTATCCTCCACTTGTCCAGAAAATATTCTATTAACTAATTTTTTGGTGCACTTTCAGCATTTTAATATATATATAATCTCTATTAATGTAATGGCATCACTATCCAAAAAAAAATGTTACGAAAAGCAATAGCAAAACAAAATTAATAAAAACAATTTGTTCTTTTGGCTATTTTACGATTTTACATATTTTATTGTAAATAACAGTTTTCTCCTGTGAGTTGATAACCTACCCCTTTGATTTAAATAAATGTGTCCTATTACAGTTGAATCAGTACATGTATACTTTTAAATGCTATGACTCTGATTATAATTACTTGTCACTATTTATTAAGAATGTCCAACTGAATTAACATGGATTTAAGATAAATTCAAGTATAAGTGAAAAAGATAATCTGCCTTCTGGAAATACCAATCTCTAAGCCAACTGAGCAGCAATATATGAGGACAAATTTTAATATTCAAAATGTTCACTGAAGACATTTGTCTAATCTAACTTTCACCAGCCATCATAGAAATTAAATTTGTGTGTGTGTGTGTGTGTGTGTGTGTGTGTGTGTGTGTGTCTTTATCCCCAAAGGAGCAAAACCACAAAGCTCCAAAATCATCTTTAAAGGTGAACTAATGTCAAGTTTTCTATAAAACTTTCCCAATGTGATTCTTTATATGCCTCATCTTTTCGGCAAGTGGTGGTGGTTGTTTTTTCTGGGTTCTCAAATATACTCACTTTATTATATTCAAATGTACTTTTAGAGCAGTTCATACACCATATATAACATTATATGTGCTTCTTATCTGTCTGCCTTAGTAGATAGTGTACACTGTGCATTTGTTGAAGGCATGAATTAAGTCTTAATGATCTTTGTGTCTGCAATAATGAGCAAATATTCCAGAACACTACAAGGGTTTAATCTATAGATGACATAACTATAAGAGTTTAGTTTTAGGGCTCTTTCCTTCTTCTACTTTTATTTTTAACTTGGAATGTTGAAATAAAAGTTACTAAGGCAAAATCAGTTTTTACTCTATAATAAATAGTAAAATTCAGACAATTTTTTTTTTCTGGCAAGAGCTACATGAGGAAAATTTCAATTTTAAACAACTGACAACTGAACTGTTATTCAGTAGGTATTTAGAAAAGTGATCATTTTCATCTACTTGAACTCAGTCTATTTAAGGCCACTAAATCTGGACAAGTACAATAGGCTATTCGAGAATGCTGATCAAAGCAAGCAGTTTTATGTCCTGTGGACTATAAAAATATATCATGTGAGAAAATATCTTAAATTTTTACATTGTTATAGTGAATATAATGGATGATCACACTGCTTCTATGCTATCTTTTGTGAATAATGCATTATAAAACATGATGACATGCTGAGAACATCATTTTTCAGAAATACTTTGCAAATGGAAATATAATTCTATTTCTCAGAGCACTCAAATATATCATTGACATATACAATCTGTAAACTACTTATAACACAGAAACAATTACAGAATCAGAAAAGTTGACTAAGGAGAATGGTCATATGTGGTGCTATTTGATTAATTAATTAAATTAGTGAGTTGGTAATATACTAGGTAGTTTGCTGAAAGGTGCCAAAGCACTAATACATGTACGTGGCATTGAACTAAAAATATTAGGCCATATTGAATCAAAATTACACACCAATATATTTGCCAAAACAACATTTACATTCAGAAAACAGTGATGTAGTAATTTAAATAGAAATACATTTACATATAGTTCTAGTCTATCAGTGATTAAACTAAGATTTCATTTCAGAAAGTTTATCAGCATTATGTATTTTTTAAGTCATTTGATTGTTGTATTTCATGGAATTATAACCTGATATTTTCCCCCCAAAATGGTGCTGAAAATGTAAAGGTAAAATTCACACATTGTTTTATTGGCAACTTATGTGTGCATTAAAAACTCTAAGGTCCTGGATTGATAAATTCTCCCTTTAATCCGCTGAATCAGAAAGTTTCTCAGGTAGACATTTAAAATTCAAAATAATATTAATAAGAGACAGATGTAAACATTTAATTTTATAAATTTTCAAAGAAATATAATTTAAAACCCAGTAGCATTTAAAATTAATTTATTACAAAAATATAATAAAAGACAAGAATACAAACATTCAAAAAGCTCAATGAACTCCAAACAGGTTGAGTTCAAAAAGACCCATAGTAAGGCATATTATAATCAAATTTTGAAGGCCAAAGACAAAGAAAGAACGTTTTTAAAAAAGCAAGGGATGGCCGGGCGGGGTGGCTCACGCCTGTAATCCCAGCACTTTGGGAGGCTGAGGTGGGCCGATCACGAGGTCAGGAAATCGAGACCATCCTGGCGAACACGGTGAAATCCCGTCTCTACTAAAAATACAAAAAACATTAGCTGGGCATGGTGGTGGGCGCCTGTAGTCCCAGCTACTCAGGAGGCTGAGGCAGGAGAATGGCGTGAACCCGGGAGGCGGAGCTTGCAGTGAGCGGAGATTGTGCCACTGCACTCCAGCCTGGGCGATGGAGCGAGACTCTGTCTCAAAAAAAAGCAAGGGAGAAGGGAGTCATCACCCACAAGGGATCCTCTATAAAATTGTCAGTGAATTTCTCATTAGAAACTTTGAAAAACTAAAGGCATTTGGATGATATATTCAAAGTGTTGATGGGGGGGAAAAGCCCTACCAATCAAAAATATTACATTTAGCAAAAGTGTTCTTCAAAAGTGAGAGAAAAATTAAGACATTCTCAGCTATACAAAAGCAGAGAGAGTATGTTGTCAAAAGATCTGTCTTGTAGGAGATTCTAGAACCCTGCCAGTTGGAATGAAAGGAGACTAGACAGCAACTCACAGACAAATATAGAAATAAAAATCTCAATAAATGTAAATATATAATTATAAAAAGTACAATTATTGTAGCAATGCTTTGTAATTACATTTTTGTTTTTACATAACTTAAGAGATAAATACATTATTAAAATTATTAGAGTATTAATCTAAAAGCCAATATTATTGTGACTTTGATTTGTAACTTTATGTTTTGTTTTCTGCATAAGTAAGACACTGACATGTTAAAAATTTTTAGTTTATAATTTGAGACACCAATGTACAAAGATGCAATTTGTGACATCAATGAATACAAAGGATGAAATGAGAAGATTTTATGTGTTATTGAACTTAAAATGGTATAATATCAATTTAGAGCATTATAAATTTAGAATTTAAATGTAATCTCCATGGTATCCACAAATAATACATAGAATATATACAAAGAGACATGGGGACATACACAATATAGAATACACAAAAAGAAATTAGTTTTACTTCAATATCAACCAAATGCAAAAGAGATAGTAATGCCAAATACTAGGGCCAAAAATGTTATAAGTTAATATGGAAAACAAATAGAAAAATGACTGAAGTCCCCTCTCATCAGTAATTATTTTAAATGTAAATGGGTTAACCTCTTCAATCAAAAGAAAGAGATCAGCAGAACACATTTTAAAAAGTAATCTTGGAGTATGCTGTCTGTCTACAAGAGACTCACTTTAAATCCAAAGATACAAATAGATTCAAAGTGAAAGAATAAAAACAAGATATATGCAAATCATAATCAAAAGGAAGTTGATCCCTGAGTGAGAGTTTAAGTACTCTGATTTTAATCAGCTCATATAATCTCTAAGTCAGAATTTCAAATGTTTGATTTATAAAAATGAGAATTAACATCAAATTTATGGTAATATTATTAGATTAAATAAAATCAGATTTATATGCCTAAAGCACCTGCCATATAATAGGTACTTAATAATACTAATTACTTTTTAATTATTCTCACTTAAGCTTGCCAATTGATAAATTTTTAGGGCTTTAGCCCAGTCGGCTTCAATCTTTCCTCTTGAACCCCACAGTTTGTTTCTAAATCATTTGATCAACATTACCTTTATTTATGCTTCATTTTCATTTTCTTTTGGTTTTGAAATTTTGCCTGGATGTGTAGCCCCAATGTGTTAATAAAAGTATTTATTGAGCCCATAGTGCTAGAAAGTTGCAATTTGCTTGTTGAAACATTGAGTGTTGGATTAACCAAATAGAATGTCTGGAACCTACACCATAATGCACCACATAATAAATGTCACTACAACCCCCAAACTTCAACTTCCGTATTCTTCTGTTTTTCTGCCAAGAGAACCTGGTAAGTCATGCAACTAATCCCACCTGGTTTAATTAAATAATTTCCTCTCCATATAAGAAAACAATGAGGACATATTTTATGTCAAATATATTTGTATTTCAAGCTAATTTAGTCTCGTGAAAATCATCAAGGTAATTTAAACAAAATTTATAGGGCATTGTACTTTACATTATAACACTTCCTGCTTCCTAAGCATCAAATTTTTAATTACATGTAACCTGGAAATTAGGGAAAAACACTGAACTTGAAGGAAGAATTTTCATTTTAGTTAAATAACTTTGTTCTACAACAAGACAATTATTGAACCTCTGTTTTCTCATATAAAGTGAGGCTTTTGAACTAAATAATTAGTTTTTAAACAGGAAGTTCCTTTTTTTTCCAGCAAAACCTCAGGCAACTCTTAGCAATCTGAATTAAAATATGCAATTGTATGGGCAATTTTTCTCAGTTTTCTTCACTGAAAGTCTCAAAACAGACACCTATAAAGATATTATAAAAATAATTAAAATATTTTCAGTTTCCTTAAAAGGTCATAAAATCTAGAAATGCATGCTAGAGTGAAAAGCAAAAGCACTGAAATATCCCTTTCATTCATTTATCTTTTCAAAGGCCTATTTATAACTATAGTTTCTCTAATAAAAATGTTACTATAATTTACGCATTTATATTCTGGATGTGTTATTAAAATATAAACAGATGTAAGATTTTAAAACATTAATCAGTGTATATGTTCAGTTTATATGGTCATTTATATGTTCAATACTCATATCTTCTTCCTCACAAAGTTAAAATATAATGCTCAAAGGTCTTAAAGAATAATATTAAGACAAAAATATTCTAAAGCTATTTTGACAAATGAGGTCTAAAAGCACATTCTAATTAACCATAAATAATGACAAAGATGGGATGTCATCGTTGTTATTTCTATCTCATTATTTATTTTTTTCTGGATGTTTTATATGCTTGTATTTCTTAATTTTAATTGCTCATTTATTTTCAGATTATTTTGTTAGATGTAATATCTTATCATCATCCTTCAACCTGCTTTTAATATGTTAATAATTGTAAGCTGTATATTATGGTTCTAAATGTGAATTAATTGTGCCATTTCACTGAAAAATGAGGGGATCAATTCTTCTGATATGAAGCATATAAACAAAAGAAAAATGAACTTTCATATGTAAAACACCCTTCACATTTCAATATTGAATATGCAGCCAAGTGTTTCACTGTAGTTCTTTTTCAAAAGACTGTCTTGTTATGGAAATACTCACATATTTATTTCACTTGAGAAGATTCACCACTCTAATGTATCTCTACTAAACTTTATTTTTGTCCTGCCCTGTGACAGTAAAGAGTGGATCATACACCCAATTATAATATTTAACAAGTATTGTTGTCAGGTCAATTTAATAAGCCTAGAGGAAAAGATTGGCTGTCTGCCTCATTAGCATGAGATACTGTACCTAAGTGTATTCATTGTATAACATTATTGATTCAAGTACACAGGTCCAGGTTCTGCCTAAAGAAATCTACCTGCTGGCAGGAGTGAAAATATCTATGAGTAGCTAATGCCTGAAATTGACCTTAGGTTTTTAATAGCTTGGTTTCTCTGCAAGAGTATAAAAGTATCACTAATGTTCATTATATCCTATTCAATCCGTTATCCTGATCAATGCAGTATTGCTTTTATGGTTCATTTGCTAGACTTTCCTTGAAACTGAAATCATAAAATTTTCAAGCTAGAAGAGATTTTCGAATAATAAAACTAAAGATACAGAAAGGTTAAACGTCTTTTATTCACTCTTCTGAAACTGCATTCTATTTTAACATGAATGTTATGTAAAGATAATTAGAAATAGGCCCTATTAGTTTTCCACTGTCTAGCCCAGACCAATTTGTTAGTTGAACATACTGCAAAGGCTTGGATTTGTGCTTTAATAACAGTTTAAGGGAAAAATCATCTAAACAACAAAATTAAGCAACCAGCAGAAATTTAATTGGGGTTTTCACAAATGGCATAGTGAAAGATAGTTGCTATTTGGCACATACTTTTGGAAAATTTGATGACATCACAACACTGAAAAAAAAATTTTGCAGCTGTCTTGGACCATAGGATCACAGGTCATTATTAGAAACATAATAGAAAATTCTGGTTTACATTACTTTTATTCATCACAAAATATAATTTATTAATTGATGTCAAAACATGATTCTGCTGTTATTTCTCATAAATTCTATTCAATGTCTTTCTTCATGTGATATGAACATTGTTTGTCTAACATTTAAAGACTTACAATTCAAAAACAACAATTTTTAAAGTTCAAGTTACCAAAATAAAATTAAAACTCTTCATGTTGTTGTTCCCTTGTTACTGTTACATGAAGTAAAAAAAAATGAAATTTATATTTTTCATACTAATATCATAGCAATTCTTCTTCTATCAATATTTATTTTGACTCATGGGTCCATTTTTTTTTTTTTTTGAGACGGATCTCGCTCTTTTAGCCCAAGCCGGACTGCAGTGGCGCTATCTCGGCTCACTGCAAGCTCTGCCTCTCGGGTTCACGCCATTCTCCTGCCTCAGCCTCCCGAGTAGCTGGGACTACAGGCACCTGCCACCGCCCCCAGCTAATTTTTTTTTTTGTATTTTTAGTAGAGATGGAGTTTCACCGTGTTAGCCAGGATGGTCTCGATCTCCTGACCTCGTGATCCGCCCGCCTCAGCCTCCCAAAGTGCTGGGATTCCATTTTTTAATCTATGGATATTCGCATACATTTTTACTACCAGAAAAACAGTTACATGCCCAATTAGGCATGTCATTTTAAGGGACTTGAGGATGATAAAACATGTCCATGTATCTCATTGAAACTTAAATTCAAAGTAACTTTCTGAATAAATTTCTAAGTGGAAAATATTACTATTTACTTAGGAAGGAGGCTGACATTAACTTAAATGTCTAAAATTTGTTCTCAATGTACTTAGACAACCAACCTCTGTAGCCGATAGTGCTTTAAAATTTTTAATAATGCCATGTCATAAGAAGGAAAAAATTCCTCTAATCAGTCACTGTTCAAAGTCAAATCATAGTGATATAAATATTTAATAATATTTTAACTCTTGTATAAAAAATGGGTTTTATAACTGCAAGAGTAATTCTCACTTCAGAGAAATATATTATTTAAAACTCACATTAGTAATATTTGCTGATAAAGATTTTTATGTTTTGAGTGGCATACATAATGTGTGTGGATTTAAGCCAACAAATGATCCACTTTAAGCAGTTTGGACATGTTATAAGAAAGGAACAGCTGGCTGTCAGTAGTGTTTACTCTGACTTTAACAGGCAACAACAGCTACAGAATGCAAAGCTTTATGAAAAGAAGGCTTTAAATCTGTCTATAAATACAATTACAAATGTTTCAGGAATGTCACAGTAATTTATTTTCTTTTAAGAGTCACCAGATAAATCTGAGATTTCATCTCCTGAAAAAGGTGAAGTCCAAAAAATATGAATTTTAACAAATTCTTCAGGCTCTTTGAACACTAGTTTCATTTATTCTTCTTGTTTTTCAGCCCTTAAGTATTATATTATTAGCAGAAGCAAAGGGAATAAATCCTTAAGTTTGTTTGACAAACTAAATTTCAGTACCATGGGACTCCATCAGTTTGTATTTCATGTGCCACTATTTCCCTTCTCACTTTACCATAAAGAGATCCCACACATTTACCACATTCCCATCATGAATACAAGAGGATATATAATATGATTAGCTGATGGACAAGAGAATGTGAGAGCATAAGCCAAAATAATTTGGCAGTAGATATGTGGAATTAGATATTAATTTAAAATGTGTTGAGTATGTGAAAAGCTGAAGCATGGTATCTAAGTTACTTAGTGTCAAAAGGAAAATATATATGTGATAGAAATTAAGAAGTGATGAATAATTAAGATAGAAAAGTATAATAAAATATGTATTTTATACATAGCAATTTTATATGTTGAAATAGTGTAGGGCCTAACATGGAAGATATTGTAATTCTATAGACCATGATTTAGCAAAATACAGTTTATAGACTGTTCTAGTCTACAAACTGTTCTTTATAAATAAAGTTTTATTAGAACACAGCCAAAGTCATTTATTTATGTATTATCCATGACTAATTTCACACTGCATCAGCAGAGTTGAGTAGTTGTAAGACATATGGTCCATTTTTAAATACTATAGAATATTTACTATTTGTCCCCATAAAAATTGCTGATCCCTAATCTATAGGTATGAAAATAACTGAAGCTTAAATATGCCTTGTTTGCTTTGTGGATTTATTATGTTCAAGCTTTCTTACCCAATTATGTATCTTCTAATATTAGCTAGAGAGTTAACAGCAGGTTTATATTTGCTATACATATTTTATATAGTAAGTGATACATTTATACTTGTATTATCCAGTATTTAATTAGAACAGTAGAACTATTGAAAACATTATATGACCAAATGTGGAAAGAATTGACTAAGTGAAAGTCAGAAAGATGAGAATTGGAAGACAAAGTCAACAACCTCATTTATTTATTGGAAGAAAAATGTAAGCAAAAGCCTGAGTCACTGCAGTAGTTGGGCAGATTTGAGTTTTAGGGAAAATTTTGGAACCTGTGTATGCCTGTCACTCAAAATAAAACCATGAAATGAAAACAGCTGGACAGATCTATGTAAGTTGCTATCTTTGAGGCAACTTGAGTGAAGAGCTTGGCTCTTGGGTTGGGTTCACTGCTGGCTGCCAGGATCAGTAGTTTGAAAGATCATCTGGATTTTGGACAAAACTGGAAACCTCTATGTCTTTCTCTCAATCTGTTTAGTTTCTGAGATTTTTGATACTAATGACCTCTTCTTTATTTCTACCTTTCAGCTCTTATTTACTTTTTTATTTTGGTGCAGACATGAGAGAGGAATTCAGAAAAAGGTAATTTCCAGTGTGGGCCATCTTGGCAACTGTTTATTATGCTCACAGATTCTGTAAGACATTCATTAGGAAAGGAAACAGCAGGGAAGACTTTTCTCTGCTCCATCTGGCATAATATGTTTTGGCTGGATAACCAGGAGATGAAACCACCTCAACAAATATTCATTTACAAGTCTGGTGCTTAGTGCTGGGAAAAGTCAGAAAGTTAAAGACTGGGATAGCTAAAGCTCTGGAACATCTCTTGTTTATATAGTCTCTACATGTGTTTTGTCTAGCATGGAGGTTTTATGGTATTTGGATATCTTACATTAAGCTGAGGGCTTACATAGCACCTAACCTAAGAGGATGAGAAGTCACATGGAAGTGCTATCCTTTTTATGAACAACTTTCAGAAGTGACTTAGCTTCATTCTGTCATCCTTTATTAAAATGAATCTATTACCAAAACACCAGGGGTTTAGTCTAGGTCCTACTTCTGCCCACAGAGAAACCCGACCACTGAGACCATGAGTATTGGCAGAAAAGAAGGCTTTATTCAGGTGCTGCAGCTGAGAGGATAGGGGATCAGTCTCAAACCCACCTTTCTGACCAACTAAAATTAAAGGTTTATATAGCAAGGAAGGAATGTAGCCACATGCAGAAAAACAGGAATTAGAGAGAGGTAAAAAAGAGAAATTGCTAAACAGGAAGCAGGTGGTCAGGAAGAAAAAAGAAATTAGAGAGAGGTAGTGAAGCAATTATGACAAATGAGGGGTCTTGCATCTCATTGTCTGGATGCAGTTTTAGTTCACTGATATTATCTGAGAGGCAGGAGAATGGATTTCCTGAGAAAGGAACTCAGATAAGACAAACGTAACTTTCTCAAGTTACATTTAAGATCGGAAGGGTCAGTATCTGTGTTTTTTCAAAGGAAATTGTAAACATCAGTTCTTTGGGACAATTGGGCCACTTTCAAATAGTCACACACTTCTTCCCAGATTCAAGAGGAGTAAATAAAGAGTACACCTTCTTTTGAGAAGAAAGTCACATTGTTGAATTAATGTATGTTATTAGTTCAACAACCTTTGTAAATGAAATTTGCCACTTTTTATAATTCTTACAACTTTTAACTTCCTAATAAGGAAATATAATTGTTTTATTTTTAGCCTTTCTAGTTTTTTCATATCATCACTCAAGGCTGTACATTTTCTGTGTAGAACACCTCAAATTATTTTAAAATTTGATTTGTGACTATTGCTTCTTCTTTGGATCATGTGATATTTTAGAATGTGACTATTCAGAACTATAAAGTTCTTTCAGCATAGCTTATGGTTTTTTACAATTTGATTGCTATACTTTATTTGCTTTATGTAGTATTTACAATTATGTTTACAAATTTCCAAATTTACAATTATGTTCAAATTTATTATTGTTCATTATTAACATCTATCAAAATCTGTTAATATCAATTATTTAAATTTATGAAACTTATTTAATGATCCAGTTTGCTTTTACTTTATATATCTTTAGTATGCTTAAAAAGAATTTGTAGTTTTCAGTTGTTAATTTTATTTTTAAAAATAATTACAATAGATCAATTGTGTTAATTATTCAGTATAATCTTAGTCATTTAAGAAATATGTATTGGCACCTTTTATATCCTGAGCCTTGGTCTTGTGCCTGGGAAATATGAATGAAAAGAATGAACAAGAATTCTGGTTTCAATGAGTTGGCATTTTAAAAACATGAGAAATGAGCAGCATAATAATTAACTAACTAAATAAAAAATAAATAAATAAATGTAAATTAAAATGATAAATTGCACAGGGTAAAATGAGGTAATGGGTATGATTAACATTTTCTGGCATGGCAGAATTGATAGATTGCAACTGCAAAGCTATATACATGATTAGGTTTGGCCTCATTGAAAGGCAACTTTTGTGCACAGATGGCATAGATGAGAGGTACTGAGCCAGATGGATATTATTTTCAGTCAGAGTGAAGAGCCAATACAAATTCCCTTATTTGGGAGCACTCCTGGCCCTTTTGTGATTGACATTGCTGCAGTGAAGTAATCATACCTGAGTAAAAGTAGTGGCTAATAAAGCCAAAGAACAAACATGGAACTAGACTGTGCTGTAAGATTTCAGATTTTACTCAAGTAAAATAATGAGCCATAACATAATCTGTCTGTTATTTTAATGGACTCACTCTCCCGACTCTGTTGAGAATAGAATTGGAGGAAGGAAGAAATTATGAGACAAGCAGAGCAGAAAAGATGGTGACTAAAACTAAGGTGCTGGAAATGAAGACAGTGAAGATTGGTCAAGTTCTGAATATATTTTGAAGACAGAGTTAATAGAATATCCTGGTGTAGAGGATTGGGTATGAGAAAAAAAAGAGCGGTTTAGGAAAACTTTAAATTTTTTGGCTTGAGAAACTAGATGGGTGATATTGTAATATAACTAAGCTGGGAGTCCATTAATTTTATTGTGTTCCTTTCATTCACATGCTCTTTTTTCCAGGAATTAAATTCTTCCTTTAAACTTCCAAATTAATTGAACTTATTATTATCTTTTTATACAGCATCTCATTTAAATATGTATGAATAGACATGCTATTTACTTATTAAAATTCTTTCTTGCCTCTTAACCTTCAGCTATTATCGTTCTTCACTCTAAAGTTTATCTTTATGTCCCTTAAAAGAAATGGCAAAATTTTTTTTTTAAAGATACATCTTTAGGAGGTGCTCTAGGAAATCTCTATGTGCTGTGTGTTCTCAGTCAGCATTAATTGTGGTTTATAATATTTTTCAGCCTAATAAGTGATATTGCATTCTTACATTTCTCTGATTACCCATTAGTTTGAGCAGTGTTTTATATTATTTTTAGTTTGCTGTTTTTCTTTTGTTGTAAAGGTTTCCAATGCTCTATTTGGTTGTGCTCTGTTACCTTTACATCACTTGACTTTTTTCAGACATTTTAGATAATGCACTTTTGTCATTTTCAAACTTTGCAATTATTTTCTGTATGAGGCATATGCTCACTAGCTCTATTTACTGTGTCCTTAAATAAATAGAAATCACAAAATTTGCTAAATTATATTATTTATTAAATAAATCTACTATATTAAAAGGCTTATTTTTGCCATAGCAAGTACAGTATTATTATAAAGCAACTTGGTGCATCTATGTTGCAAAAATAATTTTCAAGATTTCACTGTATTTATTTTTACATTTAGGCTACTATCTTAATTCACATGCATTTCACATATATACATGTATTGTCTGTAAGGACTTAATAATGTTTTTATTGTTTTGATTTTCTCCTTATATTTAGGCATTTTCCCCAGCATCATATACTAATCCTTTATTTTTTCTTCCATTACTTAGCAGTACAAATTTTACATAAATTGATTGTCCATGTTTACTTTCCTATTAGGTCATGCCAATAAGAAATTATTAATCTTATAGATTAGAAGGGACATATCTTCCTTCTATCATAATAAAAGCCATATATGACAGACTCACAGCAAGTATTATACTGAATAGGGATAAAGAGAAAGCTTTCCCAATGAGATCTGAAACAATAAAAGGGTGCCCACTGTAACCACTTTTATTCAAGATAGTACTGGAAGTCATAGTTAGAACAATGAGACAAGAGAAAGATACAAAGTGTATCCAAATGGGAAAGAAAAAACTAAAACACTTGTTTGCAGATGATATGATCTTATATTTTGAAAAACCTAAAGACTCCAAAGGAAAACTATTAGAATGGATAAACAAATTCCGTAAAGTTTCAGTATACAAAATCAACATATAAAAATCACTAGCATTTCTATAAGTGAACAGTGTAAAAAAATGAAAAGTAATCCTATTTATAATATCCACACATAAAATTAAATACATAGGAATGAACCAAAGAAGTGAAGAATCTTTATAATGAAAACTGTAAAACACTGATGAAAGAAATTGAAAAGGACATCAAAAAAAAAAAAGGGAAACATATTATATATCCAGGAATTGGAATAATCAATATTGTTTAATTGGGGATATTGTGGCTGGTTTGATCTCCTAGCCAGACCACTGAAACTTTATATTAGCAATAATGCTGTTTCACTTTTTTATCATTCATATGTTTGCTGGAATAGCACTTATAATTATTTTGGGAAAGCATTAGCTGCAACCATAGAAGATGGTAAACTTAATCAATGAATGTTGTGTTTGTTCTAATTTTTTAACTGACCATCAGTTTCTCTATCTGTCTTCCTACACTTGGGCCTCCCTATTCCCTAAGAGACAACAATATTTAAATTAGGCAAATTAATAACTCTACAATGGCCTCTAAGTGTTCAAGTGAAACCAAGAATTGCATGTCTCTCATTTTAAATAAAAATTCAGAAATTATTAAGCTTAGTGAGGAAGGCATCTTGAAAGCTGAGATAGGTCAAAAGCTATGTCTCCTGTGTCAAACAGCCAAGTCATGAATGCGAAAGAAAAGGTATTGAAGAAAATTGGTTAAATGTAATTACAATAATTAGAATAGCAATATTAAAGCTCGCTGATCACAGCTCACCATAACAGATATCAATAATGAAAAAGTTAAAAATATAGTGAGAATTATCCAAATGTGACACAGAGACAAATGCTGTTGCACAAATGCAGTCGATGGACTTGCTCAACATCAACACAGGGTTGCCATAAACCCCAACTGGTAAAACATGCAATATCTGTAAAACGCAATAAAATGAAGCCCAATGAAGTGAAGTATGCCTATACTGACTCAGTTTTATCATCTCATGCATTTATTTTCAAGTAAACTATCGAAGCTTAATTAAATCATAAGTGTACATTTGATGGTGTTTTACATAGTGAAAATATTCTCATAACCATTCCATGGATTATGATATAAATTATTATTTATCTGCCTCTCAGAAGCCTGTATCATGTCATTCTCTCCACTCAAATCGCTCTTCAAAGTTCTTTCACCATTTATTAGGTTTGCCAACTTTTAAACTTTTTATAATGGATGGATCATATTGAATATAATTTTGTGTCTGATTTCATTTGCTCAGACATTTTTCTGAGGGCTGTAAGCATACTGTTTACTGTTGCAGGAGTTTGGTCATTTTTATTGCTATATAATATTCTACTGAAAAAATTTGCATCTTATTGTGTGAAATTTCTTTGAAAATATTCTGTCCATGATGCACTGTGGGTGTTAAGTATTCAATTGAATTCCATTTAACTTGGGAGAGTTAATTTTTCTTTTTCCCTCTGACCTGTTTACTTAAGATTTCAATGAGAATAGAGGCCTCTCCTGCTGCAAGTGAGTGGTTGTTTTGAGATTTTTGAGATTCAGGTTTTAGGGCTCTCTCTGCTATTACTGCAGTTGCTAATCCCATGATGGTGTATTAGGAGTCATGCTTTAGTGGGAGGTTTGCCCCCAACAAGATATATTTGGAGATTATAGGGATACTTTGTTAGACAGTTTCTGGAATGTGTCTGTGTGTGCATCTGCACGCATGTTGCTTTGCCATCCTAGTTGATCTGTTGCTGCATGTGAGTATATTTTTAGAGATTCAAAAACTATTCCCCATGATCTTCCTTCTCAGAAATCCCCTAACTATATTTTCAGTGAGGAGGGAATATGCTTAATTATACGGTTATCAAGATTAGTTGGTCAGAACATGTCAGGGAAGAGAGAGGTGTGTGAAGAGATACGTTGAAAAAAAAAAACAAAATACCTCTGTTTCAAAGTAAATATATGGAAATGTAATGCATATAAATCTAAATAATATCTCTAACTGTAATTGCAAATATGTAAACATAACCAAATATAGTAATGTGTATAGAGAAGAAAATATAAAATTGTCCCTAATATTTTTACGTCAAATGAGTAGCAATATGATATAAACTTCCAAGGAAACTTTAGATTACAGAACATTGAGATTGCTTATGGTTTAGTTTTTTTAAAAGTAAGCAAAATATAGCTTATATTATAAGGCTTATAATTGAAAAACTATTTCACTTGGCATCTACCACTATGTTTAGTTTCATGTATTCTTTACTCCAGCCAGGCATATATTGTGTAAGCCAAGATTCAAAATAATTACGGCAGAATCTTTTTTTTGTAATACTCTGTCATATTAAGTTTCTATATTCCTCCATTCTTTTAAAAAATATTTTACTTAAAGGCATGTTGCAGTGTTTTTTAAATAAGATTATAAAGGCTGGATGTTTCCTTGAATGAAGAAAATTCATTTTCAGTTGTTAAGGACATAACAACACACATGCTATTTGAGCATGATTTTTCTTTTTTCAGAGCATCGTTTTTCAGTTTTGCATGAATTTCTGAAATGTTATTGAAAAACATATTTATCAATTGTTTTACTTCAATACAGAGAAAAACATTAGGCAAAACAAATGAGGATTATGGGTACATAATTACTGAATAAAAAATTTGAGAGAAATAAGGGATTTTTAAAACTTCCAAATGATTTATTATAGTTTTCCTGAGTTGTTACAGCTAAAATTTCCATTTTGATTCTATTTATTTTATATTTTTATCTAGGAAACAGTGAGAAGCCTAGACTCCAAAATGAAAGTCACATGGTGTAATTTAAAATAAAGGCATGATTCCATGAATGAAATTCAAAGAAATAAGAATCAGCTTGAGGGACTCATATAGCCTGAAAATCATATTTGAGTTCTGGCAAGTATTTGCAGGAAAATTTTGTTTATAGGCAAAGAAATCATTTTAGCTATCATCCCCCACAAAAAATTAAATTAAATTAAATTTAAATTTAAAAGGATGGGAGTCTGTGGAAATTTATAGAAGCTATACCCTAAATGTCAGGAGTGCAACTTGATTCTTGAGTGACTGAATGACAAATTAAACTTATTATCTCCCCATCTTCACATAATAACTCATACCTGCTATTTTTTGCTTACATTACTTATTAAATTTTTAGCCTTGTGGTCTTTGACTGAATTTACAAATGGACTAAATGCAGGTCTTATAGTTTTTATTTATAGTACAGAATGGTGAATTATAAATCACAATGTACTGGATTGATTATAAAACATTTTTTACTCATTTGCATAATGGGTTTATATGCTGTCTGACTAGCCATAGAAAAATGGAAAAACATAATATGATCCACGGCCTTGTCTATGGAAACAATAAGAAAATACTATTTTAGAAGAGAGTATACATCATTTTTCTGAAATAGAAGAATGGGAACACGGTAGCAAAATTTAACATGCCAGTAATGTTTGACATCTTTAATACATGAAGAAAAAAATATTGCTAATATAGTAAAGCAAGGAGTGAGAAAATAGAATTTTGTCATATACCTAGGTTGGTGCATTCTTTTACTAAATAGACATATAGTTTAAGCATAAAATAAAATATATTAAGCATATTAAATGCTTAAATAGATTAAGTATATTATTAAGAAAGAATGAAGGCATATGAGTATACGGAGAATTGAAGCAAAACTTAATACCACTAAAAATTATATATGTAATTCAAGGAAATACACTCATAATATGATTGAAATAGTTGATTCTTTTTTTCTCCTTTTATGTTTTTAATGAAACCTGAAAACATATATGTACAATACGAAACAAACTGCTTTAAAGCCATTTTCCTCCTGGATTTTAGCCCCTGGGATACACAATATAATGTTTATTCAAAATTAAATGCATAGCTCTTTTTATACTCTTGCTTGTCAATATACAGGGAGGTTATGAAATGGGTAAATGAGTATAAGTAAGTTATTCAATTTTTTTAAAGTTCAGGTAGAATATCTAATTCCACAGCTAAAATTTCTACCATGGTAACCATAAACATAAGATTAATATGCAGTAGAAAAAAAAATAGTTCAGAAAATTAAGTTTTGAGATGAGAATAAAACGTAAAATGAAATGATCTCAAAAGAAAATCAACTAAACCAAAGTCTAATATAGCTATATTACCACCAATAATTAAATATTAAGGAAAAGATAATATTTTCTTCTACAGGACAGTGAAGGAAAGCTAATCCCATAAATAACAAAAAAGAAAATATTTTACATAGCATATTATGGATAATATATATGCAAAATCCATTTAAATTACATTTGATAGCAGTCAGTAAACTATCTGAAACTATATGTAACTTTGTCTTTATGACCAATACAACAATATGAAGTCAAACTCTTATTTCTCATCATTTGTGAGGTTTACACAGTTCCATTCATTAAAATTAATTAAAAACTTACTAGGGTTTCCTAACAACCCCAATATTCTGACTCTGTATTATGTAATCTTAGACAAATAAAATTTCTGTACTTTCGTCTATACTTTCATTGCCTTCTGCTTCCATTTTCATCGCCTTCCCTTTCTATCAAATTAACAAAGACTAGGCAGGGTGTAGTGGCTCACGCCTGTATTCCCAGCACTTTGAGAGGCAGAGGTGGGTGGATCACCTGAGGTCTGGAGTTCGAGACCAGCCTGACCGACAAGGTGAAACCTTGTCTCTATTAAAAAAAATACAAAAATTAGATGGGCGTGGTGGCAGGCGCCTGTAGTTCCAGCTAATCAAGAGGCTGAGACAGGAGAATTGGGTTGAACCTGGGAGTCAGAGGTTGCAGTGAGGCACGATCAGGCCACTGCACTCCAGCCTGAGCGATGGAGTGAGATTCCATCTCAACAACAACAACAAACATGTTTTAATAAATTCAAAATGATTTAAGTAATTAAAAGTTTGTTCTGTGACCACAGCAGATTTAATAAGAAATTAGAAAGATATAAGCGATCTTACATTCAGAAATAAAACAACACACTTTTTAAAAAATTTTCTTTTATTATATTTTAAGTTCTAGGTACATGTGCAAAATATGCAGGTTTGTTACATATGTATACATGTGTCATGCTGGTGTGCTGCACCCATTAACTCGGACTTTAGGTATATCTCCTAATGCTATCCCTCCCCCTCCCCCCACCCCACAACAGGCCACAGTGTGTGATGTTCCCCTTCCTGTGTCCAAGTGTTCTCATTGTTCAATTCCCACCTATGAGTGAGAACATGTGGTGTTTGTTTTTTTGTCCTTGCGATAGTTTGCTGAGAATGATGGTTTCCAGCTTCATGATGCCCCTACAAAGGACATGAACTCATCATTTTTTATGGCTGCATAGTATTCCATGGTGTATATGTGCCACATTTTCTTAATCCAGTCTATCATTAATGGACATTTGGGTTGGTTCCAAGACTTTGCTATTGTAAATAGTGTCACAGTAAACGTACGTGTGCATGTGTCTTTATAGCAGCATGACTTATAATCCTTTGTGTATATACCCAGTAATGGGATAGCTGGGTCAAATGGTATTTCTAGTTCTAGAGCCCTGAGGAATCACCACACTGTCTTCCACAGTGGTTGAACTAGTTTACAGTCCCACCAACAGTGTAAGAGTGTTCCTAT
Organism: Homo sapiens; assembly: GCF_000001405.40. Classification (NCBI taxonomy): domain Eukaryota; kingdom Metazoa; phylum Chordata; class Mammalia; order Primates; family Hominidae; genus Homo; species Homo sapiens. The sequence continues at coordinate 64,240,908 of NC_000004.12, read as the reverse complement.
TTCTCCACATCGTCGCCAGCACCTGTTGTTTCCTGACTTTTTAATGATCGCCATTCTAACTGGTGTGAGATGGTGTCTCATTGTGGTTTTGATTTGCATTTCTCTGATGGCCAGTCATGATGATGAGCACTTTTTCATGTGTCTGTTAGCTGCATAAATGTCTTCCTTTGAGAAGTGTCTGTTCATATCCTTCACCCACTTTTTGATGGGGTTGTTTGTTTTTTTCTTGTAAATTTGTTTGAGTTCTTTGTAGATTCTGGATATTAGCTCTTTGTCAGATGAGTAGATCACAAAAATTTTCTCCCATTCTGTAGGTTGCCTGTTGACTCTGATGGTAGTTTCTTTTGCTGTGCAGAAGATCTTTAGTTTAATTAGATCCCATTTGTCAATTTTGGCTTTTGTTGCCATTGCTTTTGGTGTTTTAGACATGAAGTCCTTGCCCATCCCTATGTCCTGAATGGTATTGCCTAGGTTTTCTTCTAGGGTTTTTATGGTTTTAGGTCTAACATTTAAGTCTTTAATCCATCTTGAATTAATTTTTGTATAAGGTGTAAGGAAGGGATCCAGTTTCAGCTTTCTTCATATGCCTAGCCAGTTTTCCTGGCACCATTTGTTAAATAGGGAATCCTTTCCCCATTCCTTGTTTTTGTCAGGTTTGTCAAAGATCAGATGGTTGTAGATGTGTGGTATTATTTCTGAGGGTTCTGTTCTGTTCCATTGGTCTATATCTATGTTTTGGTACCAGTACCATGCTGTTTTGGTTACTGTAGCCTTGTAGTATAGTTTGAAGTCAGGTAGTGTGATGCCTCTAGCTTTGTTCTTTTGGCTTAGGATTGACATGGCAATGCGGGCTCTTTTTTTGTTCCACATGAACTTTAAAGTAGTTTTTTCCAATTCTGTGAAGAAAGTCATTGGTAGCTTGATGGGGATGGCATTGAATCTATAAATTACCTTGGGCAGTTAGGCCATTTCCACAGTATTGATTCTTCCTATCCATGAGCATGGAATGTTCTTCCATTTGTTTGTATCCTCTTTTATTTCATTTTGTCACCACCAGGCCTGCCCTACAAGAGCTCCTGAAGGAAGCACTAAACATGGATAGGAACAACCAGTACCAGCCACTGCAAAAACATGCCAAATTGTAAAGACCATCGATGCTAGGAAGAAACTGCATCAACTAACGAGCGAAATAACCAGCTAACATCATAATGACAGGATCAAATTCACACATAACAATATTAACCTTAAATGTAAATGGGCTAAATGCTCCAATTAAAAGACACAGACTGGCAAATTCGATAAAGAGTCAAGACCCAGCAGTGTGCTGTATTCAGGAAACCCATCTCATGTGCAGAGACACACATAGGCTCAAAATAAAGGGATGGAGGAAGGGATCAATTCAACAAGAAGAGCTAACTATCCTAAATATATATGTACCCAATACAGGAGCACCCAGATTCATAAAGCAAGTCCTTAGTGACCTACAAGGAGACTTAAACTCCCACACAATAATAATGGGAGACTTTAACACCCCAATGTCAACATTAGACAGATCAACAAGACAGAAAATTAACAAAGATATCCAGGAACTGAACTCAGCTCTGTACCAAGCAGACCTAATAGACATCTACAGAGCTCTCCACTCCAAATCAAGAGAATATACATTCTTCTCAGCACCATACTGCACTTATTCCAAAATTGACCACATAGTTGGAAGTAAAGCACTCCTCAGCAAATGTAAAAGAACAGAAATCATAACAAACTGTCTCTCAGACCACAGTGCAATCAAACTAGAACTCAGGATTAAGAAACTCACTCAAAACCGCTCAACTACATGGAAACTGAACAACCTGCTCCTGAATAACTACTGGGTACATAACAAAATGAAGGCAGAAATAAAGATGTTCTTTGAAACAAATGAGAACAAAGACACAACATACCAGAATCTCTGGGACAGATTTAGAGCAGTGTGTAGAGGGAAATTTATAGCACTAAATGCCCACAAGAGAAAGCAGGAAAGATCTAAAATTGACACCCTCACATCACAATTAAAAGAACTAGAGAAGCTAGAGCAAAAACATTCAAAAGCTAGCGGAAGGCAAGAAATAACTAAGATGAGAGCAGAACTGAAGGAGATTGACACACAAAAAAACCCTTCAAAAAAATCAATGAATGCAGGAGCTGTTTTTTTGAAAAGATCAACAAAATGGATAGATAGCTAGCAAGACTAATAAAGAAGAAAAGAGAGAAGAATCAAATAGATGCAATAAAAAATGATAAAGGGGATATCACCACCAATCCCACAGAAATACAAACTACCATCACAGAATACTATAAACACCTCTACACAAATAAACTAGAAAATCTAGATGAAATGGATGAATTCCTGGACACATACACCCTCCCAAGACTAAACCAGGAAGAAATTGAATCTCTGAATAGACTAATAACAGGCTGTGAAATTGAGGCAATAACTAATAGCCTGCCAACCAAAAAAAGTCCATGGCCAGATGGATTCAGAGCCGAATTCTACCAGAGGTACAAGGAGAAGCTGGTACCATTCCTTCTGAAACTATTCCGATCAATAGAAAAAGAGGAAATCCTCCCTAACTCATTTTATGAAGGACAACATCCTCCTGATACCAAAGCCTGGCAGAGACATAACAAAAAAAGAGAATTTTAGACCAATATCCCTGATGAACATCGATGCAAAAATCCTCAATAAAATACTGGCAAACCAAATCCAGCAGCACATCAAAAGGCTTATCCACCATAATCAAGTGGGCTTCATCCCTGTGATGCAAGGCTGGTTCAACATATGCAAATCAATAAATGTAATCCAGCATATAAACAGAACCAAAGACAAAAACCACATGACTATCTCAATAGATGCAGAAAAGGCCTTTGACAAAATTCAACAACGCTTCATGCTAAAAACTCTCAATAAATTAGGTATTGATGGGACTTATCTCAAAATAATAAGAGCTATTTATGACAAACCCACAGCCAATATCACACTGAATGGGCAAAAACTGGAAGCATTCCCTTTGAAAACTGGCACAAGACACGGATGCCCTCTCTCACCACTCCTATTCAACATAGTGTTGGAAGTTCTGGCCAGGGCAATCAGGCAGGAGAAGGAAATAAAGGGTATTCAATTAGGAAAAGAGGAAGTCAAATTGTCCCTGTTTGCAGATGACATGATTGTATATCTAGAAAACCCCATTGTCTCAGCCCAAAATCTCCTTAAGCTGATAAGCAACTTCAGCAAAGTCTCAGGATACAAAATCAATGTACAAAAATCACAAGCATTCTTATACACCAATAACAGACAAACAGAGAGCCAAATCATGAGTGAACTCCCATTCACAATTGCTTCAAAGAGAATAAAATACCTAGGAATCCAACTTACAAGGGATGTGAAGGACCTCTTCAAGGAGAACTACAAACCACTGCTCAATGAAATAACACACATTTAAATAATACATAGATCAAAAGAAATCAAAAGTAAAAATAGAAAGTGAGTTAAAATACAAAGGAAACATATCAGTTTTTTGGGTTGCCATTAAAGCAGTAGTTAGAATGAAATTCATAGCTTTAAACACATATGAGAAAAGAAGACTTCAACTTTCACTATTAGAAACTAGGAAAAGGCAAACCAAAAATCCCCAAAGTTAGCCTAAGAAAGGCACTAATAAAAATCAGCGTAGACATCAGTAAGACATCAAAGCAATAAAGAAAAACTGTTGAAACCAAATATCTTCTTCTTTGAAAACATTTTTTAAATCTCTTAGAAAAAATAAGCAGACAGAAATTACAAATATTAGGAATTAATTTTTAAGAGATGTATTTTTGCTAAAAATTTTATTGAAAATTTGTCAGAGTTTTTATGGAGCATTTCATTTCTTTTCTCTCCTGTGCTCTGGAAGAGTTTAATAGAAGATTGGCCATACTTATTACTTGAGAGTTTGATAGAATTCCCCAGTAAACCCATTTGAAATTTGCATTTTTCTTTGTAAAAAATGTTTTCACCATGAAATCAATAACTTCAATAGTTAAGAGAATTTTAATTATTTTTTCTTTAATTAGGAATTTTTATTTTCTCAGGATTTGGTTTGTTCATTCATCTAAACTTCTAAATATATAGGAAAAGTCAGTCAAAATATCATCTTTGTAATTAAGTTTGGAAACTTGCAGAGAATTGTTAGATGCAAAAGCACTGTAAAAGTACATTGTTTTTTATATAACTAACAATCATAAAATGTAATTTTAAAAAATATTATTAAAATATCTTCAAAATTATCAAATATGAACAGATAATCAAAGATGCACAATGCATTTATCAAGGAAAAAGACTACTTAAGGAAATGACTATTAATGTAATTAAATTATGTAGGAAAATCACATTGTTCATTTTTAGCTTGGGCCTTTCCATTCCCTCTGTTTACTCTTGATTACTTTTCCCAGAGGTTCATACATTTTAGTAGCATTTAAAAGCACAATGTTTGGCTTTGTTGATTTTTCTCTAGTGAATAATTTTTTTGTTTTATTATTTTCTATTCTTATTATTTTCTTCAGTTTAGTTTATTTGTGTTTAATTGGCTGCTCTTTAACTTACTCAGGTGGATTCATAGATTTTTTTTTCTATTATAAGAATTCAATGCTAAAATTGTTCATCTAAGCGTTACTTTAGTTCTATTCCACAAATTTCTGTGCAAAATATTCTTATTATTGAGTTCAAAGCATTTTCTAATTTTTATTTTAATAGCTTTTGTGGCATGGCTTTTTGCCATGTATTTCTTCATTCACTAGTATGTAAGGAATTTCTAGCTATTTGCTATTGATTTCCACCTAAATTTCTAAAGACAATGTACTCAGGATAATTTTAATATTTTAACATTTTTATACCTTATGGCCAATAATTTGGCAAATTTTTGTAAATGGTTTGTGAGCATGAATACAATCTTCTACAAATATCCATTAGATAAGCATTGTATATTTTGCTGTTCAAATTTATTTTATACTTTTTTAACCGCTTGTCTTCTAACTTATTTAACTTTAAAACTTAACTCTTTTGAAGTTCTCCACTGAAATTGCATATTTATTTATTATACCCCTATGCATTTCAACTTCATATAATTTGCAACTTTGTTATTTTTGTCTGTACAATTTAGAATGTATAAAATTTCCTGGAGAACCAAACTATTTATGTCTTTTATTTGTCTTCAACAAGGTTTGTTTAGTTTAAAATCTACTGTTTTCTGTTAATACAGAAACATTATCTTTCATTTGGTTGGTGTTTTCAGACTAAATAATTTTTCTTTCTTTTACTATCCAGCTTTCTGTATGCTAAACTTTTAGATGTCTCTTATAAACATCATAAATGACAGATTTTAGATTTTTTCCAGTCTGTTACTCTCCATCTTTTAACTTGAAAATTTAGTCTGGGTCTTAGACTATTTTCTTTTTTAAAATATTCTTTATTTTTGTTATTTATTTATTTATTTTTAAGACAGTGTCTTATTCTCTCTCAGGCTGGAGTGCTAGGCTCAGATTCTAGCTCATTGCAGCCTTGAACTCCTGAGCTCATGCAATCCTAGTTGTCTCAGCCATCTGAGTAGCTGGGACAACAGACACCATTCTCAGCTGACTTTTTATTTTTAATTCTTTTGTAGAGATGCTATCTTAAAATATTACCCAGGCTGGTCTTGAACTCCTGTCCTCAAGTGATCTTCCCACCTTGGACGCATAAAGTGCTGGGATTCACAGGCAGGTCTTGCCTGGGTTTGAGTCTATTTTCTGCTGCTATAACAGAATACCAGCGACTGTGTGATTTATCATTAACAGAAGTTTATTAGGTTTTAGAGGCTGGGAAGCCCAAGACCATGGCATTGGCATGAGATTCATCCCCTGGTGGAAAGACAGAAAAGAGAGAACAAGAGGTAGACTCCTTTTTATAACAAAGAGCTCTTGTAATAACTTAACCTGTCCTTTGATAATGATATTAATTCATTCATGAGGGCTCTGCCCTTGTGATCCAATCACATCTTAGCAGTTTCTACCACCCAACACTATTGCATCCAATGATTTACTCTTTAAAATATGAACTTTGAGGGGCAAGGATTTAGTCTTTAAAATATGAACCTTGGGGGGTTCACATTCAAGCCATAGAATTTTGTTTAGGGTTAATGTAATTATTGATACATTTTGATATCAATTCCTACTTTCATATTTACCAGCCATTTCTATGTCGGAAAGAGGTCTTCCTTTGAGTAATGTTGAAATTCCAATAACTAGTAAAATACATAATTAAAATGTTAATAATTAAAATGATAATCAGTTGTCATAAAAATGTGCATAAATTATATAAATTTTTTTTTTTTTTTGAGACAGAGTCTCGCTCTGTCGCCCAGGCTGGAGTGCAGTGGCGTGATCTCGGCTCACTGCAAGCTCCGCCTCCCGGGTTCACGCCATTCTCCTGCCTCAGCCTCCCGAGTAGCTGGGACTACAGGCGCCTGCTACCACGCCCGGCTAATTTTTTGTATTTTTAGTAGAGACGGGGTTTCACCGTGTTAGCCAGGATGGTCTCGATCTCCTGACCTCGTGATCCGCCCGCCTCGGCCTCCCAAAGTGCTGGGATTACAGGCGTGAGCCACCGCGCCCGGCCAAATTATATAAATTTTAATAGATAAATTTACATAAACAAATAAAATTCATTGTTAATTATGATGTTTCTCAATTTTTAGTGGGCAACATAGTCATCTGAGAAGTTTGCTAAATAAATATGTAAGAATGGCCCTATTCAATCCTAATTTACCATAACATAAATGAGAACTCAGTGTTTATATTTTTAAGAACTTTAGCTGATAATTATAAAGAACGCCAAAATTGAGTTATATGATGCTAGATTGTTTTATTTTGACTTCATTAATAATTTTATAAGAATATTGTATATAAATGGTCAAAAATATAAATATTCCAGATTTCCAAAATTTTAACTTATATTGTATATGTAAAGTTTCAACAACTATTTTGCCTCACTCTCAGTGAGTTATTTCCTAATCTAGTCAAAGTTTTTATCTGATTTATCAAGATGACTCACAATTTTATTATTTTCAATTTTATCTATCAAAGTTTGCTGAGAAATATTAAGCAGATATGGAGAATATTTTGGGTGATATTACATGAAGTATATGTTTATTTTTATCCATATATCTATCAATCTATTCATCCATTTGTTACGGTAGGTAGCTAGTCAACTATGAGCAGGGCTAGAGAGAACTCCCCTCCAACACACACCAGGAGTGTTGGGCAACCATCAGGTAATGGTCAGGTGGTTGTTGATTACCTCTCTAAAGTAATAACTGGCACAGCTGATGCCAGGTAAAGACAGTCTCTTAATAGATAGCAAACACCTAAAAATGGTGATCATCAGTTTCCCAATAAGATCTCAGAAGCAGGAAGAAGTAAAACAAGACCAAGGAAGTACGCCAACATATAAAATCCCAGATAGAGAGATCAAATCACATACTTGTCTCTTAAGTTGCCCACTTGGCCCTCTTACAAGCATACTTTCCTTCCTTTTCTCCCTTTCATTCCTGCTCTAAAGCTTTTAAAATAAACTTTCACTCTTGCTCTAAAACTTCCCTCAGTTTCTCCTTCAGCCATATGCCTCTCAGTCCATTTTTTTCATCTGAGGAGGGAAGAATTGTGATTGCTGCACACCTATGGAGATAACTACCACCACTAACACATCAATCTATCTATCATCCATTTATCTATCTTGCCTTTTAAGTATATGGGCTTGGTGGAAAATTGATTCTAATAAGAAAGTGAGTCTTCTGAGTATACCAATAATTAGCACAGTATGGGTAAAAATTATTCTAATATCATTTTCATGAGAGGACATGATCTAATTTAATATCAACCTCATAGAGAGGAGGCAGTTAGGGGCTGGTTAAGGAGATAGGGAGGGTCTCAGGAGAAGGACAGACAAGAGCAATTTTCACAGGAAAAAACACAGGACAGCACCTACACTACTTCTGCAGCTAATGGGAAGAAATGTAGTCTAGAACTTCCCTTTGTGCCAAGATGTGGCTCAGAAGGGACTCTCCCAACTTAGATGCAGACTGAATAAATCAACCTAAATGTCCTTAACCCAGCTTATTATAATGTCATTAGCATGACATTAGCATTGTGTTTTTAGTGCCCTTGTGGGTATCACTTAGGCATTCATGGGTAATAACCAACATGGGGTCACTGTGGCCAACCCCAGGCATGTGCAGATGCAAAATCTCCAGGAGGGAACTTTGCCCCTCTCATTTAGGCAAAACCGACAGAAGACTTCCTGGCCTCTGCCACATAAAAGACGTAGAACCAAGCACCATTTCTGGCAACCTACTTTCAGACAACTTCTCTTTGCTGAGAGCTTTCCTTTTACTCAATAAATTCCACCCTACTCACTCTCTGGTATCCACATGCCTCATTCTTCTTGGTTGCAGGACAAGAACTTAGATGTCACTGAACTATGGACTAAGCAAACAGCAACTTTTGGAGGGCTCATTAGGGATTGTCAGAAGTGTGAGCAGGAGCAGACCTCTATTTCTTTACTTTTATTTCTGAGGCTTTTTGTCCTCAGTTTTTCTTCCTTTCAAGATCAAATTAAAGACTATGCCTCTGATGGCCAGTTAAGAGCATATAACATGGCTGCTGAACTTAAGACTTAGAGGACAGGCTTGCTTGGAAGGACTTTGTCAGTCCCCAATTGCCCTCAGGTCTTGGGAACATTGGCTCTGTTCTAACCCAGTTTCCCTTCACAGAAGTCTAGCCACTGCCTGGGACTGGAAGGAGGTCCTGAGGTCATTGAGTGTATCAGGCTGAGGTTACACCTCAGAGTTCCCTAAAGGCCCCTGGACTGACTCCAGTCCCTGACAGCCCATTAGGGTGTCAGCACCAGGACCTCCAGTATTTTTATTCACATTTTCTTTTTTTCTGTCACAGCTGTTATGTCTCTTAACCTGTTTTTGTATGCAATGTTGCAGGTGTTTTGCAGCTCAGAAATATAATTTTGTTTGGTAAAATCAGCTACTTTCTTAGTAACCTGGAATGTAACTCACAGATTTGCTTTTCTGTGATTTCCTTGAGACAGAAGAATTTCAAGATTTCAGTCTAAGGATCCCCCATCTCCTTATGATGACCCCACATGGCACTGTATAAAGCAATATTTCACACCAAGTGATAGCTTTCCTCTCCGTCTGGGCTGTTTCTTTCTCTGTGTGAGAATCAAACACCATTCAGTGAATTTAAGCAGCAGCTCTATGAGACAAATTAATTTTCTTCTGCTCAGAGGCATATTGTGATGATAGCCTCTCTTTCCAACCTCTGCCTGGGAAGTATTTGGAGACAAAGTTACAGCCTAACAGTTCAATCTTTTTCAGGCCTCCTGATGGGATGAGACAATTTTCCTTGGGAAGCCCTATCATCCCTCTGCCCCATACCCTGTTTTCCAGTTACACACTCTCCTCTGGCCATTCAGCAGAGACAAAGCCCTTTGTCCTATTTGTAAAAGGAAAAATTTACTGCATGATAGGGAGGAAGAAGAAAGCCTAAATAGGGAGAGGTTTGCTTCTATGCTGTCTCCACAGAAGGAAGGAAAACAGTCCGATCCTTACATTCTTTTGAGAAATCTGTTTTGTTTCCAATTGCAATGGTACTTAAATGAAGAGGGGGAATTATGTTTGGAGGTTAATCTTTTCCATTTTCTTGGATGTCTTGATTTGGCCCAATTTCTGACCTGCATCATGAGGGAAGAATTTAGTAACTAGACTAAAACACCCCTTCCACTGAGGCTTGTGGCCCAAATTTAGCTATTCTCTGTCTCTTCATGGCACCAAGGTGGAAATCTAGAAAGGCAAGTAGGCTTAAAGGGGAAGAAACCAACAGCGGAGGACTAGAGCTTCATAGAGGTAAGCATGTCTACCCCTGCAACTAGCTCCTCTGGATCCATGGGTGAAGGTCATGCTTGCATCCATGGATGACATCTACGAAGATCAACAGGACCTAAAGGATATAGGGAGGCAAAGAGGAGAAAGGGGATGACTTTTTTTTCTCTCTCTCTATCCTGAGTCACTCCAAAAGAGTTAATGAGACAAAGGGACACATTTTCTCCATGGGTAACAAATGATCTTCAGCCTGCTTCTTGAAACACTGGGATTCCTTTGACCCTCAGTCTCTGAGGAGAAAACGTCTTATATTCTTTTTCCCAAGGCTATGACCAGCTTATCACCTGGAAGACAGACAGCCCTGGCTTCCTGAGGGAAGGATTAGTTATGTCATTCAGGAGCTGGACCTTTTCTGTAGATGTGAGGACACATTTTCTTAGGTCTCATATGTACAAGCTTCCTTGTTTTTCAGGATGACCAAGACCTCTGTCAATGCTGTAGAACTGACCCAGCACTCCTAGAAGTTATATCAGGAGGAACTGAAAGAGATGGTCTTAGTGGACCAGGGAACCAACACTTGGAAATGCCTCCAGAAGAGGCACAAGCTTCTACAGCTAGTTCTCTTGGTCCATCCTGCCCACCTTATCCAGGACTTCCAAAACCCCCTTCAAACTTGCCCCATTCTAGGAACCTTCATTGTAGGTGGCACCCAGCTTTATTCATGCCCTTATGAACAATGCCTTTTGAATATGGCCATATTAAAATACAGTTTATCTTTCCTCTATAGGACTTAAAACAAATTAAAGGAGATCTTAGTAGATTTTCAGATGATCCTGACAAATATATAGAAGCTTTCCAGAATATAACCCAATTATTTGAACCCTCCTGGAAAGATTTTGTGTTACTCATAAATGAACCCCTGACTGTTGCTGACAAAGAGACAGCCCTACAAGCAGTAGAGAAATTTGGAGATGAACTTTGTGTCTCATACAATGCCAGAGGAGGGAAAGAGCCTTACCCAACTGGGAGGGTAGCAATGCCCTTGGAGAACCATAAATGGGACCATGATGACAGCATAAGAAATTGGAGAAGGAAACTCTTTCAAATGTGTATATTGGAGGGCTTGTGAAGAACCAGGGTCAATTCTCTTAATCACTCCAAGCTATCTATGATAGACCAGAAACAAGATGAAAATCCCTCAGCCTTTTTGGAAAAGCTGAGAGAAGCTTTGGTAAAACACCTCCCTATCTCCCAGTTCATTGAGGAACAGCTAATCTTGAAGGACAAGTTCATTACTCTGGAAGCTCTTGATATCAGGAGGAAGCTACAGAACAGTCCATAAGATCAAATAGCACCTTAGAAGACCTCCTGAAGGTGGCAAACTTGGTCTTTTACAATAGGGACCAGGAGGAGGCTCAGGACAAAGAGAGGAAGCAGAGGCTAAAAGAGTCTTTGACCAATTAAAGCAAGCCTTGCTTAAGGCACCAGCTCTTAGTCTTCCCATAGAGAAGACATTAAATCTTTTTGTATCAGAAATGAAAGGAATGGCCCTGGGAGTTCCAACCCAGGCACAAGGTCCAGCTCATGGACTTCCTAAGAAAGGAGCTGGATTTGGTGGCTAAGGGATGGCCAGCCTGCTTCTGGGCACTTGCAGCAGTAGCCTTGCAGGTGCCAGAGGCTATGAAATTAACTGTGGGAATAACTGTCCTGTTATTTAACCAATAATGTGGCAGGACTGCTGTCTTTCTAAAAGGAGTCTCTGGCTAACAGACAGCTGCCTCCTCAAATATCAGGCTCTGCTGTTAGAGGGCTCTATGGTCCAGTTAAAAACCTGTCCCTGTCTAAACCCAGCCACCTTCCTCCCCCAAAAAAGCTAGAGAGCCTGAGCATGACTGTGCACAGCTAGTGGTGCAAACCTATGTGGCCAAGGGGGATCTCAAAGAAACTCCCTTAGAAAACCCAGACTAGATTCTCTTTATGGATGGAAATGCTTTGTAGACAAAAAATTCTGTAAAGCAGGATATGCAGTAGTTCACCCTGAATGATATTATTAAGAATCTGCCTCTCTCACCAGGCACATGCGCTCAACCAGCTAAGCTAATTACTCTCACAAGGGTACTTGAATTAAGCATAGGAAAAGCAGTTAACATTTATATTGACTCTTAAGTGTGCTTTCTTAATCCTCTATGCCCATGCCACTATCTGGAAAGAGAGATCTTTCTTCATAGCTAATGGGTCTCCCCTTAAATACCACTAGGAATTTTACAGACTATTATCCTCAGTTTTCCTTCCATGGGAAGTGGCAGTAATACATTATAAGGACCACTAAAAGGTCTACCACCCTTACAAGCAGGCACCACAAACTCCAGGGTGGCCACAGTGCTTCTACATTCCTTTCATTTCAGCCCCTCCGTTTATACAATCTATAAGAAGTCTACCACTGGGGATGGGGGCCACACTCAAGAAAGCAAAGACCCCCTTTGCAATGTCAGAAATTATACATGTAGTAAAGAATTAAACTTTTTTATTACCACATTTACCACCGGAAGTATATCTTGCACTTCGGGCATATTTACTAGAAATGCTTTAAGAAGCCAAATACAATTTAAAAATACCATTTTCCTAAATGTTTCCGACACTTTTCTGAAAATGTAAGAGCAGTTCCAGAAATCCAACCATTCAAACTACTAGTCTGGTACAAAGACAGGGGGCCTACCCTCCCTGATAAGAGATAATTTCCCTAGTACTCCTCAATACCTTGTGTTCCCACCTGGATACAAACAACAACATGAAACACTGTATATCATAGGGCAGGGATCTTTACTTACAATTTTGATTCCTTCCCAGATTTTGCTTATCAAATGTTTAATGGAAGTAGATGTATTAAAACTTGTCAGAACAAAACAGTTTAGACAGTTAATGCCTACATTCAATATATGTGGGCAAATTCAGTTGATGGCAACTTAACAAACCACTTTGCCTTACAAAAAACAAGAGCATGGACTGGCAATTCTTGGTGTCCTTTATGAACTGGATCAAATGTCCCAAACTGTACATTCAGCCAGGACTTATGAAAGTGGGTGAATTTACTCAATAACACCACTACCATTTGTGGACCTCAGGGACTATGGTTCGTTTGTGCAGAACAGTAGCAAAAATTGTGGGCCTTGAATTTCCTAGACCTCACAGTGGTAAGAGGAATGTATTCACTGGGATGGGTGTTACCCGTGGAAGGTTCCCTACAAATATACCAGGATCTTCTCACAGTCCCTTCCCTTCAGGAATATACTTGACAGAAATAAAGAGTAGGTCTTACAGCCTTGGGTGTAATAACAGCAGTTACATCCACAGGCAGCTAGGTGAGAGAAATAGTTTACAATGCATATACAATCCAGAATGCATCAAGTTTAACTGAACAAAATGCTGAAGATCCTAGTCAAGGTCTTAAGGCCCTCAAACATCATTAGACTCACTTGTTAACCAGGTAATGGATAATACAATAGCCCTTGATTTTTCCTCAGCAGAAAAAGGAGGGCTATGTGCTGTAGCAAATACTTCTTGTTGCTTTTATGTTAACCCCTCAGGAGAGGTTAAGTTTAGAGCCAACCTGCTATTTCATAGTGCTAAATGACTCAGAGACACTAAGATCCATTTAGCTGGAGATATATGGAATGCCATTAAAGGGTATCTCCCTTCAATGTCATAGTTTCTCCCCTTAATAGGATCTCTGTAATGATTATGTTAGGTCTACTTTTTGGAACCTGCATATTAAACCGTCTTGTAAAATTTGTTTCTTTTCACCTAGTCATTAAATTTCAGATGGATCATGTAAGTGGAACAATGCATGAAGTCCTTTTTCTGAGGCCTTCTAGACTGCCCTCTGGAGGATCCCTGATTGCCACACAAACAACACTCTCTCACAGCTTGAATAAGCTAGAGTGGTCATCTCTCCTTATCCCCTAATGGCAGTTAGTGTCATCACTCCAGAGTGGAGAAGGAAAGTGGAGGCAGGTAGGGGCGGATTAGGCAGATAGAGAAGGAGGGTCTAGGGAGAAGGACAGAGAAAGGCAATGTTCATGCGAACAACCATGGGACAGCACTTACACCACCTCTGCAGCTAATAGGAAGAACTATGGTTAAGAACTTCCCCTTGTGCCAAGATGTTGCTCAAAAGGGACAGTCACAACTTAGGTACAGACACAATAAATCAACCGAAATGTCATTAACTTGACCCAGCTCATTATAAAGTCATTGGCATGATATTAGCATTGTGGTTTTAGCACCCTTATGGTTTTAACTTAGGCACTCCTGGGTAATAACCAAGATGAAGTCATTCTGGCCAATCGCAGGCATGCACAGATGTAATTCCTCTAGGAGGAAATTTTACCACTCCCATTTGGGCAGGACCCACAGAAGAGTTCCTTGTCTTTGGAACTCTTAAAAGACCAAGAACTCAGCTCCATTTCTGGTAAGCTGCTTTTACATCCCCTCTCTTTATTAAGAGCTTTCCTTTTGCTTAATAAATTCAATTATACTCACTCTCGGGTGTCCACTTGCCTCTTTCTTCTTGGTCACGGGACAAGAACTTAGACCTAGCTGAAGCAGGGACTAAGCAGACTACAACAATTATTGTATTTGTTTGTGTGTGAAAACAATGGTTTCACTTTTATTATGTAAATATAAGATTTTCAATGTTACTTTTAATACTCCTGATAATTAATTTCAAATGATGCAAATAGAAAATTAAAACACATGATGTTATTTTGTATATTTATTTCACATATTTTTTACAAATATACTTCAAAGCCTATTTGCTATTTATAGATTACATTGTGTAAATATAGTTGAATTTCACAAATAATAGACATAGATCCAGTTTGTATACACAAAAATTTAATACAAATAAAGTACATTTCTGATTGAATTGTTATTCAAACCCAGTCTTACCTAACTGGATAGTAATTTTTATAAGAATCCAGAGCTTTTCTTTTTTTTTTTTAAGTGCACATTTTGAAAGCAAAATGTAAGTGGGAATGTTAATGGGAATTATCTTACTTTTCAATTGTAAGACAGAAACACATTGAATTTTATTTTTGGAGTTTGGAACATACTTATTACTTTAAATCTGTTTATGAAAGGAGAGGGATATAATAAGAGGAGAAAAAGAAGGTCAGGGTAAACAGCAAATAAGACTGTCATTGCCATGTTGCATCAATGGAGAAAATGCCATGGGACGTTATTGAACTAATCAGGGATAACAGGAATGTCCTCATTCTGTCAGAAAGTACGTATGAAAATGACCTCTCCTTTTACCATGAACAGTCTGATACAATAGCTTGAGCATTATATATAGACAAAGAGTTTTATTTCCTTATTTCTCAGGGATTCATCCTAACATCTTTTTTCTTATCATACAGTATTCTTCATATCTGAACATTTAGAATAAAATATTAACAGAAATTGTAAAACCGTCTATTTTATTGTATAGTACTTTTTCACTAATAATTAAGTTTTAATACTAGACTTAAAGGCAATTGAAATGTATAATATTATGTAAGACATTACTCTTCTTATGAGTTTTAAAAGCAAAAGTAAGTGTACATAATCACAATACTTCAATGGTAAAACTATCCCAAATTATCATTGATTTAAAACTGTGTCCTTGAGTAATATGCGAATAACAGTAACCAGCTTATAGTAAAATCATCATTGGTTTACATAGTTGATGAATAATATTAAAAAATAAAATTATCTTTATTTACATAAAATCATGTAAAATATCAAATTATGAAATACAATAGCCTCCCTTTTTTACAAGGAATATATCCTAAGACCGTCTGTGGATGCCTGAAACCATGTATAGTACTTAACCCTATATATAGTGTTTTTTCCTATACATACATAGTTATAACAAAGTTTATAGTCACATTAAGAAGTTAACAACTAATAATAGAACAATTATAACAATCTAGTGTAATAAAAGTTATGTGAATGTGGTCTCTCTTTCTCTCTGTCTCTCAAAATACCTTACTGTACTGTATTCACCCTTTCTCCTGTGATGATCTGAGATAACAAAATGCTGAGATGGTTTGGTTCTGTTTACTCACTCAAATCTCATCTCAAATTGTAATCAACACATGTCGGGGAAGGAGCCTGGTGGGAGGTGACTGGATTATGGGGACGGTTCCCCCATGCTGTTCTCCTGTTGATGATTGAGTTCTCATGATATCTAATGATTTAAAAGTGTGGCACTTCCCCTTCTCTAGCTCTCTCTCTTTCCTCCTGTCTTGTAAAGACACGCCTCTCTTCCCTTTCACCTTATGCCATGATTGTAAGTTTCATGAGGTTTCGCCAGCCATCTGGAACTGTGAGTCAATTAAACCTCTTCTGTTTATAAATTACCCTGTCTCAGATATTTCTTTATAGCAATGTGAAAACTTACTAATACAGTTGCCTATGGTCAGATGAAGTAAGGTGACAGTGTTAGACTATTATAGACCTTGTGACAATATGTCAAAAGGCAGATTATCTGCTTTGAGTGACCTGGATTATCAAGTTATGACAATGTTGATGGTTGAATAACAGGAGCAGAGGATACTGATGACTAAAGTGGTGGGTAGCATATACAGTGTGGATATGCAGCATAAACGTCTGGACAAGGGGAAGATGTGTGTCCCAGGCAGAACAGAATAACATGGCATAGGACTGTGTGAGATTTCATCATGGTGCTCCCAGTGGTGCACAATGTAAAACTTATGAATTCTTTATTTCTGAAATTTTTTACTTAATATTTTTAGACCAGAGTTCATTGTGGGTAACTGAAACCTGGAGAGCAAAACTACAAATAAACAGGGGCTATTCTGCCCTTTTTCTATAAACCAGGATTAAAAGTTTTTATCCTGATGTTAAATAAAATTTTTAAAACTTAAAAACAAGATCGGGCATGCCAGCTCACACCTGTAATCCCAGCCCTTTGGGAGGCTGAGGAGGGCAGATTGCCTGAGGTCGGGAGTTCAAAACCAGCCTGACCAACATGGAGAAACCCATCTTTACTAAAAATACAAAATTAGACAGGCGTGGTGGCCCATGGCTGTAATCTCAGTTACTCGGGAGGCTGAGGCAGGAGAATCGCTTGAACTCAGGAGGCGGAGGTTGCAGTAAGCTGAGATCTCACCATGGCACTCCAGCCTGGGCAACGAGGGCAGAACTCCATCTCAAAAAATAAAAAAAAATTAAAAACAAAGTAACCAGTTTCACAGAAATTTCTTAAAATATTCTCTGTTGCTCTTTAAACTTGGGAAATAAGAAAAATGTAAAGTAATTGTCACTATGTTTATGAAAATGTCCTTAATAAATATTGTTATAATTTTTTCCTTTGCATAAATTACATACGTTGCAGTAAAAATACTTGATAAGAAAATGTTGACTTGTCATCAGGATCTGGTAAAAACGGTATTTTATCTTTTTAAAATTTGTACCAAATTTTCTTTCAAGTAAGAAAAAGCCAATAAATACTTTCCTACTTTTCCCCTCAGGCTTAGGAAGGAAATAAGCCCATGAGAGATAAATTATTTTTTCAATTGTAGCAGCCTTCACCCAAGACCCCTGGAGAAAACTGATGTTCAAGAGTAGAATTTCTTCTGGAAGAAGAGAAAAAGCAGAATGTCAGTCAAGGTTGGGGCTCCTTTGTTAAAAACTCCGTGTGTTTAGATTATTTTTGTGATTAAATTTTATATCACCTTGTAACCAAAGAAGTATTCAAAAGATGGAGGTCTATCACAGCTAATTATTATTTTTAAGGGAAGCCATTAGTTCTACATTATATTTATCTTTATGCATAATCTTGAAAATGATTACAAAGATTATTGCAGATTCTGTCTTAATGCTGTGATAGCATAAAGGCAGTGGAGAGTGACGCCATTGTTCTTTCACTCCTCTTTTCTTTTCATTTGACCTTCAATTACCTGCATCTTATTGGCTCTTATTAAAGTGGGATAGAGGAAAGAGAAGTTGCCTAAGCTTAGCACACACGCAATATTACAGAAGAGGCTACTGATCTTTCTCAGTTCAGGAGGTTATTGCATGAGTATACACGGGATTTTTTCAGTTATTTCCAATTTATGATCACAAGTTATTAACAGCCAATAAAAACAGAATAAAATGGGGGGAGCACGTTTCATAATTTGATTTTAAATAAAGTATGAGGATGATATTTTTTGTGCGTGATATAAATGTGTTGGAGTAGTAATGATAGTATTACAATAAAAGAGACAAAGGAGCAGGAATCACTTTTCCATTTTGTTAACTGTGGTATTCCTAGTATCTATATCTAGAACAGTGTCTACAAAAATGATATCAATGAATATGTGTTCATTGAAATTTTTGCTAAATAAAATAATTCTCATGTGCCATTCAAGGGTCAGTCCTTAATTTTTCCAACTTTTTAATTATTTTAGTGTTATTCTTAAAGTTGATACATTATCTATAGTATGTGTTGTTTAATCACTCTTTAAATCTTCACTTTAAAATGTTTTAGTTAAAATTGTAGTATATGAAATCATACCTTGTGTACAGTATTGACACAATTTTTTTAACTTTTTATTTGTATTTCTTAAATAATATTATTTGACTTGAGGTAAAGCCTTATCATCTTATTTTTCTTAATTTTTAGTGTCATTAAAGCAAAAACAAAATTGTGTGATAGACTCCTACTTTAACAATCTGTTTACTTTTTATTCAAATATAGGATTACATTTTGTTTTATTTACATATTTGCAATTATAAACCCAGTATTGTCAGAAGCATGCATGCAAGTTACAAATAATCTAAAATTAAAATGGAAAGCCACAATTAGAAAAAATGTTATTTCCTTGATACTAGTTATGTAATATAAGCATATCAAATCAATATAAAAAACATAACTTACTGGAATTTACCAAGAAAGAAGTCAATATCTACTTTTGCTATAATTTCACC
This sequence comes from Homo sapiens, assembly GCF_000001405.40. Classification (NCBI taxonomy): domain Eukaryota; kingdom Metazoa; phylum Chordata; class Mammalia; order Primates; family Hominidae; genus Homo; species Homo sapiens. Next base: position 64,221,991 of record NC_000004.12, on the reverse strand, counting down.
ATTTAATTCATTATATGTGTCAATAATTAACATCACTTGAAAATTTGTTAACATGATATTTGTAATTCCAGAATGTTGTTATCTTATATTTTTCTTGGATAATTTTTTAACTAACTTTCTGACTGTATAAAACAATGCTGCTTGTAAATAAAATCTCTGCTTGGCATCTGTTTACAATAGTAGTGCTAAAGCGCAATTTTAAATATTGAATATTGTTCATCTCAGAAATTTCCTCACTTTTAAGGCTTTAAGCAATATCTCACTGAAAATAACTCAGGTTACCACATGATTTCTTAAATATTATTATTTCTTCATAGCCATTTTCCAAACCTCCAGTCCATCTTTCAAACTATTCAACACATAACTAACACTAAAAGGTAAGTTCTTTTTTTTCTAAACCATGGTATAGTGTTTAGGAGCTCCTGGTTTGGAAGACGCTGACCAGAATTGAAGCCCTTTCTTCTGGAATTTTGACTCTGGATCAATTATACAGACTCTCTGTGCCTCATATTTATCATCTGCAACATAAATTAATTACTCCTACTTTGTAAGATATTATTGAATTAAAATTAGATGATGTATATAAAATACTTAACACAGTGGTTGATATATATTATAATTTAGTAGTAGTTATTATTGTCAAAATTTTTCTTCTGGATTGTAGTTTTTATGGCTCTCAAGTATTAAACTAAGATCAAATGCTAAGGAATTTCATTTTTTTAACAAAATATTTAATAGCAATAATCATAATTTTGTTCAAGCACCTATACTGAAGCATGTTAAACCATGTGTAATTTTTGGAGTAGAACTCAATCACTGGTGCTTTAGTGCCAATGATTGAGATCTACTCTAATAATGTCCAATACTATTGAATTCTTATCTTCAGATAATTTATTTATTTATTTATTTTATTATACTTTAAGTTTTAGGGTACATGTGCACAATGTGCAGGTTTGTTACATATGTATACATGTGCCATGTTCATGTACTGCATCCCTTAACTCATCATTTACATTAGGTATGTCTCCTAATGCTATCCCTCCTCCCTCCCCCCGCCCCACGACAGGGCCCGGTGTGTGATGTTCCCCACACTGTGTCCAAAGAGAATTTAAAATGAAAAATTTTGCATTAAACTTTAGCCTCTATGACAAAAGAATTAAATAAATTATTTGTCTGTTTCACAGCATCCTGTATATACCTCATATTTATTTAAAAGATCTATAAGTTTCATGCCACTGGTGAGAAAAATGTTTTTTCACATGGGTATATATATTATTGAATAATATTTTCTGGTTCAGGAGAGATATTTAGGGAACAGTAAGGAGCTATACAGTGTTAACCTACTCAGCTCAATTAAATAAATTGCTCAATGGAGGAACATATGTCTAAATCAATCACATTCATAGTCAAACCATTTTATATATTTGTTACCTAGTATTTTAAGTAGTATTAGAAGTGTCACTACCCAGATATATCTTATGTCTTCTATAATTATGAGCTGCTTAAGAGCAGGAACACATACTTACTTATTTTGCCCATTTTATATTGCCTCTCAGACCGCTTGGTGTCTTTAAAAAATAGGTTATCATTAAAAAGTTAATAATAACAATAAAATAAAAATGGTTTAAATTCAAAACTCAATAGGAGAAAAGTCCTATCTGACATAATAATAAAAAAGATAAGTTATCTAAACAGTATATATATATATGTTTTGCTTGTTTGTTTGTTTGTTTGTTTTTTGCAACATAAATGAGAAAACTTCCCAAGATACACAAAGTGGACTTGAACAAATTGAAAATAAATGCTATGCCCTTGGATAGGAAGACTCTGTTGTCAGGAAAAAAAAATAATGTCACCCTTCTGCAAGCCAACTGACAAATTTATAATTTATTCACTGTGCTTCATGGAAAAGAATTAATACATCCCAACTATTGCCACAGGACTTGCAGTGCTTCACTGAGGGAGGGTACTTCTGTGCCTACTGAGTTGAACATGGCCATCTTTGGCCACCAGCTTTGGCCAAAAAAAGTAAGAAAAATTGAGCTGTGCCACTTCGCAGAGAAACTTGAAGAGATTCCCTGTGGTTTCGCCATGCTCTTTCCAAATTCTGGTTCAAAACCGAGATGGAAACTTTATCCCTCAGTGTGGTTTCAGAGTGAATGTCAAAACTAATATAGACATTAGGATGAGATTAGTGGATAATTTGTTACTGCAGCAGAAAGCACTAACATGGGGGTTAGTTGTAATCTCTACTTCATGGGGGTTCACTGTAATCTCTACCTCAAATGTACATTTGGAAATTTTTAAAAGAACATGTTTGCAAAATATTAAAAATGAACCAGGATGACATGCTGTCATTAGAAATATATCATCATTGATTTAATCTAAAATGATATGCTAGCCCAAAAAAGTGCTAAATTTAAATTGAGAAAAACGTTTTATTATCAAATCATACTTCAACCTATTTTTGTAGAATGTATATGTCTTTACATGAAAATTAATAATTTAAGGGAAAGTATTACATATGCACATTTTAAACACTATATATAGCCGAGGCTGAACAAATAGGATGTCTTGTTTAATCTTTAAAATTCTGTCAGTTATACATACTTTTCTCTATTTTCTAGGAACTCAGATTCCTGTATAGAGTAGGGCTGGATTTAAAAACAGTTATGCTCATCAATTTTTATTTGGATAGAAATGCTTACTATATTTAGGAACAATCCATAATTTTACGTTGGGTTATTGTATTTTTTTTTCACTTTTTCCCCTCTACTTTTAATCTGGTGCATAATCCTGTCAATTATGTTCAGATTATCATCTCCTTATTTTGTTTTTAAAATGTTTTTCAAAATAAAAATAAAAAATAACCGTAAAGTTTCTTTTTACTATACAAACTTCATGATACATTATGTTTTTTGATAAGCATTCTATCAGCAACATATTTGCTTGAGAATGAAAGGCAAAGGTTAACAGAACAGGAATATTTGTGTCAAAACTTTCCATAATTAGTTTTTATGTATTATATTTCATACAAATGCATGTAACTGGATTAGTTGTGCAATAGATTAAATTTACTTACTCACAAATCAGAACTTAAACAAAAGCAGGCGCTGCTTTTCCCATAATGCCTATTCCCATAATGAGTTTTACAGACATGTGGATCTTCAATTCACATTCTGCATTTTATAAAACTTCCTGCTACTGTAAAGCATTCAAGAGAACTACACATTTTAAATTGGTTCTTAATTTGAGGGCCTTTGAATATTTAGACATAAAAAGATAATTTTAAATTCCATAGCATTTCTGTTGAAGCATTCATGTTATTAAAACATTTTTATTACTTACAAGAAGTCACTATATCACATAATGGTTAATTTCAATAAGAAACCTTAAAAACGTTGAGGAATACTAGTAGAGTTCATTGGAATTTTTCAATAGGCAGATTTGTTGACAAGCACAGGCATTGCAGGGATTTTTTGTAAAGCAGATTAAAGCTATGATTGTCTATTTTTGTGTTTAAGATTTCTTGCAAAGGGAAAAATAGCATTTGATAATATTTGAATTATTCCTTTATATATTATTAACCGAGTTACAATTATTACTTTCTATATTATTCTAAATATGAATAATATTTAGAAAGTTTTATTATCATTCTAAATATGAATAATATTTAGAAAGTTTTATTATCATTCTAAATGTGAATCACTTAACTGTTACCTACCTTAGCTCTTACCTTTTCACCTCTGAGATGTTTTGAAAGTAGCAATGAAGACTAAAGAGGACCATACTTAACCTCTAGGAAATATGATAGGTAGAGATTCAGGAACAGCTAATATTTGGTAGTGCCGCAGGGGCAGGTGTGTTCCTATAGGAGAGACAAAATGCAAAGAGGGCAGATCTCAGCACTGCATTGCCCTCTCTTAAATCCTGGGGAAAATTGTCCAATTTATAAAATTTCTTGTTTATATTTTTAATAGATCTGCTTAATAAGAGAGTGTTTTCAGCATATTCAGTTCTGGACTTACTTGTGTATCATTACTCCGTGGCTTTTAGTTTCTTGCTCTGGCAGAGTTAATTACAGAAAACTACTCTTCTGTATCTTAGCATTATGTTACACAAAGAGTTGGTTCAAAGACATATCAGGTACAACAGTGCATGTTATTTTTAAAAGTTGCTGTATACCACATATATTTACAGCAGGTATTGTAACCCATTCTGGCTGACAGGTGAGTGAAGGATGTTGATTAAATCTTTCTTTGTTGGTGAACTCTACAATATAAAATAGGACAGAAATTTGCAAGAGAGTAAGCATAACTGTTATAAGATATGCAGGCATGAAAAAGAAGTCAGCAGTGCGTGTGTGTGTGTGGTTGTGTGTAGTAAACAGTTAAAATGAGAATGGGAGGCTTACAGAGAACTAAGTATTGTTATAACGGAGAAGTAGAGAAAACCTGGCCCTAAATATGTATAGGAATATTTTACAATTCAAATGTATAATATTTTGGAAAAAAGTCAATGTTTAACATTTAAAAATATATCTAGAAATGTCTGTTCTGTATTAAATCTATACATATTCTCTTTAGAATCATTTATTTGTGAAACAGATGTGACAGCAGATGGTAATAAACAATGCATTTTTTTATAACTGATTAACAATTTTTGCCAAATGCCAGTGGCAAATAATGAAATCTACTTTAACTTGGACTACAAGGAATTAAATATTCAGCGATAATAAGTCAACAGCATCAGGTTTACCTGAATATCACTTGTCTTTTGAGTGGTGTTAAATGGTAGCAACTTGGTCTAAACTTAGCTCTGCTTTTACATTGCCATGTTTCAGCTAAGTAAGGCAGCTATTCTATTTCATGAAGGCAAGATAAATCTTTAATCAATTTTGTCATGTCTTGATTATTTGCAAAACAGGATGACAGATGGACAGAAAAGAAGTAAACTCTGTCCAGCATAAGGTGAAATTTATTGCTGTAATTTTACAGAAGAGTCCCTTTGATGTCATAAACTACAAGAATAAAGCATGAACAGTTTATTAAAAAACATAAGAATAGTGAGATGAGATTGCAGCCGTTATAGTGCTCCACACTTTATATTGGATAATTCATTCTTTCTCCATTGTGGAAAATAGTAAATTGATTTTGATTTCATATACAGCTGTCCCATTAATTTCAAAAGCATAACCTTATGAAGATCAAAGTTGTAGAGTTTGCTGACATCAGCTTCACAGCAGAACTTATTACTCCCTAAAGAAAAAAAAAATGTGTTATCAAGAAACACATCTGCAGGTCCATTGTCTAAGACTCATGACATAGAAATTATTGATGTTGCACAGTTGATATTGCACATTTCCCTAAAACTGTAAAACAAAATAGTTTAAACCTCAGGAAATGAGAGCCATGCCTTTAATGTTATTATCTGCTTTAGGTTTTATTTATTTATTTTTTTCTCTCATCATAACACTTTTTATATTTTCACTAATTCTGTGCAAGAGATACCTAATGACAAAAGCTAATTTAGCATGAATTGAGATTCAAATAATTAATTGAATAGTCATTCAATTTACAATAAAATCATTTTATGTTTGTTTATGATGATTTTGTTTGGGTCAGAAAAATGTACCTTATGTGTGTGACTTCTAATAATATTCTCAAGATGTTTTCCTCCTAAAATAGATTTTACATTGCAATTTAGTATAGCTGGATTTTTAAGGCTGTGTATGTGTATGTGTGTGTGTGTGTGTGGCAATTTTAAAAAATGTACTGAAATATTAGCTATTTTTCTATTTATAACAAGCATTTATAAGACACAAATATTTCAGGTGATGGATATCTCAATTACCGTGACTTGATCACATTATATGAATATATCAAATGATCACATATACCCCTAAAACATGTACATATATTATGTACCAATAAATAAGATTCTAAAAAATAAATCAAATTTTTTGTAGCAAGGGGTGTGCAGCCTTATATTACTGGAGGTAGGTATTTGTTTTATTTCCAGTTCAGGATTTATCCACCTTAAACTAGAGGGAAGGTGGAAGACAATTGTCACTTTAATCATTTATTATTTTCGTCTCACATAAAGCCCATAATAAATATAAACAGTGTCTGCAAGACTCAATTTAAAAAATTATATCCCATTTGCATTATTTTTATTTTATTATCTGAAAGTTTCAAAAATTGAAACCATGTATGTATATTTAAATGGGAAGACAATTGATGCCAGGCATCTCAACAGAGAAAAACAGTTTTGAAAAATTTTTATCATTTGAGTCTGTGTTCATGACAGAGGTAAATCTAGTGTAAACACATTACAAATCCAAAGACCTTGGCCAAGTACACTAATTTGTTTTTCAGCTTAACTTGCCTAATGTTAAGAAAAATGTTTGAATGCACTTACTTCTTAAATCATGTGGAAGATTCATAAGACCTCATTTATTATTTATATATATATATGTACATGAAAACTAGGAAACTGTCTAAAACCTAACTCATTTCATGTTCCTCTCCCAGTAATTCTCTTCCTGTTTTATATATCCAGTGATGTTATCACTACTTGTTGTCACCGAAACTTATATAATCCTCGCCTCCTTGACATTGTGCTATTATACCCAGGTCAATAATTAGTCATTTTTACTCTAATTCCTAAATGTTTTTGAAAAATGTTTAACAGCCCTTCATCCTTACTGACATTTTTCTGGGAAAGGTCATATCATCTGCCACATGAATTACTGCAACAGCATGCTAATTCCTGTCTCCACCCTATACATGCTGTAATTCATTCTCCATATTACAATCAAAAGAAACTTTTAAAAATTTCTTTAAAGTTTATTTTCAGAACATTTTTATATTTACAGAAAAAGTTTTATGGTAGTACACAAAGATTCCATATACCCAGCACCCAGTTTCTTCAAGCATTAATATCTTACATTTTTATGGCAGAATTAATGCATTCTTTTGTTTTTGTTTTTGTTTTTTTTTCTTTTAGACAAGGACTCAGACTGTCACACGGCCTGGAGTGCAGTGGTATGATCTCAGCTCATTGCAGCTCCTACTTCCCCGTCTCAAATGACCCTCTAAACTCAGCCTCCCAAGTAGCTGGGACCATAGGCATGTGCCACCATGCCCAGCTAATTTTTGTATGTTTGTAGACATGGGGTTTCACCATGTTGCCCAGGCTGGCCTCACACTCCTGGGCTCAAGAAATCTGCCCTACTTGGCCTCAAAAAGTGTTGGGACCACAGACATGAGCCATTGTGCCTGGCAATTAATGAAATCTTATCCATAAATTATTATCAAGTAAAGTGTATAATTTATTCAGATTTCCTTATTTGATGCTTATTTGATGTCTTTTTCTGTTCCAAGATCTCATCCGAGATACCACATTATATTTACTCATTATATCACCTTAGGCTTTTGTTGGTTGTGACAACTTTTTGACTTTTCCTTTTTATTCTTTAAAGACCTTCATAGTTTTGAGGCGTACTGGTTAGGTATTTTGCAGAAATTTCTTCAGTTAGGATTTGTCTGAAGTGTTTCTCATGATTAGAATGAAGGGATACATTTTTGGTGGAAGACCGCAGAGGTAAGGTATTATTTTTTTAACCAAGCAGTTTAGCTTCAAACCACATTTTAAATCTTGTTTTTTTCCTTTCCTACCCTCTCCCCAGTTTTGAGATGTAGCTATAAGATAAACTACAGGCCGGGCGCGGTGGCTCACGCCTGTAATCCCAGCACTTTGGGAGGCCGAGGCGGGTGGATCATGAGGTCAGGAGATCGAGACCATCCTGGCTAACAAGGTGAAACCCCGTCTCTACTAAAAATACAAAAAAAATTAGCCGGGCGCGGTGGCGGGCGCCTGTAGTCCCAGCTACTCGGGAGGCTGAGGCAGGAGAATGGCGTGAACCCGGGAAGCGGAGCTTGCAGTGAGCCGAGATTGCGCCACTGCAGTCCGCAGTCCCACCTGGGCGACAGAGCGAGACTCCGTCTCAAAAAAAAAAAAAAAAAGATAAACTACAAAAGTGTTTTACAGCATAAAATACATTTTTCCTCCTTTCTCCCCAGTTTCAAGATGTATCTTTGAGACAAACTACAAATGTGTTTTCTTTTGTCTTGAAATGCAGTCTGGGTGTGTGCTTCACTCCCATCCCTTTCCCACTTTGTGCTCCCATGTCTTATGCACGTTTATTTACTTTAATGCTTGTTAAGCACACATGATGGTCACTTATCTGGTCATACATTTCCTTAGAAGCTTCAGGGGCAGAATCCTGATACCAACCAGACACCTCTGGAATTCCTCCCCAGTAAAAGATTACTTCAAGGCCAGAACTCACTCCCTGCTAGAGATTGACCGCAAAATTGACTGCTATTGATTTGTAACCTGGTTGAGGCCGTGATGGTACCAGCTTCTTCACCAGATAGAACAATAATTCAAGACAAACTGTCAGAGCAGTTCACACCACTTGAAGCTGTGCTCACATTTTTAGCCCTGCTGCCTTTCCTGCATTCCTAACATTTCTCCTTAAACATTAATGCATTCCCTTCACAGATTGGAAAGTGATAATTTTTGGAAAGAATTCCACCCATTCTCCATCCTTGCTAGCATATAACAAAGTGTGTTCTCTTTTTATCACACCTCATTCTTGTTATTTTGACTTTGTTCTACAAGCAGTGAGTAGCCAAACCCTCTTTGCTGATTACATTTCATCACATTTTCCTCATTCTTCTGTTTCATTTTTATTGCCTTTCTGTGAGTTAATGAGACATTTTTAAGAATTCATCTTCATTAATGATTTTTAGGGAATATAACTTACATACCTTTATTAGTGATTCTCTCTGGATATTAAAATATGTGACTTATCACTATCTACTGGACATAGGGAAAACAAAACCCAAACAAAATGACAGACTTGAGCTGTAACTTACCACAATTATCTAAAATGTGAAAATATAAATATTATACCAGTAAGACAAATATTTGCAGAGATTTTTTTTTCTAAATGACCCAGCAACAAAACTGTTTCCCAGAAACTTACTTCAAATTCAATGACATAGGTAATCTGAAAGTAAAAGAATGGGACCAGGCACAGTGGCTCATACCTGTAATCCCAGCACTTTGGGAGGCCAAGGCTGGTGGATCACTTGAGGTCAGGAGTTTGAGACCAGCCTGGCCAACATGGAGAAACCCTGTCTCTACTAAAAACACAAAAATTAGCTGGGCATGGTGGTGTGCACCTGTAATCCTAGTTCGTTGGGAGGCTGAGGCATGAGAATTGTTTGAACTCAAGAGGTGGAGGTTGCAGTGTGCCAAGATCATGCAATGAAACTCCAGCCTAGGAGACAGAGCGAGACTCTGTCTCAAAATAGTAATAATAATAATAATAAAAAGGAAGTAAAATAATGAAAATATATTGACCATGCAAACATTAATTTATATAAGAAGGCATGGGTATAATAATGCAAGATAAAGTAAACTAAGAGCAAAGAAAATTACTAGATGCAAAGATGGACATTACATTGTGATAAAAGGGTGAATTCACCAAAAAACAGTAATTCTAAATGAATATTCCCCAAATAGCAGAGCCTCAAAATATGTGAAGCTGAAAGGAGCATAGACTTTTCCACAGTTACTACTGGGAGCATCATTGTCCTTCTCTCAGCAACTGATAGAAGTGATAGAGAGAAAATCAACAGCGTTATCTGAATCCAATCAACCAATGGGTTCTAAATGACAGCCCTTACAATAAACATAAACATACTCAAAATAATGGAGTACACATAGAGTATGTTCTATGACCGTAACAAAATCAAGCAGAAGATCAATTACGGAAAGATAAAAGAATGTCTCAAATTACTTGGAAATTGTATAAAACGTTTATTAATAAAATGAGACAAAAAGAATATTTTAAGTAAATAAAAGCATATCGAACTGAATGAAAGTTAAATACAATGTGTAGCATATGTGCAATGCATCTGAACTGTGCTGAGAAGGTTATTTATAACACAAAACACTTAATTAGGAATAAAAATGTCTAACATAAATAATCAAAACCCTAGCTCAAGAAATGAGGAAAGCAAAGCAAAGTGCTCTCAAAGCAAGCAGAAAAAAGAAATAAAAAAGACAAGAACGGAAATCAATGAATTTGGAAACAGTTAAACATAGAGAAAAGCAGGGAAATAAGTCTGTTTCCCCAAAAAAATCAATAAAATTGATAAATGTTTGGCAAGAGAACAATAAATAAAAAGGGTAAAGAAGCAAATCACCAATACCAGAATTGAAAGTGGATAATATATATCATAAGGATCCTGTAGCTGTTAAAGGGTAATACTACAATACTAGAAAAAAACCTTGCACTTATAAATTCAACAGCTTAGAATGTATAGATCCATTCCTCAACAATCACAAAGTGACACAAAGACAAAATGCATAATCTGAAGTCTTATTAACCTTAAAGAATTTGAATTTATAGCTTAAAATCTCCAATCACTCAATAATCTAATAGATTTCTTAAAACTAATTAACACCAATTTTACACTATATCTTCCAGAAACATATAAAATAAGAGAATACTTTTAAACTCTATATAAGATCAGAATTACCCTGATACTGAAACATAAAGTATAGTTTTAAAATCACTAATAATTAATATTGTCTATGAATTTAAACTCAAAATTCTTCAACAAGTTAACAACAGCACATCAAACCCAGCAATATATTTAATGAATTGTTTACCATCATCAAGTGGGATTTATTGCAGATATTCAAAGGTGTTTTAATATTTGGAAATCTATGTAACTTACAGTATCAACAGGCTTAAGAAGTAAAACCAAATGATCATATCAATTGATACAGAAAAAAATAACAAAATTTGACACAAATTTATGATAAAAATGCTCAGAAAAGTGGAGATAGTGGCGCACATCCTTAACTTGTTAAGAAACTTCTCAAAAACCCTACATCTAATATCATAATAATAAAAAACTGAATGCTGTCTGCCTAAGATAAAAACATGACTGGGCACAGTGGTTCACACTTCTAATTCTATCAATTTGGGAGGCCAAGGCGGGCAGATCATTTGAGGCCAGGAGTTCGAGACCAGCCTGGCCAACATGGTGAAATCCCATCTCTACAAAAAAAAAAAAAAAAAAAAAAAAAAAGCCGGGTGTGGTGGTGCTCACCTGTAATCCCAGCTAGTGGGAGGCTGAAGCATGAGAATTGCTTGAACCTGGGCAGCAGAGGTTGCAGTGAGCTGAGATCATACCACTGTACTCCAGCCTCGGTGACAGAGTGAGACTCTGTTTCAAAAAATAAAAATAAAACAATAAATAAAAGATATTAAACATGAGAAAGATCTCCACTCCCAAGAATAATTCTTACTAACTACTGGGTCCCTTCATGGTAATAACAAATTACCAGAAACTCGGTAATTTACAAACAATAGAAATTTATTTCTCCAGTTCTGGAGGCTGGGAAGTCCAAGATCAAAGCATAGGCACATTAAGTGTTTGATGAGAGCTCACTCAATGCTTCAAAGGTGGTAACTTGTTGCTGTGTGCTCACATGGTGGAAGGTAGAAGGGCAAAGTTTCTTGTTTGTTCCCTCCAATCCCTTTATAAAAGCATTAACCCCATTTATGACTCAATAACCACCCAAAGGTCCCAACTAATACCATCACCTTGTGGTTTATGTTCCAACATAGAAAGTTTGGAGGAACACATATGTTGTTCCCCTGGCCCATAAAATCTGTGATTGTTTCACATACAACATACATTCATTCTATTCCAATATCCCCAAATTACTTTACTCATTCCAGCATCAACTTTAAAGTCTAATTACAAAGTCTGATCTTAATAACATCTAAATCAGATATGGGTGAGACTCAAGGTATGATTCATCCTGAGGCAATTTTCCCCTCCATTTATGAGTCTATGAAATCAAAAAAAGTTATGTGCTTTCAAAATATGATGGAGGGACAGGAATAGAATAGACATCCTTGTTTCAAAGGGGAGAAATAGGAAAGAATAAAGGGGTGATAGATGCCCAGTAACTCCAAAATCTAATAAGGCAACCAACATTAAATCTTCAGGTTGAAGAAAAATCTTCTTTGACTCCCTGTCTCACCCTCCAGACACATTGGGATAGGGTTTGGGCCCCTGAGGTCCTAGGTGATCCTGCCTCCATGGCTTCACTGGGTGTAGCCCAAACAGTAGCTTTCAGAGGTTGAAGTGCTTGTGACTCTCCCAGGCTGGTTTTGAACACTGGTGGCTCTACTGTTTTGGTGTCTCAGTGGCAACTCTGTCTCTAGGACTTATTAAGCATGCCCTAGTGAAACAGGTCAAGGTCAATGGCCATACTGGCTAAAGTGTTATCCAAGCTTTGTTGTCTCACAACCAAGAAAATTAAGGACTGTGGATGCAAAGGATGAGGTTGGAGCAAAAGTTTATTAAGCTAAAGAAAAAAGCTCTCCTCAGAAGACAGGGGAGCCTGAGTTGGTAGCCATTTTTACAGTCAAATTGAAAAGCTTTTATAGGAAACTCCTTTCATCTCTATAGCTGTTTGAGTAAGTTCTCTTATCTGTAAAGTTGTCTAACTCCCCTTACCTATGTAGTTGTGGGCACGCAAAGCACAGTTTTTCTTGTTTGTATAACTGTGGATTTGTTTTAGGGAAGTCCCCACCTCTTCCCTGTGCAAGTTCCTACAGAACCCACCCTGTATATGCCTGAAAAGGGGAGAAAACTTTTTTCTGGGAGACTGTTACTCACACAAAGAACGAAAGACCTCTGTGCTGGACCTTGCATCCTTATGTCACAGGTGCAGTCTGAGTTTTCCCCAGGCTGTTCTATAGTTGCCTGTAGCTGTGATTTTTCAGGCAGGCTGCCTCTCTGAGGACTAGCCTTAGCTGTCTACCTAACTGATTTTTCCTTCTCTTCTCCCTCACTAGTAGGGGTTGTCTGGGGTGGCCACAACCCCGTGGTTCTGCTGGTCATTGTCCTAGTGGGCGCTCTCTTTGGTGGGCCAAACTGTATGCCTCCACCGGGCATTTCCCTAGTGTGGCATCTTTGCAGTGGCTGTGTCTCTGGGGCAGTTCTCTGCCTGGATCCTGAGGCTCTCCAAAGCTTCCTTTGAAATGTAGATTAAGGTAACCATGCCTCCACAGCTCTTACACTCTGTGCACCTGCTGAATTGACATCATGCAGATGCTGCCAAAGGTTACCACTTGTGACTTCTGGATGGACAATGGCCCAAGTTGCGACTGGAACCACTTAAGCCACAGCTGGAGTGGCCAAGTAGTGCTGCATGGGAATTAAGGGAACAGAAGATTGAGGTGGTATGGGGCAGTGAGCCCCAAGTTTCCGTGGATACCCTGAGGCCCTCCTTTGAATACATTCTGCCTGCAAATTACTGGCACTCTGGGTCTGTGATGGAATTGTCATCTGAAAATTATTCTTCCATTGTCTTGATGAATAGCATCTGGCTTCCTGATAGCCATACTAATCTCACCAAACATTTGATTGGCCACACCTTTGGCATTCTCTCCTGAACACAGGGTTTTATCCTTTATAATCTGACCAGGCTGGAAATTTTCCAAATCTTTACATTCTATTTCCCCCTTGATTACAAATTCCACCATAGTTTGTTTCTGTCTTATTTTGTTTTACTACAAAAAATAAATCAAGAAAGCCTATGAAGCACCCTGAACACTGCTTAGAGATTTCTTCTGCCAAATATCCTAGTTCATCAATTTTTACTTCTACCTTCCACAAAGCTCTAGGTCAAGAACACGATTCAGCCACTCTATAACCACTGAGTTTTCTCTCAGTTTTCGGTGATGTGTTTCCCATTTCTATCTAAAATCTCATCAGAATGGCCTTTACTGTCCATATTTCTACTAACATTCTGTTCAAGACCACTTACACTATTTTTAAGAAGATTAAGTTTCTCTCTACAGCTCTCCTCTTCTTCTGAGCTCACACCAGAATAGTGCTTTGTGTTCCACCTTCTAATAGTTGACAGTTACCCAGTCCCCAGGCCACCTTCACATATTTCAGTATTTGTTATAGCAACACCCCACTTCTCAGTAGCAATTTCTGTTTTAGTCTATTTGTGCTGCTATCCAAAATACCACACACTGGGTAATTTATAAACAATAGACATTTATTTCTGACATTCTGGAAGCTGGGACATCAAATAGCCAGGCATCAATAGATTCAGGGTCTGGTGAGGATTCACTCTGTCCCTCCAGGATGACACATCACGGCTGCATCTTCACATGATGGAAATAAGAAAGGCAAAAGGGCTTAGCTACTTCCTTCCAGTTTTATTTGAAATATATTAATTTCATTAATAATGAGATAATTAGGCCCTCATGCCCTAATTACCACCCAAAAGCCCCACCTTTTGATACCACCACCATGGGGTTTAAGTTCCAACATATGAATTTTGGAGAAACACATACATTCAGATAGAGCAGGCTCTCTTCCTGGCTTGCAGATGGCTTCCCTCTTACGGTGTAATCATATGGCAGAGAAAGAAAGAGCTCTGATTCATTTTCTTCTTCTTATGAGGAGACTACCTCATCTTGGAGCTCCTCTCTCATGACCTAATCTAAACCTCAAAATCTCTTAAAACCTCCACCTTCAAATACCACCATATTTGAAATTAGGGCTTCAATACCTGAATTTTGAGAAGACAGAAATATTCCATAATATTATAGAAATATAAAAGCATTACAATAGCTACAATTTTGAAAAAGGAGACCAAAGGTTAGAAGAATCACTACTCATCAGTACTACCAAACTTATATAGCTATAGCAATTAAGACTGTGTTGTGTTAACAGGGGGAAAGGTACAACATATCAATAAAAGAGAATGAAAATCCCCTAAAATAGACTCATACAAACATGCCTATCTGATCTTTGACACTGAGCAAAATAATCAGTGGTGGAAGAGTAGCCTTTCAACTAAAAATGCTATAGCATTAGATATCTATAGACCAGAAAATAAACATTGGCATAAACTTTATACCTCACACAAAAATTAATTTAATATGGTTCACAGACTTAAATGTAAGATATGAAACTATAAAAAGGAAATAATAGATAATCTTTGGGTCAAAGTTAGGAAAGGAGTTGTTAAACTTGACATGAAAAGTATAATTCATAAAATAAAAAATTGGTGAGCTGAGCCTCATCAAAACTTTCAACTTTTGCTCTGCAAAATATCCTCTAAGTAAGATGAAAAGACAAGGTGCAAATTGAGAGAAAATATTTACCAAATCTGACAAGGACTAATATATAAAGAACTTCAAAACTCAATAGTGAAAAACAGTCATTACAGTTAAAAATGGGAAAAAGATATAAATACATATTACACTGAGAATACACAGTTGGCAAATAAGCACATGAAAATATGTATAACATCCTTCACCATTAGAGGAATGTGAATTAAAACCAAACTGAAATACTGTTTTTTTTCAGTATTTCAGAGAGGAGGCAGGGAGATACTAGGTAGAAGAGGGCGGTTGCCTGGCAAAGGTCCCGTTCCCAAGCCTGGAAACCCAGGGCCCTAAATGGGAACAGGCATTCCTGTTTTTGTGCCAAATGTTGCCTTTTGGCCTGTCACGCCCTTCTATCCTATACCCATATAATCCCCAAACCCCAGGCTCCATGGGCAGATAAACAAGAGCAGAGGAGCAGAAGGGCGGCAGAGCAGTGCTGCAGAGAAGGAGCTTCTGAACATCAAGAGGAGTTCTGCTGGGGATGATCAGAGGGAACATTGGCTGTGGGATGATGGAACTCCAGGGGAAGATCATCTTACTCCATCCCTTTTCAGTTCCCCGTTCCTCCCAATGAGAGCCACCTCTATCTGGCAGTAAAATTCCCCGTGTTTACCATCCTTCAATTTGTCTGTGTGATCTGATTTTTCCTGGACACCAGACAAGAACCTGGGGCCCAAGGGGGCACTGAAATGATTGACGCTTAAGGCATCTGTGGGTGGCAGAATTAAAAGAGCACTGTAGCATGCCCACTGGGGCTTTGGGAACCTCAGGCACCCACCCCTAGATGCTACCATGGTGCCCGAGCCCAAAAGCACTTGCCCTGGCTCCTGCACCTGCCCGTCTGCGTGCTCTTTCTCCCATAAAGGGTTGGAGCGCACAGTGGCCAAACAGAAGAGCCACACCACACCCCTGTTGCACGTCCTGCGAGGGGGTCTGGGGATGCTCCCGTTTCAATACCATTTGTTAATAAAAGACCAATTAAATCAGTGGAAACAAAAGAAGAACTTTATTTTCCAAAGCAAACTTCAGATTGCAGACTGAGGACAAGAAGCCTTCAGTGTAAAAACGAAAGGGCACTCTGAGGAGGAGCAGGTTGAAGAGTTAGAGATCATAAAGAAGAGGGGGAGAGTTAGGAGAGTGATAGAGTCTTGATTAGAAGACCTTTAAAGGCCAAATCACCAGTCTCCCTTAATTGGCTGGTTGCAGGTAGTCTGTTGGTGGTGAGTTGGGGAATTTCCAGCTGCAATTGTCTTTGACATTGTTTTCTGGAACTGTTTTTGACTTGGTTGGAGAAAAATAGGTTTGCAACATTTGCCAAAGACACAGTGTGGCTACTCCCTCACCTTGCCACAGCTCCTTGATATTGCTTTTAACATTTGAACCACAGGAAGTTCATTACGTCTGTGAACTGAGGCATAATTTGACACCCCACACAACTATCAGAATAGCTTAACAAAAAAAGAATAGTGAAACCATTAAATCTTGAAGAGGATGGGAAGAGAATATGTCATTCAAACATTGCCAGTGGGAATATTAAACGGTACTGCACTCTGCAAAACAGTTTGACGGTTTTTTAAAAACCTAAACATGAAACTACCATAAGATCTACAAATTTAACTTTTGATATTATCACAGAAAAAGGGAAACACGTGTTCACATAAAAACCTGTATATGAATGCTTATATCTCAAAACTGGAACCAACACAGATATCCTTCAATGAGTGAATGACTAAAGAAAATGCACTACACTGATACCAGGGGATATTACTCAGGAATTAAAGAAACCATTGATGTAAATTAAAACTTGGATGAATCTCTAAGATTTAAATCAAGTAAAAATGCCAATTCTAAATGGTTTCATATGTTAATCCAAAATATCTGAGACAGGTCTCAGTCAACTTAGAAAGTTTATTTTGCCAAGGTAAAGAATGTGCCTGTGACACAGCCTCAGGAGGTCCTGATGGCATTTGCCCAGGATGGTCGGTGGTACAGTTTTCTATTATACATTTTAGGGAAACATGAGACATCAATCAATATGTGTAACATGTACATTGGTTCGATCTGGAAAGGCGTGGACGACTCAAAGTTGGGGCTTCCAGGGTAGAAGTAGATAAGAAAGTAAAGGTGGCATTCTTTTGAGTCCTTGATCAGCCTTCCACTGAATACACAATTTAGTCTGGCTCCATGAATCTGCATTTTTACATAAACAATAGGCAGAGGAAGTAATCATATATGCATTTGTCTCAGGTGAGCCTCAGAGGGATGACTCTGAGTTCTGTCTGTCCTTTGTCCACAAGGAATTTCCTGTGAGCAAATTGTGAGGGAGGTATGTAGCTTCTTATCTTTGTAGGAATCTTGTTTAAGAATAAAATGGGAAGCAGGTTTGCCTGACATACTTGTTAGCTTGACTTTTCTCACGGCTTAGTGATTTTAGGGTCCCAAGAGTTATTTTCCTTTCACATATATGATATGATTTATATAATATTTTCAAAAAGACTAAATTTTTAAGATGAGACTATATTAGAGTGTTCAGCATTAGGGAAGGAGGAGGGAAGGGAGGGGTGTGTATCTCTGATAGAGCAATAGGAGGGATCTTTGTTTTAATGAAGCTTTATTCTAACTTGACTGTGGTGCTGGATACATTAACCTACATTCCTAATACAATTTTATAAAACAGAGACACATACATATACACACTGATTAATGAGTACAATAAAACTTGGAAAGTGGCCATGATGATCCTTAAGAACATACATTTTATAAAAATTCTGGCTTCACTCTTCTTGGATGCTTCTATGCTTCTTAAACGTGAGTAATCTTAGGAATCTTCTTTCATGAGTAAGAATGAACGTAAGAGAAGTTTGTAGCTTGTAATTTCCATTGTATTTAACTTGTTCTATAGAAGTTGGTATTCTCCATTGTGCCTGTTTTAACTATAGTGTATAAAGATACATCAATTACTGAATACATCAGTGAATGGATTCCTGGTGAGCTAAAAGATACCAAATAAGCAAAAAACTCTAATGTGTACATAATTTATGTTTTCTCCATTGATTATCCTGGTTAGAAAATTTAGTATTACAAATGTTTGCATCTTTAAGATTTCTTTTTTACTTTTTGTTTTTGAATATTATCCATATTCGTTCTGAAATGCGTTGCCACCATCACATAATCATTCAGCCAGATTTCTTATATTTTAAAAGAAATCAAAGTATTATATTATTAACATCTTAGCACAATATGAATCAATCCTTTATATTTTCATGAACAAAGATTGAATGCAACAGATAATGAACTAATGGTGTGAAAATAACAAAGGCATTAATCACACGTATTTTACATGATTCAAATATTTATTTTCATAATACCAACACAGAAGAGATGAATATGTTATAACGATCAAAGCAATTAGTTATGCTGTAATGATATCTATTGTTGGAATAAAGGAAAACAGGAAAATGCATTTAACATGTTTGAAATTATTTATTCAAATATTTTTTAAAAAGGGGGTCCTACTCTAATAGATTGCTTGATAAAACTAAGCAGGAACTAACAATAATATATAAATTAAAGGATGCTAAGTGCTAATTAATAGGTATTCAAACACCTGTCTGCTTCTGAAAAGAGTTACTCAACCAAGAATTGGCAATAATTCAAACTGCAGTTCTTGCAATTAGGTGAAATTTTATTTAATTATTTAGAAATCCCTAACAGAAATGCAATCACATTAAGAGTCCATTTGTCATTGTATTGAATTATTAGCTTCACGCCTGAAAAAGGTTTTGTGTATTATACTCAGTTAAATTCCTCTTAAAGAAATGTTAGGGAATTAAAAAAAATCAATGTGTTAAACAAATGCATGCCTGCACCTAGTTATGGTAGCAGTAAAGTCTCTACTGATATCTCTTTGTCTTTATTGTTATAATATATTTACGTGTGATTCTAATTTTGCTAATAGATGGCATTACCACTCTTGGAGAAAAACAATTATCCCATTCTCCTCCATTCAATTTGATAAAAACCCAGGGAACATGTGGCTAATTAATATGCAGCAGATGTAAAAGTAGAGAGCAACACCAGGAGAGAGTAACCACAAGTAACAGTGGTGACTATTCAATCACTATCAAGCCCCTTAAATTTCTATTATTATTATTATTTAAAAAGTAACTATTTGGAAAGTTTTTTTTTCACTTAGGTTAGAAAAAGATTGCAAATGTTACAGTAAAATTTTTCTGTGGAAAAAATTGAAATGATACCTACTAAATTTTTTATATAGCAACTTTTTTTGTCTTAACTCTTTCTCGACAAAACACAGTACTAAACAAGGAATTTAGCCACTATTAGTGTCAAGAAGGAATTCATACTGACATATTGTCACTAAATATGCAATTATATAAATCATAAGCTGAAAGAAAATTTAATATTTTAGAAGTGACAAAAGGTCAACTTACAGATTTGTAATATGCCATCAGGGAAAAATAATGTGAAAAAATATAGCCATGGAAGTATACACAACAACATTCAATGTATTTAAAGCAAACACTCCATGTAAATATCTTTCTAGGTATTAATATAAAATTGCTATGGAACTCATTAATTTGCAGCTATTATTATAAATAAATGATTATAAAGTCAACTTGTAATATATAATTAATTAGACATAGAAGACACATAATTAAATTGTTAACATATGAAAGGAACAAACCTACAGTTATAAACAAAAAATGCACATTTGGAATACTCTTTTCACAAATGTTATTTTGTGAAACTTCAAAAATATGTTAAGGTATTAAAATAAGCTAGATAAAATTGGTGTTGTTACATAATCTGGCCATTATTCATATTCTGTAGTTCAGATGCTACAGATTAGGTAATTCTAAAATACTTCTATCTCTTTAAATATTACTACTAAGTTAAATATTATAAAAATAATGACTAACAAGTTTGGAGATATATGTATGTATATATTTATATACATATATATATACTTATATATATATATATACACACACACACACACACACACCCAACACACATAAGTGTCTAATTATGAATTTGGATATCTTGCCCAATTGTTTTTAAATTGAAAAGAGGAATTGTTTACAAATGAAAGCATAAAAACATAGTATGCAATATTTATCTGAAAAAGCAAAGTATCATATTCTAATAGGGTAAATAAAAAATAAGATCTTGAGGTTTAAAGTAGTCTCCAAACAAAAGCAATTCACACATGAATGCTTGACCTTATGCATTGGGTAGTTTGTAAAGTTAATGTTAAGCTTTCATTATTATTTTTGTTATGATTAGTAAACTTAGTGAGTAAACAAGATTACTCCATCCTTAACTTTTTCTTGGCAGTACAGTCATGAATACTTAAAATATAAGATATGTAACTTTTATGTTAATATGAGTCCACATTATAAAATAAACTAGAAAATACTTTTTTTGTCATTTGAACACCTAGTTTTTTTAATGTCCATTTAAAATTTATTAATTATCTATTTTTATTTATAAGTTCTTGACTTTGCAAAAATATATTAAAGATAAATAAAATAATTACATTATAATTATTTAAAATATATACACATTTTATATTTAAAAAGTGAATACTGTATAAGTAAATCTGTATTCTGTGTAATTAATTGAGCAGTGAAACTTTTAACAGAAAGGGTTCTCAATTCAGACCCCAAGAGAGGGTTTCTGGATCTCGTGCAAGAAAGAATTCGGGGCAAGTCCATAGAGTAAAGTGAAAGCAAGTTTATTAAGAAAGTAACGGAATAAAAGAATGGCTACTCCAAAGGCAGAACAGCTCCCAGGGCTGCTGGTTGCCCATTTTTATAATTATTTATTATTTCCTGATTATATGCTAAACAAAAGGTGGATGATAAATTTTCTTTTCTTTTCTTTCTTTCTTTTTTTTTTTCTGTGTGTGTGTGTGTGTGTGTGTGTGTGTATGTGTGACAGAGTCTTGCTCTGTCACCCAGGCTGGAGTGCAATGGCATGATCTCAGCTCACCACAACCTCCGCCGCCCGGGTTCAAGCGAATCTCCTGACTCAGCCTCTGGAGTAGCTGGGATTACAGGCATGTGCCACCACGCCTAGCTAATTTTTGTATTTTTAGTAGAGACAGGGTTTCACCATGTTGGCTAGGCTGGTCTCAAACTCCTGACCTCAGGTGATGCACCCTCTTCGGCCTCCCAGAGTGCTGGGATTGTAGGCATGAGTCACTGCACCCGGCCTATTCATGAATTTTCCAGGAAAAGGGTAAGCAATTCTTGGAACTGTGGGTTCCTTCCCTTTTTAGACCATATGGCTTAACTTCCTGACCTTGCCATGGCATATGTAAACTGTCATTGTGTTGGTGGGAGTGTCTCTTAGCATGAATTGATGGGTTTTAGCCAGCTTCTTTTCTGCAGCCTGTTTTATCAGTAAGATCTTTATTACCTGTATCTTGTGCAGACCTCCTATTAATCCTATGACTTAGAATGCAGCCCAGTAGGTCTCAGTCTCATTTTACCCAGCTCTTATTCAAAATGGAGTTGCTCTGGTTCAAATGACTCTGACAAAACACTATTCAATGTGGTTAGGTTAGCTCATACCATATTCATATTATAAAATTATCTTTTTAACTTCTCAGCCTTCATAACTGTAAGTTCATGCCTCATAAAAAAATCTCTTTCAATACCCCTATACCTTTTTTGTTCTGTTTTTCTGTGGTGCTGTAATACAAAAAGTGAGGAGAAAACATATAGAATTTTGTATAGCATCAAATATGTTCTTATAATTGTAGAAAGTAAGAGACAATGGAGAAATGCTGCAAAGTGATATCCTTTTTTACACATTATTGATTGAGAGTTAAAAGAGAACAAAGATCTCCTTAATTATAAAAAATAATGAAAAGTTTCCAAAATCTTTTAACCCCCATACTTTCTTTCTCAGGAATTTACCAAAGTATATGTTTTCACATAACTAAGAAACACATCAAAGAAGAGGCATTACAGGGATTTTGAAACTAACACTCCCTGTAATGTGAAGCGAAGTGAAAGAAAGTGAAGGAAGTGAAGGAAGTGAAGGAAAGAGAATTCCTGATATAATGATGAAAGAAAGTAACAGTATGACAGAATTGCAAAAATCCTTGAGAACAGCAGTAGATTTGTACAGGAAGACATAGAAAAGAAGGGAAAGAAAGCAAGGAAGGAAAGAAGGAAGGAAGGAAGAGAGGAAGGGTAGAGAAAGAGAAAACAAACATCCATTTACCATATTTAATGTATTGAGAGGGGATTTGCACTGCTAAAATAAAAGTTTGGATGAATTAATGATAGATACCTTATAAACAAAGCATCTAGAAATGATGAATCATCCACTTTAGATAAAAAATATAAATATTAGTCACTCAATTGTCATAATGTGAGTTATATAATGACATAAAAAGTAATAATTTAAATAAAATTTAAGGTACTTTCGATTCTCCTGCCTCAGCCTCCCAAGTAGCTACAGGTGTGCACCACCACCCCTAGCTAATTTTTGTATTTTTAGTAGAGATGGGATTTCATCCTGTTGGCCAGGCTGGTCTCAAACTCCTGACCTCGTGATCTGCCCACCTCAGCCTCTACAGGCATAAGCCACCGCACTGGGCCAAATTAAGATACTTTCATAGAGAAATAGCCAGGGAGTTGGGGAGAGATGCACACAACTTTTTTTACAAATCAAACAAACTGCTTTGTGCAGTTTATTTTTTCTTTTGTTTTACAGATTCCACTATTTTCAAAGTTACTGAGGTCAGTACATTTTCCCACCCCTTTTCAGCAAGGGTATTTTATAGACTTATAATTTTGTTTTGTCACAGTCTCTTGGGGTGCATCAATTTTCTAATAAAAAGAATATATATGTGTATATTTAAAAAAACTTTAAAAATGTTTGCTTTTAAGTTTATATATGTGTGTGTGTGTTAACATACATAGGTGTGTGTGTGTGTATATATGATTATATTAAGGTTTAATATTTGTGCCATGAAGTTCTATGCTTTTGACAAATGCATAGTAATGTATATCCACCAGCATAATATTGAGTATTTCACAGCCCTCTAAAAGATGCCCTATCTTTCATGTATGAATGTTCCCCCTACCTGCACCAAACCCTAACAATCACTGATCAGTTAATCTTATGTGTAATATTACCTTTTCCAGGAAGTCATACAAGGGTAGTCATACTGTGTGAGTTTTTGTCTTGAATGGGTGTGGAATTTTGTTAAACGCTTTTATAAATCAATTCATAAAATCATATGACTTTTCATCTTTAGTCTATTGATATGGTAGGTTACATTGATTTGTTTCAAATGCTGAAATTATTAAGTTTTACATGAGTGGACTATCATTTAGTCATGGAATGTAAACTTTTTTTATATTTATTTTAAGTATTTTTATGTCTAAGTTAATGAGATGTATTGGTCTGTCATTTTTTCTTCTCATGATACCCTTTTTTTTGTTGTTTTTTGTATTAGGGTAATTCTGGCCCCTAGAATAAGGTAGAAAGTCTTGCCTGCCCCTCTGCTATTGTCTTGCCCTACTAATTATATACCTCTATCTATCTATCTATCTATCTATCTATCTATCTATCTATCTATCTATATTTAGTCTAAATATATATATTTAGTTAAAATATTAGTTTAAATATTTAGTATATATATATATATATATATATATATATATAAACTAATTTATATATACCTTCAAGTAAGAGTATGATGCTTCTATAGTACAGGTACTCCTGGCTAACATGGTGAAACCCCGTCTCTACTAAAAATACAAAAAATTAGCTGGGCATGGTGGCGGGCACCTGTAGTCCCAGCTACTCAGGAGGCTGAGGCAGGAGAATGGTGTGAACCCGGGAGGCAGAGCTTGCAGTAAGCCGAGATCAGATAGCGCCACTGCACTCCAGCTTAGGTGACAGAGCGAGACTCCATCTCAAAAAAAAAAAAAAAAAAAAAAAAATCAGAAACTACGGTACAGGTACTCTATTTAAAAACAGTCCCCAATTCTTCCTTCTGTCTCTCGTAAAACTGTTACCTTTCATTTTATTTATTTAGATGCTGTAATAACCAACTATGTCTTCATTTTATTGCTTTTAAATAATTGCTTTTTAGATCAAATAAGAATAAGGAAAATAAAAGATTATGTTTTATTTTCATTTATTCCTTGTAGACCCTCTTTCTCTCTTTTTGTAGAACTAATTTTCTGGTATACTACTTGTCTTCTGCTGAAAAACTTGGCATTTCTTAAAGGGAGGACTGCCTGGTGATGCATTTATTGTTTTCGTTTGATTAAGTTTTCATATCCTCTTCTGTCTGTCTTAAAGGAGAATTTTGGTGGATACTGAATTATGAGTTTTTTTTCCAACACTTTAAATTGTTTACACCATTCTCTTCTTACTTGCATAGTTTTTGACAAGAAGTCTGCAATAATTGTTAGACTTGTTTCCAAGTGATAACACTTCCTCCTGCTACCAATTTCTTTTACATTTTTTCTCTGTCATTGCTTTTTCTGAAGTTGGAAAACAATATGCTAAAAGGCATGCATGTGTGTATGCATTTGTTGTCTTACTTGATGTTTTAATTTCCTTAATCTCTGGTTTGTTGTCTCTCATTAATTTTGAAGAGTTATTGGTCATTATTATTTCTGATATTTCTTCAGCATTGTTTTTCTCTTCTTTTTGGTATTCCAACTATGCAGATGTTATGCCTTTACATATTCTTACACAGATCTTCAAAATATGCTATTCTTTCATTCATTTTTTTATCTGTTTCATTTCAGCTTAGGTAGTGTCTGTTAACCTATTCTCAAGCCCACTCATTCTTTCTTTGGCCATGCCCAAGCTACTAGTGAATCCATAAAAATAAACTTTATTTTTATTGTAGAATTTTTTTTACTCTTTCTTGCAGTTTTGATCACCCATTTGTTTTTGCATATTTTATAATTTTCCCCAAAGAACCATTGACATATTAATCATGGTTATTTTAAATACCCTGTCTGACCAATTGAACATCTGTATCATATCTAAGTCTGGATTTTGATGCTTCATTTTATTTTTTAGGTATTTTTATGTTTGCTGGTTTATTTTGCCTTTTGATATGTCTCATAATTTTTTTGTTGTTGAAAGTTGGACTTCTTGTTTTGGGTATAGAAAGTGAGTCAAATAGGCCTTTGTTGTGAGTGTTAATATTTCTATGGGTAGCAGTTGTGCTATATTTATTTTTTAATGTAGCTATAGGAGCCAGAGGCTATAAATTTCTCTAATGTGTTTGTTTTTATATCTTCTCCTTGGGCATCTGTAAGTACTCCTTTTGAAATAAAGCTTGTGCCCCACTTCCTTTTAGCTGTAATCCACTGCAGTTGTTCTGGAGCACTTTTGATGTGATAGCACAGCACTTCATACAAGTGGTGTATGAAGGCAAGTAGTTTATAATCTTCAAATCTTATCTAATTGTTTAAATTAGCCTGTATCAAAGGGCTTTGACCTTCAGTGTTTCTCCTGTAGTATAGACTAACTTCCCCCCATACTGACTTACTTTGTTCCCCGGCTGATGTGTTTTCAATTAATTTTTTAAACCTTATTGTTGTTTACTGTGTCCCACTCACCTACCCCTTAGAGGAGATGGGAGACTAGGAAAGACGGGAGAGGGAGAAACTCCCTTTCTTCAGCTAAGATAAGACTCTAGCTAATTCCTTTTTTTAATAGGAAAACAGATCTATTAAAAGAATATACTCTGGGTGTATTTCATAATGATTATTTTCCCTCTTTACTGCCAGACCCACTACCGAGATCTTACCATCTCTGAGAAATCTGATGGTTTTTCTCAAGATAAAGCCTGTGAAAGTGTAGGGAACTCCTTAAGCTTACACTGCTTACCCTCAGCAGTTTCTCACTGTCATGCTAATTCCCACTTAGCTGCCAGTAATTCAACAAATTTACTGCTGAATTATTTCTACCAGTTTTATGGCTCCAGTAGATTATTCTCAAGGTCAACATGTCTCATCTGTGTCTCTCTGAATATGACTATCTGATCAGATTTCAGAGTGGCAGTTTGTCCTCCAACCTTGGTCCTCTGATGGGTCCAAGCAAAGTCACTGATTTTGTTTGTCCAGTTTTTTTGTGTCATTGTATTTCAGTCTTGACTTCAAAGCTATTTAAATGTCAGAGATGAAACCAGAAGTTTCCTATACTGATATTTTTTAAATTTTAGTATTTGTACCTAGCAAAATGATACAAGGGATTACTCTGATATTTTGTTAAATGTTGTTATGAAGTATAATAAACTTTATATTTTATTTTCTTTAAATGGTATAACTATTAGATAATACAATAAACTGGGAAAAAAAATTGAGGTGAATGTAATTGCCTCTACAATTTTGTTAACATTGTTTTTCTTTCAAAATTAATTGCCATGCAAATCTATAGTGGAAATAGGAGAAAAAACTCTCTGAATTTCATAGGATCCCTACATGAATGGAGAACACAAGAAGAGTGCAGTTCTTTGTTCTTAAAAATGGATGGGATGCACATAAAATGCCCATATTAGGCTGGGCACAGTGCCTCATGCCTGTAATCCCAGCACTTTGGGAGGCTGTGGCAGGTGGATCACCTGAGGTCAGGAGTTTGAGACCAGCCTGGCCAACATGGTCAAACCCCGTCTCTGTTAAAAATACAAAATTAGCCAGGCATGGTGGTGAACACTTGTAATCCTAGCTACTTTGGAGACTAAGGCAGGAGAATCTCTTGAACCTGGGAGGTAGAGGTTGCAGTGAGCAGAGATCACGCCATTGCACTCCAGCCTGGGCAACAAGTGTGAAACTCCATGCCAAAAAAAAATGCTCATATTAATTATAACTACATATAAACTACTGAAGAATACCAATATTTCAAATGCTTTTATTTAACTTCATAAAATATGAAGACAATTTAAAGAGCTGGTTAATAAAGTGAATCTAAATAATGAGCAATACTTATTCCCTAGACACTGAAAATACTGTACTACAACAGGAAATTCAGAATCATGTATTTCTACTAAATAGTGATATTACCCAAAATTATAAATTGCCAAGAAAACACATTATTCTCTTATCAAATTAAGCATCAAGGGAAATGCAATTTAATCGAAGCATTATTTTTATTTATTTAAATATCCACAATAGAACACAGATGATTTTGAAATATGACATTACCATTCAGGTCACTGACAAGTGTGTGGTTACCTAACTAAAAGGAAAGAAAACACACACAAACATATGTACATTAGGTTATATTTAGCTAACAATAGATTGGAACAAGCTAACAAAAATCTGTGGATTTCAACTAGAAACAATCATGAAAAATGTCCCAGAGAGAACTGAAACTTCAGTTCTTCTCACTAGAAATACAGGTCTTTCAATTAATGGGCATGTTAAAAAACTCAAGACTTTGCTAAATTCATATGAGAGCAACTAAATATATAAAACTGTTAAATTGTATATTTTGGGCTTATTAAAAGTAAGTGTTTTGCTTACTTCAAAATTTATTCATTTTGACATAAAGGAAAATGTGAACTCTTAATTTTTTTCTGCTATCTCCTCAGTGGAAATATTAAGAGACATTAAACTCTAATATATTTGTATAATTCTTTCAAATTTAATCTAAGAGGTACACAGCAAGTTAGTAACTTCTTTAATTTTTAAACTTAATAGAAACTAACCTACTTATTTGAAGTTTAGACCCAATTGTATGTTTGTAACGTAACAGTTTATTATTTTAGAAGATTTCTCTAATTTATCTTACAAATTCCAGCATTGTCACAAGACTATATCCCTACTAATCAAAAACTCTTTATTTATATTTCTATAATACCTAACACTAGGGATGAGAAAAACAGGCAGTAAATTTTACCTTGTAAGGACGACTTAATTTTAGAATTGTTTTGGAAAAGGAGACAACTTTTCTACTGGGCAAGTCTCATAGGCCTGAGCATCTGTTCCAAAAACAAAGATAAAAGAAACAAAATAGAACAAAGTCAAAACCAAAAGAAATATTAAGTGTTTTTGTAACTAAATATGAAAGGCTACAAGATGCAAATATTTGTTTTGTTCTTATAAAATTTTATGAGCAGGCAAAAGATTAAAAGATGAAAACCTAGATACAGCTGGGATGCACCTTTTCTAAGGAAAGAAGCCAAAATATTGAGTAAACATTCAGTTTGAGCAGGTCTTTATTTTTGGAGAGAAAACACTAACATTTAATAGGTGATGAGAGACACTATGGTTGAAGAAGGAAGTGGATTGCCTGTTCTGTGCTGTGGGTGCCTAGTGTTAACTTTATATCACTGAAAGAGGCATTGATAAAGGTAGGAAAGACACTCTCAAATATCCAATGTCACCTCTCCTCCCCCAGCAGTGGCTATGTGGTACAGAGAGAGAGAATCTGTGCACTTGAGAGAGGTAGAGGGCAGCAATTGTTAAGACATTGTATTGAACTCAGTGCTACCCTGTTACAGCAGAAGGCAAAACCAGGCTAAACTCAGCTAACACCCACACGTGGAGGGAGAATTTAAACCTGTCCAAGTCAGAGGTGAATTGCCCATCCCAGTGTTTGGAAATTGAGTTCTGGTAAGCCCCACAGCTATGGGATAAAGTGCTCTAGGCCCCTAAATAAATGTGAAAGGCAGTTAAGGCCTCAAGGACTGCAACTCCTTGGCAAGTCCTAGTGCTGAACTGAGCTCAGAGCCAGTGAACTTGGAGGGACTACAATATACTGAGATACCAGCCAAGGTGGCTAAGGGAGTGCTTGTGTCACCTCTCTCCCAATTTTAGGCTATAAAGCTCATTCTCCAAAAGGGACCACTTCCTTCCTCTCGAGGAAAGGAGAGGAAAGATTAAAGAGGCCTTTGTCTTGCATCTCGGATACTAGTTCAGCCACAGTATGATATGGCATCAATCAGTCCTGAGTGTCCCTTTCAATACCCTAGCTCCCAGACTATATTTCCAGACACACCCAGGGCAAGAATAACCTGTTTTTTAGAAGAAAAGGACCTAGTTCTGACAGGACCCATCACAAGTTGACTAGAGAACCCTTGGACCCTGAATAAATGTTACCCAGGTAGTATACTGTGGGCCTTGAATGAGACTCTAGAGTTGTTGGCTTCAGGCAAGACTCAGCACATTCTCAGCTGTGGTGGCTATGGGGAGAGACTCATGCTTGAAAAAAAGCAGATGGAAAAGTAAAGGAGACTTTATCTGAAACAAAGAGATGTTAATGAACTGTGAGAAATTATCTGAGGGTACAAAGCTCAGTGGTAAAAATAAATAGAAAGGCAGAAGAAAAAAACAACTATAATTTTGTGGAAACTCCTCATGTCTTAAGTAGAAAGAATAAATAATGAACCAATCAAAAATAATAACTACAACAACTTTTCAAGACATAGGACAATAAAATATAAATAAAAACAGCATAAAGTCAAAAAACGGGGAGATGAAGTTAGAGTATAGAGTTATTAGTTTTTTGTTTGTTTATAAAATTAGTGTTGTTATTATTTTAAAATAATAGGCTATATTATTTGAAAGCTTCATGGTAACCTCAAATCTAAAAACATACAATAGATACACAAAAAATAAGAAGCAAGAAATTGAAACATACTGCCAGAGAAAACCATCTTTACTAAAAGGAAGACAGGAAGCAAGTAAAGAAGAAAGAGAAGACCACAAAACAACCAGGAAACAAGTAACAAAATGGCAGAAATAAGTTCTTATTTATCAACGATAACATTGAATGTAAACATACTAAACTGTACAATCAAAATACCTAGAGTTTCTAAATGTATTAAAAAATGGCAATCTGTTACTGACAAGAAATGCACTTTACCTAGAAACACACACTTAGACTGAAAGAAAAGATAGAAACACATATTCCACATAAATGAAAACCAAAAGAGAGAAGGAGTAGCTATACTCGTGTCAGATAAAACAGACTTTATGGCAAAAAAAAATAAAAAAGACAAAGAAGTTAATTATATAATGATACAGGGGTCAATTCAGCAAGAGAATATGAGAGTTTAAAATACATATGTACCCAAAAGTGGAACACTTAGATTTAAAAAGCAAATATTATTATTGCTAAGGAGAGAGACAGACCACAATACAATAATAGCTAGTGACTAAAACACCTGATTTTTAGCATTGGACAGATGATCCAGACAGAAAATCAGCAAAGAAACATCAAACTTAATTGACAATGTAGACAGACCACAGGGACCAAATAGATATTTAGAGAACATTTCATCCAGTGGCTTCAGAATACACATTCTTCACATCAGCACATGGATCCTTCTCAAGAGTAGTCCATATGTTTTGTTACAAAACAAATCTTAAAGCACTAAAATCATACTGAATATACATCCAGCATTGTTTCTGACTACAATGGAATAAAGCTAGAAATCAATAACAAAAGAAACTTTGGAAACTATAAACAAATGGTAATTAAACAGTATGTTGCTGAATGACCTGTGGATAAATAAAGAAACTAAGAAGGAAATTAAAATATTTCTTGACACAAATGGTGATGCAAACAAAATGTATCAAAACCTATGGGATTCAGCAAAAGCATTAAAAGGTAAGCTTATAGCTATTGATGCCTACATCGACAAAAAAGAAAAACTTTAAACAACAACCTACCAATGCATCTTAAAGAATTGGAAAAGGAAGAGCAAACCAAACCAAAGAGTAGTAGTAGAAATGAAATAATAAACATCCAAGTGCAAATAAATGAAATTGAAAGCAACAAAATTATACAAAATACAAACAAAATGAAAAGTTGAAAAGTTGTTTTTTTTAAAGATAAACTAAACACAAACCTTTAACCAGACTAATAAATAAAATAAGAGGAAAGACACAAATAAATTAAATCAGAGATTAAAAAAAGAAACAATACATTTGCTATCATAGAAATTAAAAGGACCATTAGAGGCTGCTATGAGCACTACATATCAATAAAGAGGAAAACCAAACATTTAAAGAACTAATACTAGTCCTACTTGAATGATTCCAAAAAAGGCTACGGGCATACTTCCAAACTAATTATTTGAAGCCAGTATTGTCCTGATACAAAAACCAAAGGCACATTTAAAAAAATAGAAGTGGGTCGGGCATGGTGGCTCACGCCTGTAATCCCAACACTTTGGGAGGCTGAGGCGGGTGGATCACAAGGTCAAGAGATTGAGACCATCCTGGCCAACATGGTGAAACCCCGTCTCTACTAAAAATACAAAAATTAGCCCGGCATGATGGCGCTCACCTGTAGTCCCAGCTACTCGGGAGGCTGAGGCAGGAGAATCGCTTGAACCTGGGAGGCGGAGGGTGCAGTGAGCAGAGATAGTGCCACTGCACTGCAGCCTTGCAACAGAGTGAGACTCTATCCCCACCGCCACCAAAAAAAAAGAAATGGTAGGCTAATATATCTCATAAACATTGCTGCAATAATCCTCAACAAATTATTAGAAAATCAAATTCAACAATACATTTAAAAGATTATTCATTATGACCAAGAGAGATTTATCCCAGGGATGCAAGAATGGTTCAATATATGCAAATTCATCAATGTAATATATCATGTGAGCAGAATGGGAGAAAAAAAAATATGATAATTCAAATTCATGCTAAAAAAGCACTTTAGAAAATTTAACATCCCTTTATAATAAAAACCCTGAAAAAACTGGGGCTAGAAAAAATAGACCTCAACATTACAGAAGCTACATATGATGTATCCTCAGCTAATATCCTAATGAATGAACAAAAACTGAATGCTTTTTATTTAAAATATGGAACAATACAAGAATGCCCATTTTTATCACTATTATTTAATATAGTACTGGAAATCCTAACTAGGACAATCAGACAAGAGAAAGAAGTAAACCCATCCAAATTAGAAAGGAAGAAATCAAACTATCCTTGTTTGCAGATATCATAATCTTATATTGGTGCAAACCTAAAGAACATCAAGCACAAAACTATTAGAACTGATAAACAAATTGAGTAAAGCTACAGGACACAAAATCAATGTACAAAATTTGGTAGTATTTCTGTATACCAAGAGTGAACACACTTTGGGAGGCCGAGGTGGGCGAATCACCTGTGGTCAGGAGTTTGAGACCAGCCTGGCCAACATGGTGAAACCCCATCTCTACTGAAGATACAAAATTAGCTGAGCATGGTGGTGGGCACCTGTAATCCCAGCTACTTGGCAGACTGAGGCAGGAGAATCACTTGAACCTGGAAGGCTAAGGCTGCAGTGAGCTGAGATCGCGCCACTGCACTCCAGCCTGGGCGACAGAGCGAGACTTCATTTCAACAAAAACAAGAACAACAACAACAACAACAACAACAACAACAAAAAGAGTGAACAACCTGAGGAAAAAAAATCAAGAAAGTAATTGCATTCACAATAGCTACAAGTAAAATAAAGTACCTAGGGATTAACTAAAGAAAGTAAAATATCTCCATAAGGAAAACTATATAACACTGATGAAAGAAATTCAAAAGGATGCAAAAAAATAGAAGAATATTCCATGTTCATGGATTAGAATAATCAATCTTGTTAAAATGTCCATACTACCCCCAAACAATCTACAGATTCAATGCAATCCCTACTAAAATACCAATGATATTCTTCACATAAATAGAAAAAATTCTAAAATGTATATGAGACCATAAAACAGCCAGAATAGCCAAAGGTAAAAGAGCAAAACTGGAGAAATCACCTTATCTGACTTCAAATTATACTATGGAGCTATAGTAACCAAAACAGCATAATATTGGCATAAAAACAGATACATAGAACAATGGAACAGAATAGAGAACTCAGAAAGAAAAAACACCTATACATCTACAGTGGACCTTTTTTTTTTGGACAAAGTTGCCAAAAGCATACATAGAGGAAAAGGTATTCTCTTTAATAAATGCTGCTGGGAAAACTTGATATTCATATGCAGCAGAATGAAACTATACTCCTCTCTCTCCCCATATACAAAAATCTAATCAAAGTGGATTAAAGATTTAAATCTACGACTCCAAACTATGACTCCCCCTAAAAGAAAACATCAGAAAAACTCTCCAGTATATTTGCCTCGGCAAAGGTTTATTGAGTTATACCCCAGAAGCACAGGCAACCAAAGCAAAAATGGACAAGTAGAATCAAATCAAGTTAAAAATCTTCTGAACAGCAAAGGGAACAATCAACAAAATGATGAGACAATCCACAGACCAGAAGAAAATATTTGCAAATTAACCATCTGACAAGAAATTAATAAATATATAAGGAGCCCAAAAAACTCTACAGGAAAAATCAAATAATTGATTAAAACATGGGCAAAATATCTGAATAAACATTTCCCAAAAGAAGACATTCAAATGGCAAACAGATATATAAAAAGGTGCTCAACATCATTGATCATCAGAGAAATGCAAGTCAAAACTACAGCAACCTGTCACCTCACCCAATTAAAATGGCTTTTATCCAAAAAACAGGCAATAACAAATGCTGGCAAGGATGTGGAGAAAAGGAAATTCCTGTACACTGTTGGTGGGAATGCTGAATAGGAAAATTGCTATTGAAAACAATTTGAAGCTTCCTCAAAAACTAAAAATAGAGCTATTATATAATCCAGCAATCCCACTGCTTATACCCAAAAGAATTGAAATTAGAATACAAAAAAAACCCTTCCATTTACTGTGGTAGTATTCACAGTAGCCAAGAGTTGGAAGCAACCTAACTGTCCATCAACAGAGGAATGGATAGAGAAAATATAGCATAGATACACAATGGAGTACTATTCAGTCACAAAAAAGGATAAGATCCTGTCATTTGCAACAATATGGATCAAGCGAAGGTTATTATGTTAAGTGAAATAAGCCAGTCACAGAAAGACAAACTTCACATATTCTCATTAATTTGTGGCAGCTAAAAAAGCGACTGAACTCATGCAGATAGAGGGCAGAATACCAGAGAAGAATGATAGTGGAAGGGCAGGGGAAAGTGGGGATGGTCAATGGCTATGAACATTTAGTCAAAAAAATGAATAAGATCTAGTATTTAATAACACAGCAGGGTGACTGTAGTCAATAATAATTTAATTGTACAGTTTAAAATAAAAAGATGTGTAATTAGATTGCTTGTAACACAAAGGCTAAATGCTTGAGGTGACTGATATACCTCACTTACTCAAAAGTAATTCTTACACATTGTTTACCTGTATCAAAATAGCTCATATACCCTATAAACATGTACACCTGCTATATGTATGCCTATGCCCACAAAAAATTAATAATAAACTTTTTTTAAAGCACAAGTTAAGAAACAAACAAAAATAAAAGAAACACATGCATACAAAAGAACAAACTCATAGGGGGTTTATGATTCTAATTCATCAAACTGATTCTGATTTAATTTCTGTTTTTTTTTTTTATTATCAATATTTTCTCTGAAGATACTATACTGACTGGCCAATGTCAAGAGCCCATGCTTCTAACTGGTATTTCTCATTACAAATAAATGTTTTGTAACAATTACACAATCAGAGTGGCATATTGATGGGAAAAAAATAATTTTTTCCCCTTTTTCCCTGGCATTTCCACTCTGGCATTTTGCTAATCAAGGCTAAGCAAGGCTAGCGTGAATTTTAAGCTATTGTTTGGGTCTGGGTTTTCTCTAAATTGTATTCATCCCCTTTAAAGTAGCTACTATCTGAAGTATTTCTTCTCATTGTGGAAGTCAAGCACCCAGGGTGCCTATCCCAAAAAGTGCATTTCAAGTTTTTGCTTTACTTAATAGAGATGGTAGGTGAGCAGTTAATCTTTGATGAGATTTGAGTAAATGTAAAATGTTAGATGGTGTCAGAAGCAATGATATATTTATAAAATATTAGCGTATTTTTAAAAATATATATCAAATCTGAGAACAAAAACTGATTTTCTTACTCAATTTTAGTGTTCAAAAAGTATATTTTCTTGATAAGACTAATCCAATATAATAAGATGTATTGCACTTGAAAGTAACATTCAGACAACTCAAAGATTAACCAAGCCAAGAGAATGCATTATTTCATTACTATTTAAACACTATGATTTTAACCACAGTAAGCATGTCACCTTGTTCATGCCCAGTCATTTCCTAATAGTTAACAATTTTTGCAGGAAAAGTTTCTAGAGTTGCTGTGACAACACTATATTCTTTTAAATAAAGACTTGTTTATAGTCTTCTTGTGAATAGTCTTGGTTTACAGTGGCCTGCTAAAACTTGGCAGGGAGCGTGTGCAGTGTCTTTACTGGAGTTCTAAGCATGGTCACTTGAAGTGTTCTTCCCTTACTAGTCTAGCATTCCTAGAGGAAGGTCATATACCAGTTAAACTCTGCCATTTTGCCTCTGAATGTGCATTTTTGAGCCCACTCATCCAACTCCTGAGGTCAGAAAGCTGCTGATCACCAGTTTCAGGTGATTTCTATCTATTGGGAGACAACCACTTTCCATTGTTCTGGCTGTGACCAATTATTATTGCCTGATCATCACCTGATTGCCACCTGACATTCCTGTTGTGTGTGTGTGTGTTGTGGGGAGCCCTCTTCTGCCAAGTAATGCCTGACTGGCTACCTACTGTAACAGTAGCTCCACTCTTCACAGCTCTATTTTCATGTCTTTTGCCTTTAGGTACTCTAAATCCAATGGATCTCTTTCAGTGAGTCTGTTTTAATTGGATACTTGGGTCTGAATCTTGGTGAAAACCTACAGCTATGTTAATCTTATTTGATAATGTAGTTATTCCTCTAAAACTGTATATAGTACTATTAATTTCTTCATTGTAAATTATTCTGGTGTGTTCATATAAAAACATAATATTTAAGATGAAATATTCTAAAATTCAAGTTTCAGCACTTTTTCTTACAGACATTTGGCAGAACATTTCACTAGCAGTGAAATAATTGCACAGTATGTAATATATAATTCATTTGATGCAGATGCTGAATATCTGCTGGATTCAATGTGGGTAGCAGTAAAGATATTTTTATTTTTATCTTTACTTAAATGAGTCTAGTTTGAAATAAATTATGTTTATTGTTAGTAACTGATACGGTTTGGCTGTGTCCCCACCCAAATCTTTTGTTGAATTGTAATTCCTATGTGTTAAAGGAGGGGCATGGTGGAGGTGATTGGATTATGGGAACAGATTTCTCCATGCTGTTTTCATGATAGTGAATGAGTGCTTATGATATCTGATGATTTAAAAGTGTGTGGCACCTCCCCCTTCATTCTCTCTCTCCTGCTGCCATGGGAAAGCATGCCTTGCTTCCCCCTCACCTTCCACTATGATTGTAAGTTTCCTAAAACCCTGAAGTCATGCTTCCTGTTAAGCCTGAAGAACTCTGAGTCAATTAAACCTCTTTTATTAATAAATTATCCAGTCTCAAGGAGCTCTTTATAGCCGTGTGTAAATAGACTAATGCAGAAAATTAACACCTGGAGAGAGGGCCACTGCTATGAAGACACCTGAAAATGTGGAACTGACCTTGGAACTGGGTAACAGACAGAGGTTGGAACAGTTTGGAGGAATCAAAAGAAGACAGGAAGATGTAGAAAAGTTTGGAACTTCCTAGAGAATTGTTGAATTTTTTTTTCTGTTTTGTTTTGTTTTGAGATGGAGTTTCACTCTTGTCACCCAGGCTGAAGTGCAAGGTGCAATCTTGGCTCAATGCAACCTGCACTTCCTGGGTTCAAGTGATTCTCCTACCTCAGCCTCCCAATTAGCTGGGATTACTGGTGCCCGCCACCATGCCCAACTAATTTTTTGTATTTCTATAGAGATGGGATTTCACCATGTTGGCCAGGCCGGTCTTGAACTTCTGACTTCAGGTGATCCACCTGCCTTGACATCCCAAAGTGCTGGCATTACAGGCATAAGCCACTGTGCCTGGCCATTGAATGGTTCTGACCAAAATGCTGATAGTGATATGAACAATAAAGTCTAGGCTGAGATAGTCTCAGATGGAGATGAGGAACTTATTGGGAACTGGAGTAAAGGTCTCTCTTGCTATGCTTTAGCAAAGAGACTGGTGGCATTGTGCCCCTGCTCTAAATACCTGTGGTACTTTGACCTTGAGATGGATGATTTAGGGTATCTGGCAGAAGAAGTTTCTAAGCATCAGAGAATTCACAATGTGACCTGGCTATTTTGAAAAGTGTACGTTTATATGCATGAACAAAGAGATTACATGTAACTAGAAATTATATTTAAAGGGGAAGCAGAGCACAAAAGTTTGAAAATTTGCAACCAGACCATGTGGTAGAAAAAAAAAAAACAAAACAAATTTTCTAGGAATAATTTAGCTGGATGCAGAAATTTGCATAAGTACAGGGAAGTCAAATGTTCATAGCCAAGACAATGGTGGAAAATTGGTCTCCATGTCATGTCAGAGACCTCCTTTACAGCAACCCCTCCCATCAATGGCTTGGAGGCCTAGGTGGAAAAAATGGTTTCATGGGCCAGGCCCAGGGTTCTGCTGCTCTATGCAGCCACAAAACATGGTGTCCTGCATCTCAGCCACTTCAGCTCCAACTGTGGCTAAAAGGGGTCAAGGTACATACAGCTCAGGCTATTACTTCAAATAGTGGAAGCTCCAAACCTTGGCAGCTTCCACATGATGTTGGACATGCAGGTGCACAGAAGGCAAGGACTGAGATTTGCAAACCTGTGTCCAGATTTTAGGGGATATATGGAAGCACCTGTATGTCTAAGCAGAAGTCTGCTGCAGGGGTGGAGCCCTCATGCAGAACCACTGCTAGGGCAGTGCAGAGTGAAATTGTGGGGTTGGAGCCCCCACACAGAGTCCCCACTGGTGCACTGCCTGGTGGAGCTATGAGTAGAGGGCCACCATCCTTCAGATCCTAGAATGGTAGATACACTGACAGCTGGCACTGGGTACCTGGAAAAGCTGAAGGCACTCAACACTAGCCCATGAAAGGAGCCGCAGGAGCTGTACCTGGCAGATCCACAGAGGCAGAGCTGCTGAAGACCTTGGGAGCCCACCCCTTGAATCAGCAAGCCCTAAATGTGAAACATGGAGTCTAAGGAGATTGTTCTAGAGCTTTAAGATTTAATGCCTTTCCCTCCTGGGTTTTAGACTTGCATGAGGCCTGTAGCTCCTTTGTTTTGGCTGATTTCTCCCTTTTGGAATGAGAACATTTGTGCATTTCCTGTACCTCAATTGTATCTTGGAAGTAATTAACTTGTTTTTTAATTTACAGGCTCATCAGTGGAAGGGACTTGCCTTGTCTCAGATGAAACTTTGGACTTGAACTTTTGAGTTAATGCTGAAATGAGTTAAGGCTGTGGAATTGTTGAGTAAGTATGATTGTGTTTTGAAATTTGATAAGAACATGAGATTTGGGAGGTGACAAGGGCAGAATGATATGGTTTGGCTCTGTGTCTCCACAGCAATCTCTTGTTGAATTGTAATCCCCATGTGTTGAAGGAGGGGCCTGGTGGTAGGTGATTAGATTATGAGGACAGGTTTCCCCATGCTCTTCTTGTGATATTGAGTGAGTTCTCATGAAATCTGATGGTTTAAAAGTGTGTGACACTACCCTCCTCAGTATCTTTCTCTCTCTCCCTCAGCCATGAGAAGACATGTCTTGCTTCTGCTTTGTCTTCTGTCATGATTGTAATTGTACTGAGACTCACCAAGACATACTTCTTGTTAAGCCTGCAGAACTGTGAGTCAATTAAACCTATTTTCTTCATAAATTACTCAGACTCAATTAGTTCTTTATAACAGTGTGAAATGAACTAATGCAATAACTTTCCTCATAATCCTTCTAACATCTTTTAAATATTGGTAAGTGACTTATACACTAATAATGTTTCTGGTTCACAAAAGTTATTTATTTTATAAAATATTTTGTTCCATATATCTAGAAAAACATTTTAATAGTTAACTCTTTGGATCAAGTTTCCTGAGAAACTTCCACTTTCAAGATCTTCCAAACAAGAAAATTGACTGAAAGCTTGAAGCTAAAATATCAAACTTTTCTTCATGATTTCTTAATTACAATGTAATCCCTGGGCATAAACAAGGTGACTTCACTACTGTGGTTAAAATCATAGCCTTTAAATACTAGTTACAGGAATACATACCCTTTCCTAGATCAATCTTAGAGTTTTCTGAATACGATCTAAGTTCAATAGGTGGTGATAAATGCATCAAATAAATGTGTTGTAATTATTTTAAATTATGTATACTATTATAAAAGTTTCATTTTCTGAAGCTCTGCAAGAACTCAATGTTACATTTTATATGTACTGTAGGAAGCATAATGCTGTAAAAAATAAACTGTATGGACAATGTGTCCAAAAAAAACTTAGAAATAGGTATAAACTCTAATAATGTTACTACAGTTATGAAACAATTTGCTGATTCTATATGAACTTCTCTCTTTACGTTGAAAATTGCGATAATAACATAACCTTTTTTTTTTTTTTTTTTTTGAGACGGCGTCTCCCTCTGTTGTCAGGCTAGAGTGCAGTGCAGTGCAGTGCCGTGATCTCGACTCACTGCAACATCTGCCTCCCAGGTTCAAGCTATTCTCCTGTCTCAGCCTCCCGAGTAGCTGGGACTACAGGTGTGTGCCACCACACCTAGCTAATTTTTGTATTTTTAGTAGAGACAGGGTTTCGCCACGTTGGCCAGGATGGTCTTGATCTCCTGACCTTGTGATCCGCCCACCTCAGCCCCCCAAAGTGCTGGGATTACAGGCGTGAGCTACCGTGCCCGGCCAATAACATAACCTCTCTTATGCTTTTGACAGAACTCTGCTGGATATCATGTGGAAAAGTCTCCATGTGGTTATTGGCACAAAGTAGTTGTTAAAATAAATGGGCCATTATATTTTACCCTTGATTTGAGAATAAAAATTGAAGATTATAGAAAATGATCAGACAGTCTGGCCAACATAGTAAAACCCCATCTTTATTAAAAATACAAAAAATTAGCCAGGTGCAGTTGTGTGCACCTGTAATCCCAGGTACTCGGGAGGCTGAGGCAGAAGAATCTCGTGAACCTGAGAGGCGAAGGTTACAGTGAGCAAGATCATGACATTGTACTCTAGCCCATGCGACAGCGTGAGACTTGGTCTCAAAAAAAAAAAAAAGAAAAAAAGAAAAAAAAGAAAATGGTCAGAATATATCATGGCTCATAAAATTTCGGGATAAACCTTCCTCTTTATTCTGCTTAGAAATTCACATCTTTTTTTTCCTGTATGCTAAAACATGTCATCTATTCTGCTCTTGCATTATAATCTGATCAGAAAAAGCATTATCAACTGGAGAGACTCATTTTTGCCAACCCTGATTCCCAAGACACACAGGGCAAGTCAACTTAATTATAAAGGAATAGGCTTTCCAAGACAGTTTTAAATAATTGCTGTAATTATACCCCCCAAGAACTTCCTTGTTCTTTATACTCAGACTGATGATATAAAATACTTTTTAAATTTTTAAACTCTGGAAGTTTTCTAGAAACAGGAGTGTAAACAACAACAACAACAACAACAAAAAACACTGCTATTCTTTATTTCCTGCAGGGTTTTTTTTATGTGCTAACACTTTCCACTAAGAGACAAATATAAAAAATATCACTCTCAGAAAGACCAGAGCAAACTTCCCTTACCCAGAATGTGAGGGATTGTTGCTAACCTATTTTTCAGGAGAAGAATCATTAAAATCCTGCTATGTTTCACACCTTGGGGCAAATGTGTACATAAATTTTCCTTTAACAATTCAGTTTTGAGCAGAACTCCTGACATACCTCAGATATTTTCTCTGACTCTTGATACATAAATCTGCCAAAATAATACTTTGTCTACTAAAAATGCTTGGAAAAGATTCTTCAAAATCTCATTACATTTTTGAAGCCTCAGACTACTGTAATTGCCAAAGGCAAATAAATGAAAATTGACTTGTTATTTAGCATTAAACAGCCTTACTCAAATAGTGTTGTCATTGGCAAAGATTTCAAGCTACTTCAATAACCCCTTTTTAATTTCATCCTCAATATCCGATGCCCATTTATATCCACATGCAATTATATTTCCTCCTGCATAAAATACATAATCATACCACCAGCTGGCTATAACCCACCAACATTTCCCCCTCAAGAGTGGGAATAGTTTGGAACCCTAAAATTGTTATTACAAATTAGTTCTTTCCCATTCTAGAATATTATCTAATCAGCCAAAGGTAGATGTGTGATATTCTCAGATTGAATAGCTTAGATTTTTTTTTAAATCTAAGATCCTCATAACAATATATTGAAAAGCAAAGAAGTTAATCACAAAGAGTACTCTACTCATCTTCAAGTACTCAAAAGTCATCACCATATTTGGCAGTTGTAACTACTCATTAACTTTTTTTTGAGTTATTTGATAGGAAATGAAAAGATTTCTTACATTTCAGCTTGCCTCTCTTGTGTCCATATAATGTTTGTTTAATGGATTATACATTTTATTGCATTACATTTAACGTCCAATTGACTGTTTAGTCTTTAATATCCTTTGTTATTATGAAAGCCTCTGTATCTTAACATTTTCAACTATAGGGCCTGAATTTGCCTGTGCCTTGTCATAACAGTGTTATTCCTTATTTTTCTTTAATTTCCTTTGTTTAATATGTTTTTATATCTCCTTGTATTTTCAAACTTTACTTGATAATTTAAAAATGCATCATATTTATAACACATAATAGTAAAATAGTACTAAATAATGGCTAAGTACCTGAGATTCAAACCAGAATTCAAGGCAGACTGCCTTTGCTATTTACTAAGTAAGTAGTGACATTGGATAACATTTAAACTAGTTATTTTTTAGTTTCTTCATAGGAAAAATGAGAAGGATAATTGTCCCTCTCTCATTGGTAACTGTGAAGATTAAGTGGGATATTAAGTATTAATCATTCAGATGCTTTTTAACATCTCTACATTTATATAAGTGAATTTGTATCACTTGAATTTATTAATTGCATTTCCATTCCATGCATAATTATTATTTATTTTATGTTATGGCATTTTCTAGACATTGAGGAAACTGAAAAATTATTAAATATGTTGTCTTAAATGCCTTAAAAGCTAATTTTCCTGTCAATAATACAATATTTGGATGGATACATACAATGAAAATATTAATCAAGAAATTAATAAGATGACTTCTGATCATGATAAATGCTATGAACATTTAATGCCATACTATGGTCATGAATCAAGGTTCAAGGAAGATGTCACTGAGGAGGTAAATTTTGAGCCGAGATCTAAAACCTGAAAGGATTCAAACACTAAGTGTATCAGGGAAGCTAATTACAGGCACTGCAACTTGTAGACTATTTCCAAACAGTAAGATACAGGAAACTTTGGGCTCATATCATTTGTTTTTCATCTCTCAGGAATCATTACTTTGTGTGTTATCCAATATGGAAAGCATGTTTGTAATTTTTCTGTTGTTTAAGGTGAAAGGTATATTTAGTTCCTTTGTGTTTTGAATCTTCATTTACATGAAATAACTTTTTTATTTTGAGATTACTTCCAAATTACAGAAGTGTTGAAAATAGTACAAAAATTCACATATATCTTTTACCAAAGACTACTAATTAACTATACCCTTTACCTAGAATCAGCTATTATTAACATTTTATAATTTTTGTGTCTTTTTTCCTTTGCACACTCACACACTTCTGAATCAACAAAGAATAATTTACGGCCGGGAGTGGTGGCTCACGCCTGTAATCTCAGCACTTTGGGAGGCTGAGGAAAGCAGATCACGAAGTCAGGAGTTTGAGTCCAGTCTGGCCAACATAGTGAAACCCCGTCTCTACTAAAAATACAAAAAATCAGACGGGTGTGGTGATGTGTGCCTGTAATCCCAGCTACTCAGGAGGCTGAGGCAGGAGAATTGCGTGAACCCAGGAGGCAGAGGTTGCAGTGAATTGAGATCCCACCATTGCACTTCAGCCCGGGGGGCAGTGTGAGGCTCAATCTCAAAAAAAAAAAAAAAAAAAAACCGAAAAGAATAATTTACATACTTCGTGACCCTTTACCACTAACTACTTCACAACTACATTTCTAAGCGAAAAAACAATCTCATTCACAACATCTCCAAAATTTTCAACTTCAGGAAATGTAATATTGATACAATATTATCATCTAGTATACAATCCATATTCTAGTTTCATGTAGTGCCCAAAAAATGTATTGTATAGCCATAGTTCCTCTGATCCAGAATTCCACCCAGGATAATTCATCACATTTAGTTATCTTGTCACTTGTTTTCTTTATCTGGAAAATTTTATATCTTTCTTTTTCTTTCATGGTTAACATTTTCTAGGACAGGTGATATGTTTTGTAGTATGACCCTTTATCTAGATTTGCTTACTGTTTTGACATGATTAAATTGAAATCATTTATATGTGACAGAAATATTACATAAGTGACATTTTATCTTTCTCAATGAATTATGTTGGGAAACACATAATGTCTCTTTATCCCACTATTGCTGATGTTAATTTTGATCACTTGGCTGAGGTGATGTTTACCAAA
This sequence comes from Homo sapiens, assembly GCF_000001405.40. Lineage (NCBI taxonomy): Eukaryota > Metazoa > Chordata > Mammalia > Primates > Hominidae > Homo > Homo sapiens. The sequence continues at coordinate 64,178,053 of NC_000004.12, read as the reverse complement.
ATTCTCCACTGAAAAGTTATACTTTTCCCCTGTGTAATTAATTATAATATTTTATTAGGAAGCCAATTTGAAATTCTGCAAATAGGCTGTTCATTTTTTCACTGAATATTTTTGCATTAATTGATAATTCTTGCTTGAGTCTTCTTTTTTTTACTAATTTTATTGATTTTCTAAACCTAGCATTTTTCTGCATTCATTAGTTGTCATTCTACCATACATTTTGATATTTTACTGCTTCTCTCCTCCTTCCTTCCTTTCTTCCTATTTTTATGCTTTCTTTTTTATTTTCTATAATAGCAGACTGTGTATACATATGCTATTCAATGGAATATAATACTTTATCTATGTTATTCTTTTGTTCTTCAAAATGTGCCAGATTTGTCTAGTCCTTGCAAGATAGCTTCTCTTTTAAAATGGTCTCTTATTTTTTAGCATTTATTATTTTATGACACTAGATATTACAGTTTCACCCAGCACTTTTCTTGTCATAGCCCAAGAATTGTCTATTTCAACACGGTCTCCAATTTCTTATGGCAAAATCAAAGTCAAAATGCAAGGTTCTTATTACTATTGGAATGTCATTGTTTCTAGGCCAAATTAAAAAGAAAAGAAGAAACAAAAATGACTTTTTATGTTATATGTTTACTGTTTTTCTTGTTGTTTTGTTTTTGCTTTAGGTTCATGAATGAAAGACATCATTTATTATGTAAGGATGATTTAAGTAGGAAAATGTTTTGATAGAATATTTTTTGAGATGGAGAATTAGTAGTGTTGGTTTGCTCTTGTTAAATTTGTGATACCTATTAGATATATAGATAACGATAGAAATTAGCCAGATGTAAACATTTGAAGTTAGTGGAAATGTTAGAATCAAGTAATACATTTTAGAATTAGTAGAATATACATGGTATTTAAGGGCATGATATTGGATGAGATCACTTAGGAAATGCATATAGAAATAAAAGAGAAGCAGTGCTAAGATACTGTAATAATTAGAAATCAAATAGAGACCACAGTCAACATCCTCTGTGACATCATATTTTATACCTCTCCCTCTCTTTAGCTTCAGTGAAACTGGCACTTTTGGTTTTCTTGAACATAGCATGCAGCCCTGGAATAAGATTTTAGTATTTCCAGAACTTCCTATCTGAAAGATATTTAGACCAAATCTAATTTTTCATTCTTCCTCAACTGTACATCTTTGAGCAATTGCCATTTTCTCTCTAAAGACATCTCTAACTTATTTAATGTGTCAATCCTCACTCCTCTTTCTTGATTATTTTCTATTATTTCCCTTAACATTATCCAATTAACTATATAATTGATGTATTTATTTTTCTTAGTTTCTGTCTTTCTTGAATGTAAGCCAATCAGGACAGAGAACTTAGCATGCTTTGTTTATTGCTATACTACCAGTACTTTAAAAAGTATATAGTATATAATTATTGCAAAATAAATAATCGAACAAATGATATATAGATTTCAAACCAATTGCAAAAACAAAACCATATAAAGAAGTATATTTGTTGTCATTTAAACACTTACCAAAATGTTTAATGTCAGTAGCAGAACAAAGATCTTTTTGTATTTAATATTATTTTCATTTCAGCAGTACAACATTCTAAATAGCCATTAAAAGTGAAACTACCTTTAAAACTGTTTCGGTTTTTAAATTTCCTTCTTTTTTTTTTTTTTTTGAGACGGAGTCTCGCTCACCCAGGCTGGAGTGCAGTGGCATGATCTCAGCTCACTGCAAGCTCCACCTCCTGGGTTCACACCATTCTCCTGCCTCAGCCTCCCAAGTAGCTGGGACTACAAGCGCCCACCACCGCACCCGGCTAATTTTTTGTATTTTTAGTAGAGACGGGGTTTTACCGTGATAGCCAGGATGGTCTCAATCTCCTGACCTTGTGATCCGCCCGCCTCGGCTTCCCAAAGCGCTGGGATTACAAACGTGAGCCACAGCGTCCAGCCCAGTTTTTAAATTTCTAAGACATAGAACTAATTACCTTTGATTATGTTATTTATTTATTTATTTATTTATTTTTAACTTTTGAGACAAGAGTCTTGCTCTGTCACCCAGGTTGGAGTGCACTGGCGGGATCTTGGCTCATGGCAACCTCCATTTCCCAGGTTCAAGCGATCCTCCCAACATACTGATCTTTTATTAACATGAACTTATTTTACCATTTTTCAATTTTAAAGTATAAAATATTCAAAAGGAATTTTTCAAGTGATAGTTAATGTGCTTTCTTTCATTTTAGTGATCAAACTGTGCGAGTGAAAATTGTTCAAATGTTTATTTTTTACAAGAATCGGATCATAAAGTATATCTACTTCAAACTTGATTTGTTCTTTGCTTAGCTAATTTTTATTAAGTTTCACATTTACGGACAAGAAGAGCATGCTATTTTTTAAGTATTTAAACACTTTTCAAGGAAAATTGTTTCATTAACATTTTAATATTTATCTTCAAATAATGCTTCAACACCTTACCATGAAATTTAATTATATGATTTAAATAGAGATACAATTTGACATTTAATGCTCACATTGAACTTATGCCTTGTTCACATAGAGAACTATACACCTTTATAATGTATTATTTTACAAAAATATTAACAATGGAAACATATTCAAGTTGCTTAAAATAATCAACATATATATACTAACCTGAATTTTTATTAATATGTCAAATGAAATAAAATTGGCTCAAAAACAATTTAATATATATCATAATTCTTACATTTTATGTGTCATAGAATGATGCAGTAAGTATGACAAATATATTGAGCTGCTATCTAGGAGACCAGAATAATTAAATAGTCCTATGTCTTAAATAATCCAACTTCACTGAAAGCATCTTTATTTTTTATTAGTGTCATATTTCTGGGTAATATTTAAATTTCCTGGAACTCCAAAGTAAATAATTTAAAGTATAGCCTAATTATAAACATAAAATTGAACAATGTCAAGGAATAATTTAAAAATTTAGAACAGATTTTAAATAACAATTGTGGATATTAACAGAAATGCAGAATCAGTTACCTTTAATATTGGGCTTTTAATTTTACATATTTTTCCTTGAGTTCAAAGTAGGAAATATGATGGTAGGGTCACAAGATCCTTAGCATGTCACTTTTCCAGCTCAAAACCAACCACTTTTTTATCTGTGGCCAGTGGCACCTTTGCCTGAGTTCTGTTCAGGCTGCTGTGCTGGTTCCACCCACTAGGCCCAGCAGGCCGTGCTTGGCTCGCTCTACTGGCTTGGACTCCATGCCTGCCAAGGGTGAGCAAGACATGGAGCAGTGAGGGGTGTGTAAGCGAGTGTGGGGTCTGGCCACTGCTCACAGCCAGGCGTGCCGGCTGCGGCAGGGTGGACAGCTCTAGGCCCTGGTACAAGCGTCGGCTCCCTACGAGGCTGCGACTGCACCAGGTGTATCACAAGTAGCTTCCATTGTGGGTGCCAGAGAATGCAGTGGTGCCTGGAAGCTTGGAGACACCAGGAACCGCAGAGCCCCAAGGAAGTGTCACAGCCCTGACTTGGGGAGCTACTAGGTCTGGGCTCCTGAAAGTGCTGCAGCACTTCTCTCCTTCTCTCTTCTCTCCTCCTAGTGGAGAGTCGGGGGCATGTCTCAGCCCTGTTTGTGTTACAGCACTTTCAGTCTCATCATTTGGCAGGTCCTGAGTTATTGTCCAATGTCCAGGAAGAATGAGATATGTGGACAACTGGAAGGTGAACAAGGCAGAGAGGAGCTTCACTGAGCAATAGAACAGCTCGCCAGAAATCCGAAGTGGGTAGCTCCTTTCTGCAGTTGGTAGTCCCAGTGCCTGTGTGAGACTGGCTAAGTCTGGGGTTTTTATGGGCTCAGAAGGGAGGAACTGTGTGCTGATTGATCCATCGGTGGTCATGGGTGAGCCCCAAAAAAGCACTCCAGGCCACAGACTCCACCGGGAACTGGTAGCCAATCCCCAGGTTTCAGGCCATCCCTGGCTTGAAGGTGGGGTTTCACCAGGGACCCACCCCTTTCTGCCCAGGAACCTGTCTGCCTCCCACCATCTACATGCAGTCCAAGGCACTCAGTCTGTTTGCACTGAGGAGCACTTGCAGGCCTGTGCTGAGCTGCCATTAGCCCCCTCCAGCATCCCTCTTGTGCTCCTTGGCACCCAAAGTCTGGAGGAGGCCGAGGTGGTGGTGGGGGATAGTATGTCAGTGCCTTCCTGAGCGCGTGCACAACCGGCTGGGTTGCAACAGCACCCAGGCTTGGCCACAACTTTGCTCGAAAATTGGAGCAGGCACCAGGATCAAGGGAGAGGCCAGGGAGTAAGAGCAGAGACATCTGAGCCAGTGGGGCCAGGGGAGTTTCCTGGTCTCCCAAGAGTGCAGGGATGCCTGGGTCTGGAGCTGCAGCTATCCAGCTGTGCCCCAGAGCCTGGCGCTCCTGCCGCACCAACTCAGTAGGGGGCAGGGCTCCCACCTGTTCCTGCCTCCCGCTGGCTCCATGGAGTGTGCAGCCCTGACTGTGCCTCCCCTGCTGCAGCTGGCATCCCCGCAGTGGCTGCTCTAGATGGGCCACCACCACCATCAGAGGCACTTCTTTTAAAAATTATATTTAATTTAATAAATAATATTAGAGCCAAATATATAATTTTAGAAATATTGTGTTTGCCATGATGCAGTTACAGAGTGACTATGGAAATTAAATATGTATTACACACTGAAAGTACGAAAATCATGACATGGCCGGGCACAGTGGCTCATGTCTGTAATCCCAGCACTTTGGAAAGCCAAGGCAGGCGGATCACCTGAGGTCAGAAGTTCAAGACCAGCATGACCAACATGGAGAAACCCTGTCTCTACTAAAAACACAAAATTAGCCAGGCGTGGTGGTGCATGCCTGTAATCCCAGCTATTCGGAAGGCTGAGGCAGGGGAATCGCTTGAACCTGGGAGGTGGAGGTTGCGGTCAGCTGAGATGGTGCCATTGCACTCCAGCCTGGGCAAGAAGAGCGAAACTTTGTTTCCAAAAAAAAAAAAAAAAAAAAGGTCTAGGCACAGTCGCTCAAGCCTGTAATCCCAGAACTTTGGAAGGCCAAGGCAGGTGGATCACCAGGAGTTCGAGACCAGCCTGACCAATATGGTGAAACCCCATCTCTACTAAAAATACAAAAATTAGCTGGGTATGGTTGCACATGTTTGTAATCCCAGCTACTCTGGAGGCTGAGGCAGGAGAACTGCTTGAACCCTGGAGGCAGAAGTTGCAGTGAGCCAAGATTGCACCACTACACTCCAGCCTGGGCGACAGAGTGAAAAAAAAAAAAGAAAATATGACGTAAAATTTTGTTTATTTAGCATATTGCAAGCATAAAAGTTAGAATATGCTTAAATAAGGCTACTTGTGAATTAAGAATTATTATAACAATCTGTTATGATTATTCCACAAGTGATTCCTAGAAGTGAAAATAATTCATGCTCTTCAGCTAATGATTTTATTTTTGCTCAAAGAATAATTATAAGCATATAGATTCATAGCCCAGTTAAATATATTTGAGATGTGAAGTAGAACATGGCATCAATGATGAGACCAATAAGAAATTAAAATATAGCATGTTATTTTAAAAGTTGCTGTTTATAAAAATGTTGTATTATTGGTAGATCATTTGCATATTTTTTCTCTACAAGTCTGCTATGATCATGAAGACAGAGACCACTATGGTTATATCTAACAGAAAGATATTTAAGAAAGGAATTTAGAAACAGCTCTTATAAAACAACTGGAAAAGCTGAGGAAGCACAAGTCAAGGAAACTTGCCAGTGGCTTTTGGGAGATCAAAATTTTTTAGTTAATATGGGAATTAGCCATTGATTTTCTCAGACTTCTGCAGCACTAGTGAGAGTATTTTGATAGACAATGCCCACGGTCACTGTCAAAACCTTATGTCTGCCATATGTATGTCCTGGCCCATGTGATTTTTCACCACATCCACATGAACAAGAATGGCATTTACTTCTGTTATGCCCTCCAAAGCTTTTGTTAATGCTTCTTCTTGGTGGAATACAATCTAAAATTCTGCTGATGGGAATTATGTAGAAATATATGTTCTGGGTTTCTAGCTTCTACTACACTGGCAAAATCATGCAAGGAAAACTTATTATTGAGTTGCTAAAAGACAGCATAAGACAAACTCAAAATCGTATTTAAGGTTTATACCTTTTAAAAGAATTACATGGGACCATAGAGATACTCTAAGTAATACAATCTCCATTGCAGAGTATTAATCACCACACTTAACTATGTAGACTCTTCAAAGAAGCTAAACTATAACTGAAAAAGAATTATAGGCCATATATATAATTTTCATTAGAGAACCAGCATTTGTGTTCTTAAGGAAAATATAAGAATTATCTCTTCTGTGTTATTCTTAGATATTCTGGCATCAGCTTATATTTCAGTCTCTATTTTTATATGCATAATAGTAGTAGAGTTAGAGGTATAAAAGTGTTTTTTTTATGTTTTATATTTTAAGAGGAAAAGTTTTATAAGGCATATATGTTAGTTATACTTATCAACCATTACCAATGTTTAAGTATTATTTTATCTTCACTATTATCATAAATTGCACTAAATCCTATATGAAAACAAGTAAGGTATAAGACAAAACATTACACGTGTATGAGTGTATATGTGTATGCATTGTACATCTATGCACATAGATCTTGTATAGGATATAAATAAAAATGTGTATTCTCTGTGCTTTGTAGTGTATCCAAACACAGATGAGGTATTTCTTGGTATAATTTTACATCCGTACTTAAGACTGTGTTTGTACCCATGTAATTTAGTGACAGTTTCATGCATGTTAAATTTAGTGACAGTTTCATGTAAGTCTGGCCGGGCGTGGTGGCTCACATCTGTAATCCCAGCATTTTGGGGGGCCAAGGTGGGTGGATCACCTGAGGTCTGGGATTCAAGAACAGCCTGACCAACATGGAGAAACCCCGTCTCTGCTAAAAATACAAAAATTAGCTGGGTATGGTGGTGAATACCTGTAATCCCAGCTACTCAGGAGGCTGAGGCAGGAGAATCACTGGAACCTGGGAGGCAGAGGTTGTAGTGACCTGAGACTGCATCACTGCACTCCAGCCTGGGTGACACAGTGAGACTCCATCTCAAAAAATAAATAAATAAATAAAATAAAAGTCATAATTTTTCCAATTATATCTTAGGATGTTTACATAAAATTTTAATTCCTAAGAGCACATACCTTGCAAATTCTCATTTTTCTGATAGGTTTGTTACTTGGTTAAAATGTGTAAAGTTTTAGTGTGTGGTTGATAATCTAGATTCATGTAAAAAATGACATTTCTTGGCAGTTCTACATTTTCAAAAAATTACTCATAATCTGAGAATAGAGTAGCTTTCTGCAGCTTTCATTGGAATACTTATGTTTTAAACATCTTCTCTATACCTGGGGACAGGATCCTCTATGATATAGGCCAATTGTTAATGAAAACATGTTTTTTAAAGTATCAGTATCCTGTTGGTTTACACTGATATTCATTTGGATTAATGAGGCACTCTGGTAGTTTATAGGATATAGGCTAAACTCATTTGATTTATGTATAATAAATAGCTCTGCTTCAACAGTGTTGACTGTTAAAGTACTTCAAGTGAACATTTGTTCTTGAAGAATAAATCACACTGGTTCAACTAACCTGAAAAACTAAAAAATCCTGGTAAAATATGTAAGTTGAGTAAATGAGGTAGAAGCATCTCTACTTTCCATGGAGAATTCTGTTACTTGTAGATCTTAAACATCACTGAATAAAGACAAGTAAGTTCTCAGTGGGGTAAGAAAAATGAACCAAGGGAAAAAAAAGGAACTCTTTTACTTTTTACCTCATCATTGTTGCCAGTCAAGACCACCTGATCTTTGACAAAGCTGACAAAAGCAAGAAATGGGGAAATGATTCCTTATTTAGAAGTGGTGCTAGGATAACTAGCTAGCCATATACAGAAGACTGAAGCTGGATGCCTTCTTTCTTCAGTTTATAGAAAAATGAACTGAAGATGGATGAACAACTTAAAGGCACAAGCCAAAACTATGAAAACTATAAACTATAAAAACCCTAGAAGACAACCTAGGCAATACCATCCTGGATATAGGAATGAGCAAAAATTTCATGACAAAGATACCAAAAGAAATCAGAATAAAAGCAAAGATTGACAAGTGGGATCCAATTAAATTTAAGAATTGCTGGCCAGGCGCAGTGGCTCACGCCTGTAATCTCAGCACTTTGGGAGGCTGAGGCAGGCAGATCACAAGGTCAGGAGATTGAGACCATCCTGGCTAACACGGTGAAACCTCGTCTCTACTAAAAATACAAAAAATTAGCAGGGTGCGGTGGTGGGCGCCTGTAGTCCCAGCTACTCTGGAGGCTGAGGCAGGAGAATGGTGTGAACCTGGGAGGCAGAGCTTGCAGTGAGCCGAGATCAGGCCACTGCACTCCAGCCTGGGCGACAAAGCGAGACTCCGTCTCAAAAAACAAAACAAAACAAAACAAAAAAATTTCTACACAGTAAAAGAGACTATCAACAGAGTAAACAGACAACCGACAGAATGGGAGAAAACATCTGCAAATTATGCATTTGACAAAGGTCTAATATCCAGCATCTATAAGGAACTTAAACGAATTCACAAGAGAAAAACAAACAATCTCATTAACAAGTAAGCAAAGGTCATGAATAAACAATTTTGAAAAGAAGACATACATGTGGCCAATAAGCATATGAAAAAATGCTCAATATCACTGATCATTAGAAAACTGCAAATTAAAACCACAGTAAGATACCATCTCACATTAGTAAGGATTGCTATTATACTAGTAAAAAGTAAAAAAATAACAGATGCTGGTGAGGTTGCAGAGAAAAAGGAACACTTATACACTGTTCATGGAAGTGTTGACTCGTTCAATCATTGTGGAAAGCAGTGTGGCTATTCCTCAAACAGCTAGGAGCACAACGGCCATTGGGCCCAGCAATCCCATTACTGGGTATATACCCAGAGGAACATACATCATTCTGTCATAAAGACACATGCATGCGAATGTTCATTGCAGCACTATTCACAGTAGTAATGACATGGAATCAACTCAAATGTCCATCAATAACAGATTCGATAAGGAAAATACAGTACATATATACCACAGAATACTATGCAGCAATTAAAAGAACAAGATCATGTCTTTTAAATTTAAGAATTTCTACACAGTAAATGAGACTATCAACACAGTAAACAGACAACCTACAGAATGGGAACGTGGGAAGGTGGATAAAGCTGGAGGCTATTATCCTTAGCAAATTAACACAGGAACAGAAAATCAAATGCTGAATGTTCTCATAAATGGGAGCTAAATGAAAGGAATTTATAAACACAAAGGAAGGAAACAACAGACATTGCAGTCTACTTGAGGGTGGAGAGTGGGAGGAGAGAGAAGAGCAGAAAAGATAACTATTGGGTACTGGACTTAATTCCTGGATAATGAGATAATCTGTACAACAAACCCCGGTGACATGAGTTTATGTATGTAACATATCTTCACAGGTACCTCCAAATCTAAAATAAAAGTTAAAAGATAAGAGGTAGATGAGGTTGAAAGAAAAAAGAAAGAATGAAAAGGAGGAAAAAAGAAACAACAACAGATATGTGGTTTGCACTTCATACAGTCCAGACTTCTTGGAAATACTCGTATAACTGAAATTCATCTGCTCTGGAAAATGCCAAATAACTCTCTTTAATTAGACCATTTAAATTCCGTTAAATACTTTACTTCATGGAAAGTTCAAGCTCCAATATGTTCAAAAGCTTAGCTGATTGTTGAAACAAAAAAGCCCAAAGATATTTCTCTTCTCATTATCTTTTAAACAGAAGAAATAAAAAATGATTAATAACCCTGAGGTGCTGAATTAAAGTAAACTTGAAGATGCAAGGGGAGGAGAAAATGAAATGAAAAATGCTCTGTGCTTCCATAGCTTCCACTTTCAACATGAGAGTGAAAAATAAAAAAGAAAGAGAATAAAATAAAACAAAATTACAAAACAATTACTGGTTTCATTCTAAGTGTGGAGATTGCTTTTTTTTTTTCTTTTTTTTGACAGTCTCACTGTGTTACTCAGGCCATAGTGCAGTGGCACAATCCAGGCTCACCCCAGCCTCAATCTCCCGGGCTCAGGTGATCTTCCCACCTCAGCACTGTTTGTAGCTGGGACTGCAGGCGACCATCACCATACCCGGCTAATTTTTGCATTTTTTGTAGAGACTGGTTTTGCCACGTTGCTAGACTGGTCTCGAACACCTGGACTTGCACGATCCTTCGCTTCCAAAGTGCTAGGATTACAGGAATGAGCCACCACACCTGGCCCTATATACTTTTTTTAAAAATTTACTTTAAATATAAAATTCAGCCTTAGCAGCAGAGAACTGGAAATCTCTGGCTTAAAAATATATTGATTTTTTTTTCATTTCTCTAAAGTAAGTTCAAGCTTAAGCAACCTGGAACTTGTGTGCAAACAATGTCCTGAGCAATTTATCACCCATTCTTAGCTTGTCATTCCAAACATATAGTAATATCTTGTTCTTGAGTACAAGATGATCACTGCAGCTCCTGGCCTATTTTCTGTATTCACATGATAAAGGAGAAAAAGCAAATAGCCTGTAAAAACACCTCCCTATGGAGTCAGGTCACTTAAAAAGCTTTTTCCATAAAAAATAATCCAACAACTTCTCTTTCCAATCTTTAGCCATGCTTAAGTTAAGTGCATGAAACCAATCCAATCACTTTCATTTTTTCCAGGGATGCAGTACCAGGTTACCCATGACCTCATTTGAAAAAAATCATTTTACACTCATCTCAAATTAAAGGAAATGTTGGAGAGATGTTCAAACTTCATTTTTTTTCCTCAGCGTAAGAGGGTGAACTTGTGGTAGTAGTATGATACCAAACACTGAAATGAAATACATAGAGAGTATACACGCAAACACACCTTTTAATAGCTTATTTTTCTCAAGATTTTACAGAAATTGTTGCTATGCTTTAATGTGTCATATCTACAGATCCCACAGTGAAGCTTGTTAAATAGCATTATGGCAACCTGGCCAGCTCTCTGTTTCCTTTCCTGGACATAAAAATATTTGTTATATTTAACATGCCAAAGTAAATGGAAACAACTATTGCATGATTGTTGGTTGTATAAGTATTCAATTATATGTATTGTTTATGTATTTTTTGGATAGATGTTAGAGTGAGCATTTGCTATTCATTACCATGAAAAACCTTTTTAAACAAATGATTATATGTATCAGTATGAGATTTTATTTCAGACAGAAGCAATAAGAAATGAAAAATGAGGTAACTGCACAAATAGCAATAGGAAAAGCACGGTTCTTGATTAACGGAAGTAACAGCAGCCTCCTGACTCTGGTAAGGCAAAGTGATTCTGTCTATAAATATCTCAAGCATTAAACAACAGCTCAACCTTCGATGGCACCCTAGAAATGCAGCCAGGTACTTTCTTTAAGCTCTGCCAAAAGTTTTGTGAATTAGTTTATAATTTGTTTTAATCTCATTTTAGAAAATTCCTTCCTGTTTAAAACAGCTAATTTTAGTATCTGAAACCAATTATGTTGGTAAATAAAAAGTACCAAGACTGGTTTCAGACAAAAAGACTTTGAGAAAAGTAGAAATCTGGTTAATTTTGGAAGAAGTTATATCCAAATTAGCATCAAAAGTTATAATTCTTATAGTTTTTACCACATGGTAAGTGAAGTATTTTTCCACCTGTTTTAAATTTTCACAGATAAAGGATCACCCTGATGTTTCTACTGAAAGCAAGGCAATCCATTTTGTGGAATGAATACTTGCTGTTATAAATTATGACTCTGGTCAAAAAGATTATAAGAATGAATAAGCTGGTTGAGTACATATAACTGCTATGAAAACCTTAAAGAAAGACAATTTCAAGCCTGCCATTTTATGTTCTTATACAAAAGGAGAATCCAAGAACTGTGCAATCTCTAGACTGCTTTGGAAGAATTACATTTTTCTTTGTAGCCATGAAAAGATGTAGAAAGAAATAAGATTATGGTCCTATAAAGAACTGAATTACAATAAATCTATAGTAGAGAAACTTATGCTAGATGTACACACATAATCAGAGACAGCTGAAACAGATGGGAATGATAGCAATTGTTCATTTGATTGGTAGACAATGTTGATTGGTACTTAATGTTGGCTTATTCTAAAATATTTGAGATGTCATAAATTATGATAAATTATATAGAGAAGTAATCCAAATGCTAGGAGATATGTAAGTTGAAAAAATGTGTGAATCATTCACTATTCTTTAATTATATCCCTGGAGATGTGTCTGAGAACATTCCCTTCAGGAAAGGAAAGGAAAGGAAAATTGCACTAGTGAGGAAAACAGCAACAATCTGGAAAACCTCTGTATCAACTGTCCTCGGGAAAATAGGGATGGAAGTGAGAGATTCTGCAATGGACCCCCAAATGCATGGAGTAAAGCCAGATAGAGTCACTTAGCAAACAGATACAAGAAGGTATTGTATGCTTGTCAGATTAGACAGCAGGTCAGAAGTGGCAAGCCAAATAGCTACACTCTCAGAGCTCTTTGCTAGTAGTTGATTATTCATTTATCCCACGGATCAACTTAACAAATAACCTAGAAGATCTTTGTTAACTAGGGGGGAAAAAGAGCTCTATTGTGGAGAGCATGCCTGATATGGTATCTTTCTTGTAGAAGCAGTCAGATTGAGACCAGCTTCTTTAGGCTTGTTCAATGCTGGTAAAAAATGTTTCTTTGGTGTCAAATATAAAGTATACGCAAGGGCTTGGTAACCTAAGTTTTCTTTCACCACAGGTCATCTGACATCTAATGTTCATTGGTAAAAACTTCCCAGAAATTTTGTTGCTCCTGCTCATCCAAATAATCTGTGAACTTCCAAGCATTGCTCAACAAACCCTTTACTGCCTAAACTACTGGGTATGCATTTGTTGTCTGAAAATAAAAACTTTGACCCAGAAGTCAGTCTTTGAATAAGTCTACTGGAAAGCAGTTAAACATATTTAAATGATTTTATTGTATTATATACGGTAAATTCTATTGCCACTGCATACTTTAGATAAGAAAATAAATCAGTATGTTTTTCTTAATGATCATCACTGCCAGGTGGTGAACCACTGGTAAAAAGAGTTGAGATTTTAAAAATCATGTCAGGTGAAAACTGTGAAAACATAAAATAATAATAATATAACACCTTACATTTTCCCATAAAGAGTATAAAGTTAATCGTCAATCCCAAACAAGAAAATTTCATTCAGGCTTTATTTATTTATTTATTTGGAGATGGAGTCTCGTTTTGTCGCCTGGGCTGGAATGCAGTGGCGCGACCTCAGCTCACTGCAACCTCTGCCTCCTGGATTTAAGTGATTCTCCTGCCTCAGCCTCCCGAGTAGCTGGAGACTACGGGTGCACGCCATCACACCCAGCTAATTTTTTGTAGTTTTAGTAGAGATGGGATTTCACCATGTTGGCCAGGATGGTCTCTATCTCTTGACGTGCATTCAGGATTTATTAACAAACAAACAAAACCAATACAACATAGGCTCATAATGTTCTTGGCTTCTTCCTCTATGACATTTAGATAAAATGAAAATACAAGTAATTACCAATAATAGGCCTTTATAAGGTATCTTAAGCTGTATCACTTTTAAAGATTGAAACCCCCTTCTCAGGAAGTACCTCATAAGATTACTAACAACCCCAAACTTAGAACTGCTTTCTACCTGAGATACATCTCCTCCATGGATGCTTGCTGAATAAGATCATATCAAATACTTTTGACAACTCACTCTACTAATAGCTGCTAGAATCTATTAACTTTAATAAAAATTCTCTTGCAAGGAATTCCTTGTTTCACCTGGTTAAGAAGATATACAAGGCCCTTCTCCAATCATTACTCCCTGTTGGAATTATGCAAAGGAATTTAAATTGTTTACAAGGGATCTCATGCCTCCATGGGAGGACAGGATTTAAAATAGTTGTGCAACTGAAATATGTTTGACATATTTTAAGCTAAACTTGTGCATGAGGGTTGAAACTTTATTTTCAAGTAGAAAAGAAAAAAAAGGTAGGCACTGGAAGTTTGTAGAACAGTAGTACTGTCTATCTTGGGTTTCTAATCTATTACATCTACTCTATTAGCTTTCAAAGACACCTCCAGAAAAGGGAGTATTTCCCCAACTGACAGAAACTCAGCTTTTAAATGTAGTGTGAAGTCATTTCGTCTCATTCTAAAACTTCCCAGATGAGTAATCTCTTCAAGATCATAATAAGTAGATATTTGATAAAGCATGCTATTTGCAATTCTAAATTTTCCCTTATGAGGAAATTTCCTTATATGACAACAGAATATAGCTACGCATCACCATTAGCATTTATTTAAATTGTCAGAAATCTTAATAAAAGCTTTAGTCAAAATATAATACAAACTAAATTATGACAACGCAAGTTCTCATGCTGTCTTTAATGTAGGTACAAAGATAGTTTCTTTTGCCATCAGACCTACACAGTTGGCAACATAGAATCTAGTTCCATTTGCTGCATTTGCATATTGTCAAATATTGATCATGGTATTTATCTCATTGTTAGTTCAGCAAGATGGTCATATGTGATGAGACTCTCTGTGTTATCTAAAGGAGTTGCTTAAAAACAAACAGATAGCTCTGTTTCACTGTACTGTGTAAACATACAAGGGAAAATGTAGTCTAAGATCAACATTCCATGTTGTATGTATGATAACTTACTACTTGTAGATTTGTGGAAAGATAAAGTCACTGCTGTTGGGTGTTGAATTATGACAGTACAAATGATAGGGCATACGATTTGGAAAATATGATCTCCCAAATTCTATTCCCATAAATTATAGTCTTTATAGTCAGACTTACTATTACCTTGTAACAATGCCTTCACATGTACCCTCATTGCAGTTACTATTCTTAAACTGTCTTAAGCTTAACTTATCCAGATTCTCTTCTTTAATTAATCATATTTTTCTACCATGTATATTTAAGTGTTGATTATTAAATAATATAGTATTTTGTATTAGCATCTGGGCATGTCTTCATGAATTCCCTTTGTAATTGTACAGTAGATTTTTGATCTGTTTTTCCTAGCCAAAAGATACATCAACATGATAATAATTTAGACTTTTCTTACAAATTTTTCTTCTGGAAATTCTTAATAAATGCAAAACTGCATACATTCTAAGGTAAATGTAATCGGTTTTCTGTAGATTTAGGTATGTTTGTGTTAGTATGTGTGCATGTGTGTGTGTATGTGTGTGTGTGTTGTCAAAACTTCTGGTTTTGATTCTTTTGATTTTGTATAGATCAAGACTGTGACTTCAAATACCCTGCTTAACCCAATCCCATCTTCATTTTCTTTTGTGGAAGAAAAGCATAATTTTAAATACTAACATATCCCATGCTTTGATAATTATTATCCCAAGGAAAATTATTCTAGATTCATAATAGAGCATCAAAGAACCTTCACTATGCATCCAAATAATAAAAAAATATAGTTCAGGGAATAAGAGAAAGCAGCCAAAAATAATTTCTTCCAGTCCGAGAACAAGAATTTGAGGAGTGACACACACCCTTAATATTAGAGTTAGACTAGGTTGCATGAAGAATTAATTTTTTGATGTTTCCCAGCCCTTCCTTGTGAAAGTCAGGCCTTTGGGGCTCTGGTGTCCAAATGCTTTAGATCAAATCCAAGTCTCACTCAAAAATAAGCAATGGGATGCCAACTTCCTTAAATCTCTTGGTTTCTATTTTCATTTTTATAAAGTAAATGTAAGAATGCAAAGTATTTCAAATATTATATTTTTTTTTATAATTTACTGAAAAGCACTTTGTGGATTTTCAAGCCTATAATAAACACTTGATACAACTTAATTATGGGTAGTTTTTGTAACTCTGGAAATAAAATCTACCTCACTTTTTGTCCTTTTTTTTAATGATAGTCCCATAAATATTTTAATTACAAATGTGTATTTAATACTGCAAATGTATATTTAACCTATGCATTTAATAAAATTAGATAAGCAATCTATATTTGCATATTTTAAAATAAGTAACATTTAGCAAACAATAGAAAAAGCGAGTCACCAATTTTCAAATCGCAAAATAATAATAATAATAATAAAGGTGAGTTTTTAATATCGATTAAAAAGTATGTGTTTATAATACCTAAATCTGCTTTGCTTTAATTTCAGATTTGCAAAACAAACACTATATGACAACACTATATGTTTTTTTTCTATTTCATGCAGTCATGGTTTAGGAAAATCTGCTTTCGTATAAAGAATAATAAAAGTAAGTCATTTAGCATAAATCTAGGGCAACTAATCATAACCGCATATGTACTATAGTATTTATTAAAGCATTACATTAGAAATTCTTGATTTAATAGCCAATACATTTATCACCTCTTGAAACTTCAGCATATATGCTTTACATCACACAGGAGGAAAGAGTTCTGCATACACAAATGTTCACAAAATAACAAAAAGCAGAATAAACTAAATTCCTAGGAAAATCATAATGATTTGTATGAAAAAGTGTTTCAAAAAAGATTTCTGCAGTTCTTTAAATAAGACTTCTTTAGTAAAGGAGTTCAGAAAATAAATCCACTTATCTAACTATCTGTCTTTTCATTCATCTCTCCATTCATCCATCCATGCATATATACATTCATACATACATAAAAAAATCACAGAACACACATCCTTTTCAAGGTCATCGCAATTGCATTTCAGGTTTTCATAATTCTATGCTACTAACTATAAAAAAGCATGCCTCAAAATAGCCAGTAATCAAATTTCCTAATTTTCTTAAACAATTTTAAGAAGTATTATGATAACCAATATAAAATGATGTAGAATTACTGAAAAAAAAAAGATGTTAAAAAAGACCAAATTTAAAGTCATTGACTTACACTCTCATGTAGACGATGTGTTAGGCCGTTCTTGCATTGTTATAAAGAAATACCTGTGACTAAGTAATTTATAAGAAAAGAGGCTTAATTGGCTCATCGTTTTGCAGGCTGTACAAGAAGCATAGTGGCATCTGCTTCTGGGGAGGTCTCAGGAAGCTTCCAATTATGGCAGAAGGCAAAGACAGAGCAAACCTATCATACAATGAGAATAGAGCAAGAAAGAGAATGGGTGGGGAGGGACCACACACTGCTTAATAACCAGAACTTCCTTAAACTCAGAGAAAGAGCTCACTTATCACCAAGGGGATGGCCTAAATAGCCGTTCATGAGGAATTTACCCTCATAATTCAAACACAACCTACTGGGCCCCATCTCCAACACTGGGGATTACATCTCAACATGAGATTTGGAAGAGGCATCCAAATTATATCAGACGATCAAATACTTTCTACTTGTTAAGTGATCATACTTCCTTATCCAGACTGTAATATATCTCCAAGTCCTGGCCTTATAATCAGTTCTTTCTCAGTAAAGTGATAGTATTCATTGAATTCTCAAAATAACTACCATATTGGATTAGTCCGTTTTCACACTGCTATAAAGAACTACCTGAGACTGATATTTTATGAAGAAAAGAGGTTTAATTGAATTGCAGTTTTGCAGGCTTAACAGGAAGCATGACTGGGAAGCCTAAGGAAACTTACAATCATGGGGGAAGGCGAAGGGGAAGCAAGCACACCTTACCATGGCAAAGCAGGAGAGAGAGAGGGAAGGCGGGATTGCCACACATTTTCTAACAACCAGATCTCATGTCACTCACTATCAAAAAAACAGCAAGTAGTTATTCCATTTCCATGGTTCAATCATCTCCCACCAGGCTCCTCTCCCAACACATGGGAATTCCAATTTGAGATGAGATTTGGGTGGCGACACAGAGCCAATCCATATCACATATGTTTTTTTGTTTGTTTGTTTGTTTGTTTTTTGAGACTGAGTCTCACTCTGTTGCCCAGACTGGAGATCAGTGGCACGATCTTGGCTCACTGCAACCTCCACCTCCCGAGTTCAAGTGATTCTCCTGCCTCAACCTCCCAAGTAGCTGGGATTACAGGTGCATGCCACAGTGACTGGCTAATTTTTGTATTTTTAGTGGAGATGGGGTTTCACCATGTTGGCCAGGCTAGTCTCTGCCCTCCTGGCCTCCGAAAATGCTGGGATTACAGGCATGAGCCACCGCACCTGGCCCACATATGATATTTCGTAAAATAAAACAGGTATGTGAAGCTTACAAAATTAAAACACAAATCACTAATTTTAATACTCTAGCTTTGATATATAAACCTATTATCTGCCAATAGAAACCGATGAATAGATAGATAGAGAAATAGGTAGATAGATAGAAATGTAAACAAATAGATATATGGAAAATGATATGATCTTCATTCAAGGGAAGTTTTGATAGTATTAATCATTAAAAAAATAAGGTAATGTGTTATAAATACTGATGCAAAACAATATGCTTTGTAATTAGAATAATTGTATTTAATTCAAGTTTAAATAAATTTAAGCACCTGGATACCTATAATTTTCAAGATATGAAAAAGGCCTATTTTTTTCAAAACTTTAGGGAAGTTTGGAATATAAACTTTAAAATATATAAGGGATTTCTTATCTTTTTAACTGATCTTTTAACTAATGTTTGCCATTGTCCTTAAACGAAAATTGTTTTGAAATAAATTTATTTGACTTTTAACATTTTTTTAATGCTCTGAAAAGTAAATATTAGTCACCTGGATAAGCATTTTGCCACATTGCATAGGACAGATAAGAACACAGGGGTTGTGGGAATATTCCAGAGTAATAATTGAACCCAAAGAGTGTATTTTGCAACAAGAGAATGTGAAGTACATTAGAAATATCAAGCCTCATAGCAAGTATAAAAACTGGACCCTCCAAACCATCACATCATTGATCCACTTCTCAAGGAACAATTCGTGTGTTGGCTTCCTGTGTATCTGCAAGATACATCAGAATATCAGTGGGCAGACGCCACCTAGTGGTTGTCTGTGTAGAGAAAATGAGAAGTTCAGTAATTTAGAAGATAACTTACACGTCTTTTTAGCTCATTTAGCAACTTCCGTTGCTACGAACATTGATACTTGGATTTTAAATGCTTAACTAGGTGGCTTGTGTGGTTTCTTAATTCTGCTTTGGTCAGCAAGATCCCAAAGAGATTTTGCTGACACTCAAAACAAAATAGCAACAAATACAGCAAACAATGAAACCAAAATGAAAGTTGAAAACGTAAAACAGCAAAACTTATAGTTAAAGATACAAAATGCTAGAAATAGCATTTCTATTAATGCTAATAGAAAATAGCATTCTATTTTGTATTTCATTTACTGTTACATTCCAGCATGTAAAGAGAAACCACCTGTAACTATTTTTTCTTCAGGTTAAACAATTATTTACTATAATTAAATTAAGCCAACAAAGGAATAAAAGAAACATGAAAATAAGTCTCCCCAAATTAATTACTTTGTCTATTCTATATTTATGAAGTAGTCTAAGTCCAGGGAAGTTCTTTAGGTGTTATATTATCCAAGGTTTAATTAAACTATTTTAATTATTTGTTTCTGCTATATCTAAAAGTTTTCTGAATTACAGTTAAACAATTAACATTTTGGGTAAAAAATATGCTTATATGCTTAAATCAAATGAAATTGGTGTTTTTGCCTGGTTTTCTTATTTCATTTGGTTAAAAATTGAATCAAACTAATTGTAATAGTAAAATCTCATATGAGTGTCTGACTTATATTTACATTTTACTCAGATACGTATAGTAAATTTAGAACTATTGAATTATCTGGAATCAAAATTGTTTAATAAGCAAAATGTCTCATTATCTACAGCAGTGTGATATGGTTTGGCACTGTGCCCACACCCAAATCTCATGTTAAATTGTGATCTCCAGTGTTGGAGGTGGGACCACCTGGTGGGAGGTGGTTGGATCATGGGGATGGTTTCTAATGGTTTAACACATCCCCCTAGTGCTGTCTTGTGAGTGAGTTCTCACAAGATCTGGTTGTTTAAAAGTCTGTAGCACGTCCCCCTTCACTCTTTTTCTTTCTTGTGCTGCCATGGTAAGACGTGCTTGCGTGCCCTCACCTTCTGCCATGATTGTATGTTTCCTGAGGCCTCCCAGCCATGCATCCTGTACAGCCTATGGAACTGTGAGTCAATTAAACATATTTTTCTTCATAAATTACCCAGTCTCAGGAGTTCTTTATAGCAGTGTGAGAACAGACTAATAAAGAAAAATGGTAGAGAAGTAGGGCATTGCTTTAAAGAAACATGAAAATGAGGAAGTGACTTTGGAACTGGGAAATGGGCACAGGTTGGAACAGTTTGAGCTCCAGAGAAGACAGGAAGATGAGGAAAAGTTTGCAACTTCTTAGAGAATTGTTGAAGGCTTGTAACCAAAATGCTGATAGTGATATAGACAATGAAGTCCAGGCTTAGGCGGTCTCAAATAGAGATGAGAAACTTATTGGGAACTGAAGTAAAAGTCATCTCGCTATGCTTTAGAAAAGGGACTGGTAGCATTTTGCCCCTGCTCTAGAGATCTGTGGAACTTTGACCTTGAAAGAGATGATTTAGGGTATCTGATGGAAAAATTTTCTAATCAGGAAAGCATTCAAGATGTGGCCTGGCTGCTTCTAAAAGCCTATGCTCATTTGCATAAAAAAGAGATTATCTGAAACTGGAACTTATATCTAAAAGGAAAGCAAAGCATAAAAGCTTGGAAAATTTGCAGCTATACCATGTGGTAGAAAAGCAAAACCCATTTTCTGAAGAGAAATTCAAGCCAACTGCTGAAATTTGCATTAGTAAAGAGAAGCTGTATGTTAACAGTCAAGACAATGGGTTATATGCCTCCAGGGTGTTTCAGAGACCTTGGTGGCATCCCCTCCCATCAAAGGCCTTGAGGCCTAGAAGGAAAACATGATTTTGTAGGCCAGGCCCAGGGCCATGCTGCTCTTGGAAGCCTCAAGATATGGTGCCCTGTGTCCTAGCCACTTTCGACTCCAGCCATGGCTAAAAGGAGCCAAGGTACAGCTCAGGCCATTGCTTCAGAGGATGCAAGCTGCAAGCCTTGTTAGCTTCCATGTGGTGTTTGGCTTGCAATGGCAACAGTTGAGGTTTGGGAGTCTCTGCCTGGATTTCAGAGGATGTATGAAAACACCTCTGTGTCCAAGCAGAAGTCTTCTTCAGGGCTGTAGCCCTCATGGGGAATCTCTACTAGGACATTGCAGAAAGGAATGGTAGGGTTGGAGCCCCCACACAGAGTCCCCACTGGGGCACTGCCTCATGGAGCTGTGAAAAGAGGGCCACCATCCTCCAGATCCCAGAATGGTAGATCCACTGACAGCTTGCACTGTGTACCTGGAAAAGCTGAAGGCACTCAATACCAGCCCATGAAAGCAGCCACATGGGCTGTACCCTGCAAAGCCACAGGGGCAGAGGAACTGAAAGGCCTTGGGAGCCCACTGCTTGCATCAGCAAGCCCTGAATGTGAAACATGAAGTCAAAGGTGATTATTTTGAAGCTTTAATATTTGATGACTGACCTGCTGGGTTCTGGACTTGTATGGGGTCTATATCCCTTTTGTGTTAGCCAATTTTTCCCTTTTTGAATGGAAGCATTTACCCAATTCCTGTGCCCCACTGTATCTCTTTTTTGCTTTACAGGCTCACTTGTGAGCCTTATTGGTGGAGGAGACTTGTCTCAGATGAGACTTTAGACTGAGAGTTTTGAGTTAATGCCAAAATGAGCTAAGACTTTGGAAACTGTTAAGAAGGCATTATTGTGTTCTGAAATGTGATAAAAATATGAAATTTGGCAGGGGCCAGGGGTCAAATGATGTGGTTTGGCTGTGTCTCCCCACCCAAATCTCATGTTGAATTGTGATCTACAATGTTGGAGGTGGACCCTGGTATTGAATCATGTGGGTAGCTTCTAATGGTTTATCAACATCCCCTAGCACTGTCATGGTAGTTAGTTATCACAAGATCTTGTTGTTTAAAAGTGTGTAGCACATTCCCATTTGCTCTCTTTCTGTATCCTGCTCCATCATGGTAAGATGGTAAGACATGCTTGCTGCCCTTTTGCCTTCCACCATGATTGTAAGCTTCCTAAAGCCTCCCTCCCCAGCCATGCCTCCTGTACAGCCTGTGGAACTATGGGTAAATAAAACTATATATATATATGTGTGTGTGTGTGTGTGTGTATATATAGTTTTATATATATAATATATATATGTGTGTATATATACACACATACGTATATGTATATATACACACATACGTATATGTATATATATACACATACGTATATGTGTATACACACATACGTGTATGTGTATACACATACGTATGTGTACACACATACGTGTATGTGTATACACATACGTATGTGTGTATATATATACACACATACGTATATGTGTATATATATACACACATACGTATATGTGTATATATATACACACATACGTGTATGTGTATACACACATGTATATGTGTATACACACATATGTATATGTTTATACACACATGTATATGTGTATACACATTTGTATATGTGTGTATATATATACACACATATGTATATGTGTACACACATATGTATATGTGTATGTATATACACACATATGTACATGTATGTATGAGTATTTCCCAGTCTCAGGTAGTTTTTTATAGCAATGGGAGAACATACTAATACACAGTGATTCAAGAACATTGCTGAAATATTATTTATTGAAAAAATATTGATGGCAGGAATGGAGAAGCATGAATGGAAATACATTTTTTGTTTGCATATATCAGAAGATAGTTTGTTCCAATCAACAAGATGTCATGAAAAATATGTGAGGACTCCCCTTTATTTGTTGGCTTTCATTGTATGGTGACACATTTCAGTGTAAATTTTTCACCAAAAAATAGATCTATAGGATATTTTAATTTTCACTAAACTAATCCACAATAGTGAACAAAAAAACCAAAATATTCTTATAAAGTAACCATAGAAGGATGATACTGATATTATAAAGGATTAGTGGGAAAATAATAACCAAACTGTCTGCTTTACTAATTTTTCAAAATATTTTTTATTAATTACACTATAGTTTTTAAAATAAGCTCACTAGATCTGAAAAGAGTTTTCTCTATATCATAAAATTAAGAAAATGACTTTCTGAAATATGAACTTAAAAACTATTGCTAATCAATAATTGTATATATTATGCCTTGAAAAATTAAGCTACAATTTTTCCAGAGATCAATATTTATAAAACATTAAAAAACTTAATATCTGGGTAAGTAAGGCAAACTAGAAAATAAATTAGCCATGCTTTAAGTGATATCATAAATTTCTACTACATAGCATTTATAGATACATACATATAGAATGTATATATATGTATAGATACATACATATAGAATGTATATATATGCTACGCATGTATGTGTAGCATTTCAGTCATGCCTGTGGTTTAGGATTAATTTTTTATGTTAACAGCATTCTTTGTCATTAGATTTGGCTTGACCTTGGTTTTAATTACTAAAAGCCACTTTATCTGAAAAAATCAACAGAGACTTTAGCTGTTAGAAACACATTAAATGAAAAGGCATTGTAAGAGAGGATCCCAAGTGATACTGAATGCTTTAATTTGCTTCTTTTTATTGGCTTGGAATGTTCTTATTGAATTCCCTTAAAGATTGCCAGAAAAAGAAGCAATGTTATTAGTTTGGTTTTTGACTGAGTTAATTGATAATTGTGTGTCACTAAGCATAAAGAATAAGAACATCAGAACAGAAAGACAAACTCAAAATAATCCTAGTCAACCAAAATTCTTTCTTTGTTCATTTTGTGTTCAAAATTAATACAATGTAAACTTACTGATTCAAGCATAATACTTCTACAAAAATATTTTCTTTCTATTAGAATAATGAGTACAACCAGAAGCTTAATTGCAAACTGAGTAATTAACATAGTAAATGAATCATTAACACATTATGGACACATGTTTATTTTATCTTGCTGGAACCATCAATTTGAATAAAGTGTTCTATAATTTACTCAGTATATATCTCTCATTTCCTACTGTTTGGTTTTGGCTTAAATCATTTGACTTAATATCTGTCATAGATCTTATATTTATAGTATGGTCATTATATTTCAATTTAATTAGAATTCACCAAATTGCATTTGAGGCTTCTGATTTAAAGACTTTAAATATATTCAACCATTCATCTGTAGAAGAAAAAAATAAAAACATTTTCTTAAATTTAATATCTTTTAAATTTTATGTCATCTACATACTAGAAAAATAAATAAAACTTACTGTTTCCTAATTTTGTCTACCCCTGTCCATGTATTAGACAGTCCTGACTTTAGCCAGTTGCAAACAGAGCATATGGACAATGTACTTTTTTTTTCACTACACACTGTTGGTATATAAAACATTTATGAGAAAAATAAGTTAAATTTTGTATTTCAAAGTAGAAAAGAAAATATTTTACATAAGCTGATTGATGTTACCAAAGTATATATCCAGTGAAATGATTGGGAACATACATGTATTAGCAGATTGAGATGATGTTCCACTGATGCAACAAAGCTGAAACAAAAAATGCAAAAGGCTTTGAGTAGTCAGAAATTCCTTGACCTTCTCCCCTTATCATGAGTTTCATTCAGAAACAGCAAAGCACACATACATAAAAGAACTGTATGTTTCTGAACATTTACAGTAGGTGGCTGCTTTTGCTATTGTAAATTAAGCTAAAATTATGTTTGCTTCATCTACACGAAGTTTTTTAACTATTTTATTAAAATCTCTTTTTGACTGCAACTTTCAGAAAAAGAAAAAATGCATTGGAGGCGTGGTGGGCTTGATGGTAGTACAATGTATTCTAGAAACAGAATTGACAAAAATCAAGCACAGGTAAAAGAGTACAGAGACATGAAGGACTCTGTTAATAATACACAGTGAGGATCATGCAATTCTATATTTTTCCAACCTTCACCTCTCTGGAAGTAGGAAAGTGAGACTTACTCTAGTAGAACTGAATCATATGTTAGACTTCTGGATCCATAGTGGTTCTCTACCTTCACTGTACATTAGAATCATCTGTGGGATTTTTAAAAAATATGGTAATAGAACGCCAATATTAAATAGATATTTCATATCTTAAGCTCTGTAAGTAATGCTGATGTAAAATCAGCTTGAAGATTGAAGCTTTTATGCATATTAGGAAATAATTTAATTTTGTATACATAAAACAGTTATGCTGATTTGTATGGGAGACGGAGATTTGAGCAGGATCTAATTGGACTACCTGTTAATAACTTACATAATGAACAAGTCTTGGAGCCCATTCTACACAAAGCTATTTATAAACAAATGAGTAAATCACTGACATATTAATAAAAATAAAGAAAGAGAACAAAATGTAATATAAGATATATAAATGTCTCCAAATATGTAGCAAGTGCCCATTATGTCTATTCATTGAAAGAATACTAACTAAAATAGAGAAATACTACTTCAACTATAAAATTGTCAATATTTTAAAGAATAATACTTGTGCTGGCAATGTGTAATGAGAGAGGCATTTTGTTGGTGGAGATGTAAATCAATACAATCCCATCTAGAAAACAAATGAATAACAATTGCAAAACACTTAAATACACTCCAGAGTTGAATAGACATATTTATTATAAATTGGTAGACATGGGGAAAGTTTCAACAGTGATTTGGGTCTCATTTTGAGAATATTTATGACAAAATGCTATGAGACATAAAAGTAGAACAGTAATTTTCATTTCTAATTTTCCTCTAGGGGAAGGATATTTGAAGTGGTTTAATTCAATAATTAACTAGTAAATAAAGTATAACTGGAGTACTTCAGAATATTCACAATACTGTTTAAAGAGATGCACCTACTACTTTCCCATAGATAGGAAATCCTCTGACACATATGCTAATGTCTGAGAGACCACATTGTTTTGCTCAAGATATCAAAATTGACTTCCATATGAAATATTCTTTAACAAGAAAGAATCAGTTAGTGTGAAAGGAAGGATGTGGGTTACAACAACTTTATTCTTTCTGTGTCTTTAAAACTTAAGTAGTGACTCCAACAACCTCCTGGAGAGTCTTGAACAATAGTTAAACTAAGGAGAGATTCTCTGAGCCAGATGGACTGAGTTAATATTCTAGCCTTGTTATTTCCAAGTAATGTGACCTTGGGCAAATTATTTAACTTTGCAGAAGGTTATTATAAAAGTGGCTTGAGTTAATATATGTTTTTGGAAATTTACCAGACTTGCTATAAACACTGTAATTATTGTAATGTTATATAGTCAGGCACAGGTCTAACATAGCACCATTTTATTTGAATCAACTTGTGATGAACAAAAAACAATGGTATTTGCCTCCGCAAAAGTAAAAAGAAAACCATCAAATATTCAAGTAGGTTAAGAGACTTGAAAACTGATCAATGACCTCAGAATGACCTATGACCTCATATTTGTCAGTCTCAGCTTACTGCATTTTGATTCTATATCAGCCCTAACTTATGAGCATTTTCACTCAAGTGAGTGTATTTTCCTATAAAACTGCACACATATTATGCAGTCAACAATTTGGCTTATTAGGTAAAAACTCATTAACATTATTAGTAAAATAATTCTGTTTATGAGTGAAGTTTTGAATCTGATTTTGGCTTAATGAAACATTATTTGAGCATAATCACACCACATTTCAATTCAAAAATATGTCTGCAACATCTGGTTTTGATTGCAATATAAATGACTTTTGTTTTCAGCAAAGTACCATGCTAATGAGCTCTCAGCTGGCAAAAGCCTATTTAAATATTACATTAGCTGAAGTTAATTTAGTAATATAAGTAAAGTTTGAAGTTTGTAAATAAAAGAAGTGCTTTATTTTTATTTATTAATAAAAGATGTTCATAGAAAAATATGTATCAATGAAAAAATGCAAATAATAGCTCTTTCCACACTTAACAATGTGTTTGAGCATCAACAACATACTCTAATAATGTAGTTATTTGGGTTCTCAGCTAAATACATAGCCTTTTCCAAGTTTGAATGAGCTACATATTTAGTTAAGATCTTTAAATACTTTCATGAAAATGCTGATTCTAATAATACATCTCTTTCATTGCTTTTTAATATACAAATATAGTATCAAATAATATTTTCCCAGATTCAGTTTTGATTGGAAGCTTTTGAAATAAAAGATATTCTCTAGCAAATTCTATAGTAGGCACTAATAAAAATACTCTTCTGTTTCTCATTATTGTTAATGAACCACAAAAAATAAAATACATCTACTAAATCTTAATCAATAAATTGGTAAATGAAGATATTAAAATAATTTAATCCAAAATTTTAATAGATATATCAGCATTTACTATACCAACTTAGTTGCTGAAGGTGTCTGTATAATAGCTCAATACACGTGTGATGGAGAGCATTTATTTGGCCAAGTCTGAACTTGGAAATATCCAGTCATTGGTACTATAGTATATGAATTCCAATCTTATGGTAGCAATAGTAGAATATTGAATCTCCATGAGCAAAATGAGAGTGATATAAACTAATTATTAAATATCAGTTCCCACCTGCAAGCTACTCTTCCAGGTATTGCTGATACAGTAGTGAAGTAAAAGCAGCCCAGCCCCTTCCTAATTACACTTACATTATAGGGGGAAAGATAGGAATGAAACTAACAAATAAATAATTTTATTTTGACTTTAAGGATAAATGCTTAATGGAGATAATAAAGTTAACATAAGAGTGTCATGAGGAACTAAAGCTGCTTTTTTACATAAAGTGATCTAGGATATATTCTTAAGGAAGGTGATGTTTGATCAGGGAACTAAAAGAGGCAGGAAAACATGTTATGGTGATATATCAGGGAAGACAGTTCGGGTCAGAAGAAATGCCCAGCACCTATTCTTTACATGGAGCCTCCTAAGAAACTTCCAAGAGCAGCAACAGATGAGTGAGAATGGGTAAGATGCTTTTCTCTGAAAACTGGTATAGTAGGCAGGCATGACCCGGGATTTCTTTTCCAGTGAAGGAGAGAGAAGGAGCAGGATCATTTGGCTGCATCTGAATATTCATTGTGCCTGAAACTTGTCACATTTTCATAGAAACCTTTCTATTGATTATTTGCATCCTTTTGAACTGCAAAATCAGTTCAAACAGTGAACAGCTCTAAGAATCATTAAGAAAAATATGGATTTTTCCAGAGTATAGACTACATCATTAGTGAATTCTATTTTGAAAGTGTAGTCTTTTGAAACAAAGATAATTATGTGTCACATATGACTCACTACTAACTAAATTCAGGTAAATGGTATTTGGGATCTAATTAGGTGAATTGTCTTTATTGTTCTGTAACTTTCTTTTCTAAAAACTAGCCGAAGTTGGAGCTGTAGGATTTGAAATATCAGATGTTTGTAAATGTTTTATTTGTAGTCAAATAAGCCCTCTTTTAGCCAAATGATTGGTGTCATCTAAATACAGTCTAATTTGTTATGATACTTGATGACTTGATTTTTCATTTTTCACATTTGTCTTCTATGTAGTTTAGTGATGATAACATTGGGCTGAGAGTTATATGACATGGTTTCAAGATCAAGTCTGTTACTAAGTTGCTATAGTGACATTATAAATCTTTAAACGACAATTTCCCCTTTGTTTTTTTTTTTAAATAATACAAGTTATCTACATTCTTACAGAGTTATTTTGAAAAATAGAAGGAGTAATGTATGAAGATACTCTTTGAAATTGTAAAGCACTGTTCAAAGCTATCATTATACCAACAAAAAGGTGATTTAATATGGGTGTTTTCTTGTAATGATAGGAAACCACTCTGTTAAGAAAATATACCAATATGGCATTCCACTAGTATAGAATTACTAAATTATAATTTTTCAGAGAAATAAAAAGATATCTTTTCTAGAAATGTCACCTTTCAATTTGAATTCTATATGCTACTAGTTTTTATGGGCAGCTTATCTGCATTATTATGCTTGGCATCTTATGGCTTTGTATAAAAAAGGTATATAGTAATATACCTGTAAATGTAAAGTTAATATATTAATGTTTAAAAGGCACTCTGTGCTTAAAAAGAAAAGGCTGGGTTAGGCACAGTGGCTCACACCTGTAATCCCAGCACTTTGGGGGGCCAAGGTGGACGGATCACCAGAGGTCAGGAGTTTGAAACCAGCCTGGCCAACATGGCAAAACCCCATCTCTACTAAAAGTACAAAATTAGCTGGGTGTGGTAGCATGCACCTATAATCCCAGCTACTCAGGAGGCTGAGGCAGAAGAATTGCTTGAATCCAGGAGGCAGAGGTTGCAATGAGCTGAGATTGTGCCACTGGACTCCAGCCTGGGCGACAGAGCAAGACTCTGTCTAAAAATAATAATAATAATAATAATAATAATAATAAAAGACAAGGCTGAAAAGCCAGGTCTTCAAATATCTACCTCACTATAAGCAACATGAAGTAAATTTATGAAAATATCTAAGCAGATGAATTTGCTAGTTTGAACAGGTCAGACAAATTCAGGAATTAATAAATGCCAATTATTGTAGTAGCTATTATCTTGTAATAATAAATCAGCCACTAAAATCTAATTAAACTGACTTAAAATAATGTGTATACATGTATCTATCTAGTAGTATAAATGTGCTAGTAAAATTATGGTTGCTTTATCATCCCCCTGGTTTAATCTTTTTTCTTTTTTTTTTTTTTTAGACAAGTTCTTGTTCTGTTGTGTTGCGGGAAGTCAGGGACCCCAAATGGAGGGACCAGCTGGAGCCACGGCAGAGGAACATAAATTGTGAGGATTTCATTTTAATATGGACATATATCAGTTCCCAAAATTAATACTTTTATAATTTCTTATGCCTGTCTTACTTTAATCTCTTAATCCTATTATCTTTGTAAACTGAGGATGTACGTCACTTCAGGATCACTGTGGTAATTGTATCTAACTGTACAAATCTATTGTAAAGCATGTGTGTTTGAACAATGTGAAATCAGTGCACCTTGAAAAAGAACAGAAAAACAATGATTTTCAGGGAACAAGGGAAGACAACCATAAGGTCTGACTGCCTGTGGGGTCGGGCAGAATACAGCCATATTGTTCTTCTTGCAGAGAGCCTACAAACAGACATGCAAGTAGGGAAGATATTGCTGAATTCTTTTCCTAGCAATGAATATTAATAACTAAGACCCTGGGAAAGGAATGCATTCCTGGGGGGAGGTCTATAAATGGCCACTCTGGGAGTGTCTGTCTTATGCAGTTGAGATAAGGACTGAAATACACCCTGGCCTCCTGCAGTACCCTCAGGCTTATTAGGGTGGGGAAGAAATCCCACCCTGGTAAATTTGAGGTCTTACCAGTTCTCTGCCCTCGAGCCCTGCTTTCTGTTGTTTAAGATGTTTATCAAGACAATACGTGCACAGCTGAACATAGATGCTCATCAGTAATTCTAATTTTGCCCTTTGCCTTGTGATCTTTGCTTTTGTCCTTGCCCTCTTTCCTCAGAAGCATGTGATCTTTGTTCTCCCTTTTGCCCTTTGAAGCATGTGATCTTTGTGACCTACTCCCTGTTCGTACACCCCCTCCCCTTTTGAAATCCTTAATCAAAACTTGCTGGTTTTGCAGCTCTGGTTGGCTTCATGTTCCTACTGATTTGTGATGTCACCCCTGGAGGCCCAGCTGTAAAATTCCCCTCTTTGTATTCTTTCTCTTTATTTCTCAGCTGGCCGACACTTAGGGAAAACAGAAAGAACCTACGTTGAAATATTGGGGGCTGGTTCCCCTGATATCTGGAGCACCAACATGGTCTTTCTTTTTCTTAAGTACATGTGAGAACCTGATTCCCTTTGGTAGTTGCAGAGAAACGTTCATTGGTCCGGTCCACAGAAACGCTTGTTTGGTTCCCTGACGATTGGTGAGTTGTCCAGGTCAACCATGGGTCACGCGGAGTCTAAACATTATGCTTATCTCTGCTATATTAAGCTCCTGTTAAAACAGGAGGGAGTTTGAGTCTCCATGGAAAATATGGTCACTCTATTCAGGGCAGTGGAAGAACACTGTCCTTGGTTTCCTGAAAAAGGAATCTTAGATGTGGAAGTAAGGGATCATGTTTGTGCAAAATTCCGGGAACTGGTCCCAACAGGAAATTATGTTCCCATCACTGTTTGGGGTAATCGGCCCACGGTATGTGACATCCTAATGACATACCAATCCTGTGACCCCCTGCAGTTACCACAGTTTTCTAAATCTGGCAACCCTCTACCTCTTCCTCAGCTTTCGTCTCCTGCTTGGCCTTTGTTATCTGATCAGACTCTCCCTTCACCTACTCCTCCCCCACCTGACAATGTTGAGAAATCAATATCTAACTCTGGTGACTTCTGCTTAACATCATCCCCTGATGATCTTATTTCTTTTCACGAAGAGCTGATACTTGTAGCTCCCACAGCCCTGACTTGGACAGCCCGAGAGTGTAAACTTTTGGGTAACATTAATTATTTAAAACCTACTTTAGGCATTCTAACATATGCTCTGTCTAACTTGTTTTCTATGCTGCATGGAGATTCCAATCTCCGCAGTCCCAGGACTTTGACCCCTGAGGCTTTACTGGAACTGGAATTTGTGGAAGAAAGAATCCAGACTGCTCAGTTGTCTAGAGTACAGCTGTCTCAGGCTTTTCAGCTTCTGGTTTTTGCTTCATTGCACTCCCTTACCAGGCTAATAGTTCAACATAATGATTTGGTGGAGTGGTGTTTTCTTCCTCATTCTGTGTCAAAAACTTTGTCTGTTTATCTGGACCAAATGGCCACCCTAATTGGACAAGCTCAGTGTAGAATACTTAAAATTTCCAGATTTGATCTGAATTTAATTGTGGTTCCTTTAAATCAGCTCAAAGTTCAAGCCACTTTTCAACATTCCATACTGTGGCAAATTCACTTGGCTGATTTTATCAGTGTTATTGGCAATCATTATCCAAAAAACAAATTGTTTGATTTTATAAAAATGACTTCTTGGGTGGTCCCTCAATTGACCAAAGATCAGCCCATTCCTGAGGCCGTTATAGTGTTCACTGATGGTTTCAATGATGGAAATGCCAGTTATGTGGGTCCTACAGACAAGCTTATTTCTACCCCTTATTCCTCTGCTCAAAAGGCAGAGTTAATTGCTGTAATTACAGCCTTACAGAATTTCCTCAAAACTTTAAATATTGTCTCTGATTCAGCTTATGTTGTACATGCCACTAAAAATATAGAAACCACTACTATCAAACATATTGATAATTCTGAATTGGCTTCTTTATTTTCAAGGTTACAACAGGTGGTTCGCCAGTGTAGACACCCTTTCTATATTGCACATATTAGATCTCATACCACTTTACTGGGACCCATATCTGCTGGTAACCAAAAGGTTGACTGTTTGGTCTCTTTTGCAACCCAGGAAGCTCAGGAGTTCCATAATCTCACTCATGTCAATGCTGCTGGATTAAAAAATAAATTTGCTTTCACCTGGAAGGAGGCTAAGCTAATTGTTCACAGCTGCCCTCAGTGTCAGGTCTTTGTACTTCCAAATCAGGAACCTGGCGTTAATCCCAGAGGCCTAACTCCTAATGATTTATGGCAAATGGGTGTAACTCATGTTAGTTCCTTTGGCAGACTTTCATATGTACATGTTTCTGTAGATACCATCTCAGGTTTTATCTGGGCTACCTGCCAAACAGGGGAGGGCACAGCCCATGTTAAAAAAAATCTGTATTCTTGTTTGCAGTTATGGGGCTTCCATATCAGATAAAAACAGACAACACCCCTGGATATGTTAGTAAGGCTTTTGATTTATCTATGCAATAATGGGGAATTTCCCACATTACCAGAATCCTTTACAATCCTCTGGGACAGGCTGTGGTGGAACGGGCCAATAATACCTTAAAAACTCAATTGTCCAAACATTCTGAACAACAAAAGCATAATTTGACTACTCCCCACTCCCAATTACATTTAGCATTGTTTACTTTAAACTTTCTAAATGTTCCTAAAGACAATACTCTGACTGCAGCTGAATGCCATTATACAGGCAAAAAATTCTCCTTAAATGAAGGCAAGCCAGTGTTATGGAAAAACTCCCAGATCAATACCTGGGTATCTGGAACAATTATAACATGGGGGAGAGGGTATGCTTGTGTTTCACCAGGAGATCACCAATTCCCTGTCTGGGTGCCCACTAGAAGACTTAAACTTCATGTGAATACTGACAATGAAAACCACGGGGAAAAGACATCCACGTCAGAGACTATCCTCATACATGGTGAGACCTGGGCCGACTCCTCAGAACCTGGCACACCAAATCAAAATAGGTCTGGTTCAATCCTCCCTAATGGCAATGGAGACCCCTCTAACTAATCCCACTTCTCTTAATTACCTTTCTTTTTCTCCTTACAAACCTAAAAATCTCATCACTTCTATTAGCCTGAAAATAACATCCCTCTGTTCTTAGCTTCCTCCTTCAGCACTGGATCTTGCTTAAAATAGGTTTTAATTAATGATTCTCCTCCTTATACTTTCTGTCTCACCAGTTTCCCCTCATACTGAATTACCTGTTACACAAAATTATTCTTACTGGGCTTATGTGCCTTTTCCTCCACTTATTTGACCTCTCATCTGGATGGATGCTCCTGCGGAAATCTATACTAATGATAGTGTGGGGATGCCTGGAGCTACAGATGACCATTGCCCCGCTCAACCAGGAGAAGGCACTGCATTTAATGTTACTACGGGTTATAAATACCACCCTCTGTGCCTCAGACATGCACCTGGTTGTATCCACCTAGAAACTCAAGTCTGGGCTGCTTATCTTCTGGAGAGATTAGCTTCAGAGGAAATGGGACGTTTGGTCTCTGGCCTCTCCCTTTCTCCTTTAAGACAAATGAAAGGGGGAGTAATAGGAGATACTCCATATTTTCAATACAAATGTGCAGGAAAACCACGTCCTAAAAATTTTGAGGGCCCATCTAAAACTTTAATTTGGGAAGATTGTGTTAACTCACATGTAGTAGTATTAAAAAATGACTCATATGCTTTGGTAATAGACTGGGCACCAAAGGGCTATTTAAAAAACAATTGCTCCTGTGGTGGAAGGGAATGCCTGGAGGCTACTTATTTTATTTCTTATTGGGAGGACAAGGATTATCATCCTACTTTGCATAGGAGATTCAGCTCATTCTTTCCCTTAAAATGGGAAGATAAGGGCATTATCCCCCTGAGGCCTCCTATGATATTCCACATTCTGAGCCCAGAACACCCAGAACTTTGGAAATTGGCTATTGTCATGTCCAGACTTCCAGTATGGGAAGCGGAAACTTTTCTGTCTGTTCTCCCCACTACCGCCTCTCGCATCCATGATTCTGAACCCCATGATAAATCCCCTTTCGGCCCTTTTCCTCTTTTTGATGCCCATCTTCCTTTATGGGACTGCAATTGGCATTATAATAATGCTTCTCAATCCAGGTATGTCCCTCTACTTCTTTGGCATCCTGGGGCGCCTTAGATTGCTTCTTTACAGCGGAGAACATCAGGTGTGGCCACAACCACTCCTCTCCCTCAGTATCAATGTAGATTCAGACATTCTGCTTTGTTTACCTCCAACCTAATTATTCCTATACAGAGTTGTGTTAAGCCTCCTTACATGCTGTTAGTGGGAAATATCAGATTTGGATGAACAATCAAACTGTCCAATGCATTAACTGTCATTTATACACTGTGTTAACTCCCGTTTTGACTCCAGGAAAAATGTAATGTTGGTTCGAGCTCAAGAAGGAATCTGGATACCGGTAACTTTGCCCAGACCTTGGGAATCCTGCCCCTCAGTACATTTAATTAATGAAGTGTTACAACTAATTCTCAAAGATCTAAGAGATTTGTTTTCACTTTAATCGCTGTGATCATGGGCCTAATTACAGTCACTGCACTGGCCACCACTGCCAGAATGGCATTACATCAATCTATTCAAATGGCTCATTTTGATAATGATTGGCAAGCCAATTCCACTCAAATGTGGAATTCTCAACAAGGAATTGATCAAAAATTGGCTAATCAAATTAATGATCTAAGATAGTCTGTTATTTGGCTTGGGGATCGGCTTATGAGTCCCGAACATGGCATGAAAATGCAGTGCGATTGGAATACTTCTGATTTCTGTATCACACCATATTCCTACAACGAGACTGATCATTCATGGGAAATGGTCAAAGGACACCTTCTGGGTAGGGAAGATAATTTATCCTTGGACATAACCAGATTAAAAAAAAAATTTTTTTTGAAGCCTCTCAAGCTCATTTATCCATTGTGCCTGGAGCTGAGGCCTTAGATCAGGTGGCAGAAAGTCTTTCTGGACTAAACCCCATGACTTGGATTAAGTCTATTGGGGGCTCCACTGTAGCAAATTTTGGAATTATGTTTCTCTGTTTAATCGGCTTGTTTTTAGTGTGACGGATCAGTCAAAGAATCCTGCATCAAAATCAAGAGAACGAACAAGCCTTCATCGCCATGGCACATTTATATAAAAAGAAAGGGAGAGATGTTGTGGGAAGTCAGGGACCCTGAACGGAGGGACCGGCTGGAACTGTGTCAGAGGAACATAAATTGTGAAGATTTCATTTTAATATGGACACATATCAGTTCCCAAAATTAATACTTTTATAATTTGTTACACCTGTCTTACTTTAATCTCTTAATCTTGTTATCTTCGTAAGCTGAGGATGTATGTCACCTCAGGATCACTGTGATAATTGTATCTAACTGTACAAATTACAAAAAGAGATACAAAAAGGAGCTGGCATCATTCCTTCCGAAACTATTCCAAACAATTGAAAAGGAGGGACTCCTCCCTAAATCATTTTATAAGGCCAGCATCATCCTGGTACCAAAACCTGGCAGAGACAAAAAGAAATTAAACCCTTCAGGCCAATATCCCTGATGAACATCGATGTGAAAATCCTCAATAAAATACTGGCTAACTGAATCCAGTAGCACATCAAAAAGTTTATTCACCATGATCAAGTTGGGTTCATCCCAGCGATGCAAGGCTGGTTCAACATATGGAAACCAATAAACATAATCCATCACATAAATAGAACCAATGACAAAAACCACATGATTATCTCAATAGATGCAGAAAAGACCTTCGATAAAATTTAACATCCCTTCATGTTAAAAACTCTCAATAAACTAGGTATCAATGGAACATATCTCAAAATAGTAAGAGCTATTTATGACAAACCCACAGCCAATATCATACTGAATAGGCAAAAGCTGGAAACATTCCCTTTGAAAACCAGCACAAGACAAAGATGTCCTCTCTCACCACTCCTATTTAACATAGTATTGGAAGTTCTGGCCAGGACAATCAAGCAAGAGGAAGAAATAAAGGGTATTCAAATAGGAATAGAGGAAGTCAAATTGTCTCTATTTGCAGATGACATGATTCCATATTTAGAAAACCCCAGCATCTCAGCCCAAAACTCCTTCACCTGATAAGAAACTTCAGCAAAGTCTCAGGATACAAAATCAATGTGCAAAAATCACAAGCATTCCTATACACCAACAATAGACAAGCAGAGAGTCAAATCACAAATGAACTCCCATTCACAGTTGCTACAAAGAGAATAAAATACCTAGAAATACAGCTAACAAGCGATGTGAAGGACCTCTTCAAAGATAACTACAACCCATTGCTCTAGAAATAAGAGAGGACACAAATAAATGGGAAAACATTCCATCCTCATGGATAGGAAGAATTAATATCGTGAAAATGGCCATACTGCCCAAAGCAATTTACAGATTCAATGCTATTCCCATTAAACTACCATTGACATTCTTCACAGAATTAGAAAAAATACTACTTAAAATTTCATAGAACCAAAAATCTGTCTGAGTCACCAAGACAATCCTAAGCAAAAAATAAAGCTGGAGGCATTATGTTACCTGACTTTAAACTATACTACAAAGCTATCATAACCAAAAAGCATGGTATTGGTACCAAAACAGACATTTGGACGAATGGGACAGAATAGAGACCTCAGAAATAACAAGCAATGGGGACAAAACAAGCAATGAGGAAAGGATTCCCTATTTAATAAATGATGCTGGGAAAACTGGCTAGCCATATGCACAGAACTGAAACTGGACCCCTTCCTTACACCTTATACAAAAATTAAATCAAGATGGTTTAAACACTTAAATGTAAAACAAAAAATAATAAAAACCCTAGAAGTAAACCTAGGCAATACCATTCAGCACATAGGCATGGGCAAAGACTTCATGACAAAAATGTCAAAAGCAATTGCAACAAAAGCCAAAATTCACAAACGGGATCTAATCAAGCTAAAAAGCTTCTGCACAATAAAAGAAACTATCATCAGAGTGAACAGGCAATGTACAGAATGGGAGAAAATTTTTGCAGTCTACCCATATGACAAAGGTCTAGTATCCAGAGCCTACAAGGAACTTAAACAAATTTACAAGAAAAAAGCAAACAACCCCATTAAAAAGTGCACGAAGGATATGCACAGACACTTCTCAAATGACATTTATGTGGCCAACAAACATGAAAAAAAAGCTCAGCATCACTGATCATTAGAGAAATGCATATCAAAACCACAATTAGATACCATCTCATGCCAGTCAGAATGACGATTGTTAAAAAGTCAAGAAACGAGGTTATGGAGAAATAGGAATGCTTTTACACTGTTGGTGGGAATGTAAATTAGTTCAATTATTGTGGAAGATAATGTAGCAATTCCCTAAGGATGTAGAACCAGAAATACCATTTGACCTAGCAATCCCATTACTGGGTATATACCCAAAGGAATATCAATAATTATTCTATAAAGACATATGCATACATATGTTTATTGCAGCACTATTTACAATAGCAAAGACATGGAACCAATCCAAATGCCCATCAATGATAGACTGGATAAAGAAAATATGCTATGTATACATCATGGAAAACTACGCAGTCATAAAAAGGAATGAGATCATGTCCTTTGCAAGGAGATGGATGAAGCTGGAAGCCACCATCCTCAGCAAACAGGAACAGAAAACCAAACACCACATGTTCTCACTCACAAGTGGGAGTTGAACAGTGAGAACACGCGGACACAGGGAGGGGAACAACACATACCAGGGGCAGTTGGGGGATGGGGGACAAGGGGAGAGAGAGCATTAGGACAAGTAGCTAATGCATGTGGGGTTTAAAACCCAGATGATGGTTGATAGGT
This sequence comes from Homo sapiens, assembly GCF_000001405.40. Lineage (NCBI taxonomy): Eukaryota > Metazoa > Chordata > Mammalia > Primates > Hominidae > Homo > Homo sapiens. Next base: position 64,139,557 of record NC_000004.12, on the reverse strand, counting down.
GCAGCAAAAAACATGGCACATGTGTACCTATGTAACAAACCTACACATTCTGCACTTGTATCCCAGAACTTAAAGTAAAACAAAAAATAAAAAAAAAAAGAAAATTTAAAAAGGAATACTTCATCTTATCAGAATTTTTTAACAAAAATTTTAAAAAGTAAATAAAAACAGGACCAAAGCAAGTCTAGGCAGCTCATTTTTTGCTAAGGGAAATTTTTGCTTATGATGAATTCTTCAAATATTTTTTAATTGCAGTAGCCAGAGAAAAGTATTCAAATAAAATAAACTGTTTAAGATTATTAGCCTTTGGCAAGAACAGTTGCTAGAAGAGTTCAGGACATTAGGAGTAAACTCAATATTCACTTAAAAAACAAGAAAAATTACTCAAGAGGTTTACCTTTTTCTTGGTATGTTCACAGATGCTACTGATACTGCAAAGCAGTTGTTTGAAGAGTCAATGTCAAGTTTGAAGTGACAGCAAAAGAAGTTCCTACAAAATATTTTGCATGAAACAACTACAGGTGACAAGATTTTTAAAGAAATTGAGAAGGCAGTAATGCAGTACAACTTGTAGTGGAATCTGCTGAGATGTTTTATGGCTGATTGTGGAAAAAAGGTATAGAGCAGAAAAAGACATTTAAATAAACTCACAAAGCTTGTAAAAATGCAAGGCTTTAAAGCTTATAGTTATCCAATGCATTATTTTTGAGCAGATACTTTGTGGGAAATATTTAAACCTATCATGTGTAATTGTGCCAGTAGTGTCAATGGTAAGGTTCATTTCTTCTCATGAACTTAATTATTGCCAATTAATGAGTTTTTGCCAAAATAGAAGCTGAATATTCTGGCTTGCTTTACCACAAAGAAGTTTTATGACTTTAAAATAATGAAGTTTTATTGTGACTGTGTTAGTTGAGGGCATAGATTTTTTTTTTTTTTCTGAAAGAGTACCACCCTCAACCACTAATGTAAAACATTAAATAGCATTGGAAAATAACTTTTGCTGCAGACCTTATAAAGTTCTTAATGTTTTTTTATTGAAATTACAAAGCAAAATAGCACTTATCTTTTTAACATGTATTGTAAAAATCTGAACAATTACTTATATCACTAGGATCACAGATACTAACAATTTCATCAAGAGAAAGATCAAATAACATTCAATAAGTATCTTACAACAAATCATGGATTGATAACATTATTTGGAAGTTTCTATATGTATAAAAAGTAAAAAAAATTTGAAAAATGAAATATGCAAATCTCACTCCACATCAGCCTTATATGTTAGATGAATACTTGCAATCAATTTTGATGATATGGAATACTCACTTTGAATCCTGTTTAAGTGAAATGTTATTATCCCTCCCAAATATATTACTTTTATTAGTATACCTGTATTATAAAAATATTCTATTGTTATTATTCTTTGACTTACGAAATTACAATTTTGTGGAAGCGTGTTATTTCTTGTTATATAAGTCCACACATCATATTCTCTATTTTGTCTTTTTGGCCTGAAAGGCATAAAATATTTACTATCAGGCACTACAGAATATACTTACAATGATGTAATTTTATTTGAGAATAATATTTAATTCAAAAGCATAAAAATGTACCATATGTTTACATAAGTTATTATTATAATAAATTTTATAAATTATTATTGCACAATATTTTATTAATAATAACTACATTCATGGTTTTAGTCATTTTCCTATATATTAAAAGTCCTACATTTGAACCCATATTTTAGAAATATTATGTCAATATCAGTTAGTTAGAAAATATTTCCAAAGCTTTAATTTTTCAGACTCTTGTTCATACAGCTATTTCAATATACAGTCATGCACAGCTTAAAGGTGGGTATAAGCTCTGAGAAGTGCACCTTTAGGTAATTGCATTATTAGATGATTTTGTCTTTGTACAAATATCATAAAGTGTACTTACACAAACCGATATGGTATAGCTTTCTATATACCTATATGGTATAAACTATTGCTCCTGGGTTACAAACCTGTACAGTATGTTGCTGTACTGTATACTGCAGGCAGTTGTAATACAATAATAAGTATTTGTGCATCTAAGCATATAAAAGGCATAGTAAACATATTTTATGAGATAAAAAGTGGTACCCCTGTATAGGACACTTATCATAAATAAAATTTGGAAGGCTGAAAGTTATTCTTGAGGAGTCTGTGAGTGAGTGGTGAGTGAATGTGAAGGCATAGAACATACTGTACACTACTATAGACTTTCTAAACACTGTAGACTTAGGCTACACTAGAGTTTTTATTTTAAATGTGCTATAAAATTATGACAACTGTGGTGTCACTAGGCACTAGAAACTTTTCAGCTCCATTACAATCTTTTGAGATGAATACAATTTTTAACAACAATATATTTTTAAAAATTAAGATAGTAGTCCTGATATTCTGAATTTGGGTATTGTCTTTTTTTTTTTTTTTTTTTTTTTTTTTTTGAGGTGGAATCTCTCTCTGTTGCCCAGGCTGGAGTGCAGTGGTGCCATCTCAACTCACTGCAACCTCTGCCTTTCCAGGTTCAAGCAATTCTCTTGCCTCAGACTCCTGGGTAGCTGAGCCTACGACCAGCTAATTGTTGTATTTTTAGTAGAGATAGGGTTTCACCGTGTTGGCCAGGCTGGTCTTGAACTCCTGACCTCAGGTGATTCACCCACCTCGGCCTCCCAAAGTGCTGAGATTACAGGCGTGAGCCACTGTGCCCAGCCAGGTACTGTCATTTCGCCTTCCTTTTTATTTCCCTTTCCTTCCTTTGCCTTGCCTTCACTTCTCTTCACTTCTTTTTTCTTTCTTCTCTCTTCCCCTTGCCTGGCATTGTCAGGCCCTTCTTCTCTCCCCACCATTGATCTCTCCACAAAAGCTTCCTTACAGATAAAGTCTTCTTAATTAATACACAATCTTAGATGCATCATTATTATATTATTCCTCTGGAGCAATATTTACTTCGTCTTGGAGTTCTTTGAAACATCTATAAATCTAATATGTTCACACACGCGCGCGCACATACACACACACACACGCACACATCAAAACAAAACAAGAAATCTCCACAAATTCTTCCAGTTGCCTCTTGATAAAAAAAAAAGGCTTAAACGATTGAGCTTCCATTTTTTATTATAAATTCTTTCTGCTCTGTTCTTATATTTATAATCTGTATTAATTCCTTTTCATTTTTATCTGAAAACTGACATTATTCCTTAACAATTCTTCCTTTGAAATGTATCAGATCCTAATCCTTCCCCTTGTTTTTGTATTTGGTCTCACTCCGTTACCAGGCTGGAGTGCAGTGGCGCGATCTCGGCTCACTGCAACCTCCGCCTCTCCGGTTCAAGAGATTCTCCTGCCTCAGCATCCCGAGTAGCTGGGATTACAGGAGTGCGCCACCACGCCCAGATAATTTTTGTATTTTTAGTAGAGACGGGGTTTCACCATGTTGGCCAGGATGGTCTCTATCATCTCTTGACCTCGTGATCTGCCTGCCTCGGCCTCCCAAAGGGCTGGTATTACAGGCGAGAGCCACCTCGCCCGGCCCCCTTGTTTTATAAGTCCAGAATTAGCATCACACGTTTAGAATTAGATTGGCTTTTCCACATCAGCTAATGTAATCTTGGCTTCCACAAATGAGTCAAAGATGTGATCAAACATTGAGACATTATTTGCATAAACGTAAGATGGGCTGCCATTTCCAGTCCATTTTACATAATGTCGCCAAACCCGTTCACCCAATACATATTTTCAATCATTTCATCAACTGAAAAACTATTCAGTCATTTCTTTTTCCTGTTGAATGTCATCAAAACTCAGTCTCAAAATCAATTATGTATATCCGCGTTTTCCCAAAGTTGTTCTGTAAAACAGAAGTTTGTCCAGACATCAAAATTGATGTAGAACAAATAAGAAATATTGTGTGTGGTGGTCGATTAAGCATGGGAAACTCTGAGTTGAAGAAATTTAGAAAATTTATTTCCCAAAATACCTCTTAAAAATTTTCACTCCATTTTTCTACTCCCCTCAAAGGGTTGTTTGTTTTCAGGCTTTAATATGCATATTCTGTATTCTTATTCTTATTTAGAACTCTGTATTCCCTTCATACTATATTTACTTCTGTTTGCTCCCTAGGTCTTGTGTTTTCCCAACACACATTTTCACATTCTGAAATGAGCATTTTTTACTTAGAAACTATTTAAAGTCTATCATGGTGAAAGTCTTCAAACAAAAACCCAGCATATAATGCTCACTCCTTACTCTGATTAGTTGATTGTACTTGACAGTTATAAATAATCAAATACTATATTGTGCCGCCATTCTCTTGCCTTTTGGATTATCCACAGGATTAAGCACATTAACCACACAAGTATTTTCATCTTTTTAAAAAAATGTGTTGGTACAGAATAGGTATATATATTTTTGGTGTTACATGAGATATTTTGATACGGCATGCAATGTATAATAATTACATTGGGGTAAAATGGTTATTTATTACCTCAAATATTTATCCTTTATGTTACAATTTAATTGTACTCTTTTAGTTATTTTAAAACGTACAATTCAATTATTTTGACAATAGTCACCCTGTTGTGCTAGCAAATACTAAGTCCTATTCATTCTTAATAACTATTTTTTTTGTACCTATTAGCCATCCCTGCATCCCTAATTGAAGGACAAAAAAATTTAGGTTCTTTCTTGGTTGTACTATTTCTGAGAAAAATTAAAAGCTATTGGAATTTATAATACATTGAAACAAGTAGAAAGACAGTGTAAAGTTTATGCTAAAAGAACTGTAATTAAAAGCAAACTTGAATTTTAGTTGTCAGTGTATTTATAATTAATTCATATTTGGTTACCTAAAAACCCATTGCCCCTTTATGTAAATTATGTTGTAAGATTATTTCTGCCAATTCTTGAACTCTTCAGTAGTCTTCTGCCTGCTCTATGGGGAAACATTTGCAAACTAAAAATTATAAAAATTTTAGCCTTCATGGATGGGCGTGGTGGCTCACGCCTGTAAACCCAGCACTTTGGGAAGCCGAAGTGGGCGGATCACCTGAGGTCAGAAGTTCGAGACCAGCCTGGCCAAGATGGTGAAACCCCGTCTCCACTAAAATTACCAAAAATTAGCCGGGCGTAGTGGCGGGCGCCTGTAATCACAACTACTCAGCAGGCTGAGACAGGAGAATCTCTTGAACCTGGAAGGCGGAAGTTGCAGTGAGCTGAGATGGCGCCATCGCATTTCAGCCTGGGCAACAAGAGTGAAACTCTGTCTCAAAAAAAAAAAAAAAAAAAATTAGGCTTCATTCACATTGTCAAGTGTGTATGAATCTATGTTCATACTACATTTTGAAATTTTTTTTCTGTACACTTTTGTCTTACAGCAACATTGAACTTTGTTTAAAATTTGAAAACAAATGCAGTCGTAACAAGAATTGAAAAATAATGTGATTTCCATGAAATATTCTATTGTTTTAAAGTTAGGCAAAAATATTATTTGTGTCAAGAAAGGCAAAGTGCTGTCATTTATTGTAACTTGTGTCTTTCCAACTTTTTTTAAATGTATTTTTTTCTCTCCAATTAGAACTTGCACCCAAAATGGGTAGCAGTATTCTTAAAAATAAAATTTATAAATTATGTGTAATTCACTATTTTACCTTAAACGATAATCATGATTCATATATACCTTGTAAAACTTTAAAATATAAGTACAATATAGTACATGTATCTGTGTATATATATTTATCATATATATACAAATGTACATAAATAGCATGTATATAATAAGTAAACAATCAAACGCATAAACAAATAAAACTCACTATAAGCCACATTGCCTAACTGTTTGATTGGTCTGTCCTATTTAATTTGGAACTAAGCTTTACTTAGACTTTTTCCTTTGAATGACACTGGAAAAAACTCACCAGGTGTTTGAACAATATTAATGAAAGGAATAAAGAGAAAAAACACTTTTTGTTAGCATATTTACCTAATACCATAGTATTAAATCATATCTTGAAATGTTGCTACTGACTGAGCTGCCTTTTAACTAAAGAGTTTTCTATAATATGGAACATAACAAAATAACAATAACATGCACTAATACATGTTTCCATATATTTCTTCCTGTGTTTTGTTCTGAATAAGAAATTTATAGACTTATTTGCAAATCTCATTTCTTTAAAAATGATAAAACCTAAATTTATGTAGATGAAAAAATGTGCATAATTGTGCTAATCTTTTTTTTTTTTTTTTGAGACAGAGTCTCCCTCTGTCACACAGGCTGGAGTGCAGTGGCATGATCTCAGCTCACTGCAACCTCCTCCTCCCAGGTTTAAGCAGTTCTCCAGCCTCAGCCTCCCAAGTAGCTGGGACTACAGGCATGTGGGCATGTGGGCATGTGGCACTGTGTTTGGCTATTTTTTTTTTTTTTTTGTATTTTTATTAGAGACGGCATTTCACCATGTTAGAGAGGCTGGTCTCAAACTCCTGACATCAGGTGATACGCTCCCCTCAGCCTCCCAAAGTGCTGGGATTACACACGTAAGTTACCATGCCTGGCCAACTGTGGTAATCTTAAACAACAAATCACATTGGACACAGTGAAGGATATTCATGCTCTGCCTTGTGTTCTGTGTTTAGTGCCCTGGTGTCACTTTCCACAAACTGCACATGGAGTGATCACACAGAGAGCTAATTATATCTTTATGAAGAAGCTCATCCTTAATCCTTGAACTCAGACATTATTATTTGTGCATTATTGAGCCAAAAGACTGCCTAAAGAAAATAATATGCAATGCACTCCATATTAAAATAGCTAATTTTACAAAATTTTTGGACGGACACCAGAAAAAAAAAAAGTGACATATACGGTCACAGACAATAGTTTACCAGGGTATTTTCAGTATTCTAATACAAACAAAAGATAAAAACAATATATTTTGCTGGAATTACAGATGTAACTATATAATGAAAATATACTAGTCAGGGAATGGCATGAAATGATAAGGAATCTAAAAAATACTATCCAAAAGCTTAATTTTATATATTTATAAAATTTTAGTTGAGATTATTAAAACCCTTGAAGATAATTTTTTGGCTTAATTATTACTTTTTCATATGCAAAATAAAATATATAAATTGAATATTAACATGTATTTCAAAATATCCCCCAGTTAACATAAGAATTGGTATTTCTTGCTTTTAGGAATGTATACAAGTGGTTTTTAATTTTGTTAAATAAAATGCCATCTAGGCAGCATACATTTTCAGAAATTTTTTTTAAAAAAGGATCTTTGCTAGGAAATTTGGCTGTAGTATTGCCCTTTGTATAGAAAGTATCAAGAGAAGTAAAGTTGCTTTTTTCCTCTGTTAATATTGTAACCATTCTTCATTAGATTATCTGCCCTTTGTCAATAGCTGTCACACAATAAACTTTTTTTATTTCCTAGCAAGGACAGTAATTATTAAATGGCTTTTCTAAAGGTTGTCTGTAGTTATGTTGGGAATAGATAGCTATTTGTAATCCCAAAGCTCTGCAATAACATTAATTCTAAACTAAAGGTTAAAAGCATAAATTTTTCCAATATCCCCTGCAGGAAGACCAACTTTGCAATCAACAAAATGAAAACAATAATGCTCTTTCACAAGTTTTTTATTTAATTATTGAAACATTCTAAGGTATTATGTGGTTTTTATATGGAAATATGCAGTTGGCTTGTCATATTTCTTTATAACCCAACTATGATGAAGGTATAACCCTTGATATGCCTTTGATATGTCCTCCAAAAATATATATTTCAGAATTAATTAAATTATTGCAGCATTTTTACTCGACATATTGTTAATAATCAACAGATTCAAATCGAAGCATCCTTCTGATATAAATTGGATTTGAAAAACTTACATAATATATAAACATAAATCAATTTATAGTCATTACTATAGTCTGAACTAATAGGATTGTCTTAGTTTTGACACTGTCAAAAATGTTGTAGATATTTTCAGGTACTGAAAAATACTTATCTAAGTTAGAAGGAAACTGACTCCTAAGCTCTGTGGCTATCACTGCTTCCTAATCTTTGTCAATTTTGCTGGTATTCAGAGAAGACATAGGCAATGTTTGAACATGTCATATATCAGGTAACTATAATATCCAGTCCATGAATATTCTTATAATTTTCTTCCACATTTAGGATTGATATAGGAGTTAAAAAGAAATTACTTAGGCTGATAGTGAGGGTACTGGAGTCCTCGGTATGGTTTTCCTTTTTAATGAAAAGCAGCCTCAAATCATTTTCTGACGAAGAGCAGCCTGTAAAATCGAGCTGTGGATACAGACAAGCAAGCTGGAGGCTTACAATGGTGAATGCCAGCAGGAGAGAACTGCCTGAGACTAGATATGTTCATACTGGAGGCTTCATCTTCCCTTCCCTTTGTCAGCCATGTGTACAGTGAAGAGCAGATAAGATGGTGCCAGTCAACTGGAAATTATATTTGCATAATAAGATTAGGGTGGGGTGGCCAGCCTTCCTGTGCACTATGTAAACGTCCCACCTGATCAAACCAAACTGTGGGCTCTACATAAATCATGCACCACCTCCTCAAGCCTGCCTATAAAATCTGACAAACTTCGCTGATAGCCAGTCTTTCCTTTCAGAAGTCCCTCTCTCTCACTAGAGAGAGAGCTGTCTCCTTTCTCTTTCTTTTACATATTAAATCTCCACTTCTAAAAGTCCTCGTGGGTGTACATGTCCTAAATTTTCTTGGCACGAGACAATGAATCCTGGGTATTTATCCCAGATGACAAAGCTGCTTCAGGATCATGTGGCATTACAGTTTTCCAAAGTTGAAGTACGGAATTTCATTAAATTTGCAAACTAAAATATGCTGTATCATTGGAATGCTAAAATATCCTATTTTGCTTACATATAATGTCTTCAGATAACACTTTGAATATGTGAATATTGTGTTATTTTTAATACATACTCAAAATTCTTTGACATGTCACCTATTAAGATGTCAGGTTTCCTTATTAATGACTTATTTCACCAATAAATAGTGAAAGTGATATTTTGTAATTTCTGAGACTGGGTCATAAAAGATCGTGTAACATCTCTGTTGTTTTCATTGATCTTTTAGCCACAATGCAAGAAGTTCAGCTACTCTGAAGCATCCATGGTATGAAGAAGCTCAAACCATATGGGTACATGGGAAGCCATGTGTAGCAGCTCTGGTTGGCAGTTCCAGTTGAGCCCAGTCTTTGTTTCAGCACAGCACAAGCATCACACTTATGAAAAAAGAAACTGTCCAATGTTTTCAGCTCCTGGTCATTTTAATTATGCTTAGGCATGAAAATCTTCCCAATTGTGGCCATAAGCAGAGCAGAACAAGTCATTTTTCATCCAAATTCCTGACCCACAGATTATGTGACCCCTTAAAAAAGAGTTGACTAGATTTGCTCATATAGATTTGATAACTCAAGTATTTTAAGTCCTTTGTATATTACTTGGACCTGTGGTAAACGATATTTATTTTGTGATATACAGAAAAAAAATTATGTACTGTTTTTCAACCTTAGATTAAACTTTTAAACACAAATCACACAGAGTATACTTTTGGTTCCAGAGCAAAACATACCTATTATTATATTTACTATAAAAGTGGATGTTCCCATGACAGAGCCTATGAAAACAGATAGCAGAGAAATGGTAGTGAGATTTTGGGAGTCAAAGCATCCCCATCTCATAAAGTACTATGTCAAAAAAAATTGCGTATACTTGCTAAAAAAGAAAAAGAAATGTAGAATGTCATTCAACATTGAAGTATTATGTAACAATAGGAAAAGAGAGAAAGCAGAGATAGGTAATGTTACAAGTAAGTTAGACCTCTATATGCCTAGCTTTCTTTAAGTGATAACAGTTTTCTTTATTCCCAATAAAGACTATTCCTATTTACCACATATATAAAATATTAAAAGCATATAAATATGTATATATTAGATATAGAACTATATATAGTTACTTATTTAAAAATGTATAAAATACATAAAATATTCCTATCAACCAGAAGAATAAAACATCTGCTGAGGGATGAGGCAGAGGGCTTATTTTTGTTGTCAGCTTTTCTGTATAACAGTTGAATTTTTAATTGTGTGCATACATTTTCTTGACAAGTATTTTAAATTGATAATCAAATAAAATATATTGAATTCATTGATTTTGAGAGGGAAGTGGGAGCTCACTTAAGGTATGACACTAAAAATGCAAGTAGGGTGCAAGTATTACAGTGATATGATCAGTGGATATGGCAACTAATTACATGAAGAGTGAAGTAGATGAAAGACTAAGAAATGGGAGATTGGGCTAAAGAGATACTATTAATCTGAAATCCAGTCAGATACAAGGAATAACAAGGATATGATAAGTTCAGCTGAAGAACTAAAAGAGGATACATAGAGTAGATCATTCAATTATAGAAGTCTGTGTGCAGATAAGCATTATAAATATTAATATAGTAGCCATATGTATAGTAGTTATTGCTAATAAACAAGATATGTTTTGAAACAGAAAAATATAATCGGTTTACCAATGGAAAGTAAAAGAAAATTACTATTTTCAAGACAGCATGATTATATTTCATGGAAATGCCATTAGGAGAAATGAAAACTTACTGGAACTAATGAAAAGTTTGCGAATTGACAAGCTGGAAAGAAAAATACATACTAATTCATACTTTTATGATTTACCAGTAAAATATTAATAATTTTAAAATAACATCAAAAAAGAACATTTAATCTACATGCCAAATTATTGATTGTAACTATCTCTGTATTAGTAGTAATTAGTAACATTTTTCTTCATCTTCTTATATGTTTTATACACTAAACAGAAAATCATTTTTTAAAAAGAAAATAATTTATATATGTGTAATACATAGTGAAAAAGTATTAAATGACACTAAATATAAAGAAGCATTTAAAAAATGAAGAATAATTAAACAAGTGGCTGTTTGGAAATGTCGGAACACATTAAGAAAGGATTATAACCATGGCACACATTTACCTATGTAACAAACCTGCACATTCTGCACATATATCCTAGAATCTAAAATAAAATAAAATTTAAGAAATATAATAAAAATAAAATAAAATAAAATATCCTTGTTTCAGTAATAATTTTTATCTTAACGTGTATTTTGTCTGATATTAGTATATCCATTCTAGCTCTCTTTTGCTTACTGTTTGTTTTTTAATCCTTTATACTTTCAACCTATTTGTGTCTGACTCTAAAGTGCATGCCTGTTGTAAAGAGTATGGAATTGGTTTACAGTTTTTAAAATCTATTTTGTCAATCTCTGCCTTTAAATTGGAGTGCTTAAACTACTTGCATTTAATGTAATTGTTGATAAGGTAGAATTTACATTTGTAATTTTGCTATTTCATTTCCATATGTCTTATTTCCTTTTTGTTTGCATATTCTGCCATTAACTAACTTCATTTGTATTAAATAGATATTTTCTATTATACCACTAAAAAAGAAAAAGAAAGGATTATAAGGATTATGAAAAAAATAACAATTATGAAAACATAGAAAGTAAAGACATAATTTACAAAATGAGAATTCAACATAAATGTCTAATTCTAAAAACACAAATCTGTGTTGCTATGTTGATTAGCATATTTTCTGTAACAATAAGAACTAACCACAAAAGAGTTAATAAATTTTGAATTCAAATTTTACAGTTGGTTTTCTTGTTATACACCACATATATATATTTTCCTGAAGAAAGAGTAGTTATATTTCTGGATAAGTTATCCTGGTTTATTCTTGTTAAAAAACTATAATAGAAGGGTTTTATAGGCAAACATTGAATAGCAATCTTGTTATTGGGTTACCATTGGGATACAAGAGATGTTTCCAAGGGGACGGAAAGATTGGATAGTTTTAATACAATTAATTTCCAGAACTCAAATTCTTTTTGCACTATTTCCTAAAATGTATCTTCCTGAGTCTGTGCATATGTTGTTCTGGCTTTATGACACCAATTCAAATTGCATGTTTGTAATCTTCCTTCTTCTACTTTACATTAGAAAGGCAAACATTTACCCATTCAAACTCTTACCTGCTCAGGGGTACAAAAAACTGTCAGGAACAATTGGCAATAATTGATGCATCTACTGAAAAAGTGAATGACTCTAAACTGGCTCAAAAGTTGTTTTTGCATGTAGGTGCTTGTAATTATCTGTTTTCAATAAAATAAGGGAGCTTCAAATTAATTTTTTAAGTAATGAATAATTCATATTAATTCTAATGATGCAGAAATATGAGATTAAGTTGTACATTTTCAAGGAATTTTTAAAAACTGAGTTTCATTGCTATAATTTCTTATTTCTACATAAATATTTATGTGAAAAGTTCTTCAACAGTTACATGTATAAAAAAATGAGGAACAGGCCAGGTGCAGTGGCTCACACCTGTAATCCCAGCACTTTGGGAGGCTGAGGCAGGTGGATAACTTGAGATCAGGCATTTGAGACCAGCCTGAGCCTGGCCAACATGGCAAAACCCTGTCTCTACTAAAAATATGAACATCAGCCATGCATTGTGGTGCACTCCTGTAATCCCAGCCACTCAAAAAGCTGAGGCAGGAGAATCTCTTGTACCCGGGAAATGGAGGTTGCCGTGAGCCGAGATCATGCCACTGCACTCCAGCCTGGGTGACAGAGTGAGACTCTGTCTCAAAAACAAAAACAAAAACAAAAAAAAAAAGGAGGAACAAAAAAATAATAAATTTTGCCTCCTTGAATCAGTATAAGTAATATTTATCCATGAGCACAACAACCAATTTTGTATGAGTTATAGTAATCTCACTAAGAGGAGTATCTCTAATTAAATATTATTTACAAAATATTTATAAAAATTTTTAAGTATCTGTATAATTTTGGTTAAATTTACACTAATCATATGTTGAATAATTAAGTCGTAATAAGCTCTAATACAAAAAATTATTTTTAAAATTTAGACATATATATTTCTTTGTTCAGACTGCTGTAACGAAATACCATTGACTGGGAAGCTTCTAAACAACATAAATGTATTTGTCACAGTTCAGGAGGCTTGGAAATCCAAGTTCAGGGTGCTGTCAGATTTTATGTCTGCTAAGAGAATGTTTCCTGATTTACAGATTGTGCCTTTTTCACTGTGTCCTAATATTGTGGAAAGGATTAGGCTTTTCTGAGGCCTAGGCTCTTTGAGGCATCTTTTATAAGGGCCCTAGTCCCATTCATAAAAACCTCCACTTTCACAATCTAATCACTTTCCCAAAGGCCTCATGTCTTAATATCATCATCCTGGGGATTAGTTTCAACATATACATTTTGTGGGACACAAATATTCAGGCTTTAGAAATCTATATTTAAAGTTTACATAGATATAATAACAAATATAAAAGATATACAAGGAAAGACTTTCAGTATTTCAATATGTCAGCATGATATAATCTATTAGTGAAGCATAATTGAAAAGGATTAAATTAGAGATTGTTTGTAAATTGCATTTTTCATTGAATGTTAGTGCACATCAAATCATCTTGTTTAGATAGCACTGGATTCATTGAAAAATGAGGCAATAGTTTATATTAAAATTTTACTGTTAAATATGCATTAAAATATTAAATTATTTAATGGCAAGTTAAATTATTTACTCTCTTTTAAAATAAAAGTATACTTTTTATAAAGAAAAGGATAAGATAACTTGTTTTTTCAGAAGCTTTTAGGGGATACACTAGTAAAATTTTGAGGACAAAATTTTGAGGACAAACTACAGAAGCACAAGAGAGTTGGGTGTGGGCAGGTTTAAGTTAAAAACTATGTTTTGTATGAACAATTAAGAAATGATTATTAAATCTGTTCACCCATTAGAAATATTCAGGGATTTTTAAAAAATGCTGATGCTGAAGGTCCACCCCAAACCAACTGAATCAGCATTTCTGGACAGAGAAGCCAGTCGTGAGCATTTTATTATATCTATTTATTATTTAAAAGCACCTCAGTTTTTTTTCTAGTGTGAAATAAGAGATGTCTCCAAGGTCAATTCATTAAAAAATAAGACATAAGGAATGATATGGGTTCACTTGAGAAGAAGAATTTTTCTCCCTAGTATTAATATCTCTGACTGTTTTGTAAATAATTTGTCTGCTTCTCTTCCTCTTCCACAAAAAGTGTAAATTAAAGAGGTAATGAGTTTTCAGTATTGTAGCTTCCCAGATGTTAGGAAAGAAGGGGAAGAAAAGGCAGAATACAGTAAGGGATAGACAAAGGAAAGATTTGCAACTGGGATAAGATAAAAGGTTTTTCTTTTGATTTTGCTTGGTTTTCTCTTTTGTGCTTCTTTGTTTTACAGCTGAGTTCTATCCTTAGAGGAATTCTAATGAAAAAAGATAATTTTATTTACTGTTTAAATCCAGGAATGATAAACAGAGAAACAGAAACAGTGGAAGATTTTTCGGTAGCTAAATGAGAATTGCTCATCAAGTCATCAAAGAATTCATCGGCTATTGTCAATATTACTAATTCCAATTGGTATAAAAGTGCAATTGATATTTCTGATAAAGGTTTTTACAATGCCTTCTTTGTTACTGGTTATTCTGGAATTTAAATAATTTTAAAAGAGCTCAAAAAGAGAAATGCGATAATATGAAATATACCATACAATAAATACTTAGAGATACCATAAAAACCTGTAAGAAATATGTCACCTAATGTACTTTTTTTAAGAATATAAATAATTTAATTGTTTCTAGACAAATTCAATTTACTCATTATATTAGTTCATATTTTTCCAGTCGCTTATACTGTGACTCCAGAATTTGGTTTCAGTATATTCATCATGTTAAAAGCAGGGTTTAAATCAAATTGCCTACATTTAGCCGCCTAAATGCTAGGACACCAGGACTGAGATTTGCTGCTTTGTCGAAATGTCCTACCTTCTGTCATACCCAAAATTAGTATTTCTGTAATCCTTATAAATTGGTTTCTGTGGACTGTCAATCACTCCTCTGGGGCTCATTGTAAAGCAGAGAGATTTTGTACATGTAATATAATAGCTTATTTTAACAGGGTCCACAGACATTTACTTCTAATTGGTCACATTGAATATATGAAAATCAAGCTGAAAGGTTAGCTATCCCTAAAGGAAGAACAAAATATTTTCTTTATATCTATCATAATTTGTCTCATTAAGGCAATAACTTAGTCATGACATTTTATGCTTGTACCGTGTTTCTTAATTTGAGATTTCAGAGCCAAACTATATAAAACTTTTGGCATATCCAGTGATCACATTTAATGAATATCCACTTTAGTTTCCCCATTATAATGTTATTTCTCAGATTCAACTATTATGTTACGATACATAAAACCTTAAAATTGTTAAAGTATAATTTCTTAATTAATACTAATAGTCATTTATAGAATATTTATTATAAAATATTTTAACATATAACATAAATATTATAAAATATTTAACATATAAGAAAAAGCTACAATCAGGATTATTAAAATATTTCCTCTTTAATATAGTTCTAAGCACTTCATATTGAAATAGAAACAAAAATTATAATAAAAATAAAAACCTATAATGATCTTATTCTACATTTGGTAAAAAAATATATTTTAAAATATTCAAACATTTATTTATGCAAACTTTTTTGGATTTGAATCTTCTAATATTTTCTAGTTTTCTAAGTAAATGACAGAATATAAAACATATACATATATACACCCCAAAATATTGTTTTATGTATACATTTTCTTAAATGTGTATGAAATACACGCACATAAAAACACAAACATGCATTATATTTATTCATCTGCGATATATATTTATAAATATTATACGTATATTTATTTTTTAATGAATTAGTGTGTAAGTACTCAAATTACACATTATATAATACATTTTGAATTTACAGATTATTTTATTGGGTTTTCTTTCAGGATTTTTCTCATATTTTAAATTCCAGTTACCCTTTTCAAGGCTGTTTTTGCATATCACATTTTCATGAAGGCTAATGCTTAGGCAACGGAACTAGCATTAAAGAGTTAATCCTCGGGTTTTCAGAGGGCAAGATGGCCGACCAGACACATCCAGGTGGAACTGCTGCCATCCAGGGACCCAGATGACCGCTGTACTTCTCACAGATCTTCCCTCTTGGGGGAGGGAAACATACAGAAGCAAAGGTGAATGGGGAGAAAGCTGGGAATCCTACACAGTGTTACTGAGCACCTGGACTCATTCCTGGCCCCCAGTGACTCCAGGGGCATGGGTGGGTTGAACCGGCAAGGAGCAACCAGCTCTCCACGGGACCTCTGGAACTCTGGCAAGAGGAGATCCCTCAATCACCAGGAAGACTAGAGTTGGCAGGGAGATCTGCTTAGAGAAGTGGTAGGGGCAGCACACCAACTGAAATGGAGCCCAAAGGGTTTGGTGCAGGAGCCTCTGTAGGATGCATGGATAGAGAAGGCCATCCCCATAGGCTAGACTTGCTACCACACCAGACTTTAACCCTAGGGAAACTGCAGGTCCTGAACTATGCAGGGTGGTCTTGCCCATCAGATGGGGCCTGTCTGACCTTAGCACCCCTTGGTCTGCTGGCCTCTCCAGGAGCCCCAGCCTGGTCACGCCTACCTGCAGGGCAGCTTCGGTGCCCTGGGGATCCGTATCATAGCTTCTGTGATAGCAGGACCCTGTCTGACCAGTGGAGAACTTCAGACGGGCAGCCCCCATGGCCACGCACCAGCCTACAGACTCCCTCCTCTCACTGCAGCTTCCCTTGGACCCATCGCAACTCCCCACATTACTTTGCTGGTGTGTGTCTGAACAGGCGGGTTTTGCCTTCCTTGCTCCACCAGTACGTAAATGTGCCTGCACCCTGCCCTGCCGGCGGACACTGCTGCCAGGTGAATACAGTCCATCCCCTTAACCCCTGGCAACTGTGGAAGGAGCCTTGGAGGGCACAGAGTCAGCCAGCCCACCCTTGTACTAACACTACTGCAGGAGTGAAGCCAGGCAGAGAGAACAATGAATCCTCCCCCGCCCTGAGTGCCCACTCCTGCTTGTGGTACACAGAGAAGGTACACAAACCTGGATCCACCAGGGCTCCACCCCAGAGCCAACACCAGCACCAGTGCAACCAGAACACAGTCGCCAGCAGAGACCCTCTCCCCCACTATCTCCTCCTCCTAACTTCCTGGCCTCCTCCACTGTGATTAATGCCTTCAGGGAAGCAGCTACCCTGGCACTCACTAGCACCTTGCCACAGCCAATAAGCATGCACCCCACAGCACTACCACTGTGGCTGGTGCTGGCATATGTGAAGGAGAACAAATCCCTCTGTCACCACACTATGAAAAGCTTGGGTGACACCAGCCATTAGTGGTACTCCAGGAGCAACTTAACTTCCCACAGTGCAGTGGATTCCTAACCTCAAGGAGCTAGAGAACAAAGTCGGGCCCAATGCAAGTCCCCGCAAGTTAGAGAATTTAGTCTGGGAGCTGGGAGCTAAGCATTGCCCCATAACATCTCCCGGAAATGATGTGACTCAGCTGAATCTACCATATACGACAATCAAACCCTCATGGTCATTAAATAGGATTAAAAAAAAATCCAAAGGTGAGTAGCTGCAAAGATTAAAGGAATGTTATCCCATAAAGATAAGAAAAAATCAGCATAAGAACTCTGACAAAATCCAGAGTGCCTTCTTCCCTCTAAATGACTGCATCACCTCTCCAGTAAGATTTCTGAATGGAGCTTAGTGACTGACATGACAGAAATATACTTCAGAATATGAATAGGAGTGAAGATCATTGAGCTACAAAAATACATCAAAACCTAATCCAAAGAATCTAAAAAACAAGATAAAACAATGCAGGAGTGGACAGACAAAACAGCCAGTATAGAAAAGAATGTAAGCAACCAGTTAGAGCTGAAAAACACACTGCAAGAATTTCAAATGCAATCACAAGTATTAACAGCAGAATAGGCCAAGCAGAGGAAAGAAGCTCAGACCTTGAAAACTGTCATTCTAAAATAAGACAGTCAGACAAGAATAGAGAAGAATGAAAAGAAACAAACAAAACCTCTGTGAAATATGGGATTATGTAAAGAGACCAAATCTTTGACTTATTGGTGTCCCTGAAAGAGATACGGAGAATGGAACCAACTTGGAAAACATATTTCAGAATATGATTCATGAGAACTTCCTTAACCTAGCTAGGGAGGCCAACATTCAAATTCAGAAAATGCAGAGAACCCTAGTAAGATATTCACAAAAAGATTATACCCAAGACACATAATCGTCAGAACCTCCAAGGTTGAAATGAAAGAAAAAATGTTAAAGGCAGATAGAAAGGTTAGGTCACCTATAAAGGGAAGTCCATCAGATTAACAGTGAACCTCTCAGCAGAAACTCAACAAGTGAGAAGAGATTGAGAGCCAATATTTAATATTCTTGAAGAAAAGAAATTCCAATCCAGAATATCATATCCAGCCAAACTAAGCTTCATAAGCTAAGGAGAAATAAAATCTTTTGCAGATAAGCAAATGCTGAGGGAATTCATTGCCACCAGACCCACCTTTATTAGACTAATAAAGAAAAAAAGAGAGAAGATCCAAATAAACACAATAAGAAATAAGGGTATATTACCACCGACACCACAGAAATACAGATAGCCATCAGAGAATTATGAACACCTCTATGCTAATAAACTAGAAACTCTAGAAGAAAGGATAAATTCCTGGACACATATACCCTCACAAGCTGAACCAGGAAGACACTGAATCCCTGAACAGATAAATAATGAGTTCTGAAATTGAGTCAGTAATAAATAGCCTACCAACCAAAAAATATAAATAAATAATAAAAGCCCAGGACCAGATGAATTCACAGTTGAATTCTATCAGATATACAAAGAAGACCTGATACCAAGCCTTCCTCAAAAAAATGAGGAAGAAGGACTCCTCCCTAATTCATTTTATGAGGCCAGCATCATTCTGATACCGAAACCTGGGAGAGACACAACACAAAAAAGAAAACTTAAGGTTGATACCCTTAAAGACCATAGATACAAAAATCCTTGACATAATACTGGCAAACCAAATCCAGCAGTTCATCAAAAAAATGTATCCACCATGATAAAGTAGGTTTTATCCCTGGGATGCAAGGTTGATTCAACATATGCAAATATATAAATATGATTCACCACATAAACAGAACTAAAGACAAAAACCACATGATTATCTCAATTAACTCAGGAAAGCCTTTCAATAAAATTCAACCCCCTTTCGTGTTAAAAACTCTCAATACACTTGGTTTTGAAAGAACATACGGCAAAATAATAAGGGCCATCTCTGTCAAACTCACTGCCAACATTATACTGAATGGGAAAAAGCTGGAAGCATTCCCCTTGAAAAAAGGCACAAGACAAGGATGCCCTGTTGCACCATTCCTATTCAACAAAGTATTGGAAGTTCTGGCCACAGCAATCAGGCCAAAGAAAGAAATAAATTGCATCCATATAGGAAGAGAGGAAGTGAAACTATCTCTGTTTTCAGACAACATGATTCTATATTTAGAAAACCCCATGGTTTTGACCCAAAAGCTCCTTGAGCTGATAGACAACTTAAGCAAAGTCTCAGCATACAAAATCAGTGTGCAAAAATTGCTAGCATTCCTATAACCCAACAATAGTCAAGTGGAAAGCCAAATCAGAAATGCAGTCCCATTCACAATTGCCACAAGAAGAATAAAATACCTAGGAAGATAGCTAATCAGGGAGGTGAAATAACTCTGCAAGGGAAACTATAAAACATGCTCAAAGAAATTAGATGATACATAGAAATGGAAAAACTTTCCATGCTCATGGATAGAAAGAAACAATATCATTAAAATGGCCATACTTCTCAAAGCAATTTATAGATTCAATGTTATTCTTATTAAACTATCAATGACATTCTTCACAGAACTAGAAAACACTATTTTAAAATGCATATGGAACCAAACAAGAGCCCAAATAACTAAGGCAATCCTAAGCAATAAGATCATACTACTTGACTTCAAACTATACTACAGGGCTACAGTAATCAAAACAGCATAGCACTGGTACAAAAACACACACATAGACTAATGGAACAGAATAGAGAACCTAGAAATAGGCTCCTCAGCTTACAACCTCACCTTACAATCTGATCTTAAACAAATCTGACAACAACAACAAAAAAGCAATGGAGAATGGACTTCCTATTGAATAAATGGCACTGGGATAACTGGCTAGCCATGTGCAGAATATTGAAACTGGACCCTTTCCTTACAACATGTTAAAAAATTAATTGGATTTAAGATGGATTAAGGACTTAAATGTAAAACCCCAAACTATAAAATCCTGGGCAAACAACTTAGGCAATATCATTCTGGATGTAGGAACGGTCAAAGATTTTTGTGATGAAGATGCCAGAGTAATTGCAACAAAAACAAAAATTGACAATTGGGATCTAAGTAAATTAAAGATCTTCTGCTTAGCAAAAGAAATTATCAACAGAGTAAACAGAAAAACCTATAGCACAGGAGATAATTTTTGCAAACTATGCATCTGACAAAGGTCTACTATCCAGCATCTAAAAGAAACCTAAACAAATTTGCAAGAGAAAAAAGAACCCATTAAAAAGTGGTCAAAGTACATGAACAGACACTTTTTAAAATAATATGTACAAGTAGCCAATAATCATATGTAAAAAAAGCTCAACATCAGTGATCATTAGAAAAATTCAAATTGGCCGGGTGTGGTGGCTCACACCTGTAATCCCAGAGCTTTGGGAGGCCGAGGCAGTCGGACTGCCTGAGGTCAGGAGTTCGAGACCAGTTTGAGAACAGTCTGGCCAACATGGTGAAACCCCGTCTCTACTAAAATTACAAAAAAATAAAAATAAAAAAATTAACGTGGCTTGGTGGCAGACACCTGTAATCCCAGCTACTCGGTAGGCTGAGGCAGGGGAATTGCTTGAACCAGGGAGGTGGAGGTTGCAATGAGCCGAGATCACGCCACTACACAAGCCTGGGTGACAGAGTGAGACTCCGTCTAAAAAAAATAAAAAAAAAAAAGAAAAATTCAAATCAAAAGCAAAATGAGATATGATGTCACATCTATCAGAATGGCTATTATTAAAAAGTGAGAAAAAATAATAGATACTGGTGAGATTAATTTGTTCAACTATTGTGGAAGATAGTGTAGGCAATTTCTCAAAGTCAATAAAACATAAATATCACTTTACCCAGCAATCCCATTACTAGGTATATACCCAAAAGAATATAAATCATTCTATCGTAAAGACGCATACATGCGTATGTTCATTGCAGCACTATTTGCAATAGCAAAGACATGGAATCAGCCTAAATGTTCATCAATGGTAGATTGGATAGAGAAAATATAGTACATATACACCATGGAATACTATGTAGCATAAAAAGTAACAAGATTCTCTTCTTTACAGGAACATGGATGGAGCTGGAGGTCATTATCCTTAGCAACCTAACTCAGAAACAGAAAACCAAATACCATGTGTTCTCACTTTTATGTAGGAGCTAAATGATGAGAACACATGGATACACAGAGGGAAACAACACATACTGCAGACTATCGGAAGTTGGTTGGAGGATGGGAGAAGGAAGAGGATCACAAACAAAAGCTAATAAGTACTATGCTTAATACCTGGGTGATGAAATAATCTGTAAAACAAACACCCATGGCAGAAGTTTACCGATATAACAAACCTGCACATGTACCCCTGAACTTAAAATAAAAGTTAAATTTGTAAAAGTTAATCTTCAATAAATACTTGTTGTCTAAGCAAAAATTGATATGCTTAGAAATATAAGCATATAAGTAAAGCATAAAAAACATAAATCTTGTTTCTTCATGTTATCTCTTAGGAAAAATTTTATTTTATTGCAGGTAGAAGGACTAGAAAATTCATTTTGATTCACTAAATATTTGTTGAATTGTGAGAATTCTTTTCTTTGTCAACTGATGTTAATTGAAGAAAATATTTTTGTTTTTAAAAGAGGTACTCTTTACCTTAAGGGGAAGAAATAGAAAAGATGTTACTAAAGTAGAAAATTATTTCACAATGTCTATTGTCCTGTTAACCATACATGAAACTAAATGGAGAAGAGAAAGGAAGTATTCTTGAGTGGTCCAGGAATGTCTGTTCTGTCACTCTTGAAAAATAAGAAGAGCTTATTAAGTGGACAAAATGAATAAGACAGTAAAGAAAAGAGCATTTCCTGCAAGATTAATATAATGTAGAAATAAGTTAATTAAATAGGTACATATTTATTTTCAGAAATCAAGGAATAGCTATGTAAAAATACAGCCTAAAGTTACATTATGAGTTAGGGTTAGAAATGTGACTGGATTTTAGATTGTAGATATTGTTGATCAGCCATTCTAGGGTACTTTAACTTTATTAAATAAGCAACATGGGGGCAGAAAAGTATCAAAATCGGTGTTTTAAATTAGGCTAGTCACAATCAGATCATATTTTCTGAAAAATAGCAGTGGTATGCAATATTGACTAGAGTGTTAAAATGAGAAAAAAATAAGTTAGAAGAATGTTCACATTTTGTAGTCAGACACATGGGTACAAAGCAAAATTTTTATATTTATTAGTGTTGGAATTTGGATAACATTTAAAAAAAATCTGACACTTGTAGAAATTCTTTCATTCATTCATACATTCATTGACATATCCATTCACATTCCTGGCCTTTAATATTTGATTAATAAAAGGAATGTGCATTTCAGTCAAATAAATAAATACATAAAAATATTATATACTAGTAACTATGATGCAGAGAATTAAGAAAGGGTAATAGGCAATTAGCAACATAATAACAAGATCTTGGGAGGCTGAGGTTTTGGAGGAGTCCCCTTTGAAAAGATGACATTTAGTTTTGACTGACAAAAAGAGTAAGCAACTGTTTTTGAAGCATACGATGCAAAATATGATGGAACTAGATTTGCACGTCTGAGAATTTTTTTTAAAAAGCCATAATATTTGTCATTATTAAAGGAAAATACCCACACACACAAAGATAATATATGAAGATGTAAGGATTAGGAGTGTCATAACATAAAAACTATTAACCATGTAGTCGACGTACTGTGTTGTTATTTTGAAATTCCCACCTTTTCAACCAATTACAGAATTTGGTACATTATCAGTTTCAAAGAATTCTTAGAGAGTGATCTTTGCCATTCTGTGGGGTAGATGATGTAGGATAAAAGTGAAGCAGATAGAATCATAAAAGGCAGGAAATGATTTTATTAATTGCTATTTTCTGAATTTGAATTTGTACATGTATTTTCTACTTACATACTAAATAGCTTAGAAAGTTAGTTTGAATATGGTTATCCTTAGAGAAAGATGTTAAAATTACATGTTAGTACAAAAACCTCATAAAGTCTCCAATTACGAGATTAGATAATACTATTGAGATTTTTATAGTTTAAATAAGCATTTTTTTCTTTTGCTTTTAAAACTGTTTGCAAGTATTTAGCTTAATTAAATTCAGCGGAAGTCATATAAATCTTTTTCAGATTTCTTTTTATTTATAAAAGTACTTCACAATTTCATTTACAGAAACATTGAACATAATTATTAAAAATAAAAAGAAGACTAAAAGCTACCCCTTTTAAATTCAACATCTATTATGACCTAGACAATGAATTGAAGGCTTTATATCAAGTCTTTCATTTTAGCATAAAAGTAAAGTTTATTGATATTTTATAGATGAAAAAATAGAAGAGGTTTAGAGATAAATAAGTTGTACAAATACACACATCAGATATATGGTCTATCCAAGATTCCACTTCATGTCTGTTTTACTTCAAAATGCACAGTGCTGGAGTATGCGGTATCTTGTGTGTTACATTATAATCAGTAATGGAAATTTACAGATGAGGAATTGGTTTATTTCTTATGCTGAGAATGAGGGGAGAAGCTCATAGACAAGTGAAGGCATGCATCTATAGATTCAAAACTTTTATTAATCAAAATATTTTTGACAAATATGGACCTTCCAAAGATTAACATCTAAATTTTGATCACATTAATGAGTAAACAAAAATTGTGCCTTATATCTTGGCAAACATCTTACGTTTATGTTCCGGATCCCTTTATGTTGACTTTAAAATTTCATAATAATATTTGCTATGTAAGAAATGTAACGCATCACTTTGAGGACTGAAAACATCGATAGAGTAACAACTATGTTTGTTCTTACCGTTTTCTGAGCTATTATACAAATACATTCATATTTGTGTGTGTGTGCCTGTAGTTACAAACTTCTCAAATATGGCACATTGTGCTTCTGAGGGGATTATATATCAATATTGAGAAAGAAGTTTAATATAAAATGGTAAATTATGAAAAAAATTTCTAGTACCTGAATATGATGTACACATTGCATTTTTAAAACTTCAGTTAATGGCGGTTTAACACTTTGCAGCCTCGAAGTGCCTTCTGAAATATTGCATTAAATATAATTTAGCATTGTTTGTTAGGTGACTTTGACTGACTAAAATGCAGTTTAAATTGGCATAAGCAAAAAGGAACCACCATTATGAAAATATAGCAATTTTTTATCAAATGCAAGTGTAGATATATTGTAGGGTCTGAGTAAAAACTAGAAATGGGAACTTCCATGGCCTGAGGACTTTCTTCATTTCTTCTGTTCCCATCCATTTACTGTCCCCAATAGAGGTGTTTTTCCTATGCTACTTTAATATACAATGCAAGAAACATGGATCCAAGCAACTCTATGATTTTCCATAATTCTCTTTTAGCTAAGAAAGGAACCCAGGTCATAGTCTTTTTTCCAATCCATAATAATAAAGAAACATAGGATTAGTTTGTCCAGTTTTGTAGTGTATTGTATATCTGACCAAAACCTCTGGCTTAAAGGCAATTTATGTAGTAAGGCCTTCTTGCTGAAAGTCATGAGATGAGGAAATGAGGTGAGGATCAAGGTGCCAGAAAATAATCTATGCCAGGAAGAAAATTCTGTTTATATTTATTATAATCTATATATACATTTTATTATATGTCATTATGCTTGAATTTATTGTACATTTTTGAGAATCAATAATCTATATCAAGTAAGTTTTATTTAACCAAAAGTTTTTATGAGCCAGGATGCCTTTTCTGTGACCACGATATCAAAAAGCATATCAAGAAAGAGCTAAAAGAAGCTTCCTAATCTCTCATATGTTTTCTCCTAAAATACTTTAAGAGGTGATTAAGTTGCCTATTTTTTTGACTTATTAAAGAATATTTTCTTATTTTTGCATTTGTACATGTATATTTACATTTAACTTGTAAAGCCCTGTTCTGTTTATGGTTGGATAACTGAATTTATCTTAAAATTTATTTAGTAAGATGTAAATTATTCTTTCACTTTCATTGGTATTTAAACTGTCATAAAGTTAGAAATAATTTATCATTGCACATACAAGAAGTATAACATACTACATGGAAAAAACTGTAGATAAAAGGGAAAATAGATCTTAGACTATTGTTATATCTATCCCACATGCAAATTATTTTCATGACAAACACAACAGTTCATAGATTGATTCTTTCTGTCATACTCCATTTTTACTTCTGATTATTATAGCCAGACGACTACATGACTGTGTATAAATTATTAAAACTAAATAAAAATGTTTCATGAATCATATATTGTCCCTTCTGAATTCAAGAGTATAGTTGCAGGACTAATCTTGTGTTCTGATTGGCTATTTATTGTCTAGGCATACAGTTTCACTAATGAAATTAGTGAAATAAACAGGTTGAAATTCAAATAAGACATACTAAATTGTATCATTAAAAAACTCATGAGATTTTAGACCTGAAATCAGTGTAAATATTAATTAAATTAATATCTAAAGAAGCATAATTTATATTTTTACTAAAATAGGCACTTCATAAATACTGGTTAATTTAAAAATTGCTCAAAGATTAATCCAGTTGTGAATGGCTAACCACACTATTAAATAGCTATGCCACATTAAATGCATTTCATTGCAGAGTACAAAAAAAAACCAGAGTGCATATTTGAAATGTAAAACTCTTAATTTACCTAGACTATTCAGGTAAAGTAGTCTCTAATTTTTCTAGGATATGTGATATAGGTATTGTGATTCAGAAAACAAATAAAAATATTTTTGAAAGAAGTAATGTTATACTGATATTGTACTTTTAAAAGTTCTAAATAAATGTAAGTCCTATGTTGGTTAGACATTTCAGACTATACTTCAAGGGGGCTTACAGTATTGATTAGTATAACATGAATACTTGTTTTACTTTTGTATATGTTTGTAGATAATTTGTGTAAATATTTTAAGTAGTAAATATTTTGTGAGACTTTTAAAATTGAAAGTATATTTAGTATGTTATAGAGAAAAAGGTATATAACTTAAGTATATAGAACTGCAAGTATCCATTAGACATTCAATTAATGAATAGATACAGAAATAGGAATAAAATGTAATCATAATAATGCATCATTTTAGAAAACAAATTATAAACCACAAGATGGAGCTGGAATTACATTTTCTATAAAAAGTGAACAAATTTTACTCAAGTTATGTTTTCAAAATGTATGTACTCTATGCAGTACATTTAATTTTTAAAACACCATATAAGATTGTATGTATTTCCAAAGTGCTCATACATGTACAGTCACAAATATTATCATTATTTAAAATATGACTCTACAATACACATGTAAACCTATTGGTAAAAGACAAAATTACAAAAAAAATTAATTTAAAGATTGAGTTGGCTTTTATTTGTAATTTTAGAATTAGGCAACACCTCTTACTATAAAATGACATGAGTATCCCATTAAACTGAAAAGAGAAGTTTGGTTTTATAGGCAGAAAAGGGCTAAAGAAAGCAAAATCAAAGAACAAAAAATGGATTGGTTATTTAAAAGTTACTTGCTTTACAGGCTTAAAACAGAGGAGACTTTCTTACTATGCTAACTCAGAGTGACTAAAGTTTTCTGTTTTTGTAGAAAAACTGACCCATTTTCAAGTTCAGTTTGATCAAATGGCACTAAGCATAATTTGCTTCATTTGATCTGGTCAGTTGGGACCCAATATGGAAGGCTAGTCCAAAATAATGACACGTTATGAATGTTAACACTATCAAATTTCATCTATCAAAATTATGTTAAAATTTTCATAGAAATATTTGTTTTATAATAAAAAGAATCAGTATAACAAACCAGGCTGAAGGAGATTTTTGAAAATGACTGCTGAATTGTTGTCTCTATTAGTTACCAAATAATAAAGTGATATTCATTATGGAAAAAGTATTTTAGCACGATACTTACAGACGATCATTTAGATAGTCTTATATGCACATATATACCTTACACATTATAATACATTATATAAAATGCCATTTATTAAAAATGATATTTGGTGAGAACCAGTTACATCCTTCTTGCTTTTATCTGTTTTCCTGTCTTTGATATTTTTGTGAACTGAGACAAAATTCACTTTTGTAGAACTTCCATTTGAAAAACTTCTCTTTAGACTCGTGGCTTAACTTGCATGCTTGTGAAAGAATACGTAGCACAGTCACCTTAACCAGAGGAAAACTTCAAAAGCACTGCTAATGATAACAATAGATTTTTAAGCTATGGTAGACAATTTATTAGCTGTGAAACTATTTTCGTTTAATACTTTATTTCTAGATTTTTAACAAAATATTGAATAGTGATAGCCGGGGTACTTCACCAAAAATTATTAGAGGTAATATACAAATTCAATTAAATTGTAGAATACAAAATCAACTAATAAAAATCAGTTGCATTCCTATAAAAAACTTTTTTTTATTTTAAATTGTTAAATTGAGCAGAGATCACGTGTTCCCTTTAAATTAAGATAATT
This sequence comes from Homo sapiens, assembly GCF_000001405.40. Classification (NCBI taxonomy): domain Eukaryota; kingdom Metazoa; phylum Chordata; class Mammalia; order Primates; family Hominidae; genus Homo; species Homo sapiens. The sequence goes on along the minus strand of NC_000004.12, from coordinate 64,111,513 downwards.
TGTTACTCAACAAGAATATATGCTGCCAGAAAGATTATACTTTATTGCTTAAGAGTATCCAGCACCATTGATATATGTCAGAAAGTCTACTATAATATGAACATTTTAAAATTATCTCCAGATTTGTTTAGAAGTGGGATGTAGGCTCAAAGTTTCTTCGTTTTGTACAATCTGCATTAGATATATTGAAACAAAAATTAAAACTATTGAAATAAGCTATTTATTTAGAAAATTATGTAAACATTCTTAAAGTACTGTAATTTAAGTAATGTTCGGGGCCCTTCTGGGGTGCTGAGGAAGTTCTAAGAAACTTCATGGCTCATAGTTTTGTTCTAGTCCCTCTTGTGCTATCTGAGCTGCACTCTCTTTCTTAAATGTAATAACTCATTTCAGTCTGATCAACTACAAGGAAATTACTTCAACAATTTTTTAAACTAAAAAAATAAGGGTTTTTGTAATTTAAAAAATATTCACTCAGTGAAATGGCTAACCTTTTATGAAGAATTTATGCTAGAAAAGTCTCCTGGAAAGTCAGGAGTGAGTTTACTGTCCTGCTATTGCAGGTCTCTTTAGATAACCCAATTATTGGTTATCTAAATAACCAATATTTAGATATTGGTATTGAATGGTCTCTTTAGATAACCCAATCCTGCGGAATTGGGAGGTTGGATGAGGAGCCACTAGGCAGATAAGACTGGTTGTACTGAAGAAGAGAAAAAAAGATGAGCACTTTAAACATTCAGTTTCTTTTGAACCACAAAACAGTTTTGCTCCAGTATGTAAAAAAAATTATGTGTTTTGCCATGAAACTGAAGATCTGATAAGAATAGGTGACAACAGTGCTAGTATATAAATGCCATTCAAATTAAAATATCCAAATCCGGGCCAAGATTAATGATTCACCCTTCAAAACTGGAACCTATACAAGATTGGAGAAGAGGTTTTTAGGCATCAAAGGACACTTAGAAATCCCAGGATATTACAAATGGAAGGGATTTTAAGAATAATCTCATCTTAAATTACAAATAGTTTTCATTGTCCAAGCCACATCCAAATAGTTGATGCTGACTGGCTGAAGCACTGTGTGGATTCAGGTAAATTCAGATTTATTTGTAAGAAATATTTCAACTTATAAATAAGATTCATCAATTAGAGGAGTTGCTGCATACCTGCAGTATATCATGTAAAGCTAAACATCATCTAAAAATCATCACCACACTTAAAGATATGCCCAATATAAAATAGCATTATATCACTTAGAGGCAAGGCTATAAAAGTACGGTCTCTGTATTTAGCACTTAGTCCACTTTGCTATTCTAGAAGTATCAGAGCAATCTGCATATAAATTTTGATAGTTCACTAGTAATTTTTAGCTCAGAAACAAGCAGTTAATATATGCTATACATAAAATAGCTAGTGGATCATTAGTATTTATTTTTAAAATTATATTTGCATTGTATTTCTTAAAATCTATTAATCATCCTGAAATTGATAACTTTTGTAGATTGAAATATTGCCCTCATTATTTTAATTCCCCCTCTTTTCTATGGCTTTCTGAGAGTGATAATGCACTTTCTAGCCTCTTAACTTTGGGTTTAGCCATGTCACAGCAAAGCTTAATGTAAAGTGTTACTTGAATAATTTTTTAAAGGATAAATTACCAAAGTTTGTAATTTATGTCTACAATATAAGGAGCACCCTCATTGTGTCATTATCTAAGCCATGCCAAGTTTCAACTAAGTATCTCTTAGCAGAAGAGTTTCAGATTGTTTTCAAGAGAAAACAATGATTATTTATACAATAAAGAACAAATATATCTTTTCCCCAACATCTTTGCCTATATTAGGTATGCATAAAGGTAAAATGTTATTTTATTGCCTTAGATTGTTTATTTATTCATTTTATTGTTAGGTTCACAGGTCAAGTCATGCCTGACTGCTAACAAGAAGTTCTGTTCTGAATCAAATGTTACACTATGTCTTTGTAGAGAACTCAGACAATAAGCATACTTTGTATTTCTCTTTAAATATCATGGTATTCTCAAATTATTTTAAATCCTTGAGGGACAGGGATATCCACTGCTACAGTTTTTAACCTTAGTCTATTAGACACATGTGGAGCTTAATATATAGAGAGATGTTTGGTTCTGCCTCTTAGCATCTCTTGCACGTGGGGACTATATAGATTTGCTTATGAAACAACAACCACAACTATATCCTCTACTGGTGCAAAATCAGGGTCAAAATTCATTGAAGTTAGCAATACTTCTTTAGTCTCAGATCAGCTAAAAGATAACAACATGCTACTAGGTGTGTGTTATGTCATATCACTGTCAGGAACAGTTTGTTGTATCTGTTTAAACAAAGTATTTTCCACTTAATTGCCACAATTCTAAATGGACATTTTAAGAATACTCAGTATTGGTTGCCTATACAATTCAGAATAACAATAATACTAACTTTGCAGTATAATCAGAATATCAGAAAAAGGTATTTTAAGATACCTACTAATTAATTGAAGTTATACATAGAGACATTAATGAACATATACATGTAAATCCATATTTCTAAAGATTTCTCCAAAGATAGTAAACTAAGCCATGTGATAAAGTTATAAAATTTAGTCTAAACTTTCCTTTGATGAAAAGCAGCGAGCACAGAGGAAGCAAATAGACTTGCTTAGTTAATAATGGAAGGTGCTGCCAGCATGCTTTCTTTCAGTATATCAATTTATCATCCCTCTAGTTTTTTGGTTAACAATTGCTTATTAGTAGTCAGGTCAGGAACCATAGAAAAGAAGAATGTTCAAGTTTTGAACACCAAGATTTCAATTTAACATCTGTCATCTAGAAACTAAGTAGATGGCAACTTATACACCATACTACTCATACGACTCAATATTTGAGTACTCATTACACTCAAATAATAATGATGTTTCCATGTTTTGCAAGCCTTTTTCTAACTAACTTCCAACTGCCATGTTTGTGTAAAGGCAATTAACGAAGGACATTTTAACATAACGTGGAAATAACTAACTTGTTACATGAATTATAGAAATCAGCAAGTCTGAAACAGTTGGTCTCTGCATTAAACTAGTTCTCTGTCACCTCATTGGGTAGTTACTTAATCTCATTATAAAATAGGTGTGGTGAAGATGATGAAAAGCAGTAAAGACAGGAAAACTGGAGAGACAGATCCTGGAGAGAGAGTTACGTCGTGTTCTGCTTGAAGCATCATACATTATTAAACTTCAGAGATATGTATGTTCCAATCAAAAATGTCTGTATCTCTAAATACTTCCACATATTTGCAGTTAACTACACTTTCTTCTGATTCTGTGATGTCTGAAAGGCAATCGTGCACCAGTGGCATTTTGTTAGTCTCAGCTCCTTACTCTGTATATAATGTGTTTTTCTCTGCCCTGAAGGTGCAGCCAACAGAGTTTCAGCATTAAATCTACTATTTACAAACTAGTTTAATGGCATCATAAAAACATTCACAAAATATCATTAAAGGTCGGCAATAAACTGCCTAAATCTTTTTGCCTTTTAAATATATGGGTGACGAGCATATCCCCAAAAGCTATGAGTTTGAAAATTAGCTGCTGAGCATGCACTGCAGTTAATTTTCATAGCTGCTTAAATATGATGCATCAGCAACATAATAAACCATACTCCTGCATAATAAACCCTTCTTTGATGCAAATCAATAGGGAGTAGTGCTATATAAAAATAAGCTAAATACATGGGAACTCTGGGACACCTATGAACAGCCAGAGCACATACAAGCATCACAAAGCCCGTTAAACCATTTTTTTGATATGAGTTTTGGAGCAAACTGGTAATAGCCAACTGTCTTAGAAAATACAAAACAAACATAAGACAATCAAGTAAGACCCAAATTATAGAAGTCTGGCTCTCTCACGTGATTGTTTCCTAGGTAACCAGGACAGTGAAATAGAAATTTCTCAAAGCAATCAAAACCACAAGTAAGATAACATTAAAATGCTTTTGCACTTATATCTTTACTGATCCACAAGAACAAAATTCAATTTAAGTAAAATCCGGGGATAACTTTGAAAGAAGAAAAGTGAGTTCATACTAATACCATCACGTTATTTCAGTAGTAACAGTCACTGCCTTCCAGTGTTTGTAGGTGAGATAATTTGATAAATTTGCCTTAACACATATTCATATTCTCGTTTCATCTAATTAAATTGAAAAGATAAGGTCACAAAGGTAAAGCTATTGCGAACTGCTACTTCAGACTCTACAATATTCAGTCTTCTGAGAAACGTTAGTATTGGAATGCCGGGTATAGCACAGGAATAGTTGCTGCTTTTGACACATATGTTCTTAATAGATTTGAACGACTTTCTTTGGATATTAGATAAAAGTTAGGTGAGTTTTAAGAGCTTCAGATGACAACTATGCTGGATGTAAAGTAGCACCAAGTTTCTAGGGACCCACTCACAAAAGTGCCACATTCAGTTTTAAAATGACCACTTTTAATATTTGACAGTAATGCCGAGAAAGCATTTGACTTTTCAGTGCTTCCATCTACTCCCTTTTAAGTTAAAATGACCACTTTTAATATGTTAAAATGACCACTTTTAATATTTGACAATAACACTAACAAAGCATTTGAATTTCCAATGCTTCTACCTCCTCACTGTAAACTTAGCAATGATATCTGCATGCTTCATTCTGTCCAAAGGAAAAATGAAAACTAAAAGGATGATGTTTTATGCATACTTATACTCTAATTGATTCTCGACTTGTAATTGTTTCACCACATATGCTGGTGTTTTCAAAATGTTTCTATATCCTGGGATGCACATAATCCTCAGCAGCACACATTGTTTTATGTTCTGGCACTAACTGATCCAGAGACTTTCTCCCTGAAACTTACTTGTTCTCTTTAATATTGTCTAGAAAGTGAATTGTTACCTAGGCTATTAAGTGGAACTTTTCCAAGATATATAATGCTTTCCAATAAAACATAACTGAATCATTTATTCATTCATTAATTTTTCAGATTTTAATTGATCACCTAGCCTGAGTAGGCACTTTGCCTGATGATGGGGGAAAAGGGCAACTGTGACCAAGTAAATCCTGTTAAGGAGTCTTCTCTTGTAGAAATTTGTACTAATGTGCAGAGACTGTAAATAGATTATTTATACTCCCTTTACACAAATACTGTAATGTCAACATTATCTTTGTTTTGTAACTAAGAAGGCAGAGAATTAAGTAAATTATCCATTGTTCATCAGAACAGCAAACCAACTAACCATGTCTCTCGTGGCACTAAGCCTAAACCAAAAACAAACAAACAAAAAAATCTGCAAAAGCATATAATCAAAGATAAAGAAAAACAAAAGAAAAAAATAACAAAAACAGAAATGTCATGTAAGCAGAATCTTAAAGACAATATCTGATCCTTCAAATTGTTGTAGACATAATTGGCAGTCCTGTGAGAGATCAAATACATTGAACAAAAAATAAGGGCAAATGTTTTTCCTTATCTCAGAATTTCAGCTAAAGCCACAACATTAGGGAAAGAAGGCAGTTAGTATCTCCATGTCTTAAAGTGCCAAGGAATTGCAATACATAGTCCTGTGCTTATCGTAAAGTGAACAAACTGAAAATCTTTAACTCTAAATTCAATACTAGATTCAGCCCATATAATATGACATCAGAATTTCAAAAGAAAGATCTATATTTTGTGAGCTTGGCTAAGTGAGAGGTTGATCAAGAGTTTTCTTTTATTTTCTGTCTTCCCTTCACATTGAACCAAGTAAGGATGGATATACAACTGTTTTTTCATCTCTTTCCTGTCTTGGATTATTTTGAAGAAGGTAGGAAAACCTAAAGGCCCACCCAAGTGCCATAGAATAACAGATGAAAAGTAAGTTTATAGGAAAGCTTCATATGTGTTTTTTGCAATAAGGAGACAGAAATTCTTTTTGTTTGTTTGTTTGAGATGGAGTCTCACTGTCTCCCAGGCTGGGGCTCACTGCAACCTCTGCCTCCCGGGTTCAAGTGATTCTTCTGCCCCAGCCTCTCGAGTAGCTGGGACTACAGGCACATGCCACCACGCCCATCTAATTTTTGTATTTTTAGTAGAGACGAGGTTTCACCATATTGGCCAGGCTGGTCTCGAACTCCTGACCTCATGATCTGCCTGCCTCGGCCTCCCAAAGTGCTGGGATTATAGGTGTGAGCCACCACGCCCAGCCAGGTTCATGATTTTTATATGAAGACTCCAGAATATAAAAGATGGCCGGTTCATTTCATAAAGACAAGGGAGAAGAGAAAGAGCTCTGGAAGATCTGCTCATTCTGCCATTATTTGCCATGGCAAGAAGTAAGTCTCCCATGGGGCTTAACAGTTTTTTCATTTCATTCGTGAAGTATTTGCATCTATACCCCCTACCTCACTTGCTCTCACTACCATCTCAGTACATGACACCCCTTCCCCTGGACTCTTAAACCTTCTCATATTCTAGAAATTGAAGGGACAGTAAATTTCTACCTTTTTTCCGGCATGAGCATTATGATGCAAAAATGGATAGAGGTTTTCTTTATTTTAGTGCTTGACAAAGCCGACGTGCATACTGGGGAAGAGGCAGCAAGTAATTAGGGGTCACACTTTGTCAGGAACTCCGTAAAGTAGTTATGTTGCTTCAGGAAAAAGGGATTTTCTCGGATATATACATAAAGGAAAAATGCTACACAGCTCTAAAACTTTTTCCTTATATCAATTAAGGCTGTGTACATATTGTTTTCTTCTCGTACACAGCATAACAGTTTTGACAATTCCCTGAGTCAGTGTACTTATTCATAGTTATACTTTATTTCATTTTTTCTTTCTGTGTATGTAACATTAAAGTACCTGTAAATCAATACAAGTAAATGGCTAGAGATACATAATCTTAATGAATAATCGCTGACAATTTCTCAACAATAGTCCAATTTTTTAAAAAAAAATCAGAGATCCTGGTGCCTTCCTTCTTGTGATATCTCCATCTTTCTGGATTTTTAAAAGTTATACAATGATTATACTGCTTTGATCTGGTCTACAAACAAAGACACCAAGAAAGGAAGATATCTCGGCCTGCCCACAGTAATATACATCTCTACTACCCAGGCTTATTGAACCTCTCTCACAACATGCTTGTTGTCAAGGAGATGGGGACATGGACCCTACAGTCCTCTGAGGACTTCTGAGCATCTTGTCTATCCTGACCACATCCTACACAGAAAAAAAAATTTGCATGATGGGAAATATTATCTCAATATTTCCTCCTCTTTTAAACCAGTTAACACATTTACTTAGAAGGAGTATTGTGGTAGACTGAATTACACTCCCCTGAAATTCCTATGTTGAAACCCTAACCCTCAACGTGAAAATATTTGGAGACAGGTCTTTAAAGAGGCTATAAAAGTTAAATGAGTTCATAAGAGTAGGGCTCTAGTTTAATATAATTGCTATCCTTATAAGAAGAGAAAGACATGAGGATGTGCACATGGAGAAAAGACGGAGGAAAGGCAACGTGAAGACAATGAGAAGATAACCATCTGAAAGCCAAAGAGAGGCCTCAAGAATAACCAACCAGCTGGCACCTCTATCTCGGACATCCAGGCTCCAAAATTTTGAGAAGTAAATTTCTGTTGTTTAAGCCATGCAGTCTGTAATATTTTGTTATGGCAGCCCTAGCAGAATAATCCAAGTATTGTCCTTTTTGTTTCCGTAAATGTCTGAAGTACTCCTCTGAATTTCAACATAAAAGTTCCTAAATGGAATCAAATTATCTTAACTCTTACCTTTCACCTCTCATGCTTATCTTTGGCTCCTCTTATTTTTCTTGGTATAATTCTTAAATATTAAATATATATGCTGTGTAGTTATCATATACAGAGCAAAAAATTCCAAGGGAAAATATAAAGTGTTAGGGGAAAGAAACTACTTACGCATCTCTCATTGATCAAATGGAGAAAAAAAGTCATGAAAGCATTGAAGTTGTTATAATGACAGTGCCTTGACTTTGGCTGAAATCTCATCCTGTGAGATAAATACATAGAGGAGTTTTAAAAAAAAAAGGCATGCCAACAACAAAAAACCTAAAAAGAGATTATTGTTTTTCATTTAGTTATCTTTTAGAGTGCGCATATGCCTGCAAACCCTTATTGATATAAAATCACCTCTCTCAGAACGTAATTTAGAAGTACTACACTCAGAGAGGTGCTACATGCAAGTTTTTACTATAATATCTTGCTGTGATAAATGACTGGTTTTGAGTACAAAATCCGATGGAAAATTTCAATAAATCTATTTCATGTCAATAGAGATGGCAAGCAAGAATAAGAAATGTATTGAAAAAATGACAAGTCTTCTCTGTCTATACTCTGCTCTAGTTAGAATATTTACAAAATAGATCTTCCTGCCATGTTTTTTTTTGATCTATGTTTTATACTTATTCCTACTTACATGGATGAAGAAAGTGGATAACATCCTAGTACACCCAATTTCTAAGATTAGACAAGGGTAATTTCTTTAGGCTAAAAGTAGTAAGTCCTCTAAATTGACAAAGCTGATACTTCAAATGTTGACAATAAATTGAGTAATTTACAGAAACCTTTACATGGTAAATAGAATTCTAGGTACTAATATGGTCTTAAAATTATATTTCCTTACTGTATTATTTACAACTGTAAACATTTAAATATAGACAAAAAGGTAGATGTAAATCAACACAAAATCCATAAAAAATTCAAAATCAGTGCTAGTAATGCAAAATATTAAATTAATACCATTATATTCATGTGATGAATGCCGTGTTAAATATGATGTTACATTCATAAAGTAGAATTACTATGACAGATGTAACATATGCTATGTAAAACCACCTCTTCTGCATCTGTGTTCCTTTTAAGTTACAGTGATTTCCTCATTCATAATCAGGAGGTATGGATAATTACAAACAAAACAAAACAAGCTATGGCGTTTGTTAGCCATCACTGGGCCAAAACTAACATAGATACTTAAATTTCTTTGTAGTTCTGAGTTACTTTCATTAAAATGATTGAACAAATGTGATTGATTAAACACATTTTAAAATTAACTTTAAGTAAAAACAGCAGAATTCTTGATAGCTAAACACATTTCATGAGCTACACTAAACTTAATATGGATAAAAGTGGCAACAGATGTCAAGACTCTTAAATCCTAACAAATAACAATATTGTGAAAATTAACTTGGAATTCTACAATAAAGTTTACAAGTTGGAAAATATAATGTATACTAAAAGATCACAAGATATTGCTGTTAATGATATTCAATTTTCACACCAATAAAAAATGTAAAACTAATAATACATGCAAAATAAGGTAACATTTGGCCTTTTTTCATTGTTTACTGCTTTTTACCAAAATTTTTTTCAAAAAAAAAATTGAATGCAAATGTTTTCTTAAAACGAAATCAAAATAAAAAATCAAGCTCTTTTTCTTTTCAAGGAGTATGTTCATATTTTCATAATTTATCTATCACAGCTAGAAAATATTTGTAAAAACTTTGCCACTTTAAAATTTTTAAGGAGTTGGGTCCAATATTTTTAAGCAGAAGCACTCTAAAAATGAATATGTGAAAATTTGTTTGATTTCTATCAGTCATTCACTGCAGTGCCTGACATTAACCTTGTTTGCATATTTGGGATCTATCTAGTTAGAATTAATTTTCAGTGAATAAATTCACCTTCTTCTCTGATATGTTGTTTGCCTGTCGATAGGAAATCCCATTATGAGATAAAAACGCTGTATCATAAAAGAAAAAGGAATAAAAATTTATAGGTGATGCTTTATGTTTATATATAAATTAAGATAGAAATTGCAAACTTTTAGAATAGTAGGTTTATTATCTTGTTTGAAATAATTAAGTAGAACTAAGAAAAATGTATGAACAAATTCAGTTTTATGAGAGAACCAACTTAAATAGAAACAAATCAAAGGAAGTAAATATAAAGAAATATCTCACTTATGTGAGGAATGACACAAATATCAGGAGTCAGATTATCTTCACTAATATAGAGAATAGTGTAGAGAAATTGTGTGGGGTAAAAATATTTTTGTTAATTTTGTTGCAAACAATGAAACCATGAAAGTTTAAATTAATTCCAGTTATTAAAATATTTTATGTACAAAATTAGCCAGGCATGGTGGTGCATGCCTCTAATCCCAGCTACTTGGGAGGCTGAGGCAAGAGAATCACTTGAACCTGGGAGGCCAAGGTTGCAGTGAGCTAAGATCACGCCATTGCATTCCAGCCTGTGTGACAAGAGCAAATCTCTGTCTCAAAAAAAATAAAAAAGCTTTTATGACTTAGTGTGTCGTAAAATAGTAAGCTTTATATTATTTATTTATTATTATATTAACTTTTAAAATATGCCTTATTAATGTCAAGATTGGCCAACCAGATAATCCGTGTGAAAAAAAGATCAAAAGTTTAGCCAACTAAGGCATGACATAATGCAAAGAAAATAACATCTTTAAGATAGTATTATATAAAGTGTGAATTAGAAATAAAAGTAAAATTCTGACCCTTATGTAGATCTTTAACAACTGGAGAGAATCTGAAATTATTGGAAACTCCAATGGACATCAAATGGCAGAGCCTAAATTTCAAGGTGGCTGAAATACACTGATTTAATAAAATAAATGTACTTAATTTAATTAAGATAGCCCTATATCGTTGTTATATTAAAGGCTCTCTAGGAATAAATAATTTAATTAACATTAAAATTATGTAATTTCATAATCATTTCGGAAAGTTTTGCTAGATCCTTTCTACCATCTTACACTAAAATGCAGAGTTTTAATTTTAAAAAATTAAGCACCAAATTAAAATACAATTGAAAAAATGATAAATACAATCTGCCCTGAACTTAACTTAGAGTTGATCATGAGACTCCAGCACTTATATCTATCTATATATAATATAATCTTTTTATATTTGTTTCAGAATATTTAGTAGATATAATCATGTATTTCATATTTCCTAATCTGCAAGTAAGCAAATTTACATTGGCTAAATTTTCTTCACATTATCTAGGGCATGTTATGGCATGAAGTGTACTAATAACTAATCTCAGATTCAGGTGAATATGTTTCTATTCAGGATACATTGAGATTTCCAACATTACAGCAAAATAATGTAACAGTCAAATAATGTATCACCAGAATTACAGAAATCATGAAAGAATATTTAAATATTGAATAAATAATGATTACTTCTGCTAGTATTTCTACTTGTAAAAATGACAGTTAAAATCTCAATTTTTTTCAAATTACCTACATTTTGGTTTTCATATGTATCTCCAGTTTCTTATATATCTGGTATAATACAATATATTACTAATTAATTATAATTGAGATATTATAATTAAAATGGTCAATTTAGAAGAAATAAGGACATCTTATGAGGCATTTTCCATATTTTTGTCCCTTTATTTATTGACAATGTTTAAAAATAAGCAATTTTGAAAATATTGTTTGAAATTAAAAGGACGGAATAAAGAAGTTAGAAAATGATACGAGTGATTAAAAGAATAAGATGAGAAACATAAAAAAAATAGAAAAGTGTAAAATATTTAAAGTCAGTATAAAACACAACTTTTACTCATGTTTCTAATACAACTGAATGTCTAGTCACACTATGATTAAACTTATACAATTGCATGCATTATTTATTATTTCATAGTCAGAATCATTTCAATAGAAATAAAGAAATGATTTTGAAAATTTATTGCATAATCTGAATAATCCAAATGTTTTATTGATTAAAAAATAAATATCAATTTCTGTCACCAAGTAGGCATAATCATAATTAAAACAATATTTAAATTAATTGAAAAATGGCACATCATTTTGAGACTTTTCCTATTTTGACATAAGTTGCTCTTCAGTCTTTTCAATGGGAAAGGAAAAGGATTGAACAGGAAGAGGGATTCTGAGATATTGAGTAGTGCAGATGGACTTTGAAAGCAGTAAGAATCAGGGAAGAGTTACTTTGCATGGTCTTTTTGCCCACACATTAATGGTGCTTATCTATGTCTCTGTAAAATAAGCAATTTCCTGATAGTAAGCTGGATGCCACTCATGTTTATTACAGGTTTTCTCAGAAGTTTTTGTTTATAAATTGTCCTCTCCATCTCCCTCCCTTAGCCACTTTTTCTTTTTCTTTTCTTTTTTTACTGAGACGAAGTTTCGCTCTTGTTGCCCAGGCTGGAGTGCAATGGTGCAATCTCAGCTCACTGCAACCTCCGCCTCCTGGGTTCAAGCAATTCTCCCGCCTCAGCATCCCCAGTAGCTGGGATTACAGGCACCCGCCACCACACCCAGCTAAATTTTTTTGTATTTTTTACTACACGGGTTTTCCCCATGTTAGCCAGGCTAGTCTCGAACTCCTGAACTCAGGTGAGCCACCCGCCTCGGCCTTTCAAATTACTGGGATTACAGGCGTGAGCCACTGCACCCGGCTCCCTTACCCATTTTTTAAAATTCTTATTTAGGACTTCTATTACTTTTTTTTAAAGAAGGAAACAAATAAACATTGTAAACAATCACAAAAATACTGTAAAGTTGTTGAATTCCTTGCTCATTTATACCTCTGATTCAACGTTATTAGAAAAGGGGCTGAGGGGCCTTTGAGGGTTGAGAAGTGTTTTCTGACTACTAGTCTTCCGCACTAATGCGCTAATGAAATCGACTGGTATATATCTTCCTCCTCCATCGGTCCAGGCAGGCACAAGAAGTTTCTTTTAAGAACCCTCTGATAATACTCCAAATGTTGGTTCAATACTAGAGATATGTAACAAAGAACTACTACCCCAATAAATGACTAAATTGTTTCCCCAATATTAGTGATGATGGCTGAGGAAAATGGTACTGTTGCTTTACGTAGTATGTCATAATTTGGTTAAAGAAATATAATAGGGCTGCATTTCTTCAATTAAGGTGAAAACTTAAAGTAGTGGTGAGTGTTTACTCTTTAACTGGTTCTTCATGGCACCATTAGGAAAACAAAAACATTTGAGGGTCTGAATATACCATCTTATTATTCTAAGCAACTTCCCTTGCCACTGATCTGTTTCTTATGAACTTTTACTTAGTTTTTTTGTTTCTGGATAAACCTTCTTTACTATTTGTGGATTTTAACTCAGATATTTTATTATTTGGATTAAAGGGAAGATTACAGGATACTAAAGCTTAATGCCTTAATGCTATAATCTAAGCTAAAACGTTTATCAAACAAGCCATGTATAACAGTTTAGACATTACATTTTGGTATTAAAACCTAATAGGAATAGACTTTTATTAAAGCATAGCCTTTAATTGCAATTTAAGAGAAGACCTGTATACTGCTACCATGAATACTTTTAATGCATGTCTTCTATCCCAACAGTACAGAGAAGTGTTTTCAAATTAAAACTATATTAAAATAGGCTGTTCATAATTATGGAAATTTCAACTTTAAATAAAGCATGTTTACTGTTTTAGGCAAATATCTTATACATTATGAAAAAAGGATATATCGGTCTAGTCTGTGAGTCTATGTCCATTAATATATTGTTAAAATTATGCATAATTTGTCACATTCATATTATAATTATTAATAATAGCAATTGTATCTGACAATGATTTTATTTTTATTATTTTTATTGAGTGCTATGCTGAGAGCTTTATATACATTTCTCTTGCCATCATATTCTTATGAAGCTGCAAATGTCTAGGTACAGATTTAGTGAGTGCTATATTCTGCATTCACACCCAAGTCTACCTTCAGAGCCAGAGCCCTCAACCACTACACTACACTAAAGATAATTGAAATGTGAAAGTAAATATGAAAGTAAGTAATTGAAATATGTTTTCTAGGACTGATATACTTTCACAATCTAACAACATAAGCTGGGTTTGATAGAAAACATTGTTTTAGCTACTTGCAGAGTTTCTTACTTTTCCTCTCAGGTTAATTCTACATGTTCTGTCTCCAAGGCTAGGTGCTCTGGAAACAAAGTAAAAGAAAGAGATTTGCATGCAGAAAGTTTATGGAACAATACTATTAGCAGCAATATCCATGACTGAGCGAAGGAAGCAGGATGGAAAGAGCCACAAGTTGACTTTTGCTATATCTGTGAATAGTCCTCAGCTAACTTCCAGAAAATCTATCAGCTAGAAGGCCTTTCTGAATTGTCCCAATTAAGCCAAGGGGACCTTACCTTTATTACTTCCTATCAGTCAGTGACTTGAATGTGGTATGCCTCCAAGGTGACATACTTGAGTGAGGCTGCTTTATTCCACCAATGGCAATTTCCAGAGTAAGAAGTTTTGAGTCCATAGGAAGTAATGCTCCAGGATTGAGTGCCTCCATTCTCAAGCAGGGATTTGGGAAACACACAGCAGTATCTACTTATGTTTGCTAAAAAATGGTTTTAAAACACTTTTCCATTCATAAGATATACCCCAAAGTTCAGTATATATGAAAATATCTCTTTAATTATATCTCTCAAAGTTATAACACCAAAACAGAGTAATTACATATTAAACATAATTACATAAAAGCATAATTACAGAGTAATTATGCTGTTTAGAAAGCAATGAGTTATACTATTAAGTTTCCATTATTTTTTTCTTTATACTATTTGATGTTATAAGACTTATGATATCTGGTGTCTATCCTGAACCATCAGTGTATGGAATTGTATTCTTTTGTATGATTAAAAGTTTATTTTTTGAATATGCTACCCTTTCTGATTGAGAAAAAAATAAAATTAGCATTTTCTTCTATCTTTAGTTTTAATTAACCAAAGTTTTACTTTTTACGATGAGATTTTTGTTTAGTTCACTAATGTGGTCTTAGGCATAAATTTTTCAGTTTGACATTGAAAGCACTTAGATGCACCAGGTTGTTTGAAACATCTGTCAAAAAAATAACATAAAGTAACACTCCAGAAGGTATCTCATTCATGAAACACCTTCGTTAAGTTTTTAAAATTTTGATACCTAATGATGTTGGTACTTCATGTTCCTATAAAGCTATTTTGCTATTAGGAAGCACTATTACTGACTGATACGGTGATAAATCAGTCATTAAATTGGTGTGTAAAGGTCAAGATCTTGAGTGAAAAGGCCAGTCTTTTCCAGGCAATATTTGCTCCACAATTTCCCAGTGTAATTATTGAATTTTTGTGAGTGTGGGGGGTCTCGGAAAGTATTCCACATGGATAAAGGATGAAGGAATACTACTGCATTCAGAGAAAGAAATAGATGATGGATAGATGATAGATAGATGGATAGATAGATAGATGATAGATAGATAACATTAGTTATATCTGGGTAGAATATGAGATGTGAGTGGCAAAATTCTGATTGTCTTTAATGTTCCTCTCCCTCATGCCGACCCTCTATATAATACCCTCCTCTTGAATTTAGCAAAACCTGTACATATGATGAGATATCATGCCCAGGGTTGTGGCCCAAACCAGTTAAGCTGAGTTAATCAAAATGTTGCTCTATCTAATCAGTTATGTCCTTAAAATGGACAATGTCCAGCCTGAAGGAAGATTTGAAGCATAAGAGAAATTCTGTTACTGGTCCTGAAAATGTAAGTTGCCAGGTTGTGAGACGACCTATGGAAGGGGTAACATGTGAGAAACTGAAAGTGGTCTCTAGAAACAGAGAGTAGTACTCAGTTCACAGACAATAGATAAGGAGACATCAGGCCTGCAGCTTCAAGAAAATAAATTCTGCCAACAACCTGAGGGAGCATGCACCAGATCTTTCTCTAGTACTGCCAGATGAGGACCCAGCCAACTCATACCACGATTCCAGCCTGTGAGACTGTTTTATATATTTTTTTTTATGAGATAGTGAGTCAGATGCAGTCACAAAAGGAGACAGAGAAGAGGCAAAAAAAAAAAAAAAAAGTTTGTTATACTCACAGGTCCTAGAGACATGCCATGCAGGGCCACATGAGAAAGATGCCTGGGTGGAGTCAGAAGGCAGAAAACAAGAGCTAGGGGAAGTTTTAGGCCATTGCCTTAATTGGAATTTTCCAGGGAAAGGTAAGACAGCACAGTGTGAACAGTTTGAGATTGGCTATTTTGAATCATATGGGCAGGTTTTGGGTGGTAGGGGTGGTCCAGGTACAAGGGCCTAGGATGATTAAAGCAGAGGAATATTGTCTCCTGGAGTATATGGGACAGATGGGGGGGTGTATGGATTCAGCTTGGTTAGTTTGATTATCAAAGACATACTCCTTACTGGGCCCCTTGTAATCTTTAAGAGCTGACCAATCTTAAAAGGCAGATTCTCCCCAGTCAGAAAGGCTTTTTAATATGTCAAAATATCATAATATGTAGACAAATTTAATACATTTGCAATATGGAGGCACTGAGCAGAAGATTTATTTGAAATATACCAGATGCCTAACCCATGGAAGATGTGAGATAATATTTTTTTTGTTTTAATCATCTATTAAACTTCTGGTAATTTGTTTCACAGAATATAAAACTAATAAAAAAGAGATTATATGCACCTCAACATTTAATTCATATTTTTATTTTATTTTTTCACATTGACCCTGTACTCTAGAATTATGTATATAATTAACCATAAATATATTTAAAGGGGTATTTTGAAGGAATTGTTTTAAATTGCAGGCAGCACATAGTAACAATATTTCATTAACGCTAAAGACAGAAAGCCTTAGTTATTGACTTTCCTGATATGATTTTATAAATATCTCAGAAGGAATCCATTTTTATGTAAAATTAATGTAAACATATTACAGAAAATGTAACACACCATAGCCTAATATCTATCATTGTGCCCTATAAAATCTCTTCCAGTTTCCTTCCTTGTCATTTCTAAATATAAATGTGATATTCTAAGTTTGAAGGTTTTATTATTTGAGAATAAGCCACTGTGTGAAATTATATAATGCAGATCTATAATAAACATGATTGGAGAAGTAGGTGGAAGAATTTTTGTTTGTAAGACTTTTTATATTTTAGCCATTACCTACCACCCTAGCTTTATCTCCTTGAGCACAGCCTTTGGTTAGGTTCACACTTGACCATCTTTTATATGTCTTCAACATGCCGTGTTCTTCTACATATCTGTGCTTTTGATTACAATGTACTCTTTCTCAATATTCTCCCAGTAATTTGCTTAGGAAAATTCTATTTATTTTTAAGGACTTTCACAGAAGCCAATTGAATTAGTTACTTGTTACTTGAATTTCAGTTATTGTTTTTTGCTTTCACAATTGGTTTTCATGCAGAATAAGCAATCCTCCAAAGTAGGGTATGTGGATAAGTAAAATGCTTTACAAAAGGAGGAACTCAAAATTGCTTTCTAAATAAAAGGGTTTAATTATTTATGTGCTAGGCTAATTTTTAGTTATGAAGACCATTGTTGTTTAATGAAGTACATTAACTTCTATTAAATGAAAATTTTTCTCCCTAGCATAGCATTCTCTATCATTTTTGATTTCAAAATATTTTCTTGTTACTGCTGGTTTGCTTTGTTGTCTTCAAAATGTTATAACCAATCCAGGAAAATGCTTGAGCATTTGTCTTATACTGTTTCTTTTCCACAAAGTAAAGACTCTGAGGAAAATATATATTTTTTTAATTTAACCAGCTGCCATCTTCATTACATCACCATTTTTATAATACTTCAGAAAATATTTTGGCAATTACTTAGAGATTAAAAGTTATTTGAGATACCCAGATTCATAGAATAATCTAAATTATTCACTACTGGGCTCTATATAATGACTTGGTTGTAGATCATTGCTGTACACAATGAACCTGCTGCTACATTATAATAATAATAATAGGCAATTCATCATCTTAGTAATATATTCTTCTTGTGAATCCTCTCCTAGATAAATTCATTATGACATATGAAATATTTGAGCTTTTTTTTTTCTTTTTGATGGAGTATTGCTCTATTGCAGGCTGGAGTGCAGTGGTGCCATCTCGCCTCACTGCAAGCTCCGCCTCCCAGGTTCAAGTGATTCTCCTGCCTCAGCCTTTCGAGTAGCTAGGACTACAGGTGCCTGCCACCACGCCCGGGTAACTGCTTTGTATTTTTAGTAGAGATGGTGTTTCACCATGTTAGCCAGAATGGTCTTGATCTCCTGACCTCCTTATCTGCCCGCTTCGGCCTCCCCACGTGCTGGGATTACAGGCGTGAGCCAACGCGCCCGGCCCTTGAGCATTTTCTTAAACTTAGGAATATCTATTAAATATTTCTCAAATTTGGAGGCTGGAAGCATTTCAGGAATAGCGAAGTAAGAAAAATATGGTCCTCCACAAAAGAAATTTTTAAAAAATAATTATCCATTGATCCTTGTTAAATAATGGTGAAACGACTTTATTCAGGTCCGTTGCAATGGATATAGGGACTACTGCAGTGGGGTTTTGCAGTGGGAAAAAGAGATTGGGCTCAACTTTAAACACAGCATTGGCAAGTGGAAATTTATAGCCAAGGACCACAGTGAATAGAACATTACTATGAAGAAATATCAGCAATAAAGAAGATTCTGGCTAAACTCACTTAAGAGGATTCTTGCTGAAAACAGGCCTGGTGATCAGATATCACCTAAAAGATGGTGGAAAATGAAGAATCTGATCAGATATTAAGGATGATCAGATATAAAGGTTGGGGAATCCTGATAACTGACTTAGCAGGGTTCTCTCCTAAAACTGAATTTTACAAAGGAGAACACAGATGAGCCTAGAAGTTTCAGAAACCTAAATAAAGTTTGGCCAAACAAAAACTGTTTGTCATAATGAGGGCACAAATGATTGCCAAAATTATAATCATCAGGACACAGACTCATACACACACACACACACACACACACACACACACACACAAACGCAAGCATAGGCGCGCACACACGCACACCCCTTTGGCAAATGCTGAGAACCTAATTGGTTCAAGAATTTTAAGTATCTTTTAACCTAAAGGTGCAGGGAGCAAGATCTGATTTCCTGAATTGCCACAATATATTATTTAAAATGAAAATTTTCAACAAAAACTTCCAAGATGTGAAAAGAAATAGGAAATTCTAACTAACATTCAAGAAAAAAAAATTAATAGAAAATTCTCTAAGAAAGGCCAGGTGTTAGGAATACTAGAGAAATTCTTTAAGTCAGTTATTAAAATATATGTAAGAAAGGAAACCATGCCTAAGGAATGAAGAACAGCATGAAAATAATGTCTGTCCAAACACAGAACATCAAGAGATAGAAGTTATAAAAATGAAATAAATAAAAATATTGGAAGTCAAAAGTAAAATAACTGAAAAAAAAGGGCCCAACATCATACTCTAATTGACATAACAGAGAATCAGTATATTCAGAATGGGTCCATTGACTTTGTTTAATGCACAGGAGAGAAAGAAAAAAGAATGAATAATAATAATAAAACACAAGCCCAAGAACTTTGGGACACCAACAATAGTTCTAACACAGGCATCATGGGAATTTTAAAAGGAGAGGATAGAGAGAAAGGGAGATACAGAATATTTGAAAAAAAAAAAACAGTACTTCTTCACAAATTAAAAAAATACATTAATTTGTACACCAAAGAAGCTCAGGATACCCCAAATAGGATCAACACAAACAGATCCATACATATACAGATCACAGTCAGCTGCCAAATACCAAGACAAAAAGAAAAACTTGAACAGAGTAAGAGAAAAAGCAACTCATCATTTAAAAGAGATTATCAATTCAATTAGATCATCAGTTGACTTTTCTTTAGAAACCAGTCAGTTTTCTAATGCAGTGGATGACATATTCCACATCATAAAAGACTGCCAACCAGCAGTTCTTTATTCATTGAAACTATCCTTAAAAATAACACACACACACACACACACACACACACACAGAGGAGAGAGAAACAGAAAGATTTCCATATAAACAAAACCCAGAGATTCTATCACTAGAAGACACATCCTGCAAAAAATACTAAAAACAGTTTTTCCTGAAATGAAAGGACAGTAGACTATAACTCAAATTTTTATGAAGACATAAACGGCATTGGTAAGTATAATTACACAGATAAATATAAAACACTATATTAATGTATTTTTTTGTAAATAATTTATCTTGCTATTTGTATTAAAAAACAATAATAAAGTAATAAGTATAAAACTAAGCTGAAAGGTTGATAATGCATAAATATATAATTTGCATGACAATGATATGATAGAAGAGAGGAAATAGAGCTATACTACCGCAATTTTTTGTATAATTTGAAATTAAGTTTGTGTTAATTGAAATTGGATTAAACTAAGTTCGTAATTTTAATTATCAGGAAAGCCACTAAATAAATAGCTCACAAACATGTAAAAAAAGAAGGAAATTAAAATGGTATTTTAGAAAATAAATATTTATTTAACACAAGAAAAAATGGAGGACTAACACTTAAAAATTCATCAGACATACAAAAAACAAATAGCAAAATAATAGTTTTGTTAAATGTGATCGAACTAAACATTTCAATTGAAAGACAGGGATTAGAAGAATCAGAAAAAATAACCCAAGTATATGTTTTCTACAGGAGACAAACTTTAGATTCAATAGCTTGAAAATGAAAGAACTGAAAAATCATAGACCGTGGAACATACAAAAAAAGAGCTGGAGTAATAATGGTAATATCACGAAAAAAGTAACATTTAAGAAAAACATTGTTTTATTGTTTTAGAGACCAAGAAGGAAATTTAAAATGATGAAAGTGCCAAATCACAAGGAGTCAATTCACTAGCAGTTTATAATTTATAATTATGAAGATATATGCACTTAGCCACAGAAGCTTAAAATACATGAAGCAAAAACGGACAGAATTCATTGGAGAAATAAACAATTTGACAGTAATAGTTGGAGGATGTATTAGCCTGTTTCCACACTACTGATAAAGACATACCTCAGACTGGGAAGAAAAAGAGGTTTAATTAGATTTAAAGTTCCACATGGCTGGGGAGGCCTCAGAGTCATGGCGGGACGTTAAAGGCACTTCCTACATGGCAGCGGCAAGAGAAATGAGGAAGATGCAAAAGCAGAAACCCCCGATAAAACCATCAGATCTCATGACACTTATTCACTACCACAAGAACAATATGGGGGAAACTGTCCCCATGATTCAAATTATCTTCCACCAGCTCCCTCCCACAACATGTGGGAATTGTGGGAGTACAAATCAAGATGAGATTTGGATGGGGACACAGCCAAACCATAACAGAGGCTTAACTAATGCACTTCGAAAAATTACTAGGTGGAAGAAAAGAGGAAAAACAAGATTTGAAAAGCAATATTCTATATTTTGGATGTTTGTTTTCCCAAACCTCAGGTTGAAATTTGATTCCTTGAGGTTGGAGATGGGGCCTAATGGGAGGTGTTTGAGTTATGAGGGGGTTGGATTCTCATAGATTAATTCCTTCCCTGGGTTGGGGATAAGTGAGCTCTCACTCTGCTAGTTCTCTTGAGAGCCAATTGTTAAAAAGAGTCTGGCATCTCCACTCTGTCGCTCTTGCTTCATCTTTTGCCATATGATTTGCACAAACTGGCTCCCCTTCACCTTCCGCCATGAGTAGAAACAGCCTGAGTCTCTCACTAGATTCAGATGCCATCACCAACCTTCCTGTACAGCCTACATAACTGTGAGCAAAATAACCCTCTTTTATATATAAATCACCCAGCCTCATATATTCTTTTACAGCAACACACATAGATTAAGATACAATATAAACCAATGAAACTTAATTGGCTTATTTTGTTTCAGTCAGTAAAAGAGTTATAAACATTCACTTAAGGGCACAGGAAACATTTGCCATAGGCCATATATTAAGTCATTAGAAAGGGTCTCAATAAATTAAAAATTGTAAGGGATTAACATTATACAAAGTATATTCTTGAACCACAGTGAAATGAAATTAGACATCAATTATAGATAGACATTTGGAAATTTATAAAAATGTACAAATTAACATACTACTAAGTAACAAATGAGTCAAAGAAGAAATCAGTAGTAAAATTCAAAAATACTTTGAGATAAATGAGAATACAACCACAATGCACCAAAACTTGAAGAATAGAGCGAAAATGATAAGAAATGTGGCTTTCTACTCTTCCTACTTAAGAAACTAGAAAAAAAAGAAAGTATAAATATAAACATAGAAATAAAAGAGAAAGTAATCCATAATAGAAAAAATCAATAAAATTTTATTTCTTGGAAAATCAAGAAAATTCATAAATCTAGCTGGACTGATCAAGAAAAAAGAAAGACTTAAAATCAGGATTAAAACAGGAGGCATCGCTACTGACATTACAGATATAAAAAAAGTTATACAGTATTTTTATGAAAAATTTTATACTAACAAATTAGGTAACCTAAAAGATATGAATAACCTATACAAAGATACCTAGTGCCAAAACTGACCTAAGAAGAAATACAATCTTAATTCTATTCTATTGTTCTATATATCCATCCAAATGTCAGTGCCATACTATCCTAATTAGTGTAACCATAAAGTAAATTCTGAAATTGGGAAGTGTGAGCACTCTAATTTTGTTTATTAAAGGGTTATTTGGTCAATTTTTGATATTCAGGGTTCCCCGAGTTTCCTAATTTGTGATTAATTTATCAGTTTCTGCCAAACTATCTGAGATTTTGGTATAAATTGCTTTGACTTTGTAAATCAATTAGAGAAGTATTGCCATCTTAACGATATCAATTTTTCCAATTCATGAATCTTGTGAGTTTTTTCATTTATTTCTGTTTTCTCCAATTTATTTCTGTGATACTTTTTAATACACCCTGCACAAATCTTGTACAAACCTTCACGGGACAATCTAGTATCCACAAGCAAAAGACTAAATGTGCAGTGTATATCACACAATATACAAAAATCACCTGAAAGTTAAACACTGACCTGAGAGTAAGATTTAAGACTAAAAAAAGCTTCAAAAAAAAAAAGAAGTGAATGTTCATGACTTTGAATTAAGCAATGGTTTTTTTTTAATGTGTGCCATCAAAAGTACAAGTGAGAAAAGAAAAATAGGTAAATGGGCATAACCAAAATTAAAAAAAAGAAGCAAAACAACTTTTGTGCTTTATAGGACAAGTCTACACAATCAAAAGATGGCTCAAAGCATAGGATAAAATATTTACAAAGTATCTTTTCAAAGGTACTTAATTCCGAAATATATAATTCTTAAACAACAGCAATTTTTGGGTAAATGACCTGAAGGGTAAAAGATTTGTTTAGTTTTTTGTTAAATAAAATTGCCAATTATATGTCAATAATATACATTATTCCAAAGAAGACAAACAAATGGCACATTAGCCCATGAAAATGAGCTCAATATCACTATCAAAATCACAATGAAATACCACTTCACACACACTAGGATGGCTAAAACAAATAAAACAAACAATAAAATGTAGAGGAGTGTTGGTAGAAATAGAACCCATTATACACTGCTAGATTGAAAATATGCAGCCACTTTGAAAAACTGAAAATTCTATGAAAGTTAATCAGAGATTTCCCATATGACCCTGTAATTCCACCCCAGGCATATACCCAAGAAAAATATACACACTCTTTGTAATAGTCAAAAAGTGTAAGTAACACAAATATCTTTAAACTGACTTATGCGTAAAGCGTGGTATGTCCATACAATGGAATATTCTGTCTATTAAAATGAATGAAATATGCATGCTATAACATAGCCATACTTTAAACTAAATTAAAAATAAATTATGTCATTATGCTAAGGGAAATAATCTAGACACAAAATGCCTCACGTTGTATGATTACATTTAAATGTCCAGAATAGAAAAATCCATAGGAACAGAAAGTAGATTAGTGATTTACGGGGCATGGGTATAGGGGAAAATTAGGAGTAACTAACTAATGAGTATAGGGGTTCGTTTTCAGGTGTTAAAATTTTTATATAGTGACATAGTGTTGAAGGTTACACAACTCTGAATATATTTTCAAAATTGAATTGTATGTTTAAAAGTATAGATTTTATGTTGGGACAATTATTTCTCAATAAAACTGTCATTTAAAACAACCCACAACTGAAAAATAATGTAAAATATTCTAGTGGCTTAAAGCATTTAAGTTCTATAATCATTTCATTTTTAAAACAAGATTTCTTTAAATCTATTAAGACTTTCTAATTTAAGCCAAGTAAAGCATTAACTTGTCATAAATTTTAGCTTGACTAAACACTTTGTTTATAGATTTCTTGGCCATATTTATCTGCATGTTTTATATCTTAATAAATATACTTTTCTTTAAATAAACTATTTCTGAGCATTTTTTCTTTCTTTTTTAATGGAAATTACATATATTTAAGGTATACAGTATGCTACTTTGATATGCATATACATGGTGAATGACTAGCACAGCCAAGTTAATTAACATATCCATCTCCTTATAATCACCATTTTTGTGGTGAGAACACTTAAAATCTACTCTACAAGCAAACTTCAAGTATACAATAAAGAAGATATTTATTTAGGACAACCAACAAAGTAAAATTGCAAAAAAACTTTGCTCCTCTGAGTCATTTTTTAAAACTCGAAGTTGAACCCCAGAGAGATAAAATATAATGTATCTCTTCAACTTTTAATTATAACTTTGTGTTTACTACGATACACTGATATACTACCTTCGTTAGTGATTTTATAACCATAATGATTTGTAGGATTTTAACATATAATATTAAATAGATTTATTTCCCATTTCTTCCTTCAATTTAGCTTTTATTGTCCTTTGTAAGTAACTGATTTTTCCAAATCTCTCTGGGAATTTGAAATTATTTTTATGTATTTCTTGATTAGCTTTTGTTATGTCAAATTACCAATTAAATGTCAAAACTATTGTTAGAATATTTTATTATACTTAATAAAGTATATTTCTACTAGTTCTATCTTAAAATTGATATAAATTCAGACATTGATAATTCATAATTTTATGGAAAATAGATGACTTGATTATAAAACATTGCATGCCTTATTTCAAGGCTTATTGAAAGAAAATCTGATAATAGTAGTGTTTTAATTCTAATCCAATGAATCTAGACCACCTTATACATAAACAAATATATTTCTTTATAATTTAAAAAAATAGAAGTACACTGAAGTCATATAAATCATTAAATAATTTTAGTACATTAGAATTATTTTAATAGAAACAAGAGAATGAAAACCGTTTTTAGTATAAGAACAGAGTAAACGTACTTAAATAATTAAAAATGTTTTGCAATATTGACAATTTAGACATGAGTTGTGTAATTTCACTAATGTTCAATTTATTTGTTATTTTTAAAAACTGACATAAGTATATTAAATATTAGATTTTTTTCCTATGAACAATAAGAGAAAAAAGGCCCTAAATCACTTTTCATGGTAACAATTTCAGAATACACTATAAATTTTTTGTGTAATAAAATGGTGTCAAATTCATGAATATTTGTCAGTCATTCATAACTTTTGTGTGGTGTAGTGATTTTGAAAAGCATTCATTCACATTATTAATAAAAGCAGGTTTGATCTCTATTTTAAAATTGCCGTGAGGGGTAAAGTGTATAGACAGAATTAAAAGGGAGACAAGCAAATTGCTTATATGATTGCCATAAAAATCAGAGAATGTTATCTACTACTATTACAATAATTTATTTCTAAAAGTACTCTGCTTTTGAAATATTTCTAATTCTATTAATTAATTCCCTATCTTCTTCAAAAGCCTTTAACTGAAGATTTTAATATAGAATCAAAATATTTTTATTTGATTTTGTAAGTCAATTCATGTTTTCAAACTTGAGAATTCAATACTTTATCTTTCTTTCTTCCTTTCTTTTCTTTTCTTTTTTTTTTTTTTTTTGAGATGGAGTTTTGTTTTGAGACAGAGTCTTGCTCTGTTGCCCAGGGTGGAGTGCAGTGGTGCGATATTGGTTTACTGCAAACTTCGCTTCTTAGGTTCAAGCAATTCTCCAGCCTCAGCCTCCCAATTAGCTGGGATTACAGGCATGCACCACCACGACCAGTTAATTTTTGTATTTTTAGTAGAGATGGGGTTTCTCCATGTTGCCCAGACTGGTCTCGAACTCCTAACATAAAGTGATCCTCCTGCCTCGGCCTCCCAAAGTGCTGGGATTACAGGCATGAGCCACCACACCTAGCTGACAACGTAATACACCTTTAATTTAAGAACTTCTAAAAGAAGGGGATTGAAAGTTTAAGTTAAGGATTAATGAGATAATAAGCATATTTTGCATTATTGTTAATAGAAGATTATATGTAGTTCAGAATGTATATTGTAAAATTTTCATTTGTAAACCAAATTATGTCATTATTATGAAATAATAGAATATTACAAGTTTTTTATTTTGCACAAACACGTCATCTAACATGTACATAATGATATATGTAAACTATTTTCAGTACTAAATACATGCAAGTTTATAAACTTTCATATATATATAAAACATCAATTTTTAAGAAGTTAAACTTAGATTTACTTTTTAATGATAAAATTAGTTTACTACTATAACTTTATCTACACAGCATGGTCAAGTTATATTATGAAAGATGCACATATGTTTATATTGTCTAAGATTATAACAAAGGATGAAATAATAAACAGAAAATAATGTTAATATATTTTTTCCAAGAGTACCTCTATCTACTACCATGTGTTTTCTTAACTTCCATTTGTGCTAATATTGTCAGAGTTCAGAAGGCTGGGAAGTCCATAATCAAGATGTCTGGTTAGGACTTGTTTCCTGGTTCATAAATGAGACCTTCTCACTGTGTCCTGACATAGTGAAAGGGAACAAATAAGATCCCTTAGGCCTCTTTTATAAGGGCATTAATCCCATTCGAAGGGCCTCTGCCTTCATGACCTAATCACTTCCTCAAAGCCCGACCTCCTAATATCACCAGCTAGGGGTTAGAATTTCAACATATACATTGTAAAGGGACACAACCATTCAAGTAATAGCATTTTTTTATTAATACATAATTATTCACTGTGGTGTAATACCTAATAGATATTTGAGAACCTTAATAGTAGATTCCACACTAGACCTTGAAAATCAAAGACAAGATTCTTTTTTTCCTTTACCAGCTTGGGGTAAAGATCCATATCCACTTCTGTTTTACTCTCTTTCAGTTGTGCTTTTAATCTCCTTCAGGAAATCTTTTGAACCCGAACAGTCTCATACACAGGTCTGTGCAACTGTGGAAGTGCATAAATGCATACACACAACATACACACAGAATTAGCAATGATTTTCAAGTTCAATGAATACTACATTCATAATTGTAAATTTCAGATGAATAACTTACAGATTACAGATATAAAATGTTGCCCATACTCAACGTTTCATATTACTAAGCAAACCACTTTATCTTTCCATTTAGATTGTAGATTTTGTTTTATATCTACAAATTAAAAATGATCCACGGTGTTGCTATGAAAAAGGAAGGGTGCATTCAACCAACCAAGGATAAATTCTAATCTTCACTATCTTATTGAAATATTTATTTTGTTCAAAAATTATAATGTTCTTGTTTATGTCTTCTCCATTATTTTAAAAAGAATTAGACATTATTCTTAAGAGGAATCAGGCTCGAAGTCTCATATATTCCCCTTTCTGTAAGCAGTGACTGAACTTACAAGTAAATTTCCAAAATATAACCTAGAAAATCAGAGGATCAGAAGATCGCTGACATATTATTAAGTAAATCCAAGAGACTAATGCATTTTTCCTATTATTTAAGTATTTATTAATGAGACCAAAAACAACAAAAGAGAACATATTAAATTCATTATATGGATATTAGACATGATATTTCAATAATCATAAGCAAATATTTAAAATCTTCAAGTTAGGAGAAAGAAAATGATTAGGTTTTTTAAATCTCTATCTTTGTAAGTTTTTTCATCAGAACAATCTAATTCTGTAAATTTGAAATATTATTTATTAATTTGTCTCCTGTCTTTTTAATAACCAAGTTATTAACTACTTAAAAGTATCTTTAAAGTTACCATAAGAGTTTGGTTTAATGAGCAAATAGTATAACTATTCAAATTATGAAAGGGGAAATGTACTTGTATTTTTAGAATTAAATATGTCTAGTAAAGTAGAACATCCATTGTTTATTTTATGTTCACACATGGCTATAAATAAGGTGAAACGCATAAAGAAAGAAATGACAAGTGTTGGTGCTGAGTATTACGCAGACATGAATGAGAACAAATATTCAAAATAGAAAAAATGGAAATGTATTGGCAAAGAGGAAGCTGATATGAAAATAATCTTAGAAGGTCAATTATAAGTCTGACTCTGAATACATAAAAAATTGTTCTGATTCCTATGTACACCCCCAATGGTTTGTCTCTAGAATACAAAACGGAGTTAGGAATTTTGGAAAATTTTTCTCCAGAAAATAACTGAAGCCACAACTATATTGGAGCCCATTTTCTGAAATGAATACATTAGGAAAATAAAATAAATATATACATAAAGATTAAAAGTTTTTATATGCTGAGATTTCACATGGTAAGTTGACAATCAATAAACCGCATGAATAAAAATATATAAAAAAATGAAAAAACACATTTGGATATAAATTTTTCCATAACTATCTATAATTATTTTTTCCCTTAAAAGCCTTATTTCTTAATACACTAGGAGCCATTTCTTGAAGGCAGATTAAAAAATGTAAAGAAAATATCCACAAAAGGTGAGAAAAAAATAGGTCAAAGTAGATTTTACCTATGTGGACAGAAAAATACCTATTTATGTGATGATAGGGAATTGAAGAAGTGTGTTTTCTGGGAGAGTTAGGTAGAGTCTTAATGCAGGAAAAGAGAGGCATACCAGGTACACATCTATGTAAAAACTGGGTAAATTAATAAGCAAGGCTATAGCAGTATGAAGTACGGGCATAGACTAAATGTGTTAAAAAGAAGCAATTGCTCTGAATATCTTCATACAGGAGTAGACCCAGGGACAAAATGAAGAATAAATAACAGTTTTATTGTTAGTATTATATACTCAAATGGTACGGTCTGCTCAATAGCACTAGGAGTGCCAATAAAATAAAATTATAAGAAAGGATGCATTCGATTTGGAGATTGAACACATGGCTTCAACAGTATAAACTCGAGGTTCCACATTTGTAAAATATAGTTTTTTTGATTAGCTACTTGAAATGTCATGAAATTAAGTACCACAGCTATGTAGTTCACTGTTGTATCTTTATGTCTAGTGGGATACCTTTCACAGAATAAAACTTCATATTTGTTGAATGAATATGCATTAATGAATGAATGGGCTTTTGAAGAGAATCAACAAAAGCAGTTTGCCATAGACTCCAGGGTTATGAGTTTTATATAAATTGTAATTTTTTAATGCAGTAAAAACTTTATTTAACCTAGAAATAGTAACAGCAGTGCATTACAGCATACATCTTTTTTATTTAATTAAATTTATTTATTTATTTATTTATTTATTTTGAGATGGAGTTTCTCTTCTGTTGCCCAGGCTGTAGTGCAATGGCATGATCTCGGCTCACTGAAAACTCCGCCTCTTGGGTTCAAGCGATTCTCCTGCCTCAGCCTCCTGAGTAGCTGGGATTACAGGCAAGTGCCACCATGCCTGGCTAATTTTTGTATTTTTAGTAGAGTCGGGGTTTCTCCACGTTGATCAGGCTGGTCTCGAACTCCCGACCTCAGGTGATCCACCTGCCTCGGCCTCCCAAAGTGCTGGGATTGCAGGCGTGAGCCATGGTGCCTGGCCAGCATACATCTTTATAAAGTAAGCATGATGAATAAATCACTTGATACAAAAACTTTTGAAATGTAGTATTGTAATTTACCTCAGTTTTAGCATCATACATACAGTTAAAATATTTGTTAAATGAATGATACATTAATGCAGTAAATTCCTAATTTTCATTAAATTTACTAAATGCAAATAAATATTTTAGAATTGTAAACTACCCACATATCATAAAGCATGTTAATTTTTAAGATATTTATTAGGTTATTTATAAATTTTGCATTATAGTTTCATTTGGATTTATATATATTACAAGTACAGCATGCCTATCTCTAGCTCTTTGATGAGAAAAAGTAATCAACCATATAGCAAAAATAAATTGAGGTTGTAAGAGATCAAAGACTATCAAGTATTTTAATCAATAAATCAGTGCAGCCAGATGAGACAACAGGGAGAAATCTATGAAACCATATTAGGTTCGCTTTCTAAGCCTAGATGATAATTAAAATTTTGCCTTGAAATACTAATTTCTAAAAAGCAGTGCTACTTAGAATGTTGTTAAAAACTGATGTAATGATAAGACTTTGTAAATATTCAAAAATAATATGAAATAGCTTTAAAATATAAATTTGTAATAGCCATGCATTAACCATATATTCAGTTATGTAGGCATAATAATAGTTGTGTCACCTTTATCATTGTACCTAGTGTTACTTTTATGAAGAGATATAATAGAATCCTATAAATAATAATGCAGTTAACACAATGGGGACATCAATTTGCTATTCTCTAAGAATTTGATAGAATTAGGATGTAGATATAGTAGCTATGTCAAAAAACTTCTAAAAGCAACTTAGTTTATCCAATATTAACAGATAATCATTTACCTGGTAGTCAAACTTTGATGCCTTACAGTAAATATGACATTGAGCAAAAGTCTCAGGGCTTTGGGCTTTGGAAATTATGTCCAGGGCTTTGGAAATTAGCATACCATCAGTTCAGAAGTGGAAATTCACTCCATGACACAAAATTAGAGTGCTAATGAGGAGCACAGAAAAATAATTTTTTTAAAAAAATGCAGTCCAGAAAAGCAATCTGAGGACACAGTGGTTAACAGCTGTGAAAACAGATGCAAAGCATGCATAACTAAAGTTGAAAAAAAAAACTATTAAAAGATTAAAATGCATCTCTTTGATAATTGTACAGAATTCAGAAATTGAAAGACACAACATTTTAAAGCTATTAACCTTTCTCAAAATTATAAAGCATGTGGACTTGATCTTCTAGGAATTTTCCACTTGGCCTTTATAATTATATATGCACGTGAACTAAATGCTTTTTTAATGGTTTTTGATAATTTAGGGAGCCAGTGATTAGTATTTTTGTTTCTATTTTCCAAATTCAGAACTAGTGAGAAGTGGACAACCATAGGCTTGCCACACAAAAACCTTCATGGGCTGGACATCAGAGTAGGGTGATGTCGTTTCTGCTGGTAAATTTGGAACCAAATGCCAAGAGACAGTTGGAGCACGGACAATTTCTTATGCAGAACTCATTCACTTGGCAAATCACTCCTATGCTATGGTAAGGAATAAACTGCAGGGACCAAGAGACAAAATAAATTTTTTGAGTTTATTTCCTCTGGTCGTTACATTGCAAAATTAACCATGAAAGTGGGAAGGATGACACATTATACTATATCATAAATTGCTTCTGGAAACTTAAATGTTGCCACTTCTAGCTTTTTGTCTTTCTAGTGTAAGCAATCATGGAAAGTAATAAACTTTCCGACAGCATTACAGAAGATAACTCAGTCTAAGTTTTTGTTTCTTTTTTCTCTCCTCCTTTTCCCCTTTACTTTTGTTTACATTTTTCCTCACTCTTGCTCTCCATTACTTTCTTTCTTTCTCAGAGAAATTTACCTACAGTTCAATTATGGCAATAACAATTGTTGAGCACTTTCATTCCATTTGCTCTCTATGGTTCATTTGTGAAATTTAATATCCTCTAACTTATTAAGGACAACATTTTCAAAATCACATAATCAGATGAAGGGAAGATAAGTAAATATTGTGGTAGGCAGAATTCTGGCACCCAATGATTCATACTTTTATTACTCTCCTCTTGTGTAAAACACTCCCTGCACCTTGAGTATAAAAAAAAAAAGAAACTATGACTATGTTGGGATATTTCTCCCATGAGTTGTTTGTTATTAATCAGTTGCCTTGAGTGAATCAGAAGGAAGATTTTCCTGGGTGGGCTTTACCTAATCAGGAGAGCACTTAAAAAAAAAAAAAGGTGAAGCATCAGAGGAATTCTTTTGACCTGGTGACCTTGAGTAAGTAAGCCATCAAGGTGAAAGAGAACCTATGAAAGGGGTCATGTGGAATAACCTGGTATCATCCTCCTTAGGCTGACAGGTATTATTGACTGATAAGTAACAAGAAAAGTAAAGTTCTTTTACAAAACAAAGAACTGAATTCTACCAACAAACAGGAGCTTGAAAGATGACTTAAAAACTCAGATCAGATTACAGCCCTTGCCAACAACTTGACTAAAGCCTGGTGAGACCCTGAATAGAAGACTCAGTAACCTGTACTTGGACTTCTGATTTGTGGAAGCGGTGAGATCATACACAAATATTGTTATAAGCCACTGAGGTTGTCATAATTTGCTGCACAACATAAAACTAACACAAATAACTTTTTGTTATAGAAGATATTGCTATCTTACATTCTAAAATTCAAATTTCAAATAAATTTTTTTAGTGCAATTATAATCAAATTACAATCTACTATTTTAAGGTAAGTATTATGAGCCACAATTCCAACATAGATTTTTCCAAACAACAGACTCCAAAATGGAGTTTGTATGTGAAAAGTTTATTAGGAATTGTTCTTAAAAACTATACAGATGAGAAAATAAGAAAAGCAAATCAGAGAAAGAGCGAGAGAGTGAGAGATTGAACTATCATGTATTTGGCTAATAACATGGAAGTTTCTAGAGCTAGTAGAGTTGTCCAAATTAAGGCAAGAAGATGAACTTTATAACTACACAGCCACCAGTGTTAAGATTGGTCTGATCCCAGGAAGAGTGATGTTTCCAAACTCTCTTTGGCTGGAGACAGTTCCTGAAGAGAGACTCCGATGTGAACAATAAGCAGTCTACACTTCCAGGAAA
This sequence comes from Homo sapiens, assembly GCF_000001405.40. NCBI lineage: Eukaryota > Metazoa > Chordata > Mammalia > Primates > Hominidae > Homo > Homo sapiens. The sequence goes on along the minus strand of NC_000004.12, from coordinate 64,078,456 downwards.
TGGAGGAATAAATGCTTTCATCCTTATCTTGGTGGCTTACCACGATGTTAACTACAATTCTTTTGAGTTGCTAAAATTCATTTACTTATTGAAAAAGTTTATCCCTGTTTAGTAGTGACTACTTAGGGATTCTAGTTTATTCCCTTTCTGGTGAAACTTATCTCAGAAAAATTAGTGGGACAACTATAGCTCCCAAGGCTGCATTTGGTTTTGAGGCATTATCTGATATTCAACACCTCCTTCTTTTACCATCCATCTTATGATCCATTCACTTTTTCACTTTTTTCTTGCAACTCTACTCTAGGTTGCTTATCTGGTGGGGTGAATCAGAATTAATGAAGTGGTGTCTAAGCCCCTGGTTATTATACCCCTCTTACCTCTTCACTGCTACATTGTCAATTTACCATCAAAATTAAGAACTTAAGATTCCACATTCATAAACTTTAATTTATGCTATTGTCTACTTTAAGCTCTATAAAAAGTACCAATATTTACTCTATGAAATAATCATGGTTTTGAAATGACAAATTCTGTACACATTACATTAGAACAGCTCTGCAACCTCTTGATAATTGGAATTAATTACCTTTGCCAAGATTGCAACTTTTTTCCTTGCCTCCTGGTTTCTTGGTAAAAATGGAGGTAGGAGTGAATGGGTCACCGTTTAACTTGAAGTTTAACAGAATTCTTAATATGGCTATGTATAAGCATTCCTCCATTGGGAAGGAAGAACTCTAGACCTATAAGGCCATTATACATGAGTATGGAGAACAAATTTTTTTCAACTAAATTACTGGAAGTGATGGTGAGAATAATTTCATTTCTATCTCTCATTTCCCAAATGATAATATTCTGCCAACTTAGGATACAACATCATATGATGGCTTTTGATTTAGACTTTATGTCACATTCTTTGATATGATGGACATCCCCTCACTCCAGTGCATAAACCCAAGCTAGCTCCTAAGCTGCACATAAGAAATGGCTATTTCAGTGTTTTATCAGCCAGGCACTTCCTGGGTACAATGAAAAGACCAATAGATTGGCCCATTCAACATTTCTTTTGGTAACAAGTGGACTTCTTGTTACGGAGGCTATGTTAATCAGTATTTTATGAAAGCCTATCAAATGCATTTTAAGCCCTTGAATGTTAGTGATGGCTACTAGCTTGTAAGCAAAATAATAAACATAATAATAAATTAAATTTCCATAGTTTGAATTTGTATTAATTCCAATCAATATTATTAGCTATGCTTCACAGATGGGCTCTAAAATAATTAATTTGCTAATGAGTGACTCATTGGTTGCTTCAAGTAACAGTGTTGCATTGGGGCTTAATGTTGCTTCTGCTGATAGATTTAATATTCAGTAGCAGCCAGAGAAAAGATCATTGTTGGTGATGGGGATTCCATGTGCTTGAGCCCCTGCATATTATTTAGCCTTCATCCCTTCATAAAAAATGTATTTATGTCTTCATTTTACCAGCATTGGTACAATGGAGGTAAAGACAGGGGCGAAAAGACAGAAGCTGGTTAATATTAACAGGTTGAGTTAGTTTGTCTACTTGCTTTTCTTTTCTTGTTGTTTGTTTTTAGTGCATCTATGATGAAGATCTCTTTTGAAAATTAATATGCAATTAAAAATTCTTCACACTTTGCTTACTCTCATATGTCCATCCACATTATTCCTCCCCATAGCTTTTTGTCCATATGTTCTAATCTTTTTTCTTCCAGGATTCCAACTAACCATTCTGTGAAACTGTATATCTTCTTATTTAGGGTCAATTTTCTTTATATATATATATATATATATATATATATATATATATATATATATCTTTATATATATGTTTATTTTACTATACTTTAAGTTCTAGGGTACATGTGCACAACGTGCAGGTTTGTTACATATGTATACATGTGCCATTTTTGTGTGCTGCACCCATTAACTCGTCATTTACATCAGGTATATCTACTGATGCTATCCCCCACTCCCCCCACCACACAACAGGCCCCAGTGTGTGATGTTCCCCTTCCTGTGTCCAAGTGTTCTCATTGTTCAATTCCCACCTATGAGTGAGAACATGTGGTGTTTGGTTTTTTGTCCTTGCCATAGTTTGCTGAGAATGATGGTTTCCAGCTTCATCCATGTCCCTACGAAGGACATGAATTCATCCTTTTTTATGGCTGCATAGTATTCCATGATGTGTATGTGCCACATTTTCTTAATCCAGTCTGTCATTGATGGACATTTGGGTTGGTTCCAAGTCCTTGCTATTGTGAATAGTGCTGCAATAAACATATGTGTGCATGTGTCTTTATAGCAGCATGATTTATATTCCTTTGGGTATATACCCAGTAATGGGATGGCTGGGTCAAATGGTATTTCTAGTTCTAGATCCTTGAGGAATCACCACACTATCTTCCACAATGGTTAAACTAGTTTACAGTCCCACCAACAGTGTAAAACTGTTCCTATTTCTCCACATTCTCTCCAGCACCTGTTGTTTCCTGACTTTTTAATGATCCCCATTCTAACTTGTGTGAGATGATATTTCATTGTGGTTTTGATTTGCATTTCTCTGATGGCCAGTGATGATGAGCATTTTTTCATGTGTCTTTTGGCTGCAAAAAATGTCTTCTTTTGAGAAGTGTCTGTTCATATCCTTCACCCACTTTTTGTTGGTTTTTTTTTTTTCTTGTAAATTTTTTTGAGTTCTTTGTAGATTCTGGATATTAGCCCTTTGTCAGATGAGTAGATTGCAAAAATTTTCTCCCATTCTGGAGGTTGCCTGTTGACTCTGATGGTAGTTTATTTTGCTGTGCAGAAGCTCTTCAGTTTAATTAGATCCCATTTGTCAATTTTGGCTTTTGTTGCCATTGCTTTTGGTGTTTTAGACATGAAGTCCTTGCCCATGCCTATGTCCTGAATGGTATTGCCTAGGTTTTCTTCTAGGGTTTTTATGGTTTTAGGTCTGACATTTAAGTCTTTAATCCATCTTGAATTAATTTTTGTATAAGGTGTAAGGAAAGGATCCAGTTTCAGCTTTCTATATATGGCTAGCCAGTTTTCCCAGCACCATTTATTAAATAGGGAATCCTTTCCCCGTTTCTTGTTTTTGTCAGGTTTGTCAAAGATCAGTTGGTTGCAGATGTGTGGTATTATTTCTGAGGGCTCTGTTCTGTTCCATTGATCTATATCTCTGTTTTGGTACCGGTACCATGCTGTTTTGGTTACTGTAGCCTCATAGTATAGTTTGAAGTCAGGTAGCATGATGCCTCCAGCTTTATTCTTTTGGCTTAGGATTGACTTAGCAATGTGGGCTCTTTTTTGGTTCCATATGAACTTGAAAGTAGTTTTTTCCAATTCTGTGAAGAAAGTCATTGGTAGCTTGATGGGGATGGCATTGAATCTATAAATTACCTTGGGCAGTATGGCCATTTTCACGATATTGATTCTTCCTATCCATGAGCATGGAATGTTCTTCCATTTGATTGTGTCCTCTTTTATTTCTTTTTTTTTTTTTTTTTTTTTTTTGTGACGGAGTCTCACTCTGTCACCCAGGCTGGAGTGCAGTGGTGCAATCTTGGCCCTCTGCAAGCTCTGCCTCCCAGGTTCATGCCATTCTCCTGCCTCAGCCTCCCAAGTAGCTGGGACTACAGGTGCCCACCACCACGTCTGGCTAATTTTTTGTATTTTTAGTAGAGATGGGGTTTCATTGTGTTAGCCAGGATGGTGTCGATCTCCTGATCTCATGATCCACCCACCTTGGCCTCCCAAAGTGCAGGGATTACAGGCATGAGCCACCACACCTGGCCGTCCTCTTTTACTTAGTTGAGCAGTGGTTTGTAGTTCTCCTGGAAGAGGTCCTTCAGATCCCTTGTAAGTTGGATTCCTAGGTATTTTATTTTCTTTGAAGCAATTGTGAATGGGAGTTCACTCATGATTTGGCTCTCTGTTTGTCTGTTATTGGTGTATAAGAATGCTTGTGATTTTTGCACATTGATTTTGTATCCTGAGACTTTGATGAAGTTCCTTATCAGCTTAAGGAGATTTTGGGCTGAGATGATGGGTTTTTCTAGATATACAATCATGTCATCTGCAAACAGGGACAGTTTGACTTCTTCTTTTCCTAATTGAATACCCTTTATTTCTTTCTCCTGCCTGATTGGCCTGGCCAGAACTTCCAACACTATGTTGAATAGGAGTGGTGAGAGACGGCATCCATGTCTTGTGCCAGTTTTCAAAGGGAATGCTTCCAGTTTTTGCCCATTCAGTATGATATTGGCTGTGGGTTTGTCATAGATAGCTCTTATTATTTTGAGATACATCCCATCAATACCTAATTTATTGAGAGTTTTTAGCATGAAGGGCTGTTGAATTTTGTCAAACGTCTTTTCTGCATCTACTGAGATAATCATGTGGTTTTTGTCTTTGATTCTGTTTATATGCTGGATTACGTTTATTGATTTGCATATGCTGAGTCAGCCTTGCATCTCAGGGATGAAGCAAGCCCCTTTGACCACGGTGGATAAGCTTTTTGAGGTGCTGCTGGATTCGGTTTGCCAGTATTTTATTGAGGATTTTTGCATTGATGTTCATCAGGCATATTGGTCTAAAATTCTCTTTTTTTGTTGTGTCTCTGCCAGGCTTTGGTATCAGGATGATGCTGGCGTCATAAAATGAGTTAGGGAAAATTACCTCTTTTTCTATTGATTGGAATAGTTTCAGAAGGAATGGTACCAGCTCCTCTTTGTATCTCTGTTAGAATTCGGCTATGAATCCATCTGGTCCTGGACTTTTTTTAGTTGGTAGGCTATTAATTATTGCCTCAATTTCAGAGTCTGTTATTGGTCTATTCAGAGATTCAACTTCTTCCTGATTTAGTGTTGGAGAGTGTATGTGTCAAGGAATTTATCCAAAAAACCCTTCAAAAATCAATGAATCCAGGAGCTGGTTTTTTGAAAAGATCAACAAAATTGATAGACCACTAGCAAGACTAATAAGAAAAGAAAGAAGAATCAAATAGATGCAATAAAAAATGATAAAGGAATATCACCACCAATCCCACAGAAATACAAACTACCATCAGAGAATACTAGAAACACCTCTAAGCAAATAAACTAGAAAATCTAGAAGAAATGGATTTAGGGCCAATTTTCTATTGGAACCAAGTGTATAACCAGGTTCACAGCACATAGTTCTGTTAACTTAGAGAATTTCATGATGCAAAGGTCAGGCTGCTTGGTTACCTAGTGTCTCATAATTAGGTGTCTACTATCTACTAAAGCTTATTAGTAGACCTGATTCTATTTATAAAAAGGAAATGGCTTATCTGAAGGAGATGACATAGATTAACTCCAAAGTCCTAGGCTTCTGTACCGTGATTTTTCCAATTAGTTCCTTCCAGAGGGTTCTATAGCAACCTATTTGCAATGAACACTTTAGATATAATTAAATTTCCTGATTCATAAGGGCCAGTAGAGTGTTTTGTGCTGCAGCAGAAACTTGCTATAAAGCATTGCCTTGCTCAGGTCCCCACTCAAAACTGACAGCTTTATCAGTGATCTTTAAATAAGTCAAATTGAAACACTCAAAGGTGATATGTTGCCTCCAGAATCCAAAAAGTTCTTCCAACCATTGTGATTCCTATACGTGATACATAATATAGAGGGTAACAACTTGTCTTCATATTGCTGGGATATCTCAACATTGTCAACACTACTAAATCTTCAGAAACTTCTTTTTGGTTGCAGGCCCAAAATTTTTATGGGGTTTACTTTCCATCCTGTAGTTTGCATAGGTCTTACTAAGACATTTATATTGCTTGCTACTCCTTTCTCATAATTAACATAATTTTATCAATTTATTGGATCAATATAATGTTTGTGGAACCTCAAGACATTTAAGATCTCTGCAGAATATATTATGGCAAAGAACATAAGAATTGAAATAACTCTTAGGCAACACTGTCACAGTACACTGTTTTTTTCTCAAAGTGAATTGCTTCTGATAGTCCTTACAAATTTTTGGTTAAATAGACATTTGTCCAGTCAATAGTTACATATACTATAGCAGGAATAATGTTGATTTTGCTCTGGTAGAGGTATTACAATCAGGAAAGCAACTGAAATTGCAGTCACCACTTGCTTAAGTTTATGATAGTCGATGGTCATTCTCCAAGACCTATTTCACTTCTGCTCAGGTCACATTGGTGAATTAAATGTGGGTGTTATTATTATATCTTTTTATCTTTTTTATTCTTTCAAGTCTTTGATGGAAGCATTATTTGCTAAGATTTTCTCAGAATTTTACTATCTTTATTGGGAAGGGATGTTCCAGGAATTTCCATTTGGCTTTCCATAATGATCTATACCCCATGTTTCAGAGATCCAACTCAATGAACTAACTGACAGAACTCATTCTTCAAGTTTTCAAGTATGTCTATTAAAATGTTACCTTCTGGAGCTAGGGACAATAATTTCCAACTCAGCTAATGGACTGAGTAGTTAATTCATTCTCAGTTAACTTCAGTTAAGATCTCATCTATCAGCTGACCACTTTAAGGCCCTACTTAAAGTGGTAGGTTACAAGAATCTGTGTCATTCAGAGCTTATATCTAATAATTCTCCAAAATTCTGATTATTTTCTGCTCCCCAACAACAAATCCACTTAACAAATGGCCTCAAATCTCAGTTGAATATTTGGTGAAATATTACTGGTGGGTACTTTTGGACACCTGTAATTGTAATAACACAAAGTCCTTTCTCAGGGTAAGTAGGCCTTCTCTTGAATCAATTTGTCTGTGAAATGACTTAGGTCTGTGTATTAGTCTGTTCCCATCTACTATAAGAACTACCTGAACTGGGTAATTGATGAAGAAAAGAGATTCATTCAATTGACTCACAGTTCCACTGGCTTAACAGGAAGCATGGCCAGGAGGCCTCAGGAAACTTACAATTATGGCAGAAGAAGAAGGGAAACAAGAACATCTTACCATGGCAGAGCAGAAGAGAGAGAGCATGAAGGAGGAAGTGCTACATACTTTAAAACAACTAGATCCTATGAGAAGTCACTCATTATCATGAGAACAGCATGGGGGCAATCTGCTCTCATGATCCAATCACCTCCCACCAGGTCACTCTCCCCAACACATGGGGATTACAATTCGACATGAGATTTGGGTTGGGACACAGAGCCAAACCATATCATTCTGACCCCTAGCCCCTCTACGGAGACATTTCCCCCATTGTATTGGCTAACAATATTTGGTTCCTCTTTACTTATGAAAATTTCTGAAGCAGGTTTGAATATCTCACCAGAAAATGAGTTTTTCTTTTCTACCACATGACTGGGCAGCAAATTTTCCTAACTTTTATGCTCTGCTTCCCTTCCAGTTTCAGATATCTCTATGTTCATGCATATGAGTATACACTTTCCAAAATAACCAGGTCACATGTTGAATGCTTTGCTGCTTAGAAATTTCTTCTGCCAGATAGCCTAAATCATCTATCTCAAGGTCAAAGTTCCCTGGATCTTTAGGACAGTGGCAAAATGCCACCAGTCTCTTTGCTAAAGCATACAAGAATGAACTTTGCTCCAGTTCCCGATAAGTTCCTCATCTCCATCTGAGATCACCTCAGTCTGGACTTCGTTGTTCATATCAGCATTTTGGTCACAACCATTCAACAAGTGTCTAGGAAGTTTCAAACTTTCCCACATCTTCCTGTCTTATCCTGAGCTTTCCAAACTGCTCCAACCTCTGCCAATTATCTATTTCCAAAGTTGCTTTACCATTTTCAGGTATCTTTATAGAACTCACTCATTGTCATGAATGCAGCAAGGAGAAAATCACTCAATGATCTAATCACCTCCCATTGGTCCCTCCCCCAACATTGGAAATTACTATTTGACATAAAATTTGAGTGGGAAAACACAGCCAAAGTATATCATTCTGGGAAGTTGAGAAAAAGTATGATTCTTCAGCATAGAGACTGAAGTCAAATTTTTGGCTACTAGACTTTTTACATAGGGAAAACAGTACTCAATAGGCTGCCCATCTATTTTATTTCTAGAGAAACCCTGATCAATTGATCTTCACCAAAATTCTCTGTGGGCAGAGTTCTACTTTTTCCATTGCAATTTGAATGTCATTATTATTATTATCTATACTAATTATATGGACTAGGCCTTTCAGTAAAATGTCAGTAGAACTGAAGAGAGTACACATTCTTCTTTTTTTCCTGATGTTAGGGGAAAACATTCAGTCTTTCATCATTAAATATGATGTTAGCTTTTAAATAAACAGAAAACTTTAATCAGGTTGAAAAATTTCCTTTACCTTCTGTTTGATGATTTTCTTAACCATAAATTGTTATTAAATTTTATCAAAAGTTTTTTATACTTCTATGAAGATTCTATGTGATATGTCTTCTCTAAGTTGGTTAGTATGGTGAATTACATTGTAAAGTTCAAAGTAGATGGATAATGTAAGAATGAATAGATGATATTTACTGAGTCTTTTAACATATTCAGACATTATCTTGAGAATTTTTATATTTAATTCTCATAACATTATTCTGAGTTAAGTATTATGATCACATCAACTTTAAAGATAACAAAATTGAGGCATAGAAACATGGCTAGTAAGAGGTGGAATCAGGATTCAATCTGAAGTTGGGCGATGCCATAGTATCAAACCCTGGGCTAAAAGGATGTTGTAGCTGCCTAGAAGAGTCAAGTTGCTATAGGAAGTAGTAAAGCATTTTTTCCTTTACAGATATATTTTAGGATATCCAGGAAAAAAAGTTCTAATATCTATCTTACAAGTTACATGCAGCAAATCAGAATTCAAACTTATAAGATATAAACACAAATTGGTAACATATATGTGATAACATTTATCAATTGTAAATAATTTAGTGTTAAATGAGGAGATCAGCTCTCTTAGCTTTTATCTTTTGGAAAGATAGATCTGAAATCTGACTGAAAAAAGAAAGGGAATCCTACTATTTAGAAATGGATATCTTTAAAGGAGAAAACAATACTTAGTGGCCAATCACCTATATAATATTGATTATAGATGTGGTTTGTTTGAACATTACAATGCAATGAAACACACTCTTTATATTAATTATTTTTAGAAGACAGAATTACTTTTGCTTTCATATTTTGTGTTTTGAAGTGTATCTGGAAAAATCTCAGCATATTTACAGCTCATTTTAAGGTGATTTCCAAACAAAACAGTCAAAATGTTTATTATTTTATTCTTAATTCATAATGTATTTTACAGTTGTAAAAGCTAAGGACTGTGGAGATCCAGGAGTTTCTCCACTATTCCGTAAAGTCTTTTATGAAGTCCTGTCTTCTATCTCCAAACGCAGAGTTCTAGTTCATTTCTCCTCCAGTAGGGAACCTAAACATCAAGGCATAGACCTAATTCAGAAAAGTAAAATTCATATACCTCAATCACCATTTGTCATAGTACCTGTTGCAGTAGTAAATCTCCCTAAAAGATCTAGAATCAAGAACTGACCCAAGTTCATGTGAGACATGCCTGTGTTAGGAACAAAGGCCATCTAAATATACACATGTGACTTAGTATACTAATTCCTATCCTAAAGCACTCTAAAGTGACATAAAAAATTCCTCAGAAATTTTAAGCAGTGATGAAATCCTGTTCTGGATCTAGAAAATGGCTTCTTATTCTTCATTCAATATACTCTCTCTTTTCCTCCCCCACCACCCATGTACATATTCACACACATGCTCACACTCACACACACGCTCACACTCACACACACACTTTGTCTTCTTAGAGAAGGAGTTTACAGTCTTTAGTGTGCATCACAATCATTCCAAAGGCTTGATAAAACAGATCGCTGGGCTCTTTCCATGTACTCTGATTCAGTAGGTCTGGAATGAAACCCCAAAATATACATATTTAACAACTTCTCTGTGAAATTTATGCTGGTGGTCTAAGAACCTCACTTTCAGAACGAATGCTGGAAAGCAGCTAAAATATTGTGCTATTACTCATTAAACCAGTAGTGCTTCTCAACTGGCTTTCTAGAAAAAAAAGTATTTCTAATTTTAGTGCTGCCAACGGCTACTGCTGATTTCAGGCTACCCATATGATGTCATTGAGCATGAATCTGGGAAGAGATGCATCTGATGTAAGCTGGTATGAGCCAGCCTCAGCAGTCCACTGGGTGAGATCTTGATGTTACAAAATGCTTAACTGAGTTACGACTGGCTACAAGCAACTCTATTGCCAACCAGGCCACAGTAAAATATGCTTTTATATAGTCGTTGTCACCAACATTTTGTATTCAATTTTCTATGAAATTAAATGCATACTATCCAGGAATAAAGAGTACTATTAAAATGTTCTCTTATGCAATTCATGACTTTCCTGAATCTTCCATGTCCTGGCTGCTGGAATTTGTTAAAAAGTCCCCTTCTTCTTTAGCAAATACAATCACAGAATAGTGAGGGAGGAAAGTTTCTGATTCTGGGAGACTGGGGGGAGAGAAATTTATGGAGGAGTGGTGGAATTGATTTTATATTAAAGATTGTCAGATGGTTTTTATTTTATTCCTTACTATAATGTTGGCTCAACAGGATAGAGAGGATATCATTAAAATACACACACACACACACACACACACACACACACACAACTTTGCCATTAATCACTATATGTATTTACAGAGGCAGTTTCTCTTCCCCTTAAACATGAAGGCATGGCAAATTCCCCAAAACATCATTTTGTTCTTTGATGACTGAAACAGTAGTGTCTAATTTCTCAGGGAATGTTAGTAGGTTATCTTTGAGGGTAAATAAATTTTTTGTGACCAAATATATTTTAAGACAATGTGGTAAACAGTTGAATTTTATTTACTGCAACATTTATCGTATTTTAATGTACTAAGTTGAACTAATAATGTCTAGAAAGGTAACAATATTAACACTACTCAAATTTATTGCAAATGGAAGCATTTTGAAAAAAAAATTTTAACATATTGATAGACATAAGTATGACCCTGAACCCACATATATATATGTGACGATTTCATAGTCACAATAGTCATATATATATATACATATATATATATTCTGATTCAGTAGGTCTGGAATGAAACCCCAAAGTATACATATTTAACAACTTCTCTGTGAAATTTATGCTGGTGGCCTAAGAACCTCACTTTCAGAACAAATGCTGGAAAGCAACTAAAATATTGTGCTATTACTCATTAAACCAGTAGTGCTTCTCAACTTATATATATATATGATGTATATATATCATATATATATCTCAAATGATATATATACATCATATATATATGACTATTGTGACTATTAAATTGTCACATATTAGAATCAATATCAATTATATTACTGTTGATAATTGGAAGCAAGTATTTCTGTGTCAAGTTATCATTTTGGTTGATCAGCAGATTAAAACACTAATGGTATGCAGCTGTGCAAAAACAACTGCTAAGGAAAAGAGTAAAATATTACAGGGTTTTCTTTTTTATTTAAATAATTATTCAAAAATAAAATGCTGTTGTATGCTGCTACCTACAATATTAATTTGACAATTAAGTCTACGTTTCTAATTCAATATTATGTATTCCTTTCAGGATTAATTTTCCCTCTTTTTCTTAAATAGGTTCTTTTTCAAATGAGTGACATAAACATATGCATATGTATGTGTGTATAAATATATCTCATATATTTGTATCCATTAGGAGATTTTTCTCTCATGCAAATAACAATTTTGGGGTTAACCATAATGAAGCATAGTTATGCATGCAAAATTAATAACTGGATTTGTAGTGAATCAGACTGCTTGAAAAATTATTGACAAACATGTCCAAAGACTACTACACATTTCTTAAAGATTATGGAAATGAGTTGTAGACATTATAACAATTGTATCAGTAGGACACATATAATACAGAGAAATTCAATGCACATCAAATGTTTATTTCTTTAGATATTTACTGCTATTATCGGAATATATAGCAGGTGAAATTCCAGGTATATATACTTAAATAACATTTAGCCAGTATATGCTGCTATAACCTAAAAAGAAATAGATTTTGTTTTAATCTCACCTCCAAATGTCTGATCCTTTCTGTGCTAGCTACCTTATCTTTATTTGCTTCCCTATTAGTGTGAATTCGTAATCTCTCTTTATAGAATCAAGCCTTCCATTTTGCTCTGGATTCTATTTTTATCTTTCGAGACTGATTATTGAAATTATTGATTTTCTCTCATGTTTTCAGTTGGTAACGCTCTACTGAATCATACTTATTAGCAAACAGACATGCTCTAAAATTCCCAACACAAACTAAAAAATATATGCAAATGTAAAAAAATTTCAAACTTGAACCCATGTCTTTTTTTTAGCTATAAACTCATTACTGATTTCTTTTCAGAGCAAAATTTTCAAAAACCGAATCTATACAAAGTCAATCTGCATCCTCACCTCCCCTGTGTCTTCCCAGACAATTTCGATTAGGTTTTTTTCCCAATATAACACTGAAATAGTTCTCAAAAAAAAAAAAAGCATCAAATACCACCATATTACTAAATTCTGCTGAATTAAGCCTGAAGTTTGTCCCATGTTTAGCCAATCCATATCAACTTTAAAAACAAATGTGGTTTTACTAGCAACATTTAAAAATTAAGACATCACAATTATATTTTTGTTATTTCTAAAATGCCTAAGTGTGCCTAAATAATGGACTAAAAGTGAAGGGCCATCGTAATCAGAGCAAGCACACTACAGTCTATACCTGAGTTATACCATTCCCTTTGACAGTCCGAAATAAAAACCACTGACCCTTGACATTCATCATTGTGAATGTATCTTTGATTATAAAATATATAGATTTTGGAAGAAAAAATCCCTATGTTTTATTGTTCTCATTTTATGTTACTTACATGGTCTTGGTATATCAGCCTTTCTCAAACTTGACATGATTTGAGGCTGAAATATTCTTTGTTGTGGTGGGTTGCTTTGTTCATTGTGTGATATTTAGCTCCTACTTTATTCTAGAGACAGAACACCCACCCATGTAACAAATAAATTCAGAAGTATGTATTTGCAAGAATAAAAATAACTACATACATAAAAATAGTAGTAGGAGAGATTATAATGCAGTGTTTTTATTTTTTAATGTAATGCAATTTTGAGACAGGGTCTCATTTTGCTGCCCAGTGGCACAGTCATAGTTCACTGCTGCCTTAAACTCCTGGGTTCAAGCTCCGAAAGTTCAAATGCAGTATGTTAAAACATGTGTTTTCATCTGTAGCTCAGTATATAGTTTTTCAGAGAAATGACACATTTGAATATCAGAATTTTCACCTAAGTTGGAAGTGTCACTTCAAAGAATTATATATAATTCTATTTATATACAGAAAACTCTCACTTATTTGTATGAGGTTCCAATGTTTTTTCTTATTTTTATTTTTATTTTTTTGAGACAGCATCTTACTCTGTCACTGAGGCTGGAGTGCAGTGAGCAATTATGGCTTACTGCCTTCTCTACCTCCTGGGCTCAAATGATCCTCCTACCTTACCCTTCCCAGCAGCTGGAACAATGGGTATGTGCCACCACACCAGGCTAATTTTTTATTTTTTATTTTTTTCTATACAGAGTCTATCTATGTTGCTGGGGCTGGGAAAAGTGTTGAAATTCTCAAGCTCCTGGGCTCAACTGATCCTTCCATCTTGACTTTCTGGTGTTAGGATTACAGGTGAGAACCACCACACCTCTCAATATTGTATTTTTATAGGTGGAATACCCAAGGTATGATCACTAGACTTCTAAACTCCAGTGCATTCTTCATACATACCTAAGTGATAGTTTTACAGCATAAATCACATTATGTAACAGCAACACCAGGAAACACTTCCAACCCCAACCCAAACATCTGCTTTATATTGCAGAGATTTTCTGTTCAGAATAAAATCTATGCTTTCTAGTCCAGCATACAGGGTTTTCTTTGGTCTGGGACTGTAGCACCCCAGCCAAATCTTGTGATGTTCTAACACTTGTTCCCCAACAGCCAATGTCAACGTGGCCTTTATATAGTTCAATGACTATACAAATAACTTTTCAGCACTAAGGCTATCAGACAGGCTGGTCATTTGTCTGGAGTGCACTTCTATAGTGATAAATCATTCTGGAGGTTTCACCTTATATATCATCTCCTCAGTTAACTAACGTTTGTGTAATACCTTTGAATGTGCACTTCCCACAATCCTCTATAATAGCCTCCAATAAGTTTCCTCCATCTGCACTTTACATTTTGCAGTTATCTGTGCATTTATAATTTCTATAAATTTTAGGACTTTGACTTTTTTTCCAACCCCATATGAGGAGAGGAGAGATTATATCTGTTGCTTTCACTACCTTGTACATGGAACCCAATAGGGTGGTTAGGCATGTAATAAATTTTTGTAAATAGTTGTCAAATAAAATAATGAATAAAAACACGATTAAAGACAATGCCTTATAAAGTTTCCTAAGTGTTTTTTACCTCTGTATGTTAAGTAATTAATTATCTGATTTGATTATCATCAGAGAAATCATTTAAAAGCTCCCAAAGGCATACTGAGATGTCTTCAATTTAAGTCTTTCCTTGAAAATTAGACAATAGGTACAGAGACAATTTCTAAAGAGAAATTTATGTCCTTCTGTAAATTAGCAGATGTATATTTATCCACTTAAATTCATTATCATGAGGGTTTCAAAATATTAATATCAAGGTTTTAATTTCTTGATTTTTTTCCTGTGGAACTATGTTAAATATTGGTGAAGTATTGTAGGGATCCCCAATTTACTCATCTTGGTTCTTAAGTGAGATCTTCTTTTGGGTCTAGGAACTACATTGACAAAAGATAGAGTGATAGGATTAAAACACACATTTTATTAATTTTACATGTACATGGGGATTTTCACAGAGTGGAGATCCAAAGCAATGTCCAAAACAGAAAGCTTTACACTTTTTCATCAAAAAATGATGAATTTTGTGAAGAAATGACAAGAAAGAGGGGTCAGAGCTAGGGGCAATAAATTCCAGGGGATTCATTGAGACATATATATAGAGCTGTAAAGCTAGTGGGAGATAAGGGATATTTTAGTAAGTTTATTTATACAGCTCCATCGCAGCATCAATTCTCAGTCTCACTGGCAATAAGGGTTATCTTCTAGTGTTATTGCAGGGAAGGCAGCTTTCTCACAGGGATTTGTATGGCTTGCTATAGATAAGCAAAGGCAGTTCAGATGGCTCTTTCTACAACTGCTGCTTCCTAAGTGCTTTCAACTCCAAATAATCTATATGCCAGGTCATGGCATATTGGGGTATTATGTCCTTAACTCCTTCAGTATCCATATAGATCAATCCATTAAAATGAGACTGTTAGAAAGATAGCCAGAAAATTTTGCTATGGTAGTTTTTAACAACTTTAAAGAAAACAATAAAAACATTTTAGCCTGTGTTTTTTTGAAATAGGTGGGAAATATAGAAAATTGAATGAAGTTAAGCTTTGCTTATCTGTACAAATGGAAGTGAGACTTTCCATGAATATAAAAATAAGTAGAATATACATACATTTATATTTGAAATGGAAATGCATTTCTGTTGACAAATTTATACTTGGAAACACTATTTTTTTGAAACTTTTGTTTATATTTTTCTAACCACACATTGAATACTATTCGAGGAAAACAAAATATTCACAGAGCAACACAGTCATTTACAGTTTAAAATATTACTTATTCCAACAAATTATTCATTGTCTTCTAGAATAATTAGCAATGGATTCTATGTTTACTATATTTCATAGCATAACCAACAGAGATGAAGCTTAATAAGGCACTGTTCCTTAATGTGTATTTGCATGGTTTTACTTCATCTTGGTATGAAAATTCTCGCTCTTTAATTATGATATAAAAGCCTCAAAATTCATACATTTTGGTGTATAAAACTGACCAGGAAGTTTAGTTTTATATTGCTTATAAACTAGACATTAAAAACATGAAGAGAAAAAGTAAGTAAATTATCTCCATGAAACTACTCTTTTAAAAAAGTTGAGGTCGAATATGCTCTAAAATTATAAATTTCTTTATACTACTATTTATTTATAATTACTAATACATTAAACTGTGATTCTGATGTTAAACTTTTACCTCCTTCTTACTGCAGAATTGAGGAGAAGTTTTTTGCGAGTCTGGCTTAAAAATATATATTAATTATGATTGGGAGTTTTCTTTCCACTTTCTACTTACCATTATTCTGATTTTTCTGCCTTACTTCTCTTTTGTGTCTCAGAGCCCATTTTTTAAAACTTTACTTGCTCAATAATTTTAAGTTTAACATATCTAAGGTATTTGCATATACATTGCAATAAAGGTAATCCTGGCTATCCTTTTGACCTTGTTCCCCTAAACAGCTGGTCCACTCACTGACAATATTCTTGTTAATCCATTAAGCCAATTGTTCTGGGCATGTTCCTCATGTTAGCTTAAATCTTCCCCTTCCTGCATCAGATTAAATATGTACTATTTGTCTAGTCCCTTCCACATACAGTATGGAGACTAGTCTATTTACAAGAACTATCTCAAATAATTTATCTATTGACTGTGTGATTAAGCTTCATTATTCCTATATTTATTAATATATATATTTAGACTGAAGGCTAAAGAATCCAATATTAAAATAACTGAAAAAATAAGCAACATTTATTTTCACACAGGCATTTAGGTATGGCTGAATTCAAATGATCAAAAGACTGTTCTGATTCCAGTTAATCTCTGCATCTCCTGGACAGGTTCTTACTAATTGCCAGACATCATGGCCCCTGGTATCTTATACATCTTAACTTTTCAAGGACAATAACAAGTATTAAGCTTAAGTTTATTCAAAACTGTGGAATAACATTCCAGAGGAGTTGTCTACTTGGCTTGACTTGCCTACCTATGTCTAAGCAAGACAGGTCATTTTATAAGAAAAAGATTGGCCAAGGTGCCAGAAAGGGATAAATAATATGTGTGCTATATATTTATTTTCCTATTTTATTTAATTTTTAAACATTTACTTGAATATCAAGCGTATACAGCCTGAAGAAACAAGGTACCATTTAAAACAAAATTTCATCTTTGAAAAAGGTTACCTGTACATCAGGATACATTACATATCAAGTACACTGGTGAAATTTATAAGAGGAAAGTTTACTTATGCAAAAATGTAGAGTCTGGTATAATGGACCATCTTGGACCCACCACCTAATTCTCATTTATCAGCTCAGAATCAATTGTGTTTCATCTCTAAATCCTACATTATACCCATACCCAACAGATTATGTTGAAGTCCATTGTAGATATTATATTATATTATCTTTAAATATTTCAGTATTTATCAGTGGTAATCTTTATTTTGTCCCCTTATATTTTTTACTAAAAAAGGTATATTATTAAGTCCTTTACATTATTATTTGAAAAAAATGTTTCAGGCATATCTTTTACTGTTCTACCAGACCTAGAATCTGTTATGTCTCCAAGGAAACCTAGAATTCTTTTGTGATTTACATGCTTTTTAAAAATATCATTTTGAATACCACTTCATAAAATTTGTTCCTTTAAATCATTCAAGTTTAGGATATGACTTTGTCCTGATGGGATTTTTATTTTTACCACATTGTGTAAATTATTAGTGGCTTCTATTCAAGTAGTTCATTCATTTGTCCATTCATTTAGTATTTATCAATGCTAACCATAATGCCAAGTGGGGTACCAGGTGCTGGGAATATGATTATGAAAAACAAAATAAAATTATTTTTTTTTTCATGGTGCTGTCATTCTTGTGAAGGATTTCTTTAATTTGAATACACATTGGAACTCTCCAACAGAAATGCTACCTGCATAGTATATGTGTTCTCTTTTCCATAGGCATCTATGCCTAGCACTGGCCTATTAGAAGGTACCCTTGTCATATTTAAGAATGATTGTTGCTTCTTTTATAAGTTTTTCAACATATTACTTGTCTTCTATACTTGCTATTTTGGGAATAGTTTACCTTTCCCATATTTTTTTTTCTGGGTCTGCCTTTTTAAATCTGAATATTTTTCCATATTCTTGATTTTCTGATGTATTTCTACAGAAGAGGTCATAATAAATTTGGGGAGGATTTAAAAAAGTATATTTCTTGAAAGAATGTAAGTTTTTTTATTCCTTGGGAGCCAGAAACAACCCACATTATCTTGGTAAATGTATGGAAAGGCAGTGAATCATCACCACTACTCAAAGGCATTAAATCAGGCAACTGTTGCTTCAAACTGGCAAATATATACGAGTTTGAAAACTGACATTTATTTTTACAAGTTAGTAAAATAAATTTGAATAATTTTTTTATATTTAATTTTTTTAAAGCACCAAACATACCTTGCTAATATACATCCCTATGAAACCAAGGACACAAATTTAGCCACAAATAAAAGCCCTGCACAGAACCTTGGCCCTGTGAAAACATCTAGACATGAAGCCAATTGACTATACTCAAATTATACCACTGTTAAATGAACACCAATCATCTCAGATAAAAAAGAACCAGCACAAGAACTCTGGCAATTCAAAAAGCCAGAGTGTCCCTTTACCTTCATACGAGTATACTAGCTCCATAGCAGTGGTTCTTAACCAGTCTGAAGTGACAGAAATGACAAATATAGAATTCAGAGTCTGGATGGATGGCGAGGAAACATTGAGATTCAGGAGAAAGTTGAAATCCATCTCAAGAAATCCAAAGAATCCAAAGAATCCAGCAAAGCCATCCAAGAACTGAAAGATGGAATAGTCTTTTTAATAAAGAACCAAACTAAACTTCTAGAGCTAAAATATTCACACAGAATTATAGAATACAATTGTAAATATTAAAAGCAGAATAGGCCAAGCTGAGGAAAGAATCTCTGACCTCGAAGATTAGTTCTTCAAATCAACTCAGTCACATAAAAACAAATTTAAAAGAATTTTTAAAAATCAGCAAACTTCTAAATATAAGGGATAACGTAAAGAGACTAAATAAATGCTTACTGGCATTCCTGAGAGAGAAAAAGAGAGAATAAACGGGACATAGTTCATGAAAATTTTTCTAATCTTGCTAGCAAGACTGACCTACAAATCCAAGAAATACAGAGAAACCCAGCTAGATATTATACAAGATCCCCATCCCCAAGGCATATAGTCATCAGATTCACCAAGGTTAACAAAAGAAAAACCTTAAAGCCAGGAGAGATTGAGAGTCTATTTTCAGCACCCTTAAAGAAGAGAAATTCCAACCAAAATTTTATGTCCTGACAAACTAACTTCATTAAATGAGGGAGAAATAAAATCCTCAGACAAGCCAATGGTGAGGGAATACATTTCCACTAGACCAGCCTTATAAGAGGTCCTTAAAGGAGTGCTAAATATAGAACCAAAAGAATGACATCTGTTACCATTAAGCACATAGCCCACAGGCACTATAAAGCAATCACACAATCAAGTCTACATAACAGCCAGCTAACAACACAATTACAAGAGCAAATCTCAAATATCAATATTAATCCTGGATGTAAATAGGCTAAACACCCACTTAAAAGGCACAGAGTGGCACGTTGGATTGAGAGAAAGACCCAATCAGTCTCAATCTGCTGTCTTCAAGAGGTCCATCTCACATTTAATGATACTCAGAGGCCACCTGTAATCTCAGCACTTTGGGAAGCTGAGGCAGGTAGATCATGAGGTCAAGAGATCGAGACCATCTTGGCTGACATGGTGAAATCCCATCTCTATTAAAAACACACAAAAATTAGCCAGGTATGGTGGCACGTGCCTGTAGTGCCAGCTACTCGGGAGGCTGAGGCAGGAAAATTGCATGGACCCCAGAGGTGGAGGTTGCATTGAGCTGAGATCTCGCCACTGCACTCCAGCCTGGTGACAGAGTGAGACTCCATGAAAACAAGAACAAAAACAAAAACAAAAACAAAAACAAAACAGCAGTAGCTATTCTTATATCAGGTAAAACAGATTTTAAAGAAGTAAAATTCAAGAAAGACATTACATAATGATAAAAGATATAGTCCAACAAGAAGACTTAACTGTTTTAAATACGTATGCACCCAACATTGGCGTGCCCAGATTCATAATACAAATACTTCTCAGTGTACAAAAAGACTTAGATAACCAATAATAGTGGGAGACTTCAACGTCTGTTGCCAGCATTGGACAGATCATTGAGGCAGAAAGCTAACAAGAAAATTTGGACTTAAACTTGAGACTTGCCCAATTAGACCAAATACACATCTACAGAATTCTCTACCCAAGAACCACGGAATATACATTCTTATCATCTGCACATGGAAAATATTTCAAGATCAGTCACATGCACGGCCATAAAGCAAATGTCAATACACTTAAAAAAGTTAAAATCATATCAAGCACACTCTTGGATCACAATACAATTAGAAATAGAAATCCATACCAGATCTCTCAAAACTACTCAAACACATGGAGATTAAACAACTTGATCCTGAATAACTGCTAAGTCGACATTGAAATTAAGGCAGAAATAAAATCATTATTTTATTAGTAAAAATAGGGACACAAATTGTGAAAATCTCTGGAATGCAGTCGTTTTTTTTGAGAAGGAGTCTCGTTCTCCAGGTCAGGCTGGAGTGCAGTGGCGCAATCTCGGCTCACTGCAAGCTCCGCCTCCTGGGTGCACACCATTCTCCTTGGAATGCAGTCTTCAGAGGAAATTTTTTAGCACCAAATGCCTTCATAATGAAGTTAGAAAGATCTCAAATTAACAATCTACCTTTGTACCTCAAGAAACTAGAAAAAATTGAAAAGAAGAATACAATCTCAAATCTATGAGAAAAAAAGAAATAACTAAAAGTAGAGAGGAACTGAATAAAATTGAGATGGAAAAATCCATACAGAAGATCAATAAAATCATGAATTGATTTTTTGAAAAAATTAAACAAAATTGATAGACTGCTAGCTATATTAACAAAGAAAGAAAAGAAAATCCAAATAAGTACAATCAGAAATGACAAAGATGATAGTACAGTCTATTCCTCAGAAATACAGAAGATTCTCAGAAACTACTATGAACAAGTCTATGTGCACAAGTTAGAAATCTAGAGGAAATAAATACATTTCTACAAACATACAAACTACCAAGATTGAATCAGAAAGAGATTGAAAACTTGAATAGACCAAAATCGATCTCTGAAATTTAATAAGTAATAAAAAACCTGATAACACACAAAAAGCCCTGGACCAGATGGTTTCACAGTTGAATTCTATTACATATAGAAAGAAGAACTTATACCAATCCTACTGAAATCATTCAAAATAAGGTGAGGAGGAAGAGCTTTTTAACTTATTTTATGAAGCCAGTATCAGCCTAATACAAAAATCTAGCAGAGACAATAAAAAGAGAAAATGTCAGGCCAATATTTCTGAAGAACATAGATGCAAAAATCCTCAACAAGATACCAGCAAACCAAATCCAGCAACACATCAAACAGTTAATACACCATGATAACGTAGGCTTTACTTCTGGGATGCAAGCCTGGTTCAACATATGCAAATCAATAAATGTGATTCGCCACAGAAAGAGAATTAAAAACAAAAACCATATGATTATTTCAAAAGATGCAGCAAAAACTTTCAATAAAATCCAATATCCTTTTATGATTAAAAACCCTCAACAGAGTAGGCATTGAAGAAATATACCTCAAAATTGTAAGAGCCATCTACGTCAAACCCACAGCCAACATCATATTGAGCAGGTAGATGCTGGAACCATTCCCCTTGAGAACTAAAACACTCTCATGACTCCTATTTAACATATTACTGAAAGTTGTAGCCAGGGCAATCAGGCAAGAGAAACAAATAAAAGGCATCAAAATAGGATAAGAAAAGTCAAATTATCTCTCTTCACTGATGTTATGATTCAATACCTAGAAAACCCTAAACAATCTATCAAAAGGCTTCTAGAACTGATAAACAATTTTAGTAAGGTTTCAGGATATCTTACTTGAATTGTACAAAAGTTAGTAGCACTTCTATACCTCAATAATGTTCAGGCTGAGAGTTGAATCAAGAACACAATCCCACTTACAATAGCCATAAAGAAAATGAAATACCTAGGAATACAGCTAACAAGGGAAGTGAAAGGTCTCTATAAGGAGAACTACAAAACATTGCTGAAATAAATCATGAGAAGAAAACAAGTGTATAAACTGCTGTCAATAAATGTCACCAAGAACTTCCAGCTCAAAAGAAAGAGAAAACAGAAAAATCAGAGACAACAAAAGTAAATGGAAAAACATTCCATGTTCATGGATTAAAAGAAGCAATATTATTAAACTAGCCATACTGTCCAAAGCAATTTACAGACTCAATGTTATTCCTATCAAATAAGCAATGTCATTCTTCACAGAGTTTTAAAAAAACTGTTCTAAAATTTAAATGGAACCATAAAAGAGGCAGAATGTTCAAAGCAATTGTAACCCAAAAGAACAAAGCTGGACACATCAAACTATTCAACTTCAAACTACATTGTAAGGCTACAGTAACCAAAAAAGCATGGTATTGGTACAAAAACAGCCATCTAAACCAATTTAACAGATTAGGAAACTCAGAAATAAAGCCATACGCTTACCATCAACTGATCTTTGACAAGTCTGACAAAAATATGCAATGGGGAAAGAACACCTTATTTAATCAATTGTGCTGTGACAACTGGCTAACCATATGCAGAAGAATGAAACTAGACCCTTACCTTTCACCATATAAAAATTAACTGAGAGGAAATAAAGATTTAAATGTAAGACCTTAAGTTATCTAAATTCTAGAAGAAAACCTAAGAAATACCCTTCTTGACACTGGCCCTGGCGAATAACTTTTGGCTAGTTCTCCAAAAGCAATTGCAACAGAAAAAAATAAAAATAAAAAAAGGCAAGGGGACCTAATTAAATTGCAGAGCTTCTGTATGGCAAAATAAACTATTAATAAACAGATAACCTATAGAATGTGAGAAAATATTCTAAAACTATGCATCTGAAAAAAGTCTAACATCCAGGATCCATAAGGAACTTAAACAAATCAACAAGCAAAAACCATAGAATTCCATTAAAAAATGGGCAAAGGACATGAACAGACACTTCCCAAAAACAGACATACAAGTGGCCAACAAACATGAAAAAATGCAAATTTTTTATTAATCATCAGAGAAATGCAAATCAAAAACACAATGTGATACCGTCTCAACCAGTCAAAATGGCTGTTATCAAAAAGTGTCAAATAACAACAGATACGGACAAGACTGTGGAGCAAAGGGAATGCTTATACACTGATGGTGGGAATTTAAATTAGTTCAGCCACTGTGAAAAGCAGTTTGGAGATTTCTCAAAGAAGTTAAAAAAGAGGTACCATTTGACACTGTAATCCCATTACTAGGTATATACCCAAAGAAAAGTAGATTATTAAGCCAAAAGACACATATGCTTATATGTTCATCACCACACTATTCACAAGAGCAACAACATGAAATCAACCTAGGTGCCCATCAGAACTGGATTGAATAAAGAAAATGGTGTGCACATACATTATGGAATACTACACAGCCATAAAAAAGAATGAAATTATGTTCTTTGCGGTAACATGGTTGGAGGAGAAGGCCATTATCCTAAGTGAATTAATGCAGGAATAGAAAAACAAATACTGCATGTTCTCACTTATAAGTGGAAATGAAACACTCAGTACACATGGACATAAACATGGGAACAACAGACACTGTGGTCTACTATAAGGAGGAGGGAGACAGGCGAGTCTGGGTTGAAAAATTACCTTATACTATAGCATTAGGCACTATACTCACTACTTGGTTGCAATATATAATACCTATGTATCAAACTTGCACATGCATAATCTGTACCTAAAATAGAAGGTGAAAAAAGTTTTTGTTATAATATTTTATTTTATTATTTTAACTATTATACATTTTAAACTGCATATTTCATATATTATATAATTGTATATAGTGCATATGATTATATAGTAATATTGTATGTTTTATGTGATTCATCTGGAGTCTAAAAAAATACCTGGGTGAGTAACTAGGCTATGACTTCAAAGATTTTAACATAAATTATGTCATTAAAACTATTTAATTAAAATCATTAGATTTTTCTATTTTGCTTCTGAGAATTTTGTCTTTTTTTTACTGTTGTACAACACTTTTGCGAATATTGAATTAAAATATTTCTTATAAAAATTCACTTTTGGCCGGGCGCGGTGGCTCATGCCTGTAATCCCAGCACTTTGGAAGGCTGAGGTGAGTGGATCACGAGATCAGGAGTTCAAGACCAGCCTGGCCAACATGGTAAAACCCCTTCTCTACTAAAAATACAAAAATTAGCTGGGCATGGTGGCACGTGCCTGTAATCCCAGCTACTTGGGAGACTGAGGCAGGAGAATCGCTTTAACCGGGACCCGGGAGGCAGAATGCAGGGAGCCCGAGCTCGCACCACTGCACTCCAGCCTGGGCTACAGAGTGAGACTCTGTCTCAAAAAAAAAAATTACTTTTAATAATTAACATATACATTTGATTTATAGGCCAATGTCTATATATGTAATTTTGTAATCAAGGTTTTCTAAATTTCATCTACACAAAACACAGACAGAGGACATTGGTGCTGTTTTGCATAAAGCAACATTATATTAGATCTAACAATAGGCCAATTTACCTATTGTTAATATTTTAAATTGGCAATGGGTCAATTATTTGGAGCTAGAGGGAAGGGCTGGCTGATTTATGTTTTAAATTATTATCCTGAAAATTGGGCATTGCCCAATTATACTAAATAAAAAGCATTTTTTGGTATTTAAATTAAATTATACTACCTCAATTGCAGAAGTTACTTTTCCTAGTCATTTCAATTTCAGTATACATTTGTATTCAATAAAGAAAAAATATTGGCTGGATGTGGTGGCTCACGCCTGTAATCCCAGCACTTTGGGAGGCCAAGGCGGGAGGATCACAAGGTCAGGAGATCGAGACCACCCTGGCTAACACGGTGAAATCCCATCTCTACTAAAAATACAAAAAAATTAGCCGGACGTGGTGGCGGGCGCCCGTAGTCCCATGTACTCGGGAAGCTGGGGTAGGAGAATGGCATGAACCTGGGAGGCGAAGCTTGCAGTGAGTGGAGATCGTGCCACTGCACTTCAGCCTGGGCGAGAGAGCAAGACTCTGGCTCAAAAAAAAAAAATGTGTATATATATATATGTATATGTATATGTATATGTATATGTATATGTATATGTATATGTATATGTATATGTATATGTATATGTATATGTATATGTATGTATAGGCCGGGCGTGGTGGCTCATGCCTGTAATCCCAGCACTTTGGGAGGCCGAGACGGGTGGATCATGAGGTCAAGAGTTCAAGACCAGCCTGGCAAAGATGGTGAAACCCCGTCTCTACTAAAAATACAAAAATTAGCTGAGCGTGGTGGCAGGAGCCTGTAATCCCAGCTACTCAGGAGCCTGAGCCAAAGAATTGCTTGAACCTGGGAGGCAGAGGTTGCAGTGAGCTGAGATCGTGCCTCTCCGCTCCAGGCTGGGCGACAGAGTGAGACTCTGTCTCAAAAAAAAAAAAAAAAATTCAATAAATATTCTTGGGAGCTGAAATCAGGAACTAGTGAGTTCAGAAATGTCAGCTTTTATTAAATATGTTTATAATAGACCGAGAACTAGCAACAGAAGTTTTAAATACCTGTCATAGGCTGTGACAGCTTAAAGCTTCCCTCCTTCACATTACAAAATAATGTATGAAATTCACTTCCACGTTTTGCAGTAGGTTGAATAAGTCACAAATAACATTCTTCCTCCAGATAACAAAGAAGAAAATACAAGCACACATAAACTGATGAAACTGATTATTCCGGTGTTATTCCTTGGTGAAAAATAATCATAAAGAATAGACCTCATTGTAAGATGTTAACAACTCATGAATTTTCCAGCAC
The DNA here is from genome assembly GCF_000001405.40 of Homo sapiens. Classification (NCBI taxonomy): domain Eukaryota; kingdom Metazoa; phylum Chordata; class Mammalia; order Primates; family Hominidae; genus Homo; species Homo sapiens. Next base: position 64,052,357 of record NC_000004.12, on the reverse strand, counting down.
TTACTTTAATGTGAATATTTGGCATATTTATTGATTCAGCTATGTTGGCACTTAAAAAGCTGATTTATGTTTTACAGCAATAATAAATATACTTTAAAATCAGAAAGAAAGGTAAGCAAAATATATACTCATATTCGATATTATAATATGTTTAACTGAGTTCTAACGTTTTCTTCAAGTATAGTAAATCTATAATTACAAAATTTTCCCCCAAAATGCCCAGATATGCTCAAAGACATGTAGTGAAAAGTAGAGTGGAAAAATCATGTTATAGTCCTTGCCCTTCAGAAACTTCCATTTTTTATTTAAATTTTTGAGCCCAGGTTGACTGTCAGAGTATCTAAGAGGCTATAGATAACCCGAAGACTTTATTTTATATATTATATTTGTGAACTTATGTATTCATTTTTAGCCTTCAATAATGAACATTTATTATCATGCTCACATATATACTAGAAAATCTCTGCTTTAAACTGGGGCCTACTGATTGGCTGGTTTGCTTCTGCTCCATGTGTTTCTTTTTCTTCTGGAACCAGCAGGCTACTTGGACATGTGCTTCCCATGATAATGGCAGAAGCTAGGAGAGCAAGGTCAACTGCACTAGCACATACCAAGCTTTTACTTGTGTCATTTCTTCTACAACAACACTGGCTAAAGCAGGTCACTTGTCTGAGCCCAGAGTCAAATTGTGGGAAGACATTCCCCAAAGGGCCAAGAGAACTACATTGCCAAGTCCAACATCAGTAAAACAGATAAGGGTGAGCAAGTGGGTTGGAGGAGTAGAGAAAGTGAATATTTACTGAGCAGTAGTCTCTAATTTGTACAACCTCCAGTGGGAATGAGAAGCACAGCTTTTGCTAACAGGACACTGGGAATGATGATGAGAGAGATCATCCTTACTTCCACACAATATTTCATCCTTTGTTTCTATGCATACGTGGCATAGTGAGGAACTTGCCTCCAGACCTACAGGGTGTGATACCCAATTTGGTGCATTCTAGGTAATGTGGTTATGAGAATAACAAGTCCCAGGGCATGTGCCATTCAGAGCACCTCCTGCAGAACAAAAATCGGTCCCTTGTTCGGAGGCTATGATGTGAGAGATCCCACATATTTAAACTAGTGACGACTTTCTTTTAAATAGGAATTATCTAAGCATTAGGCAAAGAAATGGTATATGTGTGTATATATGTATGTATACACACACACACATATATATATAGCTGTAAATTACTATAAACATGTAGGTTTTTCAATAATCATTATAAAATTTTAGGACACTAGTAAAAATATTTATTATACTTTGTAAAAGAGCAGTGATGCATGTGTGATTCATATATCATAGACTCAAATACATGTCCTTGAAAAAAATGTTATTTACAATGTCCAATACACTTAAATAACTATGTCACTTTAATATTATTTAATATCAACATTCTGAAATATTTTTCTTCAAAACTAATGACGGTGCTGTTGAAGCTGATGTTTTTGCTCCAAAATTTTGGATTATAAATGTCAAGTATCTACAACTGGAGTTACAACAATGTCCAACAAAATTAAAAATATGTACTCTTCTGGAAATTTGGAGACATAAAATAAAATTTTGTGGGACAGTATCTTACATTTTCTTATTACTGAGATCTTATTAATAATTATAATTATGACAATTATATGAGCCAACATATACAAATATTAATTTGAAGGCTCACACCATTCATTTTTGTACTTAATTTTTATAAATGCTAAATGAGTTACATATTGCTTTAAATATATAATTTATACACATAAGGCACAGAACCTCAGTGATCATTTGCTAAATGAAACTCCAAAGTGAACTAGAATCTACTTCTAACATATCACAAGTTTGGGGATGGCTAGCTGACTATTTTCGGTATGTGTGATTTACTTCATATATATGTAGGAAATGAAACACATATTAAAGATTTTTTCTTACATTCACGAATTTCTTCACAGGTAGAAAGCATTCAATAGATGAAATTACATATCTATATATCTATTAGAATCAGTGTATATGTATTGTAAAAGTTGATCATAAGAATTGGGCCGTTTTTGTCATAAATAACTGAAATGGACTCAAGAGATCGAGATGGGAAAACCACTCGGGACACATAACATTACTCTAAAATGCAATTCTCTGCAAGCCTGGCTGCTAAAAATGCCTTTTGTAACCTGAGATCAGCTTTATCCAATAGTTACTGAAACTTTTACCCACTGCCTTCACTCATCAATCAGAGCTTGCCAGATCCCGAAGACTTTACTTATACCGATAAACTTTGTTTTAAAACAACATGTAACAATAGGAGAATGGCGCATAGGTTATATGCAAATGCTATGCCATTTTATATAAGGGACTTGAGCATTAGCATATTGTGGTATCGGCGGGGTGAGGGGAGGCTGAGCTAATCCCCTACAGATAGCAAGAAACGAGTGTGTATGTATGTGTATGTTTATATGCATACATGCATTTATCAAGTAGATATATATACACATGTGTATTTCTATGTATGTGTAGACAAGTACACTCCATTGTATCATGTTTTATATCTCCATTCAAATTTATGTGTTACCATCCAATTAACCACAAAAAGATGATTTTAAAAATTAACAAATTTTCATAAATAATTTTTCATACAGAATAAGTAAAAAGTAAAATAGCAAGGATGATCGATTATGTATTAATTTTGTCTGCAATTGTCTTTAGAAAGTAATGTCATGCATAGAATTGGGATTCTCCAATTAGCTCACCATTAAAATTTGGCCTACAAGGATATTTAAATAAATTTTATCATTAGAGGGCTGACACATGAGTACAAGCTACCAGCATATCATGGTCACTTATTACTTGTTGACTCCTTCTTGTTTTTTCATCCTAAATTGTTACAAAAAATTCAGAAACCAAGTTATACCATATAGTTATGCCATCTCTATGACTATTTGGCCAAACTTGCAATGATAATTTGAGCATCAAATATATTTCATTTAATCACTACTTGATAAGAGACATGATGTGTGTAATTAGAATATCCTGTTTATTTAAATATATGGTGAACTAGATTTACATGGATTATTTTTCTGGATCATGAAACAAACTGAATTGGGGAATATTTCTGTATTCATTGTGCAATGCAGACACATGATTTCAATTATCAATTTATAAAATAACACATTAAGCTTTTTTTAGAAGCTTTTATTTTATTTTTACTTTAAAATTTTTTTATTTCACTTTACTTTATTTTTTATTTTTTTTGAGCAAACTCCATACTGTTTTTTTTTTGTAGCTGCAGCACCATTTTCATTCCCATCAATAGTTTATGGGGGTTCTATTTTTTTCATAGCCTCACCAGTAGTTGTTGTCTTTGATTGTTTCTTAACAATAACTATCCTAAGAGGCATGAGGTGATATCTCATTATCGTTTTGATTTGTATTTACCTGATGATTAGTTTTGTTGTGCATCTTTTCATATACCTATCAGCAATTTGTGTATCTTCTTTGGAGAAATGTCTATTTAAGTTCTTAGCTTATTTTTTTAATTCAGGCTATCTTTTTTTCTTTTTGCTATTGAGTTGTAAGAGTTACTTACATATTTTAGATATATTGTTTGCAAATATTTTCTAACGTTCCATAAGCTGTGTCTTCACTCTATTTATTATTTCCTTTCCTTTAAAAAAGTGTTTCTTAATTCATTTTGGCTGAGATATATATACTGTATTATATATATATACTTTATGTTATATATATATACACATACATATGTATACACACATATATAATATATATGTATGTATGTGCGTGTGTGTATATATATATGTGTGTGTATATATGTATATGGTTTATATACCATAAACCAGGTGGCTTGTAGTCAAGAGAAATTTGTTTCTCACAATACTGGAGGCTGAAAACTTCAAGAAAAAGGCAACAGCAGATTTGATGTTTGGTGATGGCCTGTTTTCTCATTCACAGGAAGCCATATTTTTGTTGTGTGCTCACATGGTCAAAGGGTGGTGGGATCCCTACAGGGTTTCTTTTGAAAGGGAACTAATTCCTTTCATGAAGGTTTTGTCCCTATGACCTTATTACCTCCCAAAGGCCCCACATCCTAATACCATTATCTTGCAGATTAGGAATTCAAAATATAAATTTTGGGTGGACATAAACGGTTCATAGCAAAGCATTTTAGTTTGATGTAGTGTAACTTACTTCTGCTTTTGTTGCCTGTGCTTTTTCTGTCATATCTATGAAATCACTGCCCAGGCCAGTGTCATAAAGTTTTTTACCTATGTTTTTTTCTGAGAGTTGCATAGTTTCAGGTCTTATGTTTAAGTATTTCATCCATTTTTAATTCATTTGTGTCTACGGTGTAAGGTAAGGGTCCAATTTTATTCTTTTTGCCTGCAGATATCTAGTTTAACACCATTTACTTAAAAGACTATTATTTCTCCATTGTGTATTATTCGTATTCATGTTAAAAATCAGTTGATAGTATATGTGTGGATATATTTTTGGACTCTGTTTTGTTTAATTGGTCTATATGTCTGTCTTTATGCTAGTGCCCTACTGTTTTAATTATGGTAATTTTAGTATATTTTGAAATCTGGAAGTGTGATGTCATCAGCCTTCTTCTTTTTTCCAAGATTGTTTTAGTATTTTGGTGATTGTATTAGTCAGTGTTCTCTACAGGGACATGACTAATATGATAGATGTATATATAAAGGGAAGTTTATTAACAATTATTAACTCACATGATCACAAGATCCCACAATATGCTCTCTGCCAGCTGAGAAGCAAGGAAGTCAGTCTGAGTCCCAAAGCTGAAGAACTTGGAGTCCAATGTTCGAGGGCAGAAAGCATCCAATATGGGAGAAAGATGTAGGTTAGGAGACTAAGCCAACCTAACCATGTACTTCTGCCTGCATTTATTCCTTCCACGATGTCAGCTGATTAGATTGTGTCTACCCAGATTGAGGGTGGGCCAGCCTTTCCCAGTCCACTGACTCAAATGTTAATATCCTTTGGCAACATCCTCACAGTCACACCTAGAAACAATACTTTGCATCCTTCAATCTAATCACGTTGACACACAGTATTAATCATCACAGTGATCCTTAATGGTTCCATAAAAATTTTGAATTTTTTTTAAATTTCTGAAAACATGTCATTGCAATTTTGATGGAGATTGCAATAAATTTGGATTGCTTTGGGTAGTATGAATATTTTAACTTATGAGATTTTTAAATCTATGAACACATGTTGTTTTCCACTTATTTCTGTCTTCTCTCACTTTTTTAACTAATGTTTTGCAGTTTTTACTGTATAACGCTTTGCACTCCTTGGTTAATTTTATTCCTAAGTATTTTATTACTTTTATGCTTTTGCAAATAAGGACGTTTCTTTAATTTCCTTTTCAGATAGTTCATTGGGAAGGCATAGCTACTCAGTTTTGTATGTTGATTTTTTTATCCTGCAACTTTACTTAAGTTGCTTGTCAGTTCGAACAATTTTTGGTGAAATTATTAGAGTTTTATCTATACCAGATCACATCCTCACCACAAATAGAACAAATTTCCCTTTCTCCTTTTCAATTGAGACCTTTTACTTCTTTTTTCTTTCCTAATTGCTCTGTTTAGTATTTCGCATAGTGTGTTGAACAGAACAGTGTCTATTCTTGCCTCCTTGTTCCTGATCTTGCATGAATATCACATTGTAATTTTTGGTCTTCTTAAAATTTACTTTCTCAAAGTTATAGAAGCCAGAGGTCTGACATCAAGGTGGTGGCCGGTTCTTTTTTGAAGCTCTTAGGGGTAATCCATATCATGCCTGTTTTCTAGGTTCTGATGGCTGACAGAAATCCTTGGCAAACATTGTCCTATAGATAAATCACTTCAATACTTTTCATCTTCACATGTCTTTCTCCAAAGGCCCTATAAGTACCCTTCACTTATTATTGGACTTATTGCCCAACCTAATTTAAGATAATCCCATTTCAATATTTTTAACTTAATTTCATGTGCAAATACTTTTTTTTCCCCAAATATGTAAGGTTACCTTCATAGCTTTTAGGGAACATATGGTTTCTGCTTGTTTGTTTGTGGGCCACAATTTAACCCAGCACACATAGAAAATTAAAAGTTGAAAACTTGAGTTTCCTTATCTTAAATATAACCAGTCATTTTCCCCAAAAGTAAGAAATTTTTAAAAAGTCTTATCTTATGTTCAAGGGTACATATGCAGGTTTGTTTTATAGGTAAACTAGTGTCATGGAGGTTTGTTATCCAGGTTATTTCACCACTCAGGTTCTAAGTCTTGTACTCAGTAGTTATTTTTTTTCTGATTCTTTTCCTCCTCCTACCCTCTACACTCAAGTAGGCCCTAGTATCTGTTGTTCTCTGCTATGTAACCATGAGTTCTCATCATTTAGTTTAGTTTCCATTTATAAGTGAGAACTTCTGGTATTAGACTTTCTGCTCCTGAGTTAGTTTTCCTAAGGATAACTGCCTCTAGTTCCATCCAGGTAACAACTTTTCATGTTATTTGTATACTCTTTTAAAAATTCATTATATGCACACATACATAAAAAAGCAGTTCATTTTTATTAATTCCAAAATTGGCAAAGAGCACATAGTGGTCTTTATAGTAAGCTTTAATTGTGCTCTTTACACATTAGCATTTACTCACACACTGCATTTAATATATTTTGCAAATTGTCACAGTATTAAAATCAACCAAATTCCCATAATGTATTAAACAATGCTTCTATAATCAATTTATTTTATTGATATATTTGCTTTTAAAGTTGTCCACTATTATTTCCATTTGATTTTTTAACATACTATCTTTTGCCAAAAATATGGTCCTCTTATCCTTAAGGATTATAGGAGACAATTTTGTGTTACTAATGATTTGGGATCAAATTTAATGGATAATTAAACATTTTCTGATAATATGGAAGGCTAAAGCACTCTTATTGAAGGGAAAACACAAAAACCCGATATCTTGTACATACATGTGCCTCTGTGTGTGTGTGTGTGTGTGTGTGTGTGTGTGTGTTGGGGGGATGTTTGGGGTTAGAAGAAATAACAAAAAATCATATGGTAAGTTTCCTTAAGTCTAGTTCATGAGACTGGTGAAAGAGTGGATCTTTAGAATAAAAGGTATCTAGAAAGAATACAGGGCTCTTGAATCCTATGAGAACAATTTTTTTGTCCTATTATAAGTGACCTTTGCTAATGGTCACTTCTAACCCTAAATAAGAAACCTGAAAACCATTACATTTAAAGGTGGAGACTAGGACATTGATACTTCAAGCACTCTAGAACATTCAATCCAAGAAGCATTGAATAGATGTCCATCTATTTCAGATAGATAAAGCTTACTTATTGAATTCCTATTTGGCTCAAAGTTAGTTGGGAAACGAATATGTTTAACAAAAAAATATCTTGAGTGGCAAAATTGAGTAAAAATAGACATAAATATAAATATTTTATAAAGAGAAGATCAAAGAATAGGCTTAACTTTATTTGGAAAAATTATCTGCAAATTTGATTTGTCTATAATTTAATAAGACTGTCAAACAAGCTAATGCAAAGTTAAAATTGCTAAGAGTGACTCAATTCGTTTTCATATTTACTGTTTCCTAGAACAATGTATTGAACTTTGGGAAACATGTGACACACTGACTATCCTCATGCAGTTTTTCATCCAACATGGGAGAGAACCATTCAAACATACTACATTTTCATTGAGTAAACAAGTGAAATAGATCAGGAAGTCTAAGGGGAAAAAGTGAACAATTCAGAAAACCATGGGTAGAAATCACATATTTTCAAGATTATTTTTTGATAGAAATTTGAAGATTGTGGCTTCTACGGTAAGAAAGGCTGCCCTGTCTCACTAATCCTATTCAACATAGTATTGGAAGTTCTGGCCAGGGCAATCAGGCAAGAGAAAGAAATAAAGGGTATTCAAATATTAAAGGAGGAAGTCAAATTGTCTCTGTTTGCAGATTATAGAATTGTAAATTTAGAAAACCCCATCGTCTCAGCCCAAAAATCTCCTTAAGCTGATAAGAAACTTCAGCAAAGTCTCGAGATACAGAATAAATGTGAAAATATCACAAGCATTTCTATACACCAATAATAGACAGATATCCAAATCATGAGTGAACTTCCATTCACAATTGCTACAAAGAGAATAAAATAACTAGGAATATAATTTACAAGGCATACGAAGGACCTCTTCATGGAGAACTACAAACTACTGCTCAACGAAATAAGAGAGGACACAAACAAATAGAAAAACATTTCATGCTTATGGATAGAAAGAATCAATATCATAAAAATGGTCATACTACCCAAAGTAATTTATAGATTCAATGCTATCCCTATCAAGCTACCATTGGCTTTCTTCACAGAATTAGAAAAAACTACTTTAAATTTCATATGGAACCAAAAAAGAGCCTGTATAGCCAAGGCAATCCTAAGCAAAAAGAACAAAGTTGGAGACATAATGCTACCTGACTTCAAACTATGCTACAAGTCTACAGTAATCAAAACAGCATGCTACTGGTACCAAAAGAGATATATAGACCAATGTAACAGAACAGAGGCTGCAGAAATAACACCACACATCTACAACCATCTGATCTTTGACAAAACCAACAAAAGCAAGAAATGGGGAAAGGATTCCCTATTTAATAAATGGTGTTGGGAAAACTGGCTAGTCATATGCTGAAAACTGAAACTGGACCACTTCCTTACACCTTATACAAAAATTAACTAAAAAATGGACTAAAGACTTAAACATAGACCTAAAACCATAAAAACCCTAGAAGAAAACCTAGGTAATACCATTCAGGACACAGGCATGGGCAAAGACACATGACTAAAACACCAAAGCAAGGGCAACAAGAGCCAAAATTGATAAATGGGATCTAATTAAACTAAAGAGCTTCTGCACAGAAAAAAAACAAAAACAAAAACAAAAGCTATCATCAGAGTGAACAGGGAACCTACAGAATGAAAGAAGATGTTTGTAATCTATCCATCTGACAAAGAGCTACTGTCCAGAATCTACAAAGAACTTAAAAAAATTTACAAGAAAAAAACCCCATCAAAAAGTGGACGAAGGATATAAACAGACACTTCTCAAAAGAAGATATTTATGTGGCCAATAAACATATGAAAAAAGGCTCGTCATTACGCATCATTAGAGGAATGCAAATCAAAACTACGATGAGATACCATCTCATGCCGGTTAGAATGGTGATCATTAAAAAGTCAAGAAACAACAAATGCTGGAGAGAATGTGAAGAAATAGGCACGCTTTTACACTGTTGGTGGAAGTGTAAATTAGTTCAACCATTGTGGAAGACAGTGTGGCGATTCCTCAAGGATCTAGAACCAGAAATACCATTTGACCCAGCAATCCCATTACTAGCTATATACCCAAAAGATTATAAATCATTCTACTATAAAGACACATGCACACATATGTTTATTGCAGCACTGTTCACAATAGCAATGGCGTGGAACCAACCCAAATGTCCATCGATGGTAGACTGGATAAAGAAAATGCTGCACATATACACTATGGAATACTATGCAGCCATAAAAAAGGATGAGTTCATGTCCTTTGCAGGGACTATCATTCTCAGCAAACTAACAAAGGAACAGAAAACGAAACACTGCATGTTCTCACTCATAAGTGGGAGTTGAACAATGAGAACACATGGACACAGGGAGGGGAACATTGCACACTGGGGCCTGTTGTGGGGTAGAGGGTTAGGGGAGGGATGGTATTAGAAGAAATACCTAATGTAGGTGACGAGTTGGCTGGTGCAGCAAATCACCATGACACGTGTATACCTGTGTAACACAACTGCATGTTCTGCACAAGTATCCCAGAACTTAAAGTATAATAAAAAGAAAATATTCTACACGGCATAAAAAAGAAATCATAGTTTTACAAAGGATATAGTGTAAGAGGAAACAGCAGATGTAGGAACAATAAGACAATTACCTACTAAGTGTCAAATGATTATCTGAGTATCCAGTTGCTTAAAAACACTGAAATATAAGTAGTTGTTATTGCTCAGTGTTCCAAACGTAAGATGCTTTTCTAATTTACTGATCGAATTCATAAGGTGACAAAAGCAAACCAAAAAGGAAACAGACAAAAACCCCAATTCTAATTATTATATTGTTAACAAATAGACAATGAGGGAAGAATGGTAAACATAAATTTTGATTACTTTCTTTGGCTCTCTTTTATTCAAATGTATAGAACGTTAAAATAGACCTCAGATATTTTAAACTATTAAAGCTAATTTTTAAAGTTTTTTAAAAAATATTTATTTTAGGTTTGGAGGCACATGTGAAGGTTTGTCACATAGATAAACAGGTATCATAGGGGTTTATTGTACATATTACATCATCCAGGTATGAAACTCAGTACCCAATAGCTATATTTTCTTCTCTTCTCCCTATTCTCACTCTCTCCACTCACATAGACCCCAGTGTCAGTTGTTTTTTGTGTTCCTAAGTTCTCATCTTTTAGTTCCCACTTATAAGTGAGAACACGTGGTATTTGTTTTTCTTTCCTATATTAGTTTGCTAAGGATGATAGCCTCCAGTTCTACCCATGTTCCTGCAGAAGACATGATCTCATTCTTTCTTATGGCGGCATAATATTCCATGGTGTGTAAGTACCACATTTTCTTTATTCAGTCTTTAATGGATGGTCGTTTAGGTTGATTCCATGCCTTTGTTATTGTAAATAGTGCTGCAGTGAACATACAAATGCACTAGAATATAAATAGTTGTCATGTGTCTTTATAATGGAATGATTTATATTCCTTTGGGTATATACCCAGTAATGAGTTTCCTCGGTCAAATGGTATTTCTGTTTCTAGGTTTTTGAGGAATGGCCGCACTATCTTCTACAATGGTTGAACTAATCTACACTTCCACCAACAGTGTTAAATCATTCCTTTTTCTCCACAACTGTTTGTTTTGTTTTTTTTTTTACTATAATAATAGCCATCCTGACTGGCATAAGATCTAAGATGGTATCTCGTTGTTGTTTTGATTTGCATTTATCTAGTGATCAGTAACATTGAGTATTTTTGTACATATTTGTTGGCCACATGTATGTCTTTTGAGAAGTGTCTGTTCATGTTATTTGCCCACTTTTATATGGTGTGGCTTGCTTTTCTCTTGTAAATTTGTTTAAATTCATTATAATGGCTGGATATTGGACCTTTGTCAGATGCATAGTTTGCAAATATTTTCTCCCATTCTGTAGGTTGTCTATTTACTTTGTTGATGGGGAATGGACAAAAACTGGAAACATTCTCTATGAAAACTGGCACAAGAAAATGATGCCCTCTCTCACCACTTCTATTCAACATAGTATTGAAAGTCCTAGCCAGAACAATTAGGCAAGAGAAAGAAATAAAAGGCATCCAAATAGGAAGAGAGAAAGTCAAATTATCTCTGCATACAACATGAATCTATATCTAGAAAACCCCATAGTCTCAGCCCAAAAGCTTCTTCAGCTGATAGACAACATCAGCAAAGTTGTAGGATACAAAATCAGTGTACAGAAATTACTGTCATTCCAAAAGCTACTTTAGAGTCACAAAATCTAAATTTAATTTGTTTTTTTTCAGTAAGTTATCATTTACTAAGGAACAAAAGAGCACCTTACTTTTAGAAGAATTAACATATTTGAGTTTTTCACACCACAAAAGCTAAAATATCCCCATGAATACATAGCATTTCACACATACCAAATATTTAAACCAATCATGTGATGACAAATGTAAAGAAACTTGTGCAATAATAAATGACAAACATTCATTCAAAACGTTCTAAATACTCATAGTCTTGTTGAGTTATATTCTGCTCTAAAGATGGATGTTAATAATGAGAATGGACTTTTTAGTATACACTTAATGTCAATAGAGTGAAGCATTTTGAAATGTCTATGGTTCTAGATTTCTAACATGTCTGTGATTATATTAATAAGATCTTAACACTGAAGATGATTTTATAGTATTAGTGCACTTGTGTGTAAATATGCATTGTGGATGTTGTTAATCCCTCCCTTTTTGTTTTACTAATATAGTCACTAAGAACAGGAGGGCAGTGGAATTCAGAGTGAGTATAAGGCTGTAGATTCTTAGTTTAATTCTTTTTCCATTGTACCAGAGTGTTTCTCAAGTTAAATATGTAATGTAGGAAAGACACCAGTAAGGAATATGATACATGAAATAATGTTAGACCTTGAAAAAATAATTTTATCTTTGCTAGGAACTCCTATATTACTGTTGTGTATACTTAGTTTATTGAATGAGGATTTTATGTTTTTTTTTGTCTTTCCACAATGTCAGGCTTTTATTAATGCTATTCTGATCCACAAGCTACATGGAGTCAAAGCCCTGGGCACACAGGCTCAAGCCACTCCACAAGTCAGTCAATATTGTAAACCATACATAATAGTGCACTTAATCAATGTATAAATCTTTTAGTTTAAACATTTCACTACAAACAAAGTAACATTCAACATCAAGAAGAAAAAGACATAGGAAAAAAGATTAATGAACTAGTCCAGGAAGAGCTAAGAAGACTGAAGGATTCCTGGACTGCGCTGGTTGTTCCTTTGGACTTGCAAGGAAAAGTATCTGAGGTGGCAGAGCCTTCAGCAGCAGATGTCAGGTTCCTTTTTTGTTTGTTTGTTTTCCCCACTGTCCAAAACTTTACTGAGATTTACATTTTTGATACATGGTTGCAAGTTTCTGCCAAAGCTAACTCTATATAATGTGTTCTGTGTCACTGCCTCTGTAAGCTTCTGGTGGAACACCTAATGGAAGATTTTGTTTTTTTTTTTTGAGACCGAGTCTCACTCTGCAGCCAGGCTGGAGTGCGGTGGCATAATCTCGGCTCACTGAAACCTCTGAATGCCTGGTTCAAGCTATTCTCCTGCCTCAGCTTCCCGAGTAGCTGGGACTACAGGCACACGCCACCATGCCCAGCTAATTTTTGTATTTTTGGTAGAGAAGGGTTTCACCATGTCGGCCAGGACAGTCTGGATCTCCTGACCTCGTGATCCGCCCACCTCGGCCTCCCAAAGTGCTGGGATTACAGGCATGAGCCACCGCACCCGGTCTCTCTTTTTTTTTTTTTTTTTTTTTTTTTTAATAAATTTTTGATTTCCAAGTCTTATTTTAAGGTTAGGGGAACATTTGCAGAATTTGCAAGTTTGTTACATACGTAAATGTGTGCCATAATGGTTTGCTGCACAGATTATCTCAGCACCTAAATAATAAGCTCAGCATTCATTAGCTATTCTTCCTCACACTCTCCCTCCTCCCCCACCGGACCCTCCAACAGGCCACAGTGTGTGATGTTCCCCCACCATGTGTCCATATGTTCTCATCATTCAGCTCCTACTTGTAAGTGAGAACATGTGGTATTTGCTTTTCTTTTCTGGATTTAGTCTGCTGAAGACAAAGGTTTCCAGCTCCACCCATATCCCTGCAAAGGGCATGATCTCATTCCTTTTCATGGTTGCTTAATATTCCATGGTATATATGTACCACATTTTCTTCATCCAGTCTATCATTGATGGGCATTTAGCTTAACTCCATGTCTTTGCTACTTTGAATAGTGCTGCAATGAACATACACATCCATGTGTTCTTATAATGGAGCAATTTATATACCTTTGGGTTTATACCCAGTAATGGAATTGCTGGGGCAAATGGTATTTCTGCCTCTAGGTCTTTGAGGAATTACCACACTGTCTTCCACAATGGTTGAACTAATTTACACTTACACCAACAATGTAAAAGTGCTCATTTTTCTATGCAACCTCACCAGCATCGATTATTTTTTGACATTTTAATAATATCCATTCTGACTGGCATGTGATGGTATCTCACTGAGGTTTTGATTTGCATTTCTCTAATGATCAGCAATGTTGAGCTTTTCTTTTATGTTTGCAGACTGCATGTATGTCTTACTTTGAGAAGTGTCTGCTCATGTCCTTTGCCCACTTCTTACTGGGGTTCTTTGTTCTTTCTTTTTTTTTTTTTACGGAAATATAAAACCTTTAATACATTTATAAAATTAAAGAAAATTTATTCCATATATACAAAATATTAAGGACTATCATATTCTTTAACAATTCTTTTTTTTATTTTTATTTTTTTATTTTTTAGTATTTATTGATCATTCTTGGGTGTTTCTCAGACAGGGGGATTTGGCAGGGTCATAGGACAATAGTGGAGAGGAGGTCAGCAGATAAACATGTGAACAAAGGTCTCTGGTTTTCCTAGGCAGAGGACTCTGCGGCCTTCTGCAGTGTTTGTGTCCCTGGGTACTTGAGATTAGGAAGTGGTGATGACTCTTAAGGAGCATGCTGCCTTCAAGCATCTGTTTAACAAAGCACATCTTGCACCGCCCTTAATCCATTTAACCCTGAGCTGACACAGCACATGTTTCAGAGAGCACGAGGTTGGGGGTAAGGTTATAGATTAACAGCATCCCAAGGCAGAAGAATTTTTCTTAGTACAGAACAAAATGGAGTCTCCTACGACTACTTCTTTCTACACAGACACAGTAACAATCTGATCTCTCTTTCTTTTCCCCACATTTCCCCCTTTTCTATGCGACAAAACCGCCATTGTCATCATGGACTGTTCTCAATGAGCTGTTGGGTACACCTCCCAGACAGGGTGGCGGCCGGGCAGAGGGGCTCCTCACTTCCCAGACGTTGCGGCGGGGCAGAGGGGCCCCCCCACCCCCCAGACGGGGCGGCCGGGCAGAGGCGCCCCCCACCTCCCAGACGGGGTGGCTGCCAGGCGGGGGCGCCCCCCACCTCCCAGACGGGGCGGCTGCCGGGCGGAGGGGCTCCTCACTTCTCAGACAGGGCGGCCGGGCAGAGGCGCTCCTCAGTTCCCAGATGGGGTCGCAGCCGGGCAGAGGCGCTCCTCACTTCCCAGATGGGGTGGCGGCAGGCGCTCCTCACCTCCCAGACGGGGTGGCGGCGGGGTAGAGATGCTCCTCACCTCCCAGATGGGGCGGCCAGGCAGAGGTGCTCCCCACATCCCAGACGATGGGTGGCTAGGCAGAGACGCTCCTCACTTCCCACACGGGATGACGGCCGGGAAGAGGTGCTCCTGACTTCCCAGACTGGGCGGCTGGACAGAGGGGCTCCTCACATCCCAGACGATGGGCGGCCAGGCAGAGATGCTCCTCACTTCCTAGACCGGGTGGCGGCCGGGCAGAGGCTGCAATCTCAGCACTCTGGGAGGCCAAGGCAGGCGGCTGGGAGGTGGGGGTTGTAGCGAGCGAGATCATGCCACTGCACTCCAGCCTGGGCAACATTGAGCACTGAGTGAGGGAGACTCCATCTGCAATCCCAGCACCTCGGGAGGCCGAGGCGGGCAGATCACTCGAGGTCAGGAGCTGGAGACCAGCTCCGCCAGCACGGCAAAACCCCATCTCCACCAAAAAGTGCAAAAACCAGTCAGGCAGGGTGGTGCGCGCCTGCAATCCCAGGCACTCAGCAGGCTGAGGCAGGAGAATCAGGCAGGGAGGTTGCAGTGAGCCGAGATCGTGGCAGTACAGTCCAGCCTTGGCAACAGAGGGAGACCGTGGAAAGCGGGAGA
Source organism: Homo sapiens (assembly GCF_000001405.40). Classification (NCBI taxonomy): domain Eukaryota; kingdom Metazoa; phylum Chordata; class Mammalia; order Primates; family Hominidae; genus Homo; species Homo sapiens. Next base: position 64,036,666 of record NC_000004.12, on the reverse strand, counting down.
GGGAGAGGGGGAGGGGAAGGGGGAGGGGAAGGGGGAGGGGGAGGGGGAGGGGGAGGGGGAGGGGGAGGGAGAGCTGTTTTTTCTTGAAAATTTGTTTAAGTTCCTTGTAGACTGGATATTAGACCTCTGTCAAATGAATACACTGCAAAAATGTTATCCCATTGGTAGGTTGTCTGTTCACCCAGATGATAGTTTATTTTGCTGTGCAAAAGCTCTTTTGATTAATTACTTCCTATTTGTCAATTTTTGCTTTTGTTGCTGTTGCTTTTGACATTTTTGTCATGTAATATTTGCCAATGCCTATGTTCTGAATTGTATTGCCTAAATTTTGTTCTAGGGTTTTTATAGTTTTGAGTTTTACATTTAAGTCTTTAATCTATCTTGAGTTAATTTTTGTATATGGTGTAAGAAAGGAGTCTAGTTTCAGTTTTCTGCATATGTCTAAGCAGCACTCCCAGCACCATTTGTTAAACAGGGAGTTGTTTCCTCATTGCTTGTTTTTGTCAGGTTTGGAGACTATCAGAAGGCTGTAGGTGTGCAGTCTTATTTCTGAGTTCTCTATTCTGTTCCATTTGTCTATATGACTGTTCTTGTACCAGTACAATGCTGTTTTGGCTACTGTAGCCTTGTAGTATAGTTTGAAGTCAGGTAGTATGATGCCTCCAGCTTTGTTAATTTTGCTTAGAATTTTTTGGCTACTCAGGCTTTTGTTGTTGTTGTTGCATTTTAATTTTAAAATAGTTTTTCCTAATTCTGTGAAGAATGTTGATGGTAGTTTAATGAGAATAGCATTGAATCTATAAATTACTTTGGGCATTATGGCCATTTTTATAATATTGATTCTTCCTGTCCATGAGCATGGAATGTTTTTCATTTGTTTGTGTCAATTACTTGGAATAGTTTCAGTAGAAATGGTGGAGCTCTTCTTTGTACCTCTGGTAAAATTCAATTGTGAATCCATCTAGTTATTTGTTTTTAAACAGAATATTAAAAAGGTATAATACCAGTCATGGTTGTAAATTGGAGATTTTGATGTTATTTTTTCAAAAATGACAATTATCTTGCTGTTATTTTAGAGAACACATTATACTTTGTGTAACTACACAAAGTTCAACCAGCACAGAATATACCTAATTAATGTTTCATAGTATGATATGAATGGATAGGACATCTATCCTAAAGCACAAGTGCAGAAGGAGATAATCAGAGCTCTCCATGATATTTGTTACTATCTTCCCTAAGATTTGAAGTGATAACCAATATTTAAGTTTTCTATTATTGGCTTAAGCATGCAACTTCACAAACTATACCTAACAGAACAGGTTCATTTGAGAATAGTGAACATATATTTCTTTCAGGCATTAGTAAGTTATGAAGCCATCAATGCCCAATTTCCATCTAGTATACTTGTGATGGACCAAACACCTTACAATGCTATTTTGAAGTCTAAATACATAGTACAATTAAAAGACAGTAGAAATTAAATAAAAACCCACTTACATCACATATAAACATTTTTATACAGTCTTCCAAAATTAAATCATTCTAAAAAAGGGAGTTACTAAAATTATCAAATTAGTATCACAAAAACATAGTGAAGACATTTATCAGAAAACTACTTTTTAAATTTATAAAATGAAGAAAACTAAATGCAAGTGAAAAAAGGTATCAGGATAAAGGATTTTTCCTGGGGTATGTATGTGAGTGAGTTTGTGTGTGCATGATAAATGAAATGAACATAAAATTCCTAGGGGATAGAATGAAGAAAAGTATATATTTATCTGTTATTTTTACTATTATATTCAGACGGAAATTTTGAAAACGTGTTTGCGTAATATCTTCATTGCATATATTTTCTTTTTATAAGTTCTGATCAAAATTGATCTTTGCTAAATATGCAACTAATAAGTTTGGTTAAAGATAAAACCAAATTTATGATTTTTCTCTTTTGAAATTTATAATATTTGTCTTTTTCAAATTAGAAAAAATACACATTGTGTATAATCATTTTGCCCACATAAGCATTTATATATTTGCATCATAACCCATAAGCATAAAATTTCACATTATATTAAAATAATTTCGGTACTTTCTCTTGAAGTGATGCAGCATGAAAATAAATTATCTCTAATGCATATAAATTTCTAAAGCCTTCCTCATGTAGGTTAAAAGCAAGGTAATTAATGAGCACAATATATTATTTCAAATTGCCATATTTAAAAATGAAGCAGTTTTAAAAAGAAATAGATGTCTAGAAAAGCAATAACTGTAAAAGTTTAAAGGGTGTTAACTTTTAAAAATTAATTCATAAGTCCATGATATAAGCGAGTGACTCACTTTTTTTAGTGTATTTTTCTCATATAATTTCATAATAAATTGTAGGAGATGGAATATCATTAAAACACTAAAGATTTCAGAATTGCCTTAGCATAAGAACCTTCCTTCAAAAGTGACAATTTGTGTCTCACAGAAAGCCACTGCATCTCTGATTGATCTCCCAAATCCTCTATGATATGGCTGTTTCCTGGTGTTCTGGCTAGAGCTAAGATAAACATTTTGTACACTGAAGGTCACAAATTAGAGCTGAATTATTATTTAACTATTTTGTTGAATAATAATTTGATTCAACCAAATGGAAAAATAAAATGACAAGGCCAAAGGAAGCTGGACACCGTGGTATGCAGTAAAGTCCCAGCTACTCAGGAAGCTTAGGTGGAAGGATAATTTGAGCCAAGGAGTTCGAGACCAGCCTGGGCAATGTAACAAGACCCTATCTATAAAAAAAATGACAAGGCTAAGACAGATGAAAATTTTCTCCTTAACTTGAATCTATTGCAAATATGAATTTTTAAAATGAGACTAAGGGAGAAAATTACATTGTGTGCTAAAAATGCCTGACACATTTTAAATAATTTACTTATTATAAAATACATTATCATTAATAATATGAATATTATTAACATTATTATAAATTATAAAAAAAATTTATAGGCCGGTGCAGTGGCTCACACCTGTAAGCCCAGCACCTTGGGAGGCGGAGGTGGGAGGATCACCTGAGATCAAGAGTTTGAGACCAGCCTGGCCAACATGGTGAAACCCTGTCTCCACTAAAAATACAAAAATTAGCCAGGTGTGGTGGCAGGTGCCTTTAATCCCAGCTACTTGGGAGGCTGAGGCAAAAGAATCACTTGATTCCGGGAGGGAGAGGGTGCAGTGAGCCAAGATCGTGCCATTGCACTCCAGCCTGGAAGACAAGAGCAAGACTTTGTCTAAAAAAAAAAAAAAAAAAAAAATTATAGAGAATTTTTATGTTTGCAGATAAATCCCACATGGCTCCTCACTTCCTGCACATATTTACCCTATTTTAACATCTTACATTAGTGTGGTACATTTGTTTTGGTAGATGAGTTAGCTCTTTCTGTTATCCCATTTTATGGAGTTTTGTAAATGCAAAATGTCATGTATCTAATTTTAAAATATCATATGAAGTATCACAACAAAAAATTGCTGTACTCCACCTGCTCATCATGATTACACTCCTCCTTAACCTCTGGCAATCACTGATTTTTTAAAATATTTCCATGGTTTGCCTTCCCTACAATACTATAGTTAGAATTATACAGTATATAGCCTTTTCAGATTGGCTACTTTCACTGAACAATACATACTTAAATTTTCTCCATGACTTTTTGTGACATGTATAACTCATTACTTTTTATAGATGAATAATAAGTCCATTGTATAACTGTACTACAGTTTTTAAAATCTGTTATTCTATTGGAGGACATCTTAATTGATTCAAAGGTTTGAATATTAAGAATTAAGCTGCAGTGGCCATTCATATGCAGAGTTTTTCTGTGGGCATAAATTTTCAACTGTTTTGAAAAGTACTTAGAAGCATTATTATATAATAATCCTATGCAATCAATCAAAATTTAATTCTATCAATGGTATTGTAAAGAAACTGCCAAAGTATCTTCCCAAGAAGCTATACTATTTTGCATTTCCACCAGCAATGAGTGAAAGTTCCTTTTAATTCACATACTTGTCAGTATTTAGTGTTTTCAATGTTTTGTGTTTTAGTCATTCTAATAGGTATGTGGTGGTATTTCATTGTTGTTTTAACTTTCAATTCCCTAAAGACATATAATGTTAAACATCTTTTCATATGTTTATTTGCTATTTGTATATATTTGGTGAGATGTTTACTTGGATTTCTACTCAATATATACCTGGATTGCTTTTTTATTGATAAGTTTTAATAGTTCTTATATTTTGGATACCAGTCTTTTATAAAATACATGTTTTGCAAATCTTTTCTTACATTGTGTGGCTTGTCTTTTAACCTTCTGAATACGTGTCCTTTCTAGAACAGAAGTTTTAATTTTAACTAAGTCAAAATTATCAATGTTTTCTTTTATAGATCATGCTTTTTGTGTTGGTGTTTAGTCATCACCCACTAGATTTCTCTAATGTTATTGTCTATACTTTTTCAGAGTTTTAAATTTTACATTTATGTGTATGTTCTATTTTGAGTCAAGTTTTGTAAAAGTTCTGTGTATATATTTATTTTTTTACATGCAGATTTCCAGTTTTCCCAGTATATTTGTGGAAAGGATCATCCTTTACCTATTAAATTGCCTTTTTTTTCTGTAAAAGATCAGTTTGCTATATTTTGGGATCTCTTTCTGGGCTTTTAATTCTGTTCTGTTGATCTATTATATATTCTTTTGCCAATATCATGCTGTCTTGATCACGGGAGTCTTATAGTGAGTCTTTAAGTAAGTCAATGTCAGTCCACCAAATTTTTATTTTCAGGGCTTTGTTAAATATTCTTGATCTTTTGGCTTTCCATATAAATCTTAAAATCTGTTTGTTGCTATTAAAAAGTAATTTGCTGTAATAGTGATCGAGATAGTGTTGAATCTTTAGATCAAGGTGGAAAAACTGACAGCGATACTGATTCCTCCCATTCAGAAACACGGAATATATTACCATATATTCAGATTTCTTATGTTTTTTACTAGTATTTTTTAAAGAATTCTTCAAATAGATATCGCACAATGTTTGTATTAAAAGCACCTCATTCTTTTTGGTGCTAATATAAATGCTCTTATGTTTTGAATTTCAAAATCCAATTTTTCATTGATGGTGAAAAGAAAAGCAGTAGACATTTTTATGTCAAATTTGTATTCTGTAATCTTGCTACAAATTTCTTACAAATTTCACTTTTGCTTTTGTTACTGTTAATTCTTAGGGTTAAAATTAACTTAGTATAAATAATTTTATATTCAAGATTTGGTGAATTCATCATATTCATTTTTATTGTAATACACTTAATAGGATGTTTTTGAGAAAATGGAATAAAGTACCTAAATCAAAAGTAATTTTCCCATTATTATGTATCTTCTTAAGCTTTTGGGTATTTTACTACGGTGTATGTACATGATTTAATGACACATAAATTATCTCTTCTCTGATCCATTGAATATAAAAACCATTTTAAAGAAATGTGCAATTTAAGAGTAGGTAGAGGAAGATGGTGTAATAGGTTCCACTGATCTTGCCCCCAGGAAAGACACTAATTTACCAACTATTGACGCCAAAAAAGCACCTTCATAAGAACCAAAAATTAGGGGAGCACTCACAGTAACTGATTTTAACTTTATATCACTAAAAGAGGCAATGAAGTGATAGGAAAGAACATTTTCATTCAGCAAAGCCACTGCTCCCCCATCCCCAACAGCAGTGGCATGGTGTGAAGAGCATTTCTGTGCCTTGGTGATAGATGGAGCCAGCAATATTGAGGCATTGAACTCAGCTCAGTGCTGCCCCTGTTATAGCAGAAAGCAAAACCAGACCAAACTTACCTGATGCTCTCCCACAAAGGGAATATTTAAACCAGTCCTAGCAATGGGAGAATAGCCAATCCCAGCAGTCAAAACTTGAGTTCCCACAAGCCTTGCCACCACAGTCTAAAGTGCTCTGCGATCTCAGAAAAACTTGAAAGGCAGTCTAGACAGTGAGAACCATAACACCTTGACAAGTCCTAGGGCTGAACTGGGCCCAGAGACAGTAGGCTAGAGGGCAGGTGACCTACTGAGATATCAGCTAACGTAGCTAAGGGAGTACTGGAATCACTCCTCCGCTAAACCCAGGTTGCACAGCTTGTGGCTCCAAAGGAGACCCCTTCATTCTGCTTGTGGAGAGGAGAGGAAAGAACGGGAAGGATTTGTGTTATGTCTTGGATACGAGCTCAGCCACAGTAGGATGAGGCACTGGTCAGAGTCATGAGGCTCTCTTTTCAGGCTCTAGTTCCTGGACATTTCTAGATACACCTTAGTCTAGAAGGAAACCTGCTACCTTGAAAGAAAGAAACCACACCTGGCAAAACTTATCACCTGCTAACTGAAGGGCCCTTGGGCCCTAAATATCCAGTAGGAACACCCAGGTACTACACTGAGGAGATTGGGTGAGATGCTGAGACTTGCAGGGCTCAGGTTAAACTCAGCACATTTCCAGCTGTGGTGGCTATGGGGAGAGACTCTTTTTGCCTCAGAAAAGTAAAGGAAAAAGTATAGGAGACTTTGTCTTTCACCTTTGGTGCCAGCTCTGTCAAAATATGTTAGAGCCCCCAGTGGGGCCTTGGGGTGGCTTATTCCAGGACTGGACTATTGGGTGGAATTTCCAGATGTACCCTGGGCCAGAGAGGAGCCAACTGACCTGAGAGGTGAGTCCAAGGCCAGGCAGCATTCATGCACAAGCTGATTGAAGAGACTTTGAGCCTTAAGAGAACATCGATGGCAGTCTGGCAGTACTCCCCATGGGCTAAGGTGAAGGTGACCAGAGGATGAGGCTTCTCTGCCTTTGGAAAGGGGAGAGAAGAATGAGAGGGACTGTGTCTTGTGGGTTGAGTGCCAGCTTAGCCACAGCACAATAAAACACCAGGTAGACTTCTAAGGATTTTGAACCTGCTTGGGGCCTGGAATATCTCGTCACCATGAAGGGAAGGATATAGGCCGGAACAGCTTTGCCAGCTGCTGACTGCAGATCCCCAGAATTTTGAGCAAATGTAGGCAATAGCAAAGGAATGGTTACAGCAGACCTTGAGCAAGAACCAGCCTAGTCATAGGACAGTGGCCACACAGGTGCTTATGTCACTCCACCCCAAGCTCCCAGTAGCTCAGAACATAAAAAGAGACTCTGATCATTTGGAAGAAAATAAAAGAACAGAAAAACAGTCTCTCCCTGCTAATCCAGGAAATTTTTCTGGATCTTGTCCAAGACCATCAAGTCAGTACCTCTGTGACTCTGCAAGAACCATAGCGTTACTGGGCTTGGGGTCCATAGTAAAGCAGATAGAGCTTAGATCACAACATTCAAGTTTTTGCAAATATCTGGAAAGTCTTTCAAAGAAGAAGGGAGTAGAAAGAAGCCCAAACTGAGAAGACAACAATAAATATCTTACTTTAATACACAGACAGAAAAATATCTACAAGTATCAAGAGAAGACAGGAATACATGACCTAACCAAGTGAACTAAATAAGGCACTAGGGACCAATCGTGGAGAAACAGACATATGTGACCTTTCAGACAGAGAATTTGAAATAGTCATGTTGAGGAAACTGTAAGAAAGTAAAGGTAATAGAGAGAAAAAAATTAATAAAGTGATGAAATACTTAAAAATTAAAAAGAAATTCTGTAGCTTCAAAATGCAAGTGACAAAAATGCATCAGAGTATTTTAATAGAAAACGTGATCAAGAAAAAGTAAGAATTAGTGAGATTAAAAAGAGGCTATTTGAAAATACACAGAGAAGACAAAAGAAAAAAAACAATGAAGGGTGCCTAGAGGATCCAGAAAAGAGCCTCTAAAGGGCAAATCTAAGAGTTATTGGCCTTAAAGAGGAGATAGAGAAAAAGATAATGGTGGAAAGTTTATTCAAAGAGAAAATAACAGAGAACTTCCCAAATTTAGGGAAAAATATCCACATCCAAATACAAGAAGGTTATAGAACATAAAGCAGATTTAACTCAAATCAGACTCCCACAGGGCATTTAATAATAAAACTCTCATAGGTCAAGGATAAAGGATCCTAAAAGCATCAAGAGAAAAGAAACAAATAGCACACAATAGAGCACCAATACCTCTAGCAGCAGAATTTTCAGTGAAAACCTTATAGGCCAGGAGAAAGTGGCATGACATATTTAAAATGCTGAAGAAAAGCAAAACCAAACAAAACAAAATAAATATTTTACCCTAGAATAATATATCTGGAGAAATTATCCTTAAAACATGAAGAAGAAATAAAGGCTTTCTTAGACATACAAAAGGTGAGGAATTGTATTAACACCAGACCTGTCCTACTAGAAATCGTAAAGAAATACTTCAATCAGAAAGAAAAGAACATTAATAAGCAATAAGAAATCATCTGAAGGTATGAAACTCACTGAATATGGTAAGTACACGGAAAAACAGATTATTATAACACTGTAACTCTGGTGTGTAAACTAGTCTTAAGTAGAAAGATGAAAGACCAAAAAATGATACAATTAAAAATAGCTATAACTGCTCTTCAAGATGTAATATAACAAGATTTGTAAAGAAACAAGAAAAAGCAGGAGGATGAAGTTATGACATAGAGTTAGTATTAATTTTTTTGGCTTGTTTGTTTATGGAAACTGTTGTTATCAGTTAAAAATAATGAATGATAATGTATTATTTGCAAGCTTTTTGGTAACATAAAACAAACAAACATATAAATACAATGGGTACACAAAAATAAAAAGCAAGAAACTAAATTACATCACCAGAGAAAACAATCTTCACTAAGAGGAAGACAGTAATAAAATAAAGAAGAAATAGAACACCACAAAAAAACAGAAAATGAATAGCAAAATGGCAGTAGTAAGTTCTTACTCATCAATAATAACACTCAATGTAAATGGATTAAACTCTCCAATCAGAAGACATATAGTGGCTGAATGGATGAAAAACAAGACTCATTAACTTGTTGTCAATAAGAAGAACACTTCACTTGTAAAGACACACATGAACTTAAACAAAGGGAAGGAAAAATATATTCCATGTCGATGGAAACCAAAAAAGAATACAAGTTGTTATATTTATAGCAAACAAAATAAATTTCAGGACAAATACTGTAAGAAGAGATAAAAAATATCACTATATAATAATAAAGGGGTCAAGTCAGAAAGATGATATAAAATTTTTAAATATATATGCACCCAACACTAGAGCATTCAGATATATAAAACAAACACTATTTGAATTAAAGAGAGAAATAGACTCCAATACAATTAAGGGAGGAGACCCCCCCTCATATTGAGCCCATGGAGACAGAGTCAAAAGTTTGTAATAAAAAGCTGGGAAGGGTAACGGGATGGGAATGAGAAGGAGGTGGGGATAGTTAATGTGTACCAATAACAGTTAGAATACATGAATGAGACCTAGTATTTGATAGCACAGCACAGTGACTATAGTCAATAATATACTGTATATCTTAAAATAACTAAAAGTATAATTTGATTGTAACACAAAGAATAAATGCTTGTGGACATGGATATTTCATCTACCATTATGTGATTATTATGCATTGCATGACAGTATCAAAATGTTTCATATACCCCATAAATATATACCACCTGCTTTGTCCCCATAAAAATTAAAAATAAGAAAAAAAATGAAGAGAAATTCATAATTTTACAAAAACAATTTTAGTCTCTAATTTTTAGTATTTTCTTTATTCTATCTGCTGTTAATGTGCTCCTAGGTTGATTCCATGTATTTACCATTGTGAATAGTGTTTCAATGAACATAAGAGTGTATGTCTTTTTGGTATATGAATGCGTTTTCCTCGGATATATATTCAGTAATTGGATTATTGGGTTGAGTTGTAGTTCAACTTTTGGTTCTTTGCAAAATCTACAAACTTCTCTCCAAAGTGGCTGAAAGAATGTACAATCCACCACCTGTACATGTGTCCCCTATTCTCTGCAGCCTGGTGAACATCTGTTATTTATTTTTTAAGAGAAGCCATTCTGATTCATGTGAAATATTATCTTACTGTGGTTTTGATTTGCATTTCTGTGATGATTAGTGATGTTGAACACTTTTTTTATGTTTGTTGGTAACTTGTGTGTCTTCTTTAGAGAAGTGTCTGTGTTTTGCCCACAATTTAATAGGGTTATTTATTTATTTATTTTTTGCTTGTTGAGTGAGTTCCTTATAGACTCTGTATATTAGGCCTTGCTCAGATGCATAGTTTGTGAATATTTTTGCCCCATTCTGTAAAGAGTCTGTTTACTCCCTTGATAATTTTCCTGGCTATACAAAAGTTCTTCAGTTTAATTAGGTCAAACTTAACCAATTTTTGTTTTGCTGCAATTGCTTCTGAGATATTAGACATAAATTCCTTGTCAAGGCCTATATTGAGAAAGGTATTTCCTAGGTTTTCTTCTAGGATTTTAGAGTTTGAGTTTATACAATCGAATCTTTAATCTATATTGAGTTAATTTTTGTGTATAGTGATAGATAGGGGTCTACTTCCATTCTTTTGCATATAGATATTAAGTTATCCCAGCACTCTTTATTGAATAGGCGGTCCTTTCCCCATTTCTTATTTTTTGTTGATTTTGTTGAAGATCAGATGGTTGTAGGTATGTGGCTTTATTTCTGAGTTCTCTATTCTGTTCCATTTGTCTATGTCTGTGCTTTTACCAGTCTCATACTGTTTTGGTTATTGTAACTTTGTAGTATAATTTGAAGACAGGTAACCTGGTGCCTCCAGCTTTGTTCATTTGCTTACTGATACTTTGGCTATCTGGGCCCTTTTTTGGTTCCATATTAATTTTAGAATAGTATTTTTCTAACTATGTGTAAAACAACTATATTCAAAATAGTCTCTAAATATCTTTTGTATTTATATGTGATTGGCTGTAATATCACCTTTATTGTTTCTAATTGTGCTTATTTGAATCTTCTCTTTTTTTTCAAGTTAACTTAGCAGTTGTCTCACAATCTTTTTGTTTCTTTCAGAGAATGAGCTTTAACTTTTGTTGATTCTGTTTATAGATATTTACATATCAGTTTCACTCAGTTCTGTTCTATTTTTTGCTCTTGTTTTTTGTCTGCTAGCTTTGGAGTAAGTTTGTTTTTGTTTTTCTAGTTCCTCTAGATGCAATGTTAGGTCATTAATTTGAGGTCTTTCTACCTTCTTTATATAGGCATTTCTTGTTATAAACTTTTCTCTTAATATTGCTTTGGCTGTATCTTAGAGATCTGAGTTTGTTTTGTCTGTGTTTTTATTTACTCTGAGAATATTTTAATTTATTCCCTAAATTTATTTTGTATGTAAAAATAGGTCAGGAGCAACTTGTTTAATTTCTATGTAATTGTGTGGTTTTCAGGGATCTTCTTGGTATTCATTTGTAATTTTATTCTACTGTGGTTGAAAGTATGGTGTTATAACCTTGATTTTTTGCATTTATTGAGTATTGCCTTATGATGAAGAATGTGCTTGATCTTAGAGTGTTATATGTGCAGATAAGAAAAATATATATCCTATGGTTAATGAATGGACTGTTCTGTAGATGTCTATTAGATACAGTTGATCAAGGGCCAAATTTAAGTCCAGAATTTTTTTTTTAGTTAGTGCTGTTAGTGTTCTGCCATATTATCTATTATTGTGTATCTTTGTAAATTTTTTCACAGGTCTAGAAGTATTTCTTGTATGACTCTCTAGGTACTCCAATGTTTGGTGCATATATATTGAGAATAGTTAAGTCATCTTGTAGTACTGAACACTTTATCATTATTATAAGAAGCAGAAAGAAATTACTTAGGCAGACAGTTAGGGTAAAGAGTCCCCAGCAGAAAACTTTCTTTTGAACAAAAAGCAGCTCAGATATATCTCCCATTCTAACCTCATGCAGTTCAAAGAGATCACTTCTGTTCTAACAAAGAGCAGACTGTAAATCACAGATAAACAGCTCGGACACAGAAAGAGAAGGAGGAGTCTCCTGGGTAATCACCAAATTTCACACTTATACAATGGGCCCCAGGAAAACAGTGGGCCTTAATAAACACATTCCTTCCCCTTTAGGGGCGCTAAGATAGGAAAGCTAAAAGTAGAATTGGGGTTGAGGGCAGGGATTCCTGCACCTGCGAGAAGATGTCTGGAAATAGACACAGAAACTCTCCCTCCCAGATAAGCAACACAGACTAAAATATCCATAAAACCTCTACTCTATACAGACAGCACAACTGGTCCCAACTAAATCATTGGACCCTAGGAGGATGTGACATCCCCTCCTCACTAGCCTCCTCCTCACCCATTTATAAAAACCCAGACGTTTTTACTACAACTTGGAAACCCACTCAGGACTCCACTTTGTGATGGAGAGCTCTTCTTTTTCTTTCTTTTTTTTTTTTTTTTTTTTTTTTGCCTATTAAATTCCTGCTCTAAACTCACTCTGTGTGTAATTGTGTGTGTGAGTCCATGACCTCAATCTTCTTGGACATGAGACCAAGAACCTTGGTATTTACCCCAGACAACGAGGCTGCTTCATCATTATGTAGTAGCATTTTGTCCTTTTGTACTGTTGTTGGTTTAAAGTCTATTGTTGGTTGGAGCATCATTCTTTTACCTTGCTGAAAATAGGCCCCAAGTCTCTTACGACTGGTAGGTCTGCTGAGAAGTCTGCTGTTAGTCTAGTGGAGATCTTTTTGTATGTGATCTGACATTTTTATCTATCTGCATTTAAGGTATTTTTCTTTAGCATTAATCTTAGACAGTCTGGTGATTATATACCTTGGTGATGTTCATTTTGTATAGTGTCTGTGAGGTGTTCTCCAGATTTCTTGTAACTAGGTGCCTACTCCTCTTGCAACATTAGGAAATTAAAAAAAAATTTCCTCTAGTATGTTTTACAGATAATTAACTTTTTCTCCGTCTCTTTCAGGAATGCTAAAAATTAGTAGGATTGGTAGCTTTACACAGTTCTATATTTCTCAGAAACTTTGTTCATTTTTTAAGATTCTTTAATTTTTTTCATGTTGGTTTGCCTTGGTTAATTTGAAACCTAATCTCTAAGCTCTGAAATTCTTTATTCTGTCGAGTCTAGTGTATTGATAAAGCTTTCAATTGCATTTTGAAATTCCTTACATGAGTTTTTTAATTCCAGTAGCTCAGATTAGTTTCTTTTTAAAATATTTACCTTTTCCCTTATTTACTATATTGTTTTACAGGTTTCTTTGTGTTGATTTTCAGTATTATCTTGGATCTCATTGAGTTTCACTGCAATCCATGCTTTGAATTCTTCATCTGTTATCTCAGTGCCTCCATTTTTACTAGGGACTATTGCTGGAGAGCTACAATGAGCCTTTGGTGGTATCACAAATTAAGATTCTTTATTGTGACAAAATTTTTACACTGGTTCCTTCTTATCTGGAGAGGGTTGTGTTGGGTAGGATCTTTTGGTTTTACTCTATAGTCCTATGCACTTCTGCCAGTGGGTTTTCTAGTGGGCTGTGGACATTGACCTACTGACCAGTAGATAGTGTTTTCAGGTGAAATCCAGTTGCCACAGAAGCAGATGGGCATAGACTTAATCTTTATTTATTATGAGGTGCTCTCTGTTTTCTCAGGTGAAGGGCTGGATAGTTGGATGCCCAGTGTCTTGAGCTTCTTTTTCAGGGTTAGCAGGACACAGTTGGGCAGAGCTGAAGACCCCCCTGGTTTGCCCATGAATATCCCAGTGCTGAACACAGGCACTAGTCCTGATGAGGGTGGTTAAAAGGAGCTCCTTGTGAACTGCACTGAGGTCTCTGAGGTGGAAGAGGTAAGAGGACTGTGCATTGGCTCCTTATCCTAAATAAGCAGAAACATGATCTGTTTTTCTGTTTCAGGGCTTGTGACTCACAATTTTGGTAGGTATATGCAGCTATAAAATTCTATGTGATCCTGCTTTGGCTTTACTTCACAGTTTTTGAATGCTGGCTTCATGTTTTCATTCATCTCAAAGTATTTTCTACTTTCTCTTGTAAATTTTTAATTGGATCAATTGGTGGTTTAAGGATGTGTTGTTTATCTTGCAGGGATTTGTTGAGTTTTTAGTTTTCATTACATCATTCCTTTGACATTGAATTGTGGTCAGATAAGAACTTTTGTATAATTTTAATATGTTTAAATGTATTGAGAACATATTTTTTTCCTAATACATGGGCTATCTCGGAATGTTCCATGTGCACTGAAGAAGAATTCTCACATTCTGCTATTCTTAGGTAGACAGAGAGTTCTGTATAGACCTGTAAGGTCTAGTTGTTTTATAATGTTATTCAGGTGCTCCATTTTTGTAATGAGCTTCATCCTTGGTGCTATAATCACTATTTAAAGTGAGGTATTAAAGTCTTCAAATGTTATTGCAAAACTATGTATTTCTTTTTAGAATTCTGTCAATTATTGCTTCATATACTTTGGGGTTCTATTGTTTGATGCATGTATGTTTATACTTGTTATGTGATGTTTATGAATTGACAGTTGACACTTTTTTCAATATATATTGTTCTTTTTGCCTTTTGTAACAATTTTTGCTTTAAAGTGTATTTTGTCCAATATTAATATCTTCCCCAGCTCTTTGCTTAGTATTATGTAATATTTATTTCTTCTTTAATTTCAAGCCTATATTTCATTAAGCCTAAATTATGTCATTCTATTCTACCATATAAAGTAATTAGAGAATGTTAAAATATTATTTGGTTAAATTGATTAGAAATTTTTCTTAATTAGATTTGTCTTTCTTGTGCATGATGGCTAATTTTATGTGTCAACTTGGCTAGGATATGTATAATGCCAAGCTTTTATTCAAATGCCAATCTAGACATTGCTGTGAAGGTATTTTTAAGATATGATTAACATTTAAATTAGCAAACTTTGTATAAAGCAGATGGTCCTCTATAGTGTGGATAGGTCTCATTCAATCAAGTGAAGGCCTTAAGAGAAAAGATTTAGGCCTCTTGAGGAAAAAGAAATTCTGCCGCATGACTGTATTTTGATTCTAAATTGCCCTGGGTCTCCAGCATGGCAGTCTGACCTGGAGATTTTGAATTTTCCAGCCCTAGAATATGATGAGCTAGCTCCTTAAAAGAATCTTTCTCTTTCTCTCTCTCTCTCTCTCTCTCTCTGTGTATGCATATGCTATACATACAATTATGGCTCATGACTATCTACATGGTGCATTATTTTCTTTCCTCAGATGATTCTATAAACTGTATAGAATCAGTTTATTTTAACAATACAAAGTGAAATAAACAAGAATATTTATATCAGTAAAAAATTTATTAAATCTTTTAATAAAAATTTAATAAATACACACTCAACCACTGTAGACAGATAGGGACTAAATTCAAAACAATTTAACCATACAGCTATTTCTAAAAAAAAGTAATCCATTAACAAGTTGACTAAGATTAATCAATAAAGTAATATTGATTACTTTGATATTACCAACCAAAATTGCAGAAATAAGAGTTAATTAATGTGAAAACATTTTCACAACTAATGAAACAATTCAATACATTATACTAAAGGTAAACTCATTGTGCATGGAAAGTTATCCTTACACATATTTTCTAGGAACAATAGCATTTCAAATTTTCGAATTTAACATATTTTTCCCAGAAAAATAATTGGCACCCTAAAACGGTTTAAAATTTTATCAGAGTTCTTATATACACTTACTGAAAATACATTGATCTCCTGAAGGAATCCTGAAGAATTTGTTGTTTTTTATAAATTATAAGATGTTACAGGCAGATCAAAATGTAAATTTAAACAAAATAAAACAGAGCAACCACAAGAAAAACCAGTTAATCTAAGCTGTTCTCTCAAAGTAGTCTTTTAAAGAGTTCTGTGTAGGGACAATGAACTAGGTGTATTTTTTGTTCCACATTCTTCCCTCCAATCGCTTAACCACACAGGAGGTGAGGGAATGAAAGAAGATAAACCTCATACTTAATAGGGTTATATAGAAGGAAAAATATATTCTTGTAAGCCTTCCTTTTCATTTGCTCGCCACAGAAAATCAAATAACAATAATAAAAATGGTATTTAAAATGGATAAAAAAGATGTAATCAGTCAAATGTATCATAAAATTTAAAGAAACAAAATAAAACATAAAATATTCAGGTACGATAAATCATTGAGAAATAAGTTAGGTAATTTATATAGGAATATAGTCACGGACTCATCAAATGTTAGAATTGGAAGATACTTGAAAATATGTTCTGATATGGTTTGGATCTGGGTCCGCACCCAAATGTCATGTCAAACTGTAATCCTCAGTGTTGGACACTGGGCCTGGAGAGAGATGATTGGATCGTGGGGTGGTTTCTCTTGAATGGTTTAGCACCATCTTCTCAGTGCTGTTTTTGTAATGAGTGAGTTCTCATGAGATCTGGTTGTTAAAAAGTAAGTATTACCTCCTTCAGCTCCTTCCTCTTGTGCCAGCCATGTAAGACGTGCTTGCTCTCCCTTTACATTCCACCATGATTGTAAGTTTCCTGATCCCTCCATAGAAGCCAAGAAGATGGCTAGAATCGTGCTTCCTGTATAGCCAGTAGAACCATGAGCCAATCAAACCCATTTTTTTAATAAATTCCCCAGTCTCAGGTATTTCTTTATAGCAGTGAGAGAATGGAATAATACATGTTCTTTCATGGATTAAAAAAATTTTACTATGTGCTCAATTAAATCTGGTGATTAAATTGATATGTTGTTGTTTATCTTTTATAAGTAAACATTTTAGATTATTTTTCATATTAAAGCACAGAGTAAATAAACAAAATCAGTGCCTACTCTTTAAGGAAAAAGCGGTGGGCATGTTACTGGATCCCTTCCTTATACCTTATACAAAAATTAATTCAAGATGGATTAAAGACTTACATGTTAGACCTAAAACCATAAAAACCCTAGAAGAAAACCTAGGCAATACCATTCAGGACATAGGCATGGGCAAGGACTTCATGTCTAAAACACCAAAAGCAATGGCAACAAAAGCCAAAATTGACAAATGGGATCTCATTAAACTAAAGAGCTTCTGCACAGCAAAATAAACTACCATCAGAGTCAACAGGCAACCTACAGAATAGGAGAAAATTTTTGCAATCTACTCATTTGACAAAGGGCTAATATCCAGAATCTACAATGAACTCAAACAAATTTACAAGAAAAAAACAAACAACCCCATCAGAAAGTGGGTGAAGGTTATGAACAGACACTTCTCAAAAGAAGACATTTATGCAGCCAACAGGCACAAGAAAAAATGCTCATCATCACTGGCCATTAGAGAAATGCAAATCAAAACCACAGTGAGATACCATCTCACACCAGTTAGAATGGTGATCATTAAAAAGTCAGGAAACAACAGGTGCTGGAGAGGATGTGGAGAAATAGGAACACTTTTACACTGTTGGTGGGACTGTCAACTAGTTCAACCATTGTGGAAGTCAGTGTGGTGATTCCTAAGGGATCTAGAACTAGAAATACCATTTGACCCAGCCATCCCATTACTGGGTATATACCCAAAGAAGTATAAATCATGCTGCTATAAAGACACATGCACACGTATGTTTATAGCAGCACTATTCACAATAGCAAAGACTTGGAATCAACCCAAATGTCCAACAATGATAGGCTGGATTAAGAAAATGTGGCACATATACGCCATGGAATACTTGGCAGCCATAAAAAATGATGAGTTCATGTCCTTTGTAGGGACATGGATGAAGCTGGAAACCATCATTCTCAGCAAACTATCGCAAGGACAAAAAACCAAACACTGCATGTTCTCACTCACAGGTGGGAATTGAACAATGGGAACACATGGACACGGGAAGGGGAACATCACATACCAGGGACTGTTGTGGGGTGGGGGGAGGGGGAAGGGATAGCAGTGGGAGATATACCTAATGCTAAATGACGAGGTGATGGGTGCAGCACACCAACATGGCATATGTATACATACGTAACAAACCTGCACGTTGTGCACATGTACCCTAAAACTTAAAGTATAATAATAATAAAATTAAAAAAACAATTGAAATAAAAATAATAAAAAATATTCCATATGGGATAGAAATTAAGAAAGTGGTATTAAATTATTTTTCTCATTAATTATAGTTTAGCCTTGCTTATAACTTCTAGAATTTGTTCTTTGTGGGGAAAGGACATGTTTTAAATCATATCCATATAATACATTTTCCTAAAATTTCAGAGATTTTTGAGAAAAGATAAAATTTCTTTCTTACTACAGGTGAGCAACAATAATTCTTGATGTCAACTAGATTCCTCACCTACTTGTACACTTTAAGTTAAACTCTGTAGAAGACCATAATATGCTACCTAAAACAGAATGTCCATGTAATATAATATAGTCTCTATAATCTGAGATAAGAGATCTTTCAAAACTACCTGAATCTTTAAGAATTATTAAAATAAAAGGAAGTTTAAACCAAAAAAAAAAAAATACAGCAAAAATGGTTATTTTTCACTGAAACAAATCCATTAGAAATACGTGTTTTCTGAGTATATTTTATCTCAGAATGTAGTCTTAATTATTTTGCAATCAACAAGTACACATTTACTTACTTAAGACAAGGATATAGTTACATAATAAGAAATAACATTCAACAATTGAAAATGAAAAATTAAACATAATCCAGAAAGTAGTATAAAACAATGTATTGAATACAATGTGTATAACATAGACTCAAATACTCTGAAGAGATTTACTTTTAGCCTAGATTGAAAGTGGAATGGAGAACACTGGATAGTTCTTCAGTTGGCCTTAGACCAACTTGATTAGTTCTCTACTCTTTATTGCTTGTGGTTCTCAAGAATAACTATAGAATTGATACGGAGGCGGGGAGACAGGGAAGTGCTGGGTAGAGTAGGGTGGAGGTCCTGGCGAGGGTTCCACCTTCAGGCCTGTGCCCACGGACCTAAGTAAGGACAAGCATTTCTGTTTTTGTGCCAGAAAAGCTGCGTTTTGGCCTGCCACAACCCCCATCCTCTGCCCATGTAAGCCTGAGACCTTTACCAGGCAGACACAAGCAACTGGACTCGAAAGGAGCAGAAGAGCACAGCAGCAGACAAAGGCAGGCCATCGAGGTGGGACAACATGGAATTCAGTTGGGGGTGGTTGGAAGAAAGTCCGGCCTCTGTGCAGCATGTCTCCAGGGGAAGACCATCTTCCGTCTCTATCCCCCTTCTGGCCTGCCCATCCATCTCACTGAGAACTACTCAATAAAACTTTACACCCATCCTCCAAGCCCCGTGTGATCCAATTTTTCTGGTACCCCAGGGCAAGAACCTGGGATACAGAAAGTCCTCTGTGATTGCCATATGACAGAGGGTCTAACTGTGCTGATAAACACAAGCTGCCTGCCGATGGCAAAGCAGAAAGCGCGAACTGTAACACACGCCTACTGGGGCTTCAGGAGCTGTAAATGCTCAGCCCTAGATGCTGCTGTGGGGTCTGAACCCAAAAACGCTCCGCAAGGCCTGCCCGTCTGCATGCTCCAGCTAGGGGTTTTAGCAGCTGCGCACTAAAGAAGCGAGCCACACCCCTGTCGCATGCCCTGCGAGGAAGATAAGGAAACAACTCTGCCAATTTGAGAATGTGCTGGGAATGCAACCTCCTGAGATAGGGAGGAGCAGCCTGACACAGCCCAGGCCTTGTTCCTTTCCCTTCCCAGGAATACATATTGAGGTAGAGAGAAACTACCTCTAGTCTGAAAAAACACAGATTTTGTTCCTTTCTCCTCTGGAGGCAAGTTGTTCTTCAAAGCTTTAGTTGGTGGGTCATGTTGCCCTGAGGTATATAACCCAGGGCAAGCTGCCTTTCAGGACCTTTCACCTATGACGTAAGTGGAGCATGTACAGTTGAGAAACCACCCACCATGGGCAGCTTTCTTGAGCCTTGGGGGATTGGTTCACAATGCATCCTAGGCTTCTTCTTCTGTCCTTTTCTGACTACTTGTAAGTACTAAATCTGTCTCATGATGTAACTTGCTCCATATAAGTGGTTCTGCCTCACCCAGTCAGACAAGTTGGAAAACAGTGCAGAGTAAATCTGCTTTAAAAAATTGATACAGTGAGCAGGATGCAGTCTGACAGAAACATAGCTTAATGTTGAAGCAGAGGAGGTGATATAACCTCCCAGTACCCAACCCAGGGTGGAGACATTAGCCTGGAGGTGCAAGTGGCGAACATGCAGTTGGATGTTTTATGGGGGACAAGGTTAATAAGGGGAACATCAGTCTCCCCTCAAGCCCCTGCAGATGTGAGTGAGCTGGCTACATGGATTGGGACAGAGAAAAAGCCATGTGAAAACAGGGAAACAGGCTAGATTCTCTGATTATTGGGCACTTATGTTATTGTTCATTTTTAGTGCCAGAGATCTGGGGAAATGGGTACTCGGATAGACCCTCAGGTACCTGAGAGGGAATTAGGCAGAGGTCTTCAAATGGTCCTTGGGGCATCTGATAGGGAACCCACATGCAAGATGAGGACCTACACAGAAAGGGAAACTCACTATCTCTTGGATAGATGTAGACAAAGTCTACATCTACAAAGATAGGAAGTCTCATGCAAGTGGGTTAATGTGTCTGATAAAGAAATATTGCAAATCTAAATGTCCTGGGCTAAATGGCACAGTTAGAAATGGGGCCAAGGTCTCTGGGTACCCAACTAGAGGTCAATGATCCAGTAATCTTGTCAAGGTAAGAAAAGAACAGAAGGTAATTCAGATTTTTTCTGGTGTTTTTGGATACTGGAACCCATGTGATAATATTTCCAGATCCCTTTAGAGGAAAAATTAAACTGATGACATTGGGAAGTTTGGGATACACACAGTGACTCATGGTGCTTATCTACAGAAAATAGGGGTCTTTGTGTCATTTTAGATGCCAGTGACCATGGTTCCCACTGCTAAATGCATTATAGGCACTAACATTTTGGTTGCTGTGGCATATAACATTTCTGCTGCCTGAGGAGGTATGCACCTTAACTACTAAGAATTTGAGCCATAATAGTGGGTCATAATCTTCTCTTGCCTAATATCTAAGCTACCTAATCCCTAAAGGGTCATTCATCAAAACAGTAATGTGTATTAAATGAAGGATTCCTTTTTAAATTTAGGACTTGGTACAAACTGCCCAGTCATGGCAGTAACAGCCCAGTATGGCTGGTCAAAAAGGTGTCTGGGGCTTTGAGACTAACAATGGACTATCACAGACTGAATGCCAAGGCCACTTGGGTGGGTAGCCAAAACAAGTATTCCAGATACAGTCAAACAAAACTTTTTAATTCGGGAGACACCCATTAATAAAAAGAATACTTAACAGCTGGTAGGTCTCTTTGAGTAGCAGATACAAGCATGCAACCCACCTGTTCTTTTGGCCTCTTTAGTCAAAGTGACCAACACAGCCATGGAGTTTTAATGGAGCCCCTGGTAACAGCAGGTTTTAGAAGCCATTCAATAAGCTGCAGCACAGGCACTTTCTTTATAACACTGAAAGCCTACTAGCCCGATGGAATTACAAGTTTTCTCAATACCCATATGTGATAATTGAAGTTTATAACAACAGAAAATTGTCACTAGTGTGCAACAACCTCTCAGATTTTAGACACGTAAGTTGCCTGAGGCAGACAGCCCCAGATGTAACCCTATTAAATGGTAACTCCTTGCTTGCTATTGAGCAATAGTTAAGAATGATTCTTTTATAGCTGGAATGTCATATGTGACACGCAACATGAACTTCCCTTTCTTACCTGACAGCTCATAAAAACCGCCGGTAAAATAAGACAGGCTCAACAGAACTCAGTTATCAAATGGAATCAGTACATTCAGGATTTGTCCCAGCCAGGACCTCAAGGGACTAATAGGCTCCGTGAAAAGGTGACTAGCTTATCATAAGGGACTGAGAAACCTGTAGAAGGTGTTGTGGCTCCTCCTGTGACTATCTGGGGCCTAAGATTTACAGACATGAATCATGATGGTATGGCATGACTAACTGATGGCTCTGTGAAATAACAGGTGAATAGGGTCTATTAGGCTGGGCTGCCATCTGGCAGGTAGAAGGCTATCTTTTATCTGAGACTGGAGACGACCTCCTGCCCAGTGGAATAAACTACATGAAATGGTGATGGTCATGCAGGCCATTCCTTACTACCATATCTTGCTACAATTTTACTGACCCATGAGCCATTGCCAATAGTCTAGCCATATGGTCAGGAAAATGGCAACTGAGTGACTGGACTATTAAAGGATTCTGTGTTGGGGATAAGGATTATCACATCAGTTTCCTAACTGGAAGGGACAAACATATATGACTCATGTGGACACTGGAACTACCACAGCCATTCTGGAGAGGAACTTATATAATGTTTTTTGGATACTCCAGGAGGCTTCACTCTAACCAAAGAACATTCTTCATTTCCCAAGCAACATGACAAAGGTCACACTCCCACGGAGCACAATGGACTTTTCATACACTCTGTCATTTATGAGCTAAAGAAGATTTTAATTTACAAACATCTGAATCATAAAGCAAATGAGAGAAGGACGTCAGGACAGACCACCAGTGAGATGGTACCTCCTACCTCTGACTGGGGCAATATGGACACTAAACACTGCACTCTAATGTAAAGAAAACATGACACTACGGCTCATGTTGAGCACCACTGAGCTTAGTGGAGGTGGATGTTGATATGGTTTCAATGTTTGTACCCTCCAAATCTCATGATGAAATGCTGGAGGCAGGTCCTGATGGGAGGTAATTGGAATCATGGTGGTGGATCTCTCATGAATGGTCTAGCACCAGTCCCCTTGGTGATAAGTGCTTGCTCAGTTCATGTGTGATTTGGTTGTTTAAAAGAGTCAGGGACCTCCCCCTACTCTCTGTCTTGCTCCTACTCTCGCCATGTGATACACTGACTCCTCCCTTATCTTCTGGATAATCGGAAGCTCCCTGAGGTCCTCACCAGATGCAGACAGCAGCACTATGTTTTTTGTACAGCCTGAAGATCCACAGGCCAAAATAAAACATGTTTTCACTATAAATTATTCAACCTCAGGTTTTTTTTTCTTTTATAGAAACACAAAAACTGACTAACACAGATGTGGACAAGTCAACCACCTGATTATGCTGTGCCAGCAAAATGCCAATCTCAGTGTTTACAATCATTCTTTGTTGTTTTTCCTTTACACTGTATGTCTTGGGGGTGGTTTGTGGCTCAGGCTGCTATAGTACCACAGCAGAGTCCCATAACACTAACCTGGAAGTGATGCTTCTGCAGGGTGCCTCCCATTTATGGGATCTCATAAAAATGGGGGATGCAAGTAAGGAATAGCCAGGTGCTAGGTTTCCTCTAGTGTTGCTGAGGGCATGTGATACCTCCAGTCAGTTTAATGATGCTATCAGACATGTCAAGTTTGTACAAGATGTGACCTCCCTTCCTTCATGGACTAGACAATTGAGGCTGAAAGGTCTGAATCAAGCAATAAGAGAAAGGGTGCCACCAGAGTTAGTAGCCTTAGAGCAGATACAGACAAACTGGTTTTCCACACCGACTTGGCTCAACTCCTGTGAAATATGTAGGGAACACCAGAGACGCCAAGAGGAGTGGAAGGTTGAGCACTAAACTGTCAATATGCTTATTTCACAACAATGAGGTAACAAAGGCCTAAAAGCATAACACCTGTTAGGATCTCCAAAGCTGTGGCCACCATGGTTAATCTGACAAAATGCTGGATCTGTCATCTTAGACCTCATTTTTTTTTTATCAACCAGAGGAAACAACTTTTCCTGATGGTGATAAACTACAATAGCATTCCTAATGCTGTGTTATACGCAAATCAACAGAACCTGAACCTTGATTTACTGAGTGAAGACCTGGCACCCGCCACATGGGAGGCAACTGGAGGTGCCCTATTTTAACTTACTTGACTCTGTAGCAGAGTGCCATCGCCACAGCTAACAAAAGTGTAGTGGGCTAGTACTTTGATGCACAAAACTCCTTTGATTACATGGAGGAGTGTCCCAGCAGTGACAAGAAAAACAAGGACTGGACTGTTTCTAGCCCTCTATACAGGGTCTTCATGAGCAATATCATATGGGTGAACTGAATTTATGCAACTCTGTAGTCAATGAGACTTGGTTATAATTGCCAATGCTTTCATACTCATAAATGGATCACTCAGCAATATAATGAGGAAAGGAGTGCAGTGTGCCTCCATCTCAGTTGAGGGCTACATTTTTCTCTACAAGTAGTCAGGAGCAACCAAAATATGAATGGAAAATGTCATGTCTACCATACTGGCCAATGGTGGGATACTGCACATTGGACACACTGAGGGTGGCCCTGGATATCAACCTTAGGAATGAGAGGCACCACTGGGCCAGCATCCAAAAGATTTATTCCACACTTACTAAGAACATGCCAGGAGGTATAACTGACTCTAGGTTTATGTCCTCAGTGAGATCTTTGGTACCATACATAGGAGTCAGTGCTCAAGAAAATAATAATAAACCAGTTTCTGACCATGGCAGATATTACTTCCTTCATTGCCACTGCCTTGGCAGCCCAGCAGACATCCTTCAACTCCCTTGGGAAAGTTGTTTTAAACAACAGAATTATTGTGACCTTTTTTAACCAAACTTGGAGGAATGTATGTAATTGCCAACACCCCTTACTATACCTGGATAAACACGTCTTGTATTATAGAAACACAAGTAGAGAAGATACCAAAGCAGGTTTTCTCCTGGCTGTAGAGGGTGGGGCCACTCATGGGATTCTTCTTTGACCTCCACTTATAAGGTCAAAGAAGAACTAGATCACTATGGCCCTGGGGTAGGTCACTGTTTCAGGAAGGCCTGGCCATCCTGCTCATGAGGGTAAGTCTCCTGAGCTCAGCAACGTGTATTCTGGTCATGACTTAATGATTCTACACTAGGATTGTGTCAGAGAAAGTGTTATATCTATATGACATGACAAATCTCTGCCTCCAGGTCTTGGAGGTCAATGGTTCTATGACATGCACTAGCTCTGCTAAGGGAGATATTTGGGTCAGGAGATGAATGGCATGATAGTTCCCCAGGTGGCCTTGGACGGACCCATTTGTCTTCCCTTCCTTTCTTGTGGTTCTAAAAACTAACTGTAAAATTTGCTGGGAATGCATTATTATAAGATAGGAATAAACTACTTGAGAGAGTCCAGGCTTTGTTATTCTCTTCTGGAAGCAGAAGGTCCTTCGAAGCTTTTCACAATCTGTCACATGGCTCCTGAGGACTATAAACCAGAGTGGACTCCCTATCAGGGTCTCTGAATGGTTGTGCTAGTGGGGCACATGCAGCTGAGTCTCCCTCTGACCCAGGAAACTTTCTTAAGCTGTGAGGGACTAGCTGACAATGGGTCCTAGGCTTCTGTTTGCCCTTGTTACCTACATGGAAGCAATAAATCCACTTCCTGTTACTTGCTGTGTATGAGTGTGTTCGCCTCACAAGACAGAGAGACAAGTTGAAGACCAGTGCACAGTGAACTTGCTTCACAAAGAAACTTGTTACTAGCCTCAAATATAAAAACAAATAATTCAAGGTGATTATTCTTATCCATATAGACTAGCTTTGGTCAGATTTCAAAATTAACTTTAAAAAAACACAACCAGAGGCAAAACTTTGCTGCAGAACACGACTACACATAGATATAGATATAGCTGTAGATTTATAGATATGTCAATATAAATATAATTTTCAGACTCTCTGAATCTCTAAAACAGGGAACTTTACTGCATCACATGAATTTTCTAAACACATGATAGTGCTTATAAAAACATCTAAGGCATTATATTATTTATACAACCTGGAAAATTTCTAAGCTTAAGCCTTATTTCCTTATAGTCTATAAACACTGTATTGCTCTCATTGCTCTCTTTCCTCTCACTCTCTTTAATTTTCAAGTGAGAATTCATGAACACTTGGTATATCCTAAAGCATGTGTGTGCCTTTTCCCTAAAGCTCTCATTTATGGTACTATTACAGAATGCAGTTTACTATTCCTCTTCCTGCAAGCAACTAACAAAAACATGTGCTCACATTTTTCAATCAAACTGGTTATAACTACTGTGTCACAGTTTGCTCTTATATTAGATTTCAACCAAATTCAATTACACAGTGTGCTCCTTGCTGCCATAGGATGAATGGCAGGACAAAGATGAATGAACACAACTGGCACGAGTGATTGATCCCAACATGCCAGCAGGTTGATTAAAGTGTCTAGAAACAAAATGAAAAATAGTATTCATCTGTAACTACTGGTCAATTTTTAAATTAACTGCAAATTTCATAAAATATCATGCATTGAATTGGATGTTTTTGATATTTTGAGAACACTAAACAAACAATATATATAGATCTGACTAGTTTCTTGGATATTAAAGAGACAATATTTGTTGTATGTACTCAAATTTCTAATATGTATAATGTGGATTTGTCACATAATGATAAAATGTGTATAATGGCTATGCAGATTTAAGCATAATTCAAAGAAATAAATAAATGGTAATGTATATAAGTGGGAAATGTTTTTATTTATAAAAGTTGTCATGTATTAATGGGTACTACTTACGGACAAAAAATATTACATTAAATATTTGAATGGTTTTCATTAAAAGTGTTTATTATTAGTATTGATGTTATTTTATATAATACATACTTTAGATATAGCATGACTATAGTAAATATAATCCTTCAATATTTCAGGGATTATAATTCTTATGATTTTGGAATGTAGAATTCCATGAACATTGATATAAAGATCTATTATATGACAAAGTGATGTGAATCTTTAAAACATATGTTAGTGTAATCCACTATGGATAACAAAAAGCAGATAATGAGTTCATTTATATTACTTAACAAATAAGTTAAGGGATAAGACAATTTGGATGTAGTATTGCAGCTCTGCCTTGCTATCGAGGAAACAGGTTCTCCTTCTTTCATTAGGATATGATTTAATTCTCATATTGCTGGAGTCTACTGTACTTCTAGGCCCTACATTCACAATTCTGGCATAAATAAATCAGAAAGGCCAAAGTTGTCTTTATTCAAGGTCTTTAAAATATTTATTTGGGAATATTTTCTCTCCTCAGTTTCCTCACCTGAGTGGTCTGAATCTTGGTTTGAACCTAGTGAGTTCCACTTAGGGCAAAAGACAACAGATTTGAGCACGCTTATAAGGGATTAATTATGAACCTTAACATATTGCATTGCTAACCTTATCTTTGAGGGGGCTGGGATTTAAAAAATATATATATTTAATTTAATTCAATGTATTTTATTTTTTACTTTCAAAGTCCCCATAGTCTCTAGGCAGCAGATTGCTATGCAAAGAAGAAAAAAAGAAAAATCATGGCTTTTGAATAGTTAATGCATCATATCTGCTAGGCTTTAAAAATGTGTGAGTCTACATGGATACAATATAATTACCAATAATTAAAGAATATCATTAGGAGTTATAAATATTATGTATCACATCCTAAAATAATAAATCAAATGCTGTATGAACTTATTCCTTTAAGTATACACATATCAAAACAAATCACATTGTATCTCATAAATGTATACAATTATGATTCATCAATTAAATAATATTAATTTAAAAATATTGAGCAACAGCTTTGTGAGTACTATTTTAGTTTTTAGACTATAAGTTTTAGAATACAAAGGTGGTTTTCATATAGTAGACCTGCCAACATTTGTGAAGTGACAGAAAACAAAGAGGGAAAATGATGTGCAATTATAAGTATGGTAAATACTATAAATAAAACATATAGAATAAGATTTAAAAGAATAGCAGAAGACCAAATCTGATGGATTATTCAGGCAAGGCCTTTGTAAGGAGATGCTCCTTATACAGAAAAGAATGATGAGAAATGAACCATGCTACTGTGGAAAGCACCAGCAAGAAAGAAGTGGGGAAAATCTTCTATTATGAAAAGAATTTGGCAACTCTGAGACAATGAGGTCCAATTATGTTGGAATTTAGTGATAATTAAAAGCCTATTAACTATCAAATATCAATCTCATTATTATTAATTGTATTTTCAATGCTTCATTTTTAGCTACACACTTTGAAATTGCAACTACTTGTATAATATGGCAAATATATAAAAAGAAATAAGACAAAGACTAGATACATGTTATTTCATGGTTTAACATTAATGTTTTCAAAGGTCTTCTAATGAATTTCTTAATGAATGCTATTTTTGGGTTTGTCCTTTGTTTTTGATAGTCATTATTCAAGGACTCACATGACAGTTATTTATTACATTGCATAAGTTAATTCCTTAAAACACATTCTTTTTTTTCAACAGTGAAAGAATTTACTGATCATTGGATGCCAAGCTAGGAGATGGGAGGAGACCCTGACATCCATCTCCCTGAGGAGTTCTGGGCTGGGGTTTGTAAAGGGATCCTGGAAGGTAAAAGGCTGGAAAATTGAGGTTGTTGGTTGATTGGGGTAAGGGCAATTAAATCACCAGGATTTGAAAACTGGTTTCTTTGGTGAGTCAGCTCCTGTGGGGTCCTTCAGATCAGCTAACATGAGTGGAGTCTTTCAGACCAGCTTTTGTCAGTGGGATTCTTCAGACCAGCTGACATCAGTAGATTCATTGGTATGCAAGACCTGAAGGACTAACTCAAATGAATGCTTTACATTTTATAACGTTCAAATTGATACCTACTGATTATTTAAGGGAAACTTACTGTATGTATTCTGAGGCAGTAGTCACCAAACTCCTATGAGGAAGCAGATAAGAGAGCAAACTGACCTCAAGATTAATACTGAATGTGCTGCATGCTTAGCTTATTTTCATTTCCCCCCATCCCTTCTTCTCTGATTAATTTTATAAAGTTTACGGGGAAGGTTTCAAACTGATGAAAATGTCATGGCCAGAAGCTTGTAGAACCCTAATCCTATGTTTCCTCAATATTCACGAATTCAGTGTTCAAAGCAACTTTTTAAGAAGGTAAGAAAGTTGCAAGTCTCCCATAAAGAATCAAACTAAAGATTTTTTTCTAGGCTTTACATTATTGAATTTTTGAGTATATAAAATAGTGCATATCCTTCTACTTATTGTTCATCCAGGCAGTGTGTAGAAGAAGCTCTTGGAAAGAAGAAAATACATAAAATAAAATAATTTGTATACTTTATACAACATCATTTTATAAATAAGAACAATTATATTCAGGGAGTTTATGTAATTGGTTCTAGAAGACTTTGCCCCAAAGTATTAGAGCTTGGATTTGAACTCAAATTGGTGAAATGACAAAGCCCAGATCCATTTCATTACTAAAGTTTTTACTATTTTATACATATTGATGATATTCAACTTAACGTCAACTTTCCCGAATTTAATAAATTATTTTAATTAAATGAGTTGATTATGAGTAAATTAATTTGATTGTTAATTTTTTATGAGTTTCATCAACTAGTATAATGACCTTGATATAAAAAAATGCTCAAGTTGTGAAATCTCATTTCCATTCCCTTGCTTCTCTTACAGAAGTGGCTACAGTATGACTTATGGGCTCTGCAGCAAGCAAGCTTATAATTTATCCATATCTCTATTAGTTGAAGCAGGGTCCTTAATGTCCTCTGCTTAAGGCTACTCTGCATTATAATCAGATGAAACTTTGATAAAATTGACATTTTAGCTTCTTATTCAAAAATTTATGTGACACATGACCATATTCAATTTGTAGATAAGATTTTATAATAGGAAAAGGAACTTCACATGCAACAATTCGGCCTTTGGCTTTATGTATGAGCATAGTGTGCACTGGAATTCTAATATCTTTGGGAAATATTTGTTACACATAAATTCAATTCCTTGCTTTTTTTACTTAGTAAAGTTTCTCATCATCATTTTAAGCCATGTGTCAAGATTATTATGTCTTATTTTTTTAGAATGCCTCCAAAGAACAAAAAAATGCTAATAAGCTTCTTGTTAACCTGCTAATAAATGAAAATTAATTCTAGAAAAGGGCTTTGGCCTGCAAAAATGTGTGCCTTACAGTAAAGAACTTCAACACATACAGGCTTTTGAGCAGTGGATTTCAATATAGTAAAGTTACAATGTTCTGTACATAGTTTTAAAAGTACTTATACTTTTTCCTGTTGTTGTTTTGTTTCATTTTTCCCATTCTCTCTCTGAGTTTTAGTTTTGCTTTTGGCTGATTCTTTCCTTCCTTCCTTCCTTCCATCTTTCCTTCCTCTCTTTTGTCTCCTTCTTTCTTCCTTTCTTTGTTTTTGTAAAGTTGAGAGAAGTGCATTTTTTTCTTGATCATTTTAGATTATAATTTATGTGTGATTTAATTTGAATACACTGAATATTTGGTTAGATTCAAATATATGTGTGATTAAGTGTGCTATTTTAAGTCACTATTTTATTCATATTTATTGTAAAATCTTGAAATTTCTGTAATTTTTGTGATTAAACTGATAATGTCCTTATGCCTTTATCAAAAAAGAGTGAAAAAGAATTTTTTTACATTACA
Organism: Homo sapiens; assembly: GCF_000001405.40. Lineage (NCBI taxonomy): Eukaryota > Metazoa > Chordata > Mammalia > Primates > Hominidae > Homo > Homo sapiens. The sequence continues at coordinate 64,006,029 of NC_000004.12, read as the reverse complement.
TGCTAATTTTAGATGTGCATGCTTATGATCTAATTGGAAAACACAAATTGATTAGGAAAATAGAATCATTCTTACATTGTTATTAAATCAAATTATGTTTTACAGTTCACAGTTTAGTTGCTGTTAATTCTTATTGAAAACTGTTAGTACAGCTAAATAATTTTTTGAATATGGCTAAAAGAGCTGAGGATAATGCATCCAACATTTCTCTTGAGAAAGAGAGTGAGAAAGAAAAATTGAGAGAGGAGAGAGACACACACACACAACGAGAGAGAGAAAAAGAGAGAAAGAGATCCAGTAGGTTACTCTTTATTTTCTATTTTCGAATACAGTATAGTTTAAGAGGTAGAAGCTTTCAGTCTTCATCTTTTTTGGAAGTTAGGCAAAGAAAAAAAATCAATGTAGAATAAGACTTTCTAGGAGTTTCTCTGCTTAGTCTTTTCAATTTGAATGTACAGTCATGTTATGCATAAGAAAATAAACTTCAATGCCTAAATTTTCTGTTCTTCAAGATCCAAAAGTTGGAATGCTAAAGTCAGTTTGCATTTTTCCAAAATGAACTAGCTAGGCTAAGATATGAATTTAAAACCTGATACAGGCCGGGAGCGGTGGCTCACGCCTGTAATCCCAGCACTTTGGGAGGCTGAGGTGGGCGGATCACGAGGTCAGGAGATCGAGACCATCCTGGCTAATGTGGTGAAACCCTGTCTCTACTAAAAACACAAACAAAGTAGCCGGTCATGGTGGCAGGTGCCTGTAGTCCCAGCTACTCGGGAGGCTGAGGCAGAAAAATAGCATGAACCCAGGAGGCACAGCTTGCAGTAAGCCGAGATCACTCCACTACACTCCAGTCTGGGAGACAGAGCAAGATTCCATCTCAAAAAAACAAAACAAAACAAAACAAAAACCTGATACAAAATTTAATTTTAAATATTAAAGAGAGCAAGTTATTTTCTAACACTAATAAAGTATTTCTGACATTCTCCCTTCAAACAAACATGTTTCCCAGGAGAACTTAAACATTTTCTGCCAAGGACTTTTTGTCATTTCTGTTAACTTAATGGATGCTCTTCCCAGAATGTTTTTAAATATGTAAAATAAATTCAAATTACAAAAATTATCTTAAAATGCAATCATCTATGTATCTAGCTTTCTAGCTCTTCTCTATTAACATAGTGTCATAGGACATTCTTGCACTGCTTTAAAGAAATACCTGATACTGGGTAATTTATAAAGAAAAAGGGTTTAATTGTTTCACTGTTCTGCAGGCTATACAGGAAGCATAACACTGACATCTGCTTAGTTTCTGGGGAGGCCTCAGCAAATTTATAATCATGGCAGAAGGCAAAAGAGGGGCAGTCACATTGCATGGTGAAAGCAGGAATGAAAGTGAGGGGGGAGGTGATACACACTTCTAAATGACCAGATCTCATGCGAACTCATTCATTATCATGGGGATAGTACCAAGAAAGATGGTGCTAAATCTTTCATAAAAATCCACCCTCTGCAGGGCACGGTGGCTCACGCCTGTAATCCCAGCACTTTAGGAGGCTGAGGCGGGTAGATCACGAGGTCAAGAGATAGAGACCATCCTAGCCAACATGATGAAACCCCATATCTACTAAAAATACAAAAAATTAGCCAGGTGTGTTGGCAGGAGCCTGTAGTCTCAGCTACTTGGGAGGCTGAGGCAGGAGAATCCCTTGAACTCAGGAGGCAGAGGTTGCAGTGAGCGAGACCGCGCCACTGCACTCCAGCCTGGCTACAGAGTGAGACTCCATCTCAAAAAAAAAAAAAATACACCCTCATGATTCCATTACCACCCACCAGGCCCCAACTTCAACACTGAGGATTACATTTCAATATGAGATTTGGGTGGGGACACACATCCAAACTACATCACACAGCAATAAAAAGATATAGTGACCTAATTAGCCATTACTACCATAACAAAGCAGGAAGCTTAAATCACACATAAGATCTCTAGAAATACTGCAATTTGAGTTTTAATAGTGATAAAGTCATAGATGCTAGATACTGCTAACAGCAATGTAGTTTGTTACTCATATTTGTAGCTAAATAAAATTCTAAATTTCCCTTTTACTCTAGTTAAAAATAAATGTATAATTATTTGTCCCACCCAAGATTCCTCACTGTTCTCTATCTATGAACATTTTCTCTTTGTCTGTGGATCCTGCATTAAGAATCAATCAGTGATTATATTGACTGTGTGATTTTCTTCCATGATAGATGTCGGTGCTATTACGATGGATAAGACAACATGTACTCTAGATGATTTCTGAATCTGGCAGAAGTAAACCAGACTGCAGAAAGTTAGCTCTGATCCAATGTAATAGCTGCAATAACAGAGATATGTGCTAAGTACTTTGGGAACATACATAGAAAAGTGGTTACCTCTTCTAAAAGGGATATTGGAGGAAACACAAAATATGATGACATTTACAATAATCTCAGAAATGAGCAGAAGTACACAGTAGAAAAAGTTGAAAAAGATGCACATTCCAGATCTAGACTATAATAAAACTGTAAAGATCCAGAAACATGATCATGAGTGTTAAATTGCATGTTTTGTTATTATTGCCTCTTTGTTGTATTTTTCCTACATTACTGCATTAGTCCATTCTCATGCTGCTATAAGGACACACTTGAGACTGGGTAATTTATTAAGAAAAGAGGCTGAATTGACTCACAGTTCTGCAGGGATGGGGAAGCCTCAGGAAACTTACAATCATGGTTGAAGGGGAAGCAAACATGTCCTACTTTACAGGGCAGCAGGAAGGAGAAGTGCTGAGCAAAGGGGAAAACTTTCCTTATAAAATCATCAGAACTCCTGAGAACTCACTTACTATCACAAGAACAGCATGAGGGAACCACCTGTGTAATCTAATCATCTCCCGCGAGGTCTGTCCCTCAACATGTGAGGAGTACAATTCTGATTAAAATTCAAGATTCAAGATGAGATTTGGGTAGGGACACAGAGCCAGACCATATCATTCCTCCCCTGGCCCCTCTCAAATCTCATATTTCTCAAAAGTAAAAACACAAGTATGCCATCCCAACAGTTTCCCAAAGTCTTAACTCATTCCAACATTAACTCAAAAGTCCTAGTCCAAAGTCCCAACTGAGACAAGGCAAGTCCCTTCTGCCTATGAGCCTATAAAATCAAAAGCAAGTTAAGTTACTTCTGAGGACTAAGCCCTGATTTTTTTTTTTTTTTATCTTGCCCAAATTTCTACCTAAGGGGTCTAGGGAGTTGTGCCCTTCAAAATATAAATCCTCATCACATGGGTTTATTTGACCCTACATATCATGACTTACTTTTCAATCTGACTCTTGCATAACATTATGAGGCAATAAAAAATATCTAACCTCAAAATGTATTTCTTTGCCATACCTTGAAATTGTCCTGCAGTCTCTTGTGGGAAAAGTTCACATCCTATAGAGCATTCCCCTTTCCCTTTGTTTTCCTTCTTTTCTTTTCAGATCCAGGAGATAACCACCTAAGAGCCAGGCACCCTTTTACGTCTGATAAGAAATAATTTTACAACCTTCTCTCTCTCTGAAGTCTGCTGTCTGAGAGATTTGTCTGCACAGTAAAACTTCGTCTCCACAATCCTTTATCTTAACCTGAACATTCCTTTCCTTTGATCCCAGGTCTTCAGACAAGCTCAACCAATTACCAACCAGAATATGATTAAATTTGCCCATAGCCTGGCAGCCCCCTCTTTGAGTTATCTGCCCTTCTGAAGCAAACCAAAATATTTCTTAAATGTATTTGATTGATGTCTCATGTCTCCCATAAATATATAAACCCAAGCTGTGCCCAGATCACTCTGAGCACATGTTCTCAGGACCTCCTGAGGGCTATGTCATGGGCCATGGTCACTCATATTTGGCTCAGAAGAAATCTCCTCAAATATTTTACAGAGTTGGACTCTTTTCATCAACAATAATCTGGCGCCCAAACATGTGGGGCCTCAGGGAAGACTCAGTACCCCAAAAGAGTTGCCCAAAACCAGAGCTAAGGTATGAGCAGGACCCCTTCAGCCTCACCGAGTTCAAGCTTCTCCTCCAGTGACACTTGTAAGTCCTCCTGAGCCCCCGACCTCCTGTTTTGATTGATGGTCCTTAATTAATTCTGAGCTGTTTTTTTTCTCTCTTTTCTCCTAAGATGTTGGTTAAAATCTTAATTTTAGTTTCAGACGTGCATTCAAAAGGGTCTTTCTTCATTGCCTTTTCTCTCAAAATTAATCTCAATTGGCTTGTCTGTGCACACTTTGCATGAGGAACTGAACTGTTATTTTTCATAAGTAAATGAGAGACTGAGTTCCTCAGCTCCTAATAGAAAGTGCATTCTGCTCCTCCCAGCTGAAAGGGCCCCCTGGGTGGCCAGGGTCCTCATGGGAGTGTCTGGTAGGTATACCCCTCTGCGATGTGCAGTGGCCCTATAGGAAACTTCCCAACAAATATTAATTTAAAAAGACTCATCCAGAAAATGCGTGTAAGAGCTGATCACCCTGCGTTTTGACCCTCTCAGAGGTGACAGACTTCTGAGAGAGAAACTGAAACATGTAAGAGGGTAGAAATGACTCAGTGGTGAGAAACTGTGGAGTCAGGCCCACAAGCAGCACATATCAATCCACCACACAAATCCTTAGGCCACAAGTCAGTTAAAAAAAAAAAAAAAAGATGGGAAATAAACCCTCCAAAAGAGAAGAAAGGACAAGAGAGTGGCCCCCTACAGTCAGCCCCGCTGGGTTTGTTTAATAATTATGGCACCTTTACTTGCAAGTATTTATGTAAATGGAAAGATATTACTAAATATTACCTAGGTCTAAGGTTTCCAAATTGGGAAACTTTCGATATCCCTATATTGGTTTCTTCACACACTAGATTAGAAAAATAAGGTGCCCAAATCAAAGAAAATGAATGGGATTCGTACTTCAGCTGACATCTAGAATCATCAAAAAGAGGGAATGATAAGCTTCCCTCCCTCCAGGAAGTAAGTAAAACAAAAAATTGTAACTGTCTCAGAATTAAATAAATTAGTAGAAGCCACTTCTGAAATCAGGAAGGCTACAGAAACTGTCTCCCCTTCTGCTCCTCCATTTTTCTTCCTCCTTCCCCTACTCCCTTGCCTCAAGTCACAGGGGACCAGAAATAGCTGGAGAAAATAATATAGCAGTTGCTCCTTTCAGAGTAAAATCCACAGGCAGAGGGGATCCTAACATAATATATGCCTCCTGGACCAAATCAGAGTTAAAGGCCCTGGTATCTGGATTCCCCAGTCCAAATGAAGAACCCTTTGGATTTGCTAAGGAATTCCAATTAATGCTTAAGATTTATAATTCAGGGTTCTCTGCCCTATATCAGCTGGTTGAGTTACTACTGGTCCTCCAAAAAAAAGCTAAAGAATGGTTTAGAGTAGCAGATTGGAAACAGTCTTCAGAAGATTTTGACAGAATAGATTCAACTGGGTTCAACTGGAAGAGAGAAATGCAGAGAGGTTTGCAATCACCTCTGTGAAACTGTACCACAAATATTCCCCAAGGTTATAGATTTGGCAAAGGTTCAACAATGTAAAATATGCCCAAACAAAACCATGCCTGACTTTTATATCAGGTTTGAATACACATTCAAACAGTTTTCAGAAATGCCTCCTGAAACCTTTGAGTATGGTTGAAGTGACACCTTACTAAATTCTGGGTTTATTCAAGGTTGAGATAAGGAGTTAGCAAGCCTAATAAAGAGGAACAATGTGGCTTGGGCTTCCTTGCCCACTAGCCACCTAGTCACCCCAGCTGGCCAATTGTCACAAACAATCATCAATTAAAAAAAAGGAAACAGTCTCTAAAATTATTAGTTTACAACTAAAATAGCTTAGTTTCCAACAAAGTTGGGAGTTTGCAAGGGTCCCATGGTCCCCAGAGATCTAAGCGACCCCAAGAGGAAGAAACTTGCCACTATTCCAAAAAGAAAGAACATTTAAAAAAAGAATATAAAAAACTACATAAAAAACTTAAATGGGTGCTTGCACAAAGTGGGCAAAGGACCCCAGAGAAAGGGACCAGAACAACTCAAAAATCAGAATAGGGATGCTCCAAGAGAATAGAGAGAGTTTTCCCTCTACTTCCAACAAATGCTTTAGGAGAAGTAGAAATATCCATAAATGGGGAAAATACCAAAGTCCCTGTTGACACCAGGGGTACTCTGTCAGTCCTCAAATATACCTTGTTTAAGAACCCTCTCCCTCAGATTAAAAAAAAGTCCAAATGGTAGAGGTTTCAAACTCTCCTATTATAGTCTTTAAATCAAATCCACTTCAATTTCAATTAGGATAACTAGTGAGGCATCACGTTTTTCTTAAAGTAGATAGTGCCCCCATACACCTGCTGGGATGGGATTTCCTAGAGTCTCATAATGCTCACACCTCATTTTAACAGAAAGGGGAAATAATTCTCAAATTGGGAGACATAGAAGATTACAAAAACCCACATGTAATATTATGCTTGTGAAAGTTAATCAAGATTCTGCACAGGAAGAATTAGAGCCTTTCTTATCTAAGGTACCAGATTCCCTATGGGCAAGCCCTTCCACAGATATTAGGAGAATTAAATCAGCGGTCCCTATGGAGATAACCATAAATAAATCCAAACCTTTGCCAAATATAAGGCAATATCCCCATTAGACCTGAAGTCTTATTAGGAATCAAACCAATCATTCAGGACTATTTAGACAAAGGACTCATAATACCCTGCACCAGCCCTTGCAATAATCCAATTCTCCCAGTTAAAAAGCCAAATGGGAAAGGCTGGTGATTTGTTCAGGACCTAAGCTATAAATAAAATAATTCCTATACACCTGTTGTTCCTAACCCCCACATCTTACTAACCAATATTCCTATCACTGCCAGCCACTTCTCTCTTTCTGATTTATGTAGTGCATTTTTCAGTATTCCTGTGGAGAAAAATAGCCAGTATATTTTTGCTTTCACTTGCTAAAATTGCAAATACACATGGACAGTCTTACCACTGGGCTACTCTGAAAGTCCTACTTATTTATCTCAAATACTAAAGGCAGACTTAGAATACATTGAATTTCCAAAAGAATCTACTCTAATTCAGTATGTGGATGATTTACTGTTGTGTTCATCCTCTCTACCAAAATGCAGAGGAGATACTGTCCACCTATTAAAACAGCTTGCTTTTAAGAGACACAAAGTATTGAAAGATAAATTATAATTTTGTCTCCTCCAAGTTAAATGTTTAGGACATATGATTTCCCAAAGGGGGTTACTAATAAACCCTGAGAGAATCTCTGCTGTTACCATCTTCCCCCACCCCCCTCCAAACTAAAAAGCAATTAAGAGGATTCTTAGAGTTAACAGGCTATTTCAGGAGTTGGATTCCAAACTACTCCTTAATGTCCCAAACCCTATATAAAAAAACTAAAACAGACCCAGCTGGACCCAATCTACTGGGAAGAGGGGAAAAACAACACACAGAAGAGCTAAAACAGGCTCTCACCCAAGCACCTGCTCGAGGCCAAACCAATTACAGTTTTCTGGTTTTCCTCTTCATACATTAAATAAACGGGAATGCTCTAGGAGTATCAACTCAAAAATATGGTGACAATCACAGGCCAATTTGTTATTTCAGTCAACAGATCCAGTTGCAGGGGGGCACACTCCTTGTATGAGGGCTACATCAGCTACAGCCACCTTATGCAAAAATGTCAAAGAATTTGTCCCAGTGTCCCTTCTAACATCTATGCCCCTTACTCGGTGAGATCTCTTCTAAGTGCTCACCACACTTGACACTATTCTGTTAGCCACCTCACCTCTTATGAGATACTCCTGCTTTCTGCCCCCAGCATCACTTCAAAGCACTGTAACACCGTTAACACTGCTACCCTTCTCCCCCTTCCAGGTAAACAACAAAAGGAAGAGAAACGTGATTACAATTTACCTACTAATATCTTACTCTCCCCTAAAGAAGATTTACAGGAAACTCCCATTGAGAATGCTGAATTAATTTGGTTCATGGTTGGTTCTTATTTAAGGGACAACCAGGGGCATTACCAGGCAGGATATATCATCATTTTTATAACAGAAATAATCAAAAGTGCCCAACTCCAAGGAGTCAAATCAGCCCAGAAGGCTCGCAAATTTGCTAAAGGAAAAGTGGCAAATATATATACCAATAGTTGATATACTTTCGGAGTAGCCCATGATTTTGGCATGGAAATAAATATTTTCTTACCTCATCTGGACAGCCCATACAAAATGGGCAACAAGTCTCAGAGTTACTAGAAGCAATTCAGATGCCAAGGCAACTTGCAATCATAAAAATTCCTGGGCACTCAAAGGATAACACTAAAGAAGCAAAAAGAAATAATCTAGCTGATGCTGCAGCAAAAAATGCTGCTCCAGGAAATATAGCCTATTCTGTACAGGAATGTATCTTTCATCCTCCAAATACCCTAACATTCTTTTTCAATATCAACAAGCATCTAGCCCTCAAGAGAAACACACCTGTCAGCAGAAGGGAGGCATGTTTGAACCATTTAAGGAATTATGGCTAGAGCCTAATAAAAAACTGACAGTTCCAATAGGTACACAATTGCCTTTCCTTAAGTTTATTCACGACATGACCCATGGGGCCCCTGAAAAAAAAATGGTATCATGAGGAAGACAATACTTTTGAAAACCATCCCCCATGGTAGCCCAAAATGTATACTCTCAATGTACTATTATGCTCAAAACATAACCTGACAAGCTCTTACGTGGCTCCCAAAGTCATTTTCCTTTGCCAATAGGACCTCCTGAAGTATGGCCGTTGGATTTTATCCAGATGCCACCATCTCAAATTTTCAAATGCATTCTGGTCTTAGTTTGTATGTTTTCTTATTGGGTAGAAGCATTTCTTTGTTGGAGAGCTACCGCCTTAACAGTAGGGAAAGATTTTGTTAGAATCATTCCAGCTTGGGTAACTCCTTCTGAGCTGCACAGTGATTGTGGGACTCATTTTACTGGACAAGCTGTTCAATCCATTTGCAAAATCTGGCCCATAACAGAACATTTCCATTGTGCCTACCATCCCCAATCCTCTGGGTTGGTGGAATGGACAAATGACACAATAGAAACTCAATTAGCTAAGTTGACAGAGGCTTTTAACCACTCTTGGCCAAAATTACTCCCACTGGTCTTGCTTAATCTTAGATCCACTACTTTTGGAAAACATTGTTTATCACCTTATGAAATCGTAACAGGGAGACCTGTGAGGCTGGATGAGGGCTTATATGAACCAGCCTTATTCAAAGGGAAAATATTGCACTATTCTCGAAGGCTCCTCAAAACTTTAACAAATAAAACAAAGCTGGTAACAGAATCTTTCCACAGTGAGCTCCAGGGGCTTGATGACCCCAAAGACCACAGATTACAGCAATCAGCTAACTTTGTATATTGAAAAAGACACCAACTGAAGGATTCTGTACAGCCCACTGGAAAGGACCTTATCATGTGCTTTTAACCAACTCTTGTGCTTTAAACTTAACGGGAGTCGCTTTTTGGATTCACATTTCACACCTAAAATGATGGCCTTACCACATTCCTGACCACCCCTAGACTTCTGAACCAGTCTCTGATACCACCTGCAAATCGAGAGAACACTGGAGACTCAGCCGGTCTCTAGGACTAAAACAAAAGCCAACATACCTCCAGAGATGCCAGATCAGGCCAGTACTCATGAACCCTAAAATAATTCTCATTTTTACTTTCTTTGCTAGAGAATATTGCTAAAACCCTGCATGTTTTAACTGAGGCCCCTAAGAAGCTGTTTGGAATCTATGCAATCTTCCTTGGTATAAATTTCTAAATGGGTATGGCTATACATTCCCTTGCTAAAGTCAGGAAAATGTTTTACTTGTTCTTTCTCATTACCACAGTCTCCTCTGTCTGCTTACCCAACACTCCTTCTCTTTTCAAACCTGAACATTTCTCCTGGTTCCCTGCAAACCTCAGCAATCTTCCTGTAGGCAGAGCACACTTCGTTTGGTATGATATAGACCAGGACAAAATGAAGACTGTTACATGGAGCAGCACGATTCTAAACATTCCCTGAGGTGCCCTTTTTTAGGGTATCTCTATTATAGGTCTACAACCAAATATGATGTCCTGCAGGAATATTGCCTAAAAATGCTTCAGGATGATCACTGAGAGGGTCTAACCAGGTAGAATATTGCATAGCAATAGATATTGGGGATGATTAGTTGAGACAATTGCCTGATTACAATGGGAAAAATCTAGCTGCCTCCTATGTAAACTGCCATAGCTTGGCCTGCTAAATAACTACCAGCCCTGTGCTTGCGCTGGATGCCCCCATCCATCACCAAGCACACTGACACCACCCTTAAAGAATTATTTATGGGAGTCAATTGGTGGACAGAGGTCCCTGATGGCATAAATTCCACACTAAGACCAGGATGCCTCTAGGAAGCCTTATGGAATGCCCAGACAAGAGTATACTTAGAGGTAACATCCCCTCACCTAACAATTGTTTGGGATACCCAGCAGCTCTGGATTGACTCTATTTATCAAATTGTGCAAATGCCATTAGTGTACAACGGCAACAGTATTCCCAATGGATATGCCAAAATTGGCCACACAAAAAACTAAAGCGTGACCTCGCTGGAGGAGTTGGAGCTGGGCTAGGCATATTGAAGCAATCTGAGTTCATGACTAACAAAGAGAGACATTCTTTAGAAAAAACTTTCCTATCAAAAATAGGCCACATAGAAGAAATGCCATTCCAGGAAGAGGGAAAAAGATGGGAAGCTGCTTTAAAAGATAATGCAGCACTCATCAAATGGATAGAAGAAACCAGAGAAACCATGAAAACATGCTCCCAAACCAAAGATGGGAACAAGGATGTACTCTTCCCCAAAAGGGGTTCATGTCTATTTAATCACAAATGGAATCTGACGTGGCTATGAAGCAATGGCCTATAATCCTCAGTACTGAGGCACAATCCAAACTCCTGTGCAAAATATATGGTCCCCCAAACTTATGAAGATTTTTGGATGTTAAACGTGACCTTCAACATTGTGTTCTCAGAGCACAGACACAGAAGTTAAATGAGGCTCAAAGGTACTCTGTCATCCAACGGGCAGGAATTGGGGCTACAGTAAACAATACAAGAATGCCCACTCCTAGGAAATAGGTGGGCTATTTTAGCTGATAATAACACTTGGCACACCATCTCCCTTGCAGATTGTGAAAACAGAAAAGGAGAATGGCTATGCCTTCAAACCACTTGGAACCCTGATTTTTCCCAAACTTGGCCTCTAATATCCACCCCCATGGGACATAGCATCTGGTATATGGGGAAGGGCCGCTTCTGTTGAGTGGGACAACAAAACAACACTGTAGAATGATGTGATTTCTCCTGTGACAAAACCTTTTCTCTCCCAAATACCAGTATATGGTGCAATACAAAAGTGGTGTGAAAAATTGATTTGTCCACTGTTAACAAGTCCTATGACAATTTAGACATTGGGCACCAGGCATTCCTTGCATTTAATTTATAACATAGGATGTTATACCTATGGAGATAAATTGGTCAGAAGAGAAATTACATTTATTGGTTTCTTATTTAGTGTCAGGCCTACAATCCTCAAATAAGATTTATCATAAGGTTCAAATGACCCTTGATAAGGAAAGTAAACACATTGTGAGTCTGATTGAAAAATATGATGATGCATTCAGTGGTTTTCGTGGCTGGTCAGGTTGTTTACTCCCCTCTGACTCTACCTATAACTTTTTTGGATGCCTAATCTTTGCTAGGAATTTTTCACCGTATTAGCATTACGTATGTCTTGTAAATGTTATGCCAGATACAGGAAAAGAAAGAAGGCACAATTAAAGACCCTGATCATGATAGCTAAAAAAATAAATATGATTTGGGATTTTTTTAAAGTAAACCCGAGGCCTGACTCCGTCTCAACCCTTAAATTATTGGCTATTACATCAGGTCAGACCATGTCCTCTCCGCATGATCCAAATCAGGAATATTTAAAACTTAAAAAAATTAATAAATAAAACTGAAAGTAAAGAAATATGTCTAGCAGTACTTACATTTAAAAATATCAAAACATTATTATGTATACCTTAGATATAGTCATCCCTCTGTATTCATGGGTTCCTCATCCACAAATTCAATCAAAAGTATTCAAAAAATACAAGAACAAAAAATAGAAATAAAAATAATACAGTGTAAACTATTTACACAGAATTTACATTGTATTAGGTATTATACTTAATACAGAGATGATTTAAAGTAAACAGGAGGAAATGCATAGGTTATATGCAAATACTATGCCATTTTATATGAGAGTTGAGCATTTGCTGATGAGTTTCCATGAAGGATCCTGAAACCAATCCCCTGTGGATACCAAAGGACAACTGTATATAAAATAAATAATTACAAAAAAGAGTTCATAAAATAGAAGAAAATATTCATACAAAAGCACTGAGAATAGAAGGAAGTAAAATTTTTACCAAAAGGAAAGAGAGAACAAATAGCATATTAGTCAGCTTGGTCTGTTGTAACAAAATACTATAGACTGGGTAGCTTACATAGCAAATATTTACTTCCTATAATTCTGAAGGCTGGGAAGTCCAAAATCAAAGTACTGGCCAATTTGGTTTTCTGGTGAGGGCTGTGTTCCCATGTTGAGGACAGCTCTCTCTGTGTCCTCCATGGCAAAGAAGAAGCAAGCTCTCTGTTGTCTTAAAGCCACTAATCCCATCATGAGAGCCCCACCCTCATGACCTCATTTAAACCTACTTAATTCCCAGTGGCCAAGTGTTTAAGTATCATTGCATTGGAGGTTAGGTCTTTAACATATGAAGTAAAGCAGGGAGTCACAGTTAAGTTCATAGAAAAGAGTATATAAAACACATAGGTTTGTTGAAAGGTATTTTATGTGTAGTTGGAGTCCTCAAAGGAGACAAGAGAACAGACAGAAAAAAATACGTAAAGAAACAATAATAAGAATTTTCCAAAACTGATAAAAGACATACATTATGTCAAGACTCTGAAAGTTTTAGAAAGTGAGACAATTTGAAATAAAATGCACACAAAATATTAGATAAAAACTGACAAAATGTAAAAATGAACACAATATTTTAAAGCAGCTGAAAAGCAAAAAGCAAAATAAGAATGGTAGTTTACTTACGGACCAAAATAATAAATGCCCAAAACAGAAGAAGCCAATCAAATTATGTCATCAAACTACAAAAAAAAAAAAAAAATCCAAGAAGCCAACATAGAATTCCAACCCAGCAAAATATCTCTTCAAATAAAGAGAAATAAGCACATTTTCAGATAAAATACTAAAAAGGATTCCTTCGAAATTGAAAACATAAATGTAATTTGCTTGTTCAAATAAAAATATCCCATGTTGATGCAAAAAAAAATAGAAACAGAAATATGAAGGGCAAAATTATAAATTAATTTAAATTAATGTAGAAAGCCTAATCTAGTCGTAATGTCTTAAAACATTTATACTTGTGAATAAAACATACAGCAACAATATCACAAAAATGAGAGGAAAAGTAAATAGAAGTAGCTCTTTGATTTATTGCATTATTACAGTAAGTAGTAAAATAATAATTATTAGAATATAACAAGGATATATAGAAATATCTAGGGTACTCAATAAATTAATAGTAAAATAATGTAGAATTAACAAGTGGGGTGTGTGTAAATGTGAAAATAACACAAATATGATTAATTTACTAGACAGCCAAAAAGGAAAGGCAAAATAATATAAGAATGGAAGAAATAGAAAGCAAACGATGAGATGACTTACAAGTTCAAAGGCATCAGAAATTACATTGTATTGTAAGGTCAAATTAAGAAATCAGTATCTGAGAATAGAGAGAAAATCTGTTTGCTGCTTATAAAAAGACACAACTTAAATATAAAAATACAAATTTTACAAGTAAAAGGTTATTTAGAACTAAAAATTGTTTTAACATTTAAAAAAAAATAGTGCAATAAACACACATCTTATGATTATTAGATAGATGCAGAAAAATACCAAAAATCTATTCTATGATTAAAAACACTTCGAAAATTAAAAAGAAAAAAACTCTCTTCATTTTATAAGCACATCAAAACTCTAAAGCATACATAATGATTAATGATATAATATTTCAACCTTTTCCAGTGAAGTTAGAAATTTAAAAAAAGGATTTTCATTATCATCACCTCAATGTAACATTAAACTGAAATACACTGCTAGCAAAATAAGGGAAAAGAAAATAGAGTTTAAGAAATAAAAATGAATGTGCTATTCAAACTTATAGATGTTATTGTAGAATATTAAAAAAATACAATAATTAAATTTATAACATCACTACAAAAATTAATTTTACTGATATCTAACAGCAATATGCCAATACAACAAATTTTTTTGTAGGTAATAATATTTACAATTGCATCAAACCCAAACATATTTATAAATAAATGCAACAAAAATGTACAAGATTTCTACACAGAAAATAACAGACCATTACTTAGCAAATTAAGAAAACCTAAATTAATAGAGAAACATATCATGCTCACGGATGATACTTGTTCATGGATAATTATCTATAAATTGCCCAAATTTGTGAAAATTTAAACTTTTTTTAAAAAAGTTTTTATTTTAATAACTTCAGGGGTACCAGTGTTTCTTTGATTACATGGATGAATTGTATACTGGTAAAGTCTGGGCTTAGTGCACTGGTCACCTGAACAGTGTTCACTGTACCAAATGGGTAATTTTTCATCTCTCACCCCCCTTCCACCCTCCCTCCTCTGGATCTCCAGTGTCTATTACACCATTCTGTATGCCCTTGCATACAAATAGCTTAGATACCACTTATAAGTGAGAATAGGCAGTATTAGTTTTCTATTCCTGAGTTACTTCACTTAGGATAATAGCCTCCAGTTCCACCCAAGTTGCTCCAAAAATGTTGTTTTCTTATTTATTGCTGAGTAGTATTCCACGATGTGTGTATATACAATGCAATTGTGAATTGAGCTGCAATAAACATATACACACAGGTGTGTTTTTGATATAATGTCTTCCTTTCCTTTCAGTAGTTACCCAGTAGTGAGACTGCTGGATTGAATGGTAGATCTACTATTTGTTATTTGAGAAATTGCCATACTGTTTTCCACAGAGGTTGTACTGTTAAAATTTACATTCTCACCAACAGTGTGAAAGCGTTTCTTTTTCACCACATCTGTGACATCTATTGTTGACTTTTTAATAATAGCCATTCTGGCTGGCCCAATGTGATATCTCACTCTTATTTTAATTTGCATTTCCCTGATGATTAGTGAAGTATGAATATTTTTTCATGTTTGTTGGCCATTTATATATCACCTTTTGAGACATATCTGTTCATGTCATTTTCCAACTTTTTAATGTTTTTTTTTTTTGCTGATTTGTATGAGTTTCTTATAGATTCTGGATATTAATCCTTTGTCAGATGCATAGTTTGCAAGTAATTTCTCAAATTCGGTAAGTTTTCTGTTTACTCTGTTGATTATTTCTTTTGCTATGCAGAAGCTTTTTAGTTTCATTAAGTCCCATTTATCTATTTTTGTTTTTGTTTAATTTGCTTTTGGAGTCTTAGTCATAAATTCTTTGCCTAGGCTAATGTTCAGAGAGTTTTTCCTAGTTTTTTTGTTTTTTTTTTTTTGAATTTTTTTGTGTTTCAGGTCTTAGATTTAAGCCTTTAACCCATTTTCAGTTAATTTCTGTATATGGTGAAACATAGGGGTCCAGATATAATCACAAGAATGAACAAAGGGTTCATTCTTCTACCTTTGGTTATCCAACTTTCTTAAGATCATTTATTGAATACAGTGTCCTTTCCCCAGTGTATAATTTTGTCTGGTTTGTTGAAGATCAGTTGGTTGTAGGTATTTGGATTTATTTCTGGCTGCTGTTTCATTGGTCTATGTATCTACATTTATACTAGTACTATGCTGTTTTGGTTACTATAGCCCTGTAGTATAATTCGAACTTGGGTAATCTGATGCCTCCAGATTTGTTCATTTTTCTCAGGATTGCTATTTGAGCTCTTTTTTTTTGTTTGTTTGTTTCACATGAATTTAAGCATTGCTATTTCTCATTCTAAATACCAAAAATGATGTTGATATGTTGATGGAAATTGAATTAAATCTGTAGATTGCTTTGGACAGTATGGTTATTTTCATAATCTTGGTTCTTCTGATTCATGAGCATAGAATGTCTTTGTTTGTTTGTGTGATCTATGATTTCTTTAATCAGGGTTTTACATTTATCCTGTGTTAAGTGTGTTCCAATGGGTATTTTTGTTTTGTGTTGCTTTTGTAGCCATTATAAATGTGACTGAGTTCTTACTTTGATTTTCAGCTTAGCCATTATTGCTGTATAGCAGTACCACTGATTTGTATACATTCTTTTTGTAACCTAAGAATTTACTGAATTCATTTATGAAATCTAGGAGTCTTTTGGAGGAGTTTTTAGGGCTGCCTATTTATAAGGTTATATCATCTGCAAAGACAGATAGTTTGAATTCCTCTTTTCCAATTTAAATGCCTTTATTTCTTCCTCTTGACTGACTGCTCTGGCTAGGATTTCTGGTACTGTGTTCAATTCTTTGTGGTGAAAGTGGGCATTATAGTCTTCTTTTAATACTTAGTGGGGGTTCTTTCAATTTTTTCTTGTGCAGTATGCTTTTGGCTAAAAGTTTTGTCATATACAGCTTTTATCATTTGGATGAGTATTCCTTCTACGGTGAGATTGTTTAGTGTTTTTATCAATAAGGGATGTTGAATTTATCAAATGCTTTTTCTCTGTTGAGATGATCATATATTTTTTATTTAATCCTGTTTATGTGGTGAATCACATTTACTGACTTGTGCACATTAACCATAATTGCATCCCTGGGATGAAACCCACTTGACCATGGTGAATTATCTTTTTGATGTGCCCTTGTATTTGGTTTGTTAGAGTTTTGTTGAGGACTTTTGCACCTATGTTTACGGGTATATTTGTCTGTTTTCACACTGCTATAGAGATATTACCCGAGACTGGGTAATTAATAATCACAAAAGGTTTAATTGACTCACAGTTCCACATGGCTGGTGGTGGGGGGGTGCTCAGGAAACTTACAATCATGGTGGAAGATGGAGAAGCAGGCACCTTCTTCACAAAGTGGCAGGAGAGAGAGAGAGTAAGAAGAAGAACATGTCACACTTTAAAACCATCAGTTCTTGTGAGAACTCACTCACTGTCATGATAACAGCATGGTGGAAACTGCCACCATGATCCAATTACTTCCCATCAGGTCCCTTCCTTGACACATTGGAATTATAATTCAACCAAGTCAAACCATACCATCGGTAATATTAGACTACAGTTTTCTTTTTTTGCTTGGTCTTGTCCTGCTTTTGGTATTAGGATGATACTGGGTTTGTGGGAACAGGGAGGATTTCCTCTTCTCAAAATGTTAGAATAATTTCAGTAGAATTAGTACCAATTCTTCTTTTAATGTCTGGCATAAATTCCTATGAGTCTGTCCAGTCCTGGGCTTTTGTTTTTCTTGGGAGTTTTTTTTTTATATGTATAACTGATTCAATCTCACTGCCTAATATTGATCCATTTTGTATTTCTATTTCTTCCTTAAGGTTAGAAATTGCATGTTTCTAGAAAATGTTCCATTTCATCTAGATTTTCTAGTTTGTATGCATAAAGGTATTCATAATAGTCTTGAACTTTGTTTTTATTTCTGTAGTATCCTTTTCATTTCTGATTAAGCTTTATGAATCCTTTTTCTTCTTTTTTGGGTTAATCTAGCTAATGGTCTACAAATTTTATTTTTTCAAAGAACCAGCATTTTATTTCATTGATCCTTTGTATGTTTTTTTCTTGTTTGTTTCAATTATTTTTAGTTTCACTCTGATGTTTGCTATTATTTTCCTCTGCTAGTTTTGGATTGGTTTGTTTTTGTTTTTCTAGTTCCTCAAGGTGAGATATTAGAGTGTTGTATTAGTTTGTTTTCACATTGCTAATAAAGACACACCCAAGACTGAGAAGAAAAAAGGTTTAATGGACTTACAGTTCCACATGGCTGGGAAGACCTCACAATCATGGTGGAGGTCTAGGAGGAGCAAGTCAAGTCTTACATGGATGGCAGCAGGCAAAGAGAGAACTTGTGCAGGGAAACTCCCACTTTTTAAAACTATCAGATATTGTGATACTTACTCACTATTATAAGAACAGCATGGGAAAGACCTGCCCTCATGATTCAATTATCCCTAATCGAGTCCCTCCCACAACATGTGGAAATTATGGAAGCTACAAGATGAGATTTGGGTGGGGACACAGAGCCAAAACCTATCAATTGTCAATTTATAATTTTTCTGTTTTTATGCAGGCATTTATTACTATAAACTTTTCTCTAACACAGCTTTTGCTGCATCCCCAAAATTTAGATAACTCACATCACTGTTAACATTCATTTTGAAAACTTTTAAAATTTTTATCTTAATTTCATTGTTAGCCCAAAGGTCATTAAGGAGTATACTGTTTACTTTCCATGTATTTGTATAGTTTTAAAGATTCCTTATTTAGTTGATTTCCAGGTTTACTCCATTGTGGCCTGAGAAGACAGTTGGCATAATTTTGATTTTTAAAAAAATGTATACTAAGACTTGTTGTCTTGCCTATCATATAATCTATCTTGGAAAATGTTCCATGTGCAGATGAAAATAATGTATATTCTGCAGTTTTTGGGTAGAATGTTTTTCAAATGTCTATTTGGTCCATTTGTTCTAGTGTCCAGTTTAAATCCAGTGTTTCTTTATTGACTTTCTGCCTCAATGATCTGTCTAGTGCTGTCAGTGCAGTGTTCAAGTCTTCCTCTATTATTGTGTTGCTGTCTATTTACTTTCTTAGGTCTAGTAGCATTTGTATAATTCTGGGAGCTCTGGAGTTAGATGCATATATATTTAGGATTGTTATATCTTCTTGTTAAATTGATGCCTTTATTATTATATAATTACATTCTTTGTATTTTTTCACTCTTATAGCTTTAAAGTCTTTTTTATCCGATATCGGAATAGATACTCTTGCTCACTTTTGATTAACATTTGCATGAAACGCTTTTTTCACTTCTTCACCTCAAGTCTGTAACAATCTCCATGAGTTAGATAAATCCCTTAAAGACAACAGCTATTTGGTTTGTGCTTTTTTTTTTATATCAATTCTTCCAATCTGTATCTCTTAAGTGGGGCATTTAGATCATTGACATTTAACATTGATATTGCTATATGAGGTAATGGTCCAGTCATACTTTTGATTGTTACTTAGCTGCTTTGTTTTCTTCATTGTATTACTATTTTGTAAGCCTTGTGAGTTTTATGCTTTTAAGTGTTTTATGCTGGTGCATATTGAACGTTTCTTTAGATATTTAGAACTCCTTTTAGCATTTCTTATAGGGCTGGTCTAGTGGTGACAAATGCACTCAACACCTGCTTGTCTAGGAGAAACTTTATTTCTCTTTCATTTATG
The DNA here is from genome assembly GCF_000001405.40 of Homo sapiens. NCBI lineage: Eukaryota > Metazoa > Chordata > Mammalia > Primates > Hominidae > Homo > Homo sapiens. Next base: position 63,986,391 of record NC_000004.12, on the reverse strand, counting down.
AATCTTAGTTTTGCTGAATAGAAAATTCTTGGCTAATAGTTACTCTGATTGAGGAGACTAAAGATAAAGTCCCAGTCCCTTCCAGGAAACTTCCCTTAACAAATAATGTTTTCATGGAAATCTATGAACTGAATACTGTTAGGAAGTAACATGTTAGAGAGAAGTAATAACATGTATAAAGGCCCAGTTGCTAACAGTTTGTTCTCATATATACTATTTTTAATTTTACTGTTCTTTTTATATTTTATTTTATAATGTGAAATAAGATATCTTCTTCTTTACATAAAAATAAAACATAAACAGAACAGTAAAAGTAAAATTAGTATATAAAAGAACAAATTACTTCACACATATTGTCATGTGGAAGAAAATATAATATAATTACTCCATTAGTCTCAGGTCTAACTTTCTCAATTTTCCCCAGATACAAAGGAGAGAATTATATGGGAGTAATTTGTGGGAAGGAATCTGGTAGGTATGACACAACCCTGTCTAGGTATTTTTTTAAAATGCTTGTCTACACAAACTATCTTTTTGTGGATTTGCTGACATATAATTAAGGGTCTGCTGCCATAAGTTTGATCAGCAATATTTTAGCTCTGTTTGTATCTGAATGGGTAAATCTACATTTGGAGTAAAAATAAAGAAAGTAACTATAGTGAGTTGTAAAGTCCATTCTTATGATCAGTTATATCAGAAATAAAGTTTTGTTTTTCTTCTCACTGACTTTTGTGTCTCTATCCAGATCAATTCTAAAGTTATTTTTCCAAAACGGAGTTATTTATTCTGTCTAACCCTCAACATATAAGGTAACTCAGCTGTTAAGCAGAATTGAGCTATATTTACATATACTTATGCTCATCTACAATATCTTCAATATAAAGTCCAGATCTTTTATTTGACTAGATACAAATCATTCATTATTTTACATCTGCCAGAGGAATTTCATGTACACTATATTTCTCCTAAACTTAAAATAAGAGATTTTGAGGATACTCTCCAATTCTCTTTCTATTTTCAGTAACTGACCAATCCTGTGAACTTATTGTCAGGCCTCTGAGCCCAAGCTAAGCCATCATATCCCCTGTGACCTGCACATACACATCCAGATGGCGGGTTCCTGCCTTAACTGATGACATTCCACCACAAAAGAAATGAAAACGGCCTGTTCCTGCCTTAACTGATGACATTATCTTGTGAAATTCCTTCTCCTGGCTCATTCTGGCTCAAAAGCTCCCCTAATAAGCACCTTGTGACCCCCACTCCTGCCCGCCAGAGAACAACCCCGCTTTGACTGTAATTTTCCTTTATCTACCCAAATCTTATAAAACGGCCCCACCCCTACCTCCCTTAGCTGACTCTCTTTTCGGACTCAGCCCGCTTGCACCCAGGTGATTAAAAGCTTTATTGCTCACACAAAGCCTGTTTGGTGGTCTCTTCACACAGACGCGCATGAAACTTATCCTTGTTAATATATATTCTTTGGTATATACTTATTTTGCATAGCCTTGATAATGTGGCATCTGTGATCACCTCTGAAAACTTTATTGATCCAAAGTTGACAAATAATTCCCTTAAATTTGTCCTTACTCTAACATGAGCACACCTGTTATTTATTGAGCAATGCAATTTGTATTCTTAGACTTTCTATAAAGATGACAGTTTATAGATATTAGGTTCATAAATGAGTTAGTCTGCAGTGGGCTTTGATATTTTACTACAGCATATTATGTTGAACAGAATATTTTAAGGAAAATAGAATGCAATGATGCAACAGTTAAAATGTGTGACACCATAGGATCCAAAAAGAATTCAGGAAGATATGTTACAAAGTCTAGACAATGACTAACATGCTTAACATAAAGGAAAACTACAAATAAATGTCTAATCAGTTCCATTGCCCATTATTTCCTTAAATACTAGGCAGTTAATTTATATAACAACTAGGTGGAAGAGGTTGACACAAGATGGCAGAATAGAAGGCTGCAACAATTGTCCTCCAGGCAAAAACACCAATTTAGCAACTATATGCAAAAAACAAACAAACACATTTTTAAGAACGAAAAATCAGGATCAAAAATCAGGTGAGCACTTACAGTAGCTTCTTTTACCTTTGTTTTGCTAAACGTGGCATTGAAGAAGCAATTAAAATAGTCTTGAATCGCTGATGCCACTCCTCCCCCGACCCCACAGCAGCAGTGGCTTAGTGCAGAAAGCTGTGTACTGCAAATAAGGAGAGTGCAGCAATTGTGAGACATTGAACTCAATGCTGCCTTATTACAGCAGAAGGCAAAATAGGACCAAACTCACTTGTTGTCTGCCATAGAGGAAGCATTTAAACCATCCATAGCCAGAAGGGAATTGCCAAACCCAGCAATCAGAACTAGAGTTCCTGCAGCCTAATCACTTTAAGCTAAACTGTTATGGTATGCTAAATAAACTTGGAAGGCAGTCTAGGTCACAAATAATGCAAATACCAAATGACTCTTAGGGTTGAACTGAGCCCAGAGACAGTGGACTGGGGGTGTACATGACCTGCTGAGATACCAGCTGGGCATGACTAAGGGAGTGCTGACATAATTCCTCCCCTAAGCCTAGGCTGCAATCTCATGGCCCCAAAACAACCCCTTCCTTCCACTTGAGGAATGGAGAAGGAAGATTTTGGAGGACTTTGTTTTGCCTCTTGGATACTAGTTCAACCACAGCAGGATCAGGCAACAAGCAGAGTTCTGAGGCCCCCTTTCCAGGCCCTACTTTCTAAACGACATTTCTAGACACACCCTGGGCCAGAAGGAAACCCACTGCCTTGAAAGAAAGAATGAACTCCTGGCAGAATTCATCCCTTGCCAACTGAAAAGCCCTTGGGCTCTGAATAACCAGCAATGATATTGAGGTACTATGTTGAGGGCCTGGGGTGAGAATCTGAAAGTGGCTGGCTTCAGATGAGACTCAGCACATTACCAGCTGTGGTGGCTGTGGGGTGAAACCTGCATGAGAAAAGTGTGGGGAAAAGTAAAGAGAACTTTGTCTTGCACCTCAGGTACCTGCTCAGCCACAGTTTGGTAGAGCACCAAAAAGGCTGTTGTGACCCTTGATTCCAGGACTTGACCATTGGACAGAAGTTCTGGACCTGCCCTGGGCCAGAGAAGAGCCCACTGCCCTGAAGGGTGAGTCCAAGGCCTGGTAGTCTTCACACAAGCTGACCGAAGAGCCCTCGGGCCTTAATAGAACACTGGCAGTAGTCTAAAATTACTTCTTATGAGCCTGTGGTAGTGGTGGTAGCTACAGAGTGAAGCTCCTCAGCCTTTAGAAAGGGGAGAGAACAGTAGGAAAGACTGCTTCTTGTGGCTTGAATGCCAGCTCAGCTGCAATACAATAGAACACCAGGTAGACTTCTAAGAATTTTGACTCTAGTCCCCAGCTCCTGAATATCACTTGTGGCCCACTAAGAGCCTGAGGCAACACACTGCCTTGATGGGAAGGACATGGGTGTTCCCAGTGATTGCTGCCACTTGATGATCACAGAGCCCCAGACCCTTGAGCAAACATAGGTGTTAGCCAAGGAGTAGCTATAGCAGGCCTTGGGGAAGACCCAGTGCTGTGCTGCCTTCGGGATTGAATCAGCACAGTCCTACGGATGGTGCACACAGGAGTGCTTATTTCACTTCATCTCTAAATCCAGGTGGCTCAGAGTAGAGAGATAGAATCCATTTGTTTGGGAGAATGTAAGGGAAAAAAGTAAGAGTTCTGGAATTTAAATAATTCTTCCATATCTTGTCTATTATTATCAAGGTGGTACCTCTATGAGTCTGCAAGGACCACAGCATTACAGGGTTTGTGGTGCAGCCAAAAGCAGATACAGCTTAGATCGTAACACCCAGTTCTTTTGAAGATCTGAAAGCCTTCCCAAGAAGGATGAGTACTAACAAGCCCAGACTACAAAGAACAGCAATATATATCTAACTTTTTAATGCCCAGACACAGAATATCCACAAGCACCAAGACAATCCAGGAAAATATGACCTCATTAAATTAAGTAAATATGGTACCAGGGACCAATCCTGGAGAAATAGATATATGTAACCTTTCAGATAGTTAATTCAAAATAGCTGTTTTGAGGAAACTCCAATAAATTCAAGATAACACAGAGAAGATATTCAGAATTCTATCAGAGAAATTTAACAAGAAATTGAAATAATTATAAAGAATCAAGCAGAAATTCTGGAGCTGAAAAATGCAACTGGCATATTGAAGAATGCATCAGAGTATTTGAATAGGAGAATTGATCAAGAGGAAGAAAGGATAAGTAAAATTAAAGACAGACTGTTTGAAAACATACAGTTAGAGGGTACAAAATTTAAAAAAAATGAGGCAAAACTACAGGATCTAGAGTACCATCCAAAAGCCAAATCTAAGAGTTATTGACCTTAAAGAGGAGGTAGAAAAAGAGATAGGGGTAGAAAGTTTACTCAAAGAGATAATAACAGAGAATTTACCAAACTTAGTGAAAGATATCAATATTCAACAAGAAGTATATAGAACATCAAGAAGATTTAACTCAATGAAGACTACCTGAAGGCATTTAATAATTAGATTCTGAAAGGTCATGGATAAAGAAAGAATCTTAAAAGCAGCAAGAGGAAAGAGACACATAACACGCAATGGTGCTCCAATACCTCTGCCAGCAGACTTTTCAGTGGAAACCTTACAGGCCAGGAGGGAATGGCATGACATATTTAAAGTGCTGAAGGAGAAAACAAAACAAAACAAAACTTTTCCCCTAGAATAGTATATTCGGTGAAAATATCCTTCAAATCTGAAGCAGAAATAAAGACTTTCCCAGATAAACGAAAGCTGAGGAATTTTGTAACACCAGACCCATCCTACAAGAAATGCTAAAGGGGTACTTCAATCTTAAAGAAAGCAATGTTAATAAGCAATAGGGAAACATCTGGAGGTACAAAACTCACTGGTAATAGTAAGTATATACACACAAAAGAGAATGTTTTAACACTGTAATTGTGGTGTGTAATGTAAGTTTGAAATCACTGGACAGCATAAAAACAAACAAAACAAAATACATTTTTATCAACAGGCCAGCAGAAAAGAAAATAGGTAAGATTTTGGACATAGAATAAATTATTATAGATGACAGTACAGTGATGTAGTAAGGAATGAAAAGAAAAATAATACACTATGCATAAAAATAAATAAATATTGACTATATAAAGGCAGCAATATCTTTTGAATTTAACAAATATAAATAAAATACATCAAAAATATGTAAGTCAATGCTATGTATTGAAATATGCTATATGTATTTGAACTTTTCTAAGGTTTTGCATTGTCAGAAATGTGTATTTGCCTTTTATCAAAGTAATTAATTTTTAGATTTAATGCTAATATTATTGTAAAGGAAAACATAAATACAAAGCAAATGATGAGGCCAGATAAAGTCCAGCAAAGGGGAAGAGTAGAAACATAAATAAATACATAACAAAGAAGTCAAATAAGACAAACACAATGATAGATTTGAACATACTAAATGAAATGTAATAGAACTTGACCTCTAGAAAGAATATAGTAAGAATGCAGAGAGCCGGTAATCCTGTTGTAACACAGAAATATCCAGTAAATTACAAAAAACTAATCACCACTTTAATTATATTGGAGAGCCATGGAAGTGACAATAAACTAAGATTCCAGAGAAAGAAATCCTCGCTGAATGTGATGAGATCATTGGCTACTTTATCCCTAAGAATATTTGTTGGTCTGATAGGGCTTTTAAGGATAGATTAATCTATCCTTAAAATCCTTTACAAACTAAATCAGTAAAAAATAAAGAAATATTCTCCTTTCCTTCACAACAAAATCATCCATCCCTATCTATATATGTATTATAATGGATTGGGGTACAAATCAAGTGTCAAGACTCAGTTAATTCTGGATTCCAAGTTTCTTGTTTGCAAAACTATATAAGGCTTTTTTATTGTTGTTATTTAATGTGAATGAGCACAGAAAAACATTAATAGATAAATGCTGAGTAAATTAAATTAAATCGAATGTAGTTAATTGTGGACTATTTACTCTCCACACACTACTTCACCAGTTTAATCAAATATCTCATATTTTGCTCCTTTTTATTTGCTTGTTTGTTTGTTTGGTTTGGATTTTGTTTTAAACATGTTATCTGATCCTTGAAGTAAGAATGTAGAGAAGCAGAGAAAATAAACGACAAGTAAATCTGACTTAAATTAAAGCATTGCCTAGTCTAAACGGTACATTAACATTTGTAAATAGTTTGTCCTAGAAAATTTGGTAGAGGGTAAGCACATCAAAAGATACATAAGTCTGAAATCACCTAACACTACAGATAGAGAAAAGGTTAGTTAGGGGATTAAGCATATAAATGTTATAAAAAGGCAGTTTAATTGCTTAAATGTTTCATTGAATATAAGATACATATGTCACATTTCATTTCCAAGCATCTTAATTTGATCCCTTGGATTTCAAGAGAATTTTATAAGGAATGTTTGGGTTTTCATTATCATTTCATTTATAAAAACATGAAGTATTTTATGATACATTTATATTATCATTCATTTAAAATTACAGCACTGAATGAATCCCAATTATAAAATTTTTTATTGTAAAAATTATTTTAAAGTTACAAAATAATTTCTAAGTAACCTTTATTCAGGTATTTCTGAAATGATGTATGATATTTACTGCATTAATTTATAATTTATTCTCTCTCAGTAACATTCATACACATATTTATATACATACCTAAACTCTACTATAACAAGAATCTTGCAAACCCATAAAACAATTATCAAAATACTGTCCTTGATACAGTATTATATCATAAGCAGACTATTCACATTTTTCTAATTTTCTCAATAATTTTTTATTTTTTTAGTCCAGGATCCAAAATAAGATGTCATATTATTGTGTTTTAAGAAGGAAGAGGTTTAAAGAAATTATTGCCCTAAAAAGCAGATTTTTCCATGAATCTGCTCTTATAAGTAGTTAGGTTTTCTGGTGTGTGTACAAAAATAAAAGATTTCTAACTGTGCAATGTTTGACCATAAGTTCTAAATATATTATTCCTATATTTGAATATGTGTAATTCATTATGACAATTGCTGCATAATAAGTAAATTATTTAAACAGTGTAAAATTGAGGAACACAAAAGACTATAATGGCAAACCAAATATATAATGAGCAAATATTTATTCTACGTTTATGTCAGTAGTGGAAGATTTTGCAACTATACCTATCATAAAACACTTAAAACTATACCTATATTTCTAATATTAAAATACACACACACACACACACACACACACACTGAAAGTTTTTCTCTGAGTGAATAAACTGGTCATTTGGCTGTATAACAAATAGAGATGCAACCCTACCTAGCTGCCTAGATAGTTTAAAATACCTAATCAAAATAGTCACTTTTGAAAACCATCTCAAGAATTTTTACTGCCAAGTACAGTTCATATATTTAATATTATTAATTCTGATGTAAATGTAGTTAATATATAATATAAACACCAACAATTTATACGTAGAAACTAATCTATTTGTAGCTTAAGACAGTTTTATCATCACTTCAATTTTTTACTTATTTTATTATTCAGAATGTCAAAATGTTAATCTTTAGAAGTATATTTTTTAGCAAAATATAATTCACCTATTAAATAAAATGAAGGTGGGAAATATAGAAAATGCAAATATTTAAATTCTCCAAGTATATTAAAATTGAATTTTAGACAGTACTCCTAACATACATTTTAAGCAATTTGCCAGTTTTGCTATGATAGCAATGACATTACTTCTCTTTTTCTATGTTACTGAATAGACTAGTGACTTTTCTACTATAGGCTTAAAATTTGTTGAAAGACCCATAAATGCCAGTACCATCAAAGAGATCTTAAATTTAAAAAGGTCAAGGAAAATACTATTTTAAAAAACTTTTATAATCATTACGTTTGTATTTGTTTGCAGTCCTAACATTTACTTATTATATATTTATGATATATCACATCTTTAAGCAACTTAGATGTATTAACATTTTCAAGTTGCATAGTACACCACTTGTACCAATTATAAATCAGGCTCTACTCTAAAAGTTTTATATATAATATATTTGCTTTTAATGCTAACATATGTGGTTCATAACTTTTTGAAATAAATGTAACTTACTAGAACATTATTTGTCAAATTGTATATCGAAAAAAATTTCTCTTTATTCTTTAGTAATATGCAACAAAACCAAGAGAGGAAAATCATGAGAGCTCTGTATACAGCTTTTAAAACTTCTAGAAAAACATAGAAAAAAAATCATTGTGAGCTTGGTTTAGACAAAGACAAAGATTTCTTAGCTATTACACCTAAAACTCAATATGTTACTGGAATTTTTTAAAATGTGCTCTTCCAAAGTTACAGACATAATGAAAAGACAAATCACAGACTGGAAGAAAATAGTGGCAAATTACATATCTAATTAAAAATTTGTATAAAGGAAATTTAACTCCATCTCAAAACTCAACAATTAGAAAAAAATAAATAATGGGTAAAAATTTGAACATTTTAGTAAGAAAATATGTGTAATATATTTAAGCCCATGATAAAATGCTAAACATTATTGAGGATTAGGAAATTCAAATTACATACACAATGAGACACACACACACACACACACACACACACACACAAAGAGACAGAGACAGAGAGAGGATTAATAAGACCTAAAGCTGGGGAAATCGAATTTATTGAATTTGTGGTTAACACTATACAAGTGATTCTTGTACTATTCTCACAATTGTGTAAGTTTACATTTATATCAAAATTAAAAGTTACAAAATAATTCTTAGAAAAACATGCCAGGTGAGGTGGCTCATGCCTGTAATCCCAGCACTTTGGGAGGCCAATGTTGGGGGATCACCTGAGGTCAGGAGTTCGAGACCAGCCTGGCCAACATGGTGAAACCCAGTCTCTACTAAAATACAAAAACATTAGCCACACATGATGGTGTGTGCCTGCAATCCCAGCTACTCAGGAGGCTGAAGCAGGAGAATCGCTTGAAGACAGAGGTTGCAGTGAGCTGAGATCACACCACTGCACTCCAGCCTGGGAGACAGAGAAAGACTCCATCTCAAAAAAAAAAAGAAAAAAAAAAGAAAGAAAAAATATAATTATGTAGCATAAATATTTTACAATGATTATGCTGCACATGACTAAAATATGTGATGATACTTCTATTCTCTATATATCTACAACTTTTTCTTTTTGTAAGATAAGTGCTCATCTCATTTTTATGGCATTCATTTCTTATCTTAAATCAATTGTCTTCAGATCATTCATTCACTTCACAGCATTCCATCACACTTCCTTCTATTTTGATACTGCCAATTCATCATAATCACCAATTACATTAGCGAATACAAAATTTTTTATCTCTCATTCATGACACCATTTGTAGTTTCAAGAGCTATTTCAGTGGGAACACTCCTGTGGAGATGGGTAGCAATATAGAATCTTAATCTATCATTGAAATATTAGGAGAAAAAACATACATTGAGAATATGTATATAAGTAAAAGTATAACATCAGATGAGTAACAGCTTTGCAACTAATTTTTATATGATGGCAATAATTCAAGTGCTATTCAATTTATAGACAATTATTTTTATTAGAGACATCCACTTTAATGTTAAAAACTAACACTGAATTTCTAATGATTTCTCATAGAAGTAAGGTATTTCAGCTTGGGGGAAGAGATAGCAAAGGGCGATAATCCATAACATTTTTTGTTGCTTTTTAGCTATATTTTTTATTGACATTTAACTGTAATATCATAATATATAGAATATAGGGTTTACTAAAACCACATCATTTGTGTAGTCATTCACAGAAATTTCAGAATCAAAAAAGAGGGAGAAACATTAGAAGCAGAAAGAAATAAGTCAAATGTTGTTTAATCCTGTCGAAACCACAAAGGTTAAAAAAATTGAGAGACTGCAATGAGATCAATAAACAAAACAATTAGAATAAAAGTAAGTTTAGACTGAAGTTAGGAGTGCTGGGCTTTGTACTGAAACTCACATCACTTTCTCTGGTTTGAAGTTAGAATCTAAAAGAAATGAGGCCAGGAATGATTTCCAGAAAAAAAGGACTCCAGAAACCATTAACTAAATAATAAAGTTGTGTTTTTATTGGGATAGTACCAGAAATAAACCCTGAGACAAGGAGTTGAATATAAATAGTTCAAGAACATAAAAGGATGGTAATCAGATCTAAAGTGAAGGCAGTCAAAAATTTGTTAGATGCAGCTTAGTGTGGGGAACTGGAGTTGGTTTTCATTAGTGACCTACTTGCATTTTGACATTTCTGGCTCACAAGTATTTTAATTACTCTGATGGCAGAAATTTCTTCAGACTTTCAAATTTTATTTCTAAAATTCTATCTAATAATATTCTAATTGGTGGCTAAATTTACACACTATTAGGCAAATACACATATATTACTCAACTGAACAAAACTATTCCTGGAGTTTAAGAGCTGACAACAATGTTTGAGATTTTGGTCATTTTTGACCATTGAGAAGCATTATTATTTCCGCACATATCTATTAAAAAATAAATAATTTTTGAATAAAGTCCAATAACATAATTTAGAAATTATCTCATTTGAACAAGGAGTACTAATAATTTTCAAACAACACCACGAATAATATAAACATGCAGTATAATATTCTGACATGAAAACACCTGTCATTCTCAAATTCTCCTAGCTTCTACAATCTGTGCTGAATATATTATTGAATTTGGTGCTGAGGAATCACAACTGGAGTCATACTCCCAGATCTTCCTAGGAATTATGACATTAATCTTTTAGATCAAGTGTTAAATCTATTTTGCAATAAATATGAAAAATGAAACTGTAACCAATAACTTTTAAAAGTGAATATTTTTGCCCTGTTTGCTCTATATACTTTAAAAATTAAATATTTGAAAGTTTAGGGGTGTTTGAGGACCTCTATTTACATGTCTCTAATCCTACTACCTTCGGTTTTATTAAGAGGAATCTACTGTCCTGAGGTACAATGCATTATTCCTACCCCTGAGACTCTCAACAGTAGTTGTATTTTTCTCTATTTAATTGTAAAATCCAGCACTATCAGATATTTTATGGCTGTCTTTCCTAAAGTCATGAATGAGATCAACCCTAAAATTATTTTGCTTTTTATTTTCTCATCATTGATGGTTACTACATTTTCATAGACTTCTGCTCATTGAATTCTCCTTTTCTGCCAAGTATTTCTCACTTGTTATACTCAATTGCCTATACGCTTGGCTACATTTCTGTAGTTATTAATATATTTGGGCTATTTATACTTTGTAATTATTTTGTTTTCTCCCAATTGTGCTAGAAGTAGTGATAGCTTTAGTTCATTTATGCTGCAGTAACAATATACCTGAGACTGGGTAACTTAAATAAAACAGAAATGTAATTTTTTTTTACAGTTCTGGAGGTTGGGAAATCCAACATCATGACACTAGTATTCGGTTAGGACTGCTCTGTGTTTCCAGTATGGCACCTTGAATGTTTCTTTGTCTGTATCAGACAAACGCTGTGCATTCACATGGTGAAAACCCAGAAGGAATGGACTGGCCCCCTCAAAGCCTTTTATAAAATGCTAATCTGATCCATAAGAGCTCCACCCTCATTTCTTAGTCACTTTATAAAGATCCAGCTGTTAATAATGTAACATTGGTGATTAAGTTTTAACTTATAAATTTTAGACGACACATTCAGACAATAGTAGTGATTGGGGACATATTCAGGTAGAATTTTTCACAAGTGAAACAGATATTCTTGAAAAATTATTTTAGAAAGAAAATATTTCAAAAGCTTTGGAAAGACTGCAAACAAAAAGTACCAGGTGAAAAATTTATACTTGCAAGGGTACAGCTGGAAAGGAGAAAAATAAGAGGTTTCTTTGCTGTTTATTTGCTTTGCTTTTTTTTCGCTAAATGTACTAGCCAGAAAACCACAGGTTTCCTGGCTCAAATTTGCATGAAGCAGTGTTCAGAGTTTGTGAGCAAACCTGGAAATTTAGTAGGACTCAGGGTGGAAGATGTGATTCCAATAGAAAAATCACTGTAGAACTTCTACTTGGAGTATTATTTTTTCCATATACTTGGCTCACTGTTGAAGTGTGAGTATTCCTTAAGAAAATACTTGAAAACATTATAAACCAGCAATCAGAAAATAGCCAGGAATCTACATGTGAAAGACAAAAATATACCAGATAAGTTTTGTGAATTCAAAGTTTTTTTTTTCTTTTTTCTTTTTTTTTTTTTTTTGAGGCGGAGTCTTGCTCTGTCGCCCAGGCTGGAGTGCAGCGGCACCATCTCGGCTCACGGCAAGCTCCGCCTCCCGGGTTCCCGCCATTCTCCTGCCTCAGCCTCCCGAGTAGCTGGGACTACAGGCGTGTGCCACCACGTGCGGGTAATTTTTTTTTTTTTTTGTATTTTTAGTAGAGACAGTGTTTCACCGTGTTAGCCAGGATGGTCTCAATCTTCTGAGCTCGTGATCCGCCTACCTCAGCCTCCCAAAGTGCTGGGATTACAGACGTGAGCCACCGCGCCTGGCTGAATTCAAAGTTTTTATAATGAATTCAACTTCTCAACATTAACTCATCTTGGGCAACCTCAAATTGGAGATTCTGTAGCTTACAATATAAGAGTATACAGCTCTGGGATGACTGGTCAGCTGAAATTTAGGGAAGAGATAAACAGCAGCAGTAAGGTAACTGTAGAAATCTTGACCTACGTATATGAGAATAAAGTCAACCCACATTATTGGCTGACTACTACACTAAACAGGCAATGGCAAGAGCCCTCCAAGAAGGCAGGGGTAAAAAAAAAAACCTCTGGAAGTGAGCAGGTATATCAAGTGATGCATACTGCATGGGAGACAGAGTTTATAAGACTAAGAAATTTAATTGCATAGTAGACATAAATCTCAATAACAGAGAAAACAGAGAGAATACAGAGTCAGTATATGATATTACCCTTTTCTACAATGCCCAGTTTTGGTAGACATGAAAATATACCCATGAAATCTATTGCTCTGAGGAGCATAGTTAACAGATATCCCCAGTTGCCATCTCACTAGGTATACCACTACATCATAAAGATATCACTTTCTCCCTGGACTTCTCCCAGACAGTGTTTAAGCGTAGAGGGAATACAAATGGAGGCATATACCTATAAAACATGGGGCACTTCCGATGAGTTTCTTTAGCTTGAAGTCTTCCCATCATCCTGGCCAATGCAAATTGAACTCTGCACTTCAGTCAGAGACTAACAACACAATTGCCCTTCCTCCTATGTTTCATTTCACTGATGTCATAGCTACATGTGTTCTAAAGGCTCTCTAAGCATACTTCTGCTCCATATACCCCATTTATCTTTTACAGGAAGTTGCCAAATAAATCTTGTACACAGATAAATCCATCTTGTTACTTGCTTCTCAGAAGACCTAAAATGTGGTACCAGGAGTAGTCTGATAAATCAGGTTGTAAGATGGGGTCTCAGGAGTGGCACATTCACTGCCTGATGAAAAAAGATGGATACTATGGTTAGTGGCATGTTGAGCACAGCCCAGTTGGTAAAGATTTTACTGTTATTGACCTGGAAAACATACTGAAAAGGAAGAACACCCTTGCAGGTGTGATGGCTTTAAAAATATGTGGGTGAGAGAGGAATTCTTATGAAGAAAGCAAAGGTGGCTGGTGATTGCTAAGCTGAAACTGACATAGCACAGAGGAAAAATGAGAAAATAAGGGACATCGAACAGCACATAAAGGCTAACTGTAAGAGTCAAAGGGTAGCTTGCATAGCCTTACAGAATTGTCTTTTTATTCTGTAAAAAAAGGAGTGGAAGCCATTATGCAGCTGACTCAGGTTTTGGTAGTTGCAGTTGCATTGCTTGAAAGATGTTTATGTGCTTTGCCAAGACAGTACTCTTGTGCCAAAATCCGGGCCCTTGTTGCAAAAACTGGGATGCTAAAAAATGGAATAGAAAACATAAATAGACATTACTGAGGATGCGGATATTTCAGACTCCCTTGTCATCATTTACAAAAGTGGTCCACATGTCCATTATGAGAGATAGCACTATCCGCAAGTTAAAATATACTGCAATTATCCTCATCCACAAGTGAACCAGACCCATACTCTCTGGCAAACGCACATTCAGGAGATGCCCCCATCTTCCCTTCTGTCTTTTAGGTTATACGTAAGATTAAATTGCAGTATAAATAGCTAGAGATATGCTGTATCTGATAAAGGCAGAAAGTAATTATATATTCAAAAAATCAAATAATTTCCTAGCATATTCTGGCAAGAATCAGCGTAGTATTAACACAAGATTTAATGTAAGAGAGCTTGCTCAAGGGAGACAGAACATAAGTCTGGATAACCAAGAATATGTTACCTAGAGGGCAAAGTCTGAGGATATGGGATTTGACTCACTGCCAAGTACATTTGGAAATGAAACAAACCAGCTGTTATAAACCTGATGAAACCAAGGGACCAAGCTGAGTGGAGTAAAAATCCTAGAGTTGGCCTGGAAGGCAGAATAGGAACAAAGGAAGAATTGGAGACGTGTAAGGATACCAAAATTCATTATTATGTGTGTCAAGAAGACCCATCAGAAGATTGTGTTGAGGAGTCTAGTTCCTGATTAAAAACCTATGTGTGACTTTTCAGGTCTCACCATAGACTAATCACAAAATCTTTACCTGGCAGGTTTCGCTGGAGAAAGCTGCCCTCCCCACACCAGCCTTGATGCACAGCCAGTGCATTGCCTTCTGTGAAGGGAGCTGCAGTCAAGGCTTCAGGCCCCTCTGGCTAGCCATGTTCTTATGCATATCTGCACTCCTAGAACCTGTGCCTCCATAGGTCTCCTTATAATGAAAACTCCTTATCACCAAGGTCTCCTTATCATGAAAACTCAAAGATACTTTTCCATCCTGACAGACCTTTCGTTCAGGGCTTTCTCAACAGTAAGAGAGCCTAATGTTTACACTGGTCTACCTGACCCACAAATTCCATGGGAAAACATAAAACAAGAATAATTTGTGCCTCTTCCAGTGATGATTTATCATCATCACTATAAATAATTAGAGACTTAACTATTTCATTTTTGGCTTGATGCTCTAATTAGCTACTCTGACACCTGGCAACTCAGCTCTCTTTTCCAGATCAGTTAAACTGACAAGCGTTTCATGGGAGGGCTCAAGAGTCATAGTATTTCAAACCCAGTGTGAACACAGTAGTAAGAATGAAACCAACATCACTAAGAAGTTCAGTGTTCCTTTTTGCAGATTGGAGATAATAGGAGAGAGAGTCTCATAGCTAAACTCATTAATGTTCATATATATATACACATATGTTCATATATATACATATGTTCATATGTATGTTTAAATATATACATGTTCATATATATGTATATATGTTCGTATATATGTATATATGTTCATATATAACCAAATGAATGGAGGTCAGGTGCCAAGGCTTCACCACCAGAAACCAGAAATCTTCAATTGCAGCAATCAGAAATATCAGTAAGAAAATCAAGGGGTCTGAACCCACAGGGAGTTTTAAAAAATAATCGAGTATAATACCTCTAGGGGAAAAAAATGGCAGTCAACAAGGGTACTGCTTAATTTGCAAAAGCAGAAAAAGCCAAGAATTGAGATGCAGGAGGCTGAGAATAATTTCCCCAATAAAAAGTAACAATGTTTTGCTCAGTTCCC
This sequence comes from Homo sapiens, assembly GCF_000001405.40. NCBI lineage: Eukaryota > Metazoa > Chordata > Mammalia > Primates > Hominidae > Homo > Homo sapiens. The sequence goes on along the minus strand of NC_000004.12, from coordinate 63,970,546 downwards.
TGACGTGCCACTTTTCATACAGGAAATACATTGGCTTGGTGAGTAGGTGAAAAAAATTTCCATGATAGCAGAGGTACTGAATATTTTCCCCATAACATGGACTCCTACTTAACCAGGATTATATAGCTACCTTTGCATCTAAATGAATGGTAGGTCTAAATGCATACTGGTTTCACAACAGAGACCAATATTGATTTCCCAATGTGACATTGTTGCATTATTTTTTACTCGGATTACCTGGTCACTTGATGACAAATACACTACATGGTCCTCCTTCTTTTATGACAAACAAAACACCAGTTTATTTTCACAAGGATACATACTTATTGTATGTATGAGTTTGTCTTTTCATCCACACAGTCACAGTCTGCACTGCTAATAGAAGGGGTATAGAATGTTGGATCTAAAGGCATGCAATCTCATACATCATAGAATATCATCACAGGTACACATCAGAGTCCAGTGCTACTCTTCAGTATCTACTGTTGTGCTTAATAGAGATGGTGCATCCCCAAAGCTGTTCCCATTCAAAGATCAGCATGGGGTACCAAAAACTAACATGCTCACTTTTTAAAAATCAAGAGTGTAATTCATAATTCAAAAGTTAGTAAACATAAACTGACTCTAGATATTAGAATTGGAGATGACCCTAGATATTAGAATTAGAAGACAATATATCAAAGCAGGTATTATTAATATGTGTAATGGATTAAAAATATGTTTAATAGATTAAAGGAGGAAGGAGTCTTAACGAGTAAACAAGTAATTTTAAGAAGAAAGAAAACTTCACAAAATAAGATCCAAATAGATATAGTAAGACTGAAATACAATACTTACGAGATGTCTTGAATAAAATATTGAAAATAGCAAACTAAATAACACATTAACATAAAACTAAATCAATAACAATTATTCAATCTAAACATTGAAGGAAAAAAATAAAGAAAAAAATTAAGAGCACCTCAGAGTCTTGTGGGAAAATATAAAGTGGCATAATATACATGGAATTGAAGTCTCCAAAACAGAAAAGAGTTAACACAAAACAGGAAAAGACAAATTGGAGCAAGAGTGGCCAAAACTTTTTAACTAAATTTGTAAAAAGTGTTAACCCAAAGACCTAAAAGAATCATTAAATATCAAGCAGGTAAATACAAAGAAACCTCACTTTCCCATATTAACAAGATCCTGTTGAAAAGACAAAAACAGAGAATGTTCTAAAAGGAGCAAGGGAAGGGGCCAACTACCTATTCTATGAAAGAAAAAATACATAAATAATGAATAATTTATCATTAGAAATGATAGACACCAGAATATACTAGAATGGCATATTCAAACACCTCAAAAATACACCTCAATATCTAGAATCCAATATCCCACCAAAGTATATTTCAAAAATAACAAAAAAAATCTGAGACGCATTTTCAAGTTAAAAAATATAGAGGGATAAGTCACCATTAGGAGACATTCATTAAAAACTGTAAAGGAAATTCTTTAACTAAAGGAAGAAAAAATGCATCGGATGAAATAAAGAGGAAAAGATGCGATAAACATTTTGGTAAATAAAAATATATCCTATCTATCTCTATTCTACACTTACATAGATATGTCTGTATCTTTTTATTTATCATTTTTATAAAGGTCTGCATATACATATTTATATCTATAGTCATACCTTTATCTGTCTATTTATATCTATCTAGAGTGAAAGAGAATAGACAAAGTTTTTTCTTTTATTTTCTAATATGTTTACACGACACACCAATGTTCCTGGCTCAGCATGGCACACTTGGTGTCTGTACACATTCAGTGGAACAAAGCAAGTCATATGGTAAAGTATACCATCAGTACAGTGAAAAAGAATGTTGCTATCATAGTGGGAGACATTTGAGAGATAAATAAATAAAAATAATGAATATTTGATTTTACTAAAAGGTGAATGTAAATAATTGTAAATAATTACCAAATCTATGGCACTAATATACTTTATAAATATTCACAATAATAATGGATAATTACCAAAAAAGGCTTCAATTAAAATACGTATTTTTTTTCCAAGGGAGCGATAATAAAATTGACAATATTTTCAACCACAAAAATAAGACAAGATATTACTGTAACATATTTAAGTATAACAACAAAATGATAAAAATAATGAAGCAAAAATAATTGACAACCTAGGATGTTATGCAATTAAATTACTTTCAAAAATGTTGGTTAAATGTAGAAATATTTAGACTAAACTTGAATCTATCATTAGAATGCTTGCACTAACAGAGATTCTAAAAGTAGTATAGCCCATTTCCACAAAAGAAAATGATCCTAGATGAATGAATTCAAAGTACAGGAAGTCATTTTAAAAAGACAGTAAATATTTTGGTAAATAATATTATTGGTAGTAACAATAATTGACAATCTGGAATGCTATGCAATGAAATTACTTTCAAAAATATTGATTAAATGTGAAAATATTTAGACAAAACTTGAATAACTCTATCATTAGAATGCTTACACTAACATAGCTTCTGAAAGAGTACTATAGCACATTTCCACAAAACAAAATGGTCCTAGATGACTGAATTTAAAGTACAGGAAGTTATTTTAAAAAGAGAGGAGTAAATATGTTGGTAAATGAATGTTATTGGTTTACACACATCATATTTTTTTTTTCAAAATCATACCTATATTTTCAAGGTCTGGATAAAATATTATCTCTTCCACAAACTGTTTTCAGATGCCCAGAATGAGAATTCATGCCTCCACCCTCCAACTTCTCACAGTTATAGCACATTCTCATTCTTCCTAAGCTTCTTATGTAACTATCCAATAGTAAGCTGATGAAGAGTAAAGCCAATGATGTATCCTTTTGTATTTAATTTTCCATCAAGCAAAGTACCTTGAAAATAGCATATAGTCCATGCCAATAAATAAAAATAATAATTATCTTGGTCCATCTGTAATTGAAGCATTATAAATATAGATGATTGCCAATTGCGTTTTAAACTTCCATATTGAATGATTTTTTAAAAAAGATTATTCTTTCAGACTTAGTCCTTTATGTTTCCTAGAAATGTCTCAAGTTTGTCACAATTAGGAAACTTATTGACACAAAACTGACCAAAATTTACTCCAAATGTATTTTATTTTCTTCATGTAAACTACGGAATAACAGCATGTAGTCAATTTACTGTCATGCATAGATAATTTCAATATTTTTAGGTTAAAAACTTTGATTTTGGGAATTACAGTTATTCACTCTATAAAAGTTTTATTATCCTTTGCTTTTTTGGCTTCTGTATTTTCACTATAAAATTTTTAGTGGAAATTTATTTTTATTTATCATTCTCAGGATTCTCTAAGATTTTAGAACTTTTAATTAGTGTTTTAAATCATTTTGAGGAAAACTTAATCCATTAATATACCAAATATTAATTTTCTTTATTTTTCCCTTTTATCTTACTGGGACTAAGATTAAACATATGTTAGATGTTTCTACCTCACACATTTTACTCTCTCCTCTATAATTTCTGTCTATTTTTATCCCTGCAGGTAAAATATTGGAAAATTATTTTTCACTTCTAGGAAGTTTACTTTCTCTGTCAGCTGTATCTATGCTATTATAAAACACATGAATTGAGTACAGTGCTTATATTTTGATAGAATTTCTTAGTTCTAGAAATTATCTCGGGTTCTCTTCTAAATCTAATATATAACTCTATCATGTATTTTTTTCCACAGACATTTTCAAGCTTCTCTCCCTTTCTACTGTGTCTCTTTCTGTAACATAATTTAATAGGTCAGTACTTGATCATTTCCAAAACTCATACCTTTTTAAGTAGTTAACTACTTAGTCTTATGCAATATACACTAAGATTTAGGAATATGCTAAAGAGTATCAACATACATTTCTTACATATATCATCTTCATGTAACACACATTAGCAAAACACAGCTGTAAATTTTTAAAAAAACCCTTTAGTAATATATACCACGTTATTATGATATTGATGAAAGTAATCAGTTTTGTCCATAGGCGCCACTTCTATTGTGGAGTTACATGCTATTCACTCTGTCATAGCTGTTAATTTATGTAACAGAAAAATTCAGAGAGAAAAAGAAGATGTAAATCCTCCTAAGCAGTGAGGCCAGAGCTTTCTTCAACTGTTTAATCACAGAGTAATATCAATATCTTCAAAGCAATCCATTGAACACATTGTTGACAATAACATTTGTTACTGTCCTCTGTATATACACAACTGTGATGAGAGAAAACGGCATCTCTTTTTTTTCTCAATTTTCCAACCTCCACTCTGCACTTACTCAATTATTCATGAATGAAATAACAGCTTTCTGCATTAATAATGTAAGAGACAATGTAAGATAAAATGTAACTTGCAAAAGAATGAACGTTTTGGCAGCTTTTATGATACCCATTTATCTAGCATTTTCTGTCATTAATCATGATGCCATCTTTGGTAGGAAACATGCTCAGGGACAGAAGTTTTCCCCATTGACAGGCAGGATCATTACACTTTAATAAAAGTACATTTTTTTCCCTTAGCGTAGCATACTTCCCTAAGAGCTGGAGAAAATTTTTCTTGGTTTATTTGTTTTTGGAATTACAATTTTAAAATACTTTGAAGAAATTAGGAATAAATTCTTATACTTTAGTTCTATCTTTTCACCCTTATATTAAATACCTTACACGGAGCAATGTTTTTAGCTAAGATGAATATGGATAATATTTCAGTGAAAAATCTCTCCATAGTGTATTTATTATCTTTCTACAGAGAACTAACCTTTACTCAGAATGTTTTAGACATATGTAAGAAATGCCCCAAATTTCTATATTGGTATTTTATAACAATGCAAACTTTAACTTGAATGCTTATCAAAATAAATATTTTTAACATATGAAGCGTACTACCTATGTAAGAGACAATACTTGATTCTAAAAATACAAAGACAAATCATAAATGGTAATTGCCTTCAAGGAGATTGTTTCTTGGTTATCCTTAGTAGAAACCCTACGAATTGTTTCTAACTGGTTAACTAATATAAACATTTAAGCTTTGAAAAGCAGTTTTGAGACTGCATTTTTTATCATGGAACTTGAGAATTGAAATGAGTCTAAACTGAATATATTGTAAGCCAACTCTTTCAGTTATGAAAAGTGAATCCCCCCAAAATTGATTATATTATCACCATTGTGACCAGTATTCATATTACAATCTCATTTTTCTGAGCTTCCATTATGTAACATTGCCTGTTCCTGCTCTCTTTGTTTTTAGTAAGCATCATTATCTGATCGGTTAATATTTGGGTTAGCATAATAACCAGGAAAACTTCCTACTACTTGTAATAAAAGCACATCATAAAACATCATAATAAACATGATTAACTTATTATATCACAGAATCACGTATGCAAACTGATTCTATTTCATAAACTATAATTTTTTTCTGCACAGTGTATTATTAATTAATATATGAAAATATAAAATGTGCACATTTACTTACTAAAACTTAGTTGTTTATTTAACCTACCTCAACATAATAATCTTCATTTTATGTTCATTTTTGTATAACCAGTCACTTTATAAATTTCTTTGAAATTTTACATTTGATGCTTAGTAGCAAGAAGGTATTTCACAACAGAATACAATCAATCTAAGATCCCTTATTACAATGTATTCTATTATGGCATAAAAAATGAAGAACTTCTCTGTCCAATTTTATGTAAACCTTGCAGTCTATCCTTGATCGTTACATGTTTGTTTATTATTTATTTACCTTTCTCATCATAATATGTGATACATGTAACACCTAGCCTCTCAGAGTGTAAGGACCTATTTAGGACACAGGAGCTATTCTATCATGTTATTCTTCTCACTAAGCACACTACCATACTCATTGCTCCACCATCAGTGGCTACAAATGACAAAACTACAATGTTTACTTTTAACTGTCATGTCCATATGTCTCAAGAAAGAAAGTGATTGGTTAAGTCATTTGTCTTGGAGCATAAGGAAACATTTTTCATCAAATTAGCTCATAGGTTGACCTTTAGGTTAAGCATTCATCCTTCATTCAACAAAGCATGACAAATGAAACAGTAGAACATGGTAAACCACAGTGAGTGTATTAGTCCATTTTCATGCTGCTGATAAAGATATAACTGAGACTGGGAAGAAAAAGAGGTTTAATTTGACTTACAGTTCCACCTGGCTGGGGAGGCCTCAGAATCATGGCAGGAGGTGAAAGGCACTTCTTACCTGGTGGCGACAAAAGAAAATGAGCAAGAAGCAAAAGTGGAAACACCTGATAAAACTTACATCCGATCCCCTGAGACTTATTCAATATCACGAGAATAGCACAGGAAAGACTGGTCCCCATGATGAAATTACCTCCCCTTGGGTCCCTCCCACAACACATGGGAATTCTGGGAGGTACAATTCAAGTTAAGATTTGGGTGGGGACACAGCCAAACCATATCAGTGACCTATACATAATGAATTCATCATAAGAAAACAGGAAGAACATACATAGCTGGCAATATGTTATTGTAATGTGTTTCAATGTTGTATCTATTGTTTCATAAAAGTAGATGTTAGATGTGGATTGCATATTTTACCAATTTAAAGCATCTTTTACTCTAATTTAGTTATATCAATTGGATTTTCTTTATAAAATAGCAGCGACCTGCTTTCTAAGAAGTTTATCATATAATGTTATCATTTGCAAATGTCTTTTTAGCTATTTGTTTATGAATCTAGAAAAAGATTATTGAATGTATATCCAATTTTATTTTAATTTTAAGTTTCAATTTGCCTTTCTATATTTGTATATTTATTCACAATGGCAGATATGGATTATATTTATATTAATTACTAATATTTTCTTTTTATTTTGGCTTAATAATTAATGTTTTGGTTCCTTGCAATATCAATTACATTTTACTCATATATTTTTTCTTTGTAGCAATTTAACATTTTTCAATTTCTGTTATATTTATTAAAGTTTAAAATAAGAGAAAATAAAGTATCAATAGTCAATATTAACAATGAAGAATCCTTTATTTTGGACAGGTGTGGTGGCTCACGCCTGTAATCCCAGCACTTTGGGAGATGGAGACCGGTGGATCACAAGATCAGGAGATCGAGAACATCCTGGCCAACATGGTGAAACCCCGTCTCTACTGATATACAAAACATTAGCCGGGTGTGGTGGCGTGCATCTGTAGTCTCGGCTACTAGGTGAGGCTGAGGCAGGGAAATTGCTTGAACCTGGTAGGCGGAGGTTGCAGTGAGCCAAGATTTCGCCACTGAACTCCAGCCTGGCAACAGAGCAAGACTCCATCTCAAAAAAAAAAAAAATCCTTCATTTTGACTCCTACATAAGTAAGAGCTATAGTATAAATAAGATCGTGATAAAATTCATTTAAATCTGTCTACACTATTTTCCTAATTTTACTTTGGTAGATACATTTAAAAAATGTCTTACTTGTTCATTAATCATTATATTCATATACATACATATTTACAATGAACACATGGAATATATGTGTGTCCATGTGTGTAACATATATTTCTACATACTTGTGTATATGTAAGAACTACCAAGCAAAAACATACAAGGAATTTTTTAAATATAAATAATGGACAAGGAATTTCTCAATGGTAAGTATCATAAAATAAAAAGGTATAACTTTTGAAACAGTAAAATACTAATTTATTTACATCATGAAAGTATAATAGCTGCTAGAAATGAAACAGAATATCAACAGAATATGTAGAAATGTAATATCAAAAAATCACATAATCACTTCGAAAGATTAAATTAAAACAAATGATTGAGCCATATTTCATTATGGGAAAGCAAAACTTATCAACATTTATGACTTGATCCAACATGAATTCATGATTGTCTAAAGAAATGTTATATAACAGATTACAAATAAGTGTTCATATGACTGATGACATAAATATTTTTAATGTTTATATCAAATAAACTATAAAATAAATCTAATAGGCAATACATACCTGCAGTAATTATTATGTCTATCAAAGTAGTAATACTCATTGTATAAATACGGCATTCAAAATAGGTAAGACAAATATGAATGCCTTAAAAATAAGCAAAACATACAGGAATTCAATAAAAAGGTATTTTTAATGTTCAATATGTTCTTAAAAAGATATTTTCACAAGAATATTTATACTGCTTTTTTTTTTTTTTTGGACTGAGGATCTCACTCTGTCACCCACGCGTGAGCGCAGTGGCACCATCCTTGGCAAACTTTTTTATTTCACGTAGGTTTCGCCATGTTGCCTAGTAGGTCTCCAACTTCTGAGCTCAAGGGACCTGCACGCCTCAGCTTCCCAAAGAGCTGGGATTACAGGCATGAACCACAGCGTCCGGCCTGCATATTATCTTTATCAAATTGGCATAAATGTTTAAAAATCAGTAATAGAAAATGATTGTTACAATTATTATACATTGTTCTTGGAAACAGAACAAGAACAATATGGCAGGATGACAGTTCTTCCATATGAATTCAGTGTCTTATAATGATTTAATTCAAATATAGTTAAATATACTTAAATATAGTTAAGTATTTAGTTAAATAAATTATATGGAAATATGAATAATAAATATAAAACCTACTAGGATTGTGATGCTATAATCATTTATAATATTTATGATTACTAAACCTTCTTACAGCATTGATAGTATTATATGCAGGCTAATATATGAAATGACTAATTATTAATATACTGATAAAGAACATAAATATATATTTCATTTTATGACAAAAATAATTTATGTTCATTGTAGAAAATATAAAATATCTTTACAATGAGTGAATAAAAATTATAACCTGTGATAATTATTTTATTTTTTAATAGGAGACAACAAACTATACTTGGAATGAAAAAAAATCATGAAAAAGAAGCTTTAGTGATAAAAATGCTAATAAGATTATATTATGAACATTACTATCAGACTAGTTTTGAAAACATAACTGATAATATTTTTAGAAAAATAACTTACCAAAATGAGCTGCAATGATTTCCAAATACTAATAATTGTATATGCATTAGAGAAATAATGTAAGCAGTTTAAATCTTTCACTTTCACAGTAACTTCTTATCTAATTATATCAAATATCCAAGAAACATTTAAGCATAATCTTATTTAAACTATATGTGAAAATAAAAATGGAAGTAATTAAATCAATATAAAATTTTTATAAACATTATTTAACATTAAAATATTTTAAGTTTTAGGAAGGCACATTATTATGAAAAATATTTAACAGTGCAACCTTATAAATGTTGAGCACTGTGTTTTTTAAAAAATTAATTATAAGTACATTGTTATCATTGTAAGTTTGTGTTCTTACTTGTGAATTCAATACAAAGCTGTGGATATATTTTCAAAACTTATTTTTAATTACTTCAATATAAGACAATATTTTATTGCTCAAGATACTTCACAGTGTTTTTATTACTTTAATTAATTTATTATGAAAAAAATACTTTACATATATATTTGGAATAAACCTGCTTGTTTTCTGTTGGGTATACATGTGCTATTTTTGTTCACTCTATGACAGGTAACTGGGAGGTTTTCTTAAAGGAACAAAAGTAAATTGAAGGGAAAAAACATATCCAATAACATCTGAAGTCTATCCACAATAATAAATACAAGCTTTGCTTCAAAAAAAAATTAAATAAAGTGTACCTTTAGCTATGACAAAGTGTCTTATATAAAATAAAATGACTTTTAAAGCAATTACAAATGACAGATTATACTAAAGTTAAAGTTTAAATGCATTTCAAATTAATTAAAATTCAGATAATTTCAAAAACTATAACCCTTGATATCGTAAAAACAAAGTAAAACAAATAATAGGTTTTGAAATTTTAATGATTTGGGGAAAACATAGAGAAGTGTAGAAAATTATTGACCACACCTATACTTTGATTTTATTAGGGTAAAATCCATGTTTTAAAGTCAATTTCCAAAAGGATTTATTTATGTCTGAGCATAACATACATATAATTAATAACCACTTTAAGTCTGTATCACAGAAATGTGAAATACTTTAGCATTTTTATTTCTTGGGGGATAATTTATATAATTACAAATAGTTTTACGAGCCTTCATATTCAATTACATCAAAGTGGGTGGTATCTTTTTATTTTTATGTGATAGAAGGACATTTACCTATTTTGAAATAATAGAGTAATATCAAGCAAAGATTTCATTTTTTTGTAGAAAAAAATCATGCTGTCTTTCATAATTTTAGTAACAAAGAGTATATATTTTTCTATTCAGGAAAGCAAGAAAGTTATTCAGACAATTTAGCATAGCATCAATATTTTCATTAAATTCAGAATGTCCTAATGCTTTACAAGTTATAAATTTATATTTGTAATTTCAAAACAGAAAAAAATTGCCTTTCAATATTGATACACAGAAATATTTCTTTAGAAGTTAATTTCCGTGCACTTGTAGAATATGCTCTGATCTTCTTTGTTTACTTATTGTGTTTTATATTTCCTTAGTTTTCATTTTATCATCAAAATCATAATTCTTACTATTATTAATGGTAGTAGCAATATGTTATTTTCAATATCCATGGAACTCTAAGCAAAGACTACATTTCATATTTCAAAAACTAATGTCTCTTCTTATTTATATTTATGATGTTAATTTGTTTATTATGTTTAATAAACATTTATAGAGCACCTACACTGTAGCAGGTTCTACTCTAGGACTGTATGGAACAGACAAATAGTTGTGCATTCAAGGGGCTTACATTCTAGTTTGAAAAGAGGGACATTTGGTAACATAAATAAGTAAAAAAAAGTTAGATAAAATAGCCACTGAGGATTAAGCAGAAAATATGTCTATTGATATAAAAAACACAAAATTACATTCAATTCACTTATACTTTGTGTTTTTAAATGAATACATAAGCAGATAAATGAAAGTGCTAAAGTATAATAACTCTAAATTAATCTGTCCATTACTTATTCATAAATAATGTCAGTAAGTTTGCCTAAGATATATAAACAAAATAAAAATCAAAATAATATCAATCACAAAAATATAATTTAACATTCCACAAAAGTGTATGTATGTCTTCTTTCTTTACTACTCAATATTTGGTATTTCTATTTTGAGAGAAAAGCTTATGTGTAGTACAACATTTTGTGGATAAATCAAATATGTCTACATATTAGGTAAATTTCGCGTTATATAATTACAAGTGTAATCACAAATCACACTCAGCTTTTATACAAATCGATACCTAAGTATATCTTTATATCTGCCTTTATGTCTGCCTATATACTTTCTTAGCTATGTACCTACCTGTCTACCTATCCGGCTTATTTAAGGGTTTAACTTCTGAGAATACTATGTTTTCTCCAGTACTAATTAGTGAGATAAGCATTACAAAAGCCGTGACAAACTAATCAAAAAATTCATCAACAATTTGCATTTGATAATGATGCTTAACAGACCAGGATGTTTACTGTCCACATTTTGTCTATGAGGCAAAACAAACAACTAAATTATAACTTTGTAACATCTGCTTCCTCTACGGGGCTATTTGTATAGACTTTGACAGATGTGAGAACAGCAAAGAATGGCTGTAACAAATGAGACAACTAATAGTCATGTCTTAAAAAAAAATCAGCCAATCTGAGTTTATTGAAATGAGCTCCAGACTGAGACTGAGATGACATGCACCTGTTCCTCCAAACTATTACTCTGGAAAGAGATAATGACTTTAAAATTATTATTTTCCATCATGTGAAATGTGAAAAAAACCTGGAATAGTACACCACGGAATACTGTAACGTCACAATATATTTTTCCAAAGGTCTCTCAATTTGTGCAAAATTATGGTGCATTTTATTGCCCGGTGAATGAGTAGTGCAGGAATGAAAGGCAGAAAAGGATTAGGCTTTTTATCTATTTGTGTATGCATTTGATTGCTTACAAATTCTGTAGATTATGGTTCTACACACGAGAATTCAAATGGGCTTTCTTGATACAATTTTTCTAGCTCAGGTACAGAAAAGTTGTTGAATCCTCTAAGTGAGATAATCAAATATACTGAAGACGTAGAAGTGCAAAACCTTCAGGGCAAACTCATAAGGCCAGGATTGAAATAAGTTATATTTTTACTTTAAATAAATAGTTTTATAAATTTATATTTTAAATAAAAGTATAGCCTATCATTTGTTCTGTAGGTTTAAAACACATGTACAAATACTTTGTTAAGCCTCTCATGAAGAATTAGAGTCAATGCCCTCCTGTTTTTAAACTAGACAGGCCTTTGTGACTTCTTCAATGATCAGAATATAGTGAAAATCCTGCTGCATGATTTCTAAGGCTAGGTTAGAATATGTATACAGTTTCTGCTGGTTTGTCTTGGATATAAGCTTTGGGAGCCTCCAGTCACCATGTAAGAAGTTCAGCTACACTGAGGCTGCAAGGCTGACGAGGCCTTGTGGAGGAAAATGCCCTGCAGCCTAAGCTAATCCCAACTGAGTCTTTCTAACATAGGCACCAGCTGTGTGTGAGAAATTTTCTAGATGACTCTGGCCCCAGCTCCTGTATGAATGAAAAACTGAGCAATGACTGATTAGTTGAGACCCGTTACTCTTCTAACTATGATAGATGATAACAATAAGGAAATGTTTTCATGTGCCTAAGTGTAGATTGTTACACATCAATAAATATCCAACACACTTAGTACATTAAAGTCTATGCAATAACACATTCATGTTTTTTAAATAAAGAATCACAATCCATCTTGTATTTGGTAAAATCTTCCTTTTTTCTGAAAATCATTTAGATACATATATATATATATATATATATATATATATACACACACACATGTATAATATTGTTTATCTTTTAAATTCACAAAAAAATTTACCATAATAGAAGACCAAAAGAGAATATGCATATAATTATATGAATAGATTTTTTAAAAGCATTTTAAAAATGCAACATTTATTGCTGATAAAAACTGTCAGCAAACAAGAAACAAAAGGAAACGTTCTCTAAATGATAAACGTATTCTAAGTAAAACCTATAGCTATCACTATTTATTAAGCTATCTTAAAGGTGATAGAACTAATATTTTCCAACATTTTCCTCTTAATATCAGGATCGAAGCAAAGATTTCCATTCTGACCACTTCTCTCTAACCTTGTACTTGGGTTTCTATATGTGAAAATCATGCACACACACACACACACACACAAAATCCAGATCGGAAAGAATTGTTTTTGTCATGGATGACATGATCATCAATGTGGACAATCCAGGTAATAAACAAAAATTCTATTAGATCTAATTAATGAGATTAACAAATTTGTAAGATACAACATCAAGAAACAAACATAAGGTATATTTATATAAGCTACAAAATCAAAGGGAAAGTAAATTCAAAATACCATATCCAATTGGATCAAAATACAAAATACAAATCTGACAAAATATCTGTTAAACATGTACTCTAAAATCAACACAACTATTTGAGGGAAGTTTAAAAATATCTAAGTAAATGGAGAGATACACCATGTTAATTGATTGGAAGACTCGGTATTTTTAGGACGTCAATTGTCTGCAAATTGATCTATAGGTTCAACACAATCCCAATTGAAATGGTGCCAGGCATTTTCTGAATTTGAAAAGTTTATCCTGAAGTTTTATAAAAAAGCAAATATTTAGAATAGACAAAACAAATTTAATATAAAAGAATAAAGTTGTAAAATGTACCCAAGCTTATTTAAAGACTTATTACATATAAGTAATATGTAATAATTTTTTTATAGAAAGCTGGACAGTAAGGCCAATGCCTTACTGCCATTGAGCATGACAATAAACAAATAAATCAATGAAATAGAATAGATGGTACAGAAATACATGTGCACGGGCATGCACACACAAACACAGACACACACAGACACACACACACAAATATGGGTCACAAATTTAAGGACATAATCTAAAACAATACAATTTGTAAAATAAAACGTAACAGATTTTCTAACTTTTGTTAGGTAATTATTTCTAAACTACAGACATAAAACATTGAGAACTAATATTCTGCAAAAGACTCAGTTAAGTAAATAAAAAGACAAATCAGAGACTAGAAAAATATCACTACGAATCACATATTTGATGAAGAAACAGTGTACAGAATATATAAAGAAACCTCAAAGCTCAGTAAAAACAAAATCAAAATCAACCCAATAAAAAATGGGCAAATATTTGAACAGGAACGTCACCAAATAAAATACATAACAAATAAACACTTTAAAAATGCACAATGTAATTAACAGAATGCAGATTGAACAACAATGAGATGTCATTATACATTTAGTAGATTATCTAACATTTAAGATTCACCATAAAATATGTTGGAAAAAATGAAAGCACTGAAACTCATACACTGCCGATTAAAATGTTAAATGGTAAAACCACAATGGAAAGCAGTTTGACCATTTCTTATAAAGTTAAACTTGCACTAACTATATGACCCAGCTACTCCATTCTCATGTCTTTAGCCCAAAGTATTTGAAGCTTAAGTTTGTTTAGAAAAAGTGTATATAGATGTTTGTAACAGGCTTATTTGTAAAAGCAAAAATCGGGAAATACCCTACATAACTATTACTTGGTAATAAATAAACAAACTTAGGTATTTTTATAAAAATTATGCTAATAAATTTGTGAATGAAGGAAGCCAGCCAAAAAAAGGTACACATTATAAAACTCTATTTACATAAAAATGTAGAAACTGGAAACTAATTTATAGTAGTAATTGCCATCCAGGGACAATTTTGTCCCTCATGCACCATTTATCTATATCTAGGGATATTTTTGGTTGTGATATAAAAGAAATAATACTTGCATCTGATAGTTAGAGGCCAGAGGTGTGGCAGAATACTACATAATGCACAAGATATCATCCAGTCAAAACTTAGTAGATGCTGCTCCTGAAAAATCCTTATCTATGGTCATCAAAATAAAAGAAATCAGTGGTTGCTTGCAGATACAGATAAAATTACAAAGGGGTATGAGAAAATCTGGGGAGTTAATTCACATGTTTATTATAGCAATGGCAATGATTGATTATAGGAGTCTATTCAGATATCAAAACTTATCAAATTGTATACTTTTAATGCATTCAGTTTATTCCATATCAATTATGTCTTACTGTTTAAAAAGCTACTATATAAGTGAGAATCTGAGTCTAGCAACAATATTAAATAATAAAAAAGAATTTAGGAGACTAGAAATAGGAGAACAAACAGGATGGAACAAACAAATAATAAATAGTAAAATGGCAAACCTAAACCCAGCCATAGCTGTAGTTATATTACATGTAATTATCTAATTGTCTATATTAAACATGTATATTAAAAGTGAGAGATCATCAGGATTGATGAAAAAACAAGACACAACAACAGGTGATGTGCTTTAAAGATTTAGATAAGTTGGAATTGAAATAACAAAATGTCATGTCATTAAAACAGCATAAGAAAACTGCAATGATCCTGTCAACCTCAAAGGAAACTTAAAGACATAGAGCATTATTAGGGATAGAGATACTTGGCCAGGTGTGGCAGCGCAGGCCTGTAATCCCAGCAATTTGGGAGGCCTAGGTGAGTGGATGGCTTGAGTCCAGGAGTTCAAGACTAGCTTGAGAAACAGTAAAATCCTGTCTGTACAAAAAAATACAAAAATTAGCTGGGCTGGACTACATACCTGTAGTGCCAGCTACTTCAGAGGCTGAGGTGGGAGGATCACGTGAGCCTTGAAGACTGAGGCTGCAGTGAGCCATGATTATGCCACTACAATTGAATCTGGGCAACAGAGTGAGATTATGTCTCCAAAAAAAAAATATTAAGAGAGAGAGAGATTTTATAATTATTCCATAATTGTAAAATAATCAATTTATCAACAAAAGATAATGATTACATTAAGCATATTTTAAATAACTGAATATTTGTCTGCCCTCAAAAGTAAAATGTTGAAGCCTTAATTTTCAATGTGATGGTATTTGGAAGTAGGGGAGGCTTAGACAAGGTCATGAGAGTAGAGTTCCCATGATAGGATTAGTGTCCTTACAAGCAAGGAAAAGACTAGAACCCTCTCTATCTCTATCACAGGAGAATACAAGAGAGTAGCCATTTGGAAACCAGGAGGAGGGCCCTTACCAGCCTCACAAGCCAGCAGTTTGATTTTGGACTTCCCATCATCCAAAACTGTGAGAATTTAAGTGATTGTTATTTAAGCCACCCAGTGCATGGCATTTTGCTATAACAACTCAATCTAACTGAAACATATAAAAAAACTAATGAACTTAACATATATGAAGCCAAATTGACACTGTAAGGAGAAACCAAAAAATTAATATAAATAGTTAGAGATTTTTAATTTCTATTTTCAATTTATATGACAACTACCTACACACAGAAAATCAGTAAAGACATGGAAGAATTAAAGAACACTATCAACCCATAAACCTTATTGATGGTTACAGAACACTGCAAACTATGGTTGAGGAATTTATAGTCACTTCAAGCAGACATCATACATTCACCAAGATACTATATGCTGATTCCTTAAAAAGTAAAAAATTTAAAAGATGGAAAATTATAGCATATTTTATTTTCTTTCAACAACATAAAATTGAGTAAAAATAAATAAAGATCTCCGGAAAGCACCAAATATTCAACAACATAATTTTAAATTACCAGTAGTTAAATATAAAGTAACAAAATATTAGAAAATATTTTGGTCTCGGGGGAGGAGCCAAGATGGCCGAATAGGAACAGTTCCGGTCTACAGCTCCCAGCGTGAGCGACACAGAAGACGGGTGATTTCTGCATTTCCATCTGAGCTTTGAAGAGAGCAATGGTTCTCCCAGCACGCAGCTGGAGATCTGAGAACAGGCAGACTGCCTCCTCAAGTGGGTCCCTGACCCCTGACCCCTGAGCAGCCTAACTGGGAGGCACCCCCCAGTAGGGGCAGACTGACACTTCACACGGCCCTGTACTCCTCTGAGACAAAACTTCCAGAGGAATGATCAGACAGCAGCATTCGCAGCTCACGAAAAACCGCTGTTCTGCAAACACCGCTGCGGATACCCAGGCAAACTGTCTGGAGTGGACCTCTGGCAAACTCCAACAGAACTGCAGCTGAGGGTCCTGTCTGGTAGAAGGAAAACTAACAAACAGAAAGGACATCCACACCAAAAACCCATCTGTACATCACCATCGTCAAAGACCAAAAGTAGATAAAACCACAAAGATGTGGAAAAAACAGAGCAGAAAAACTGGAAACTCTAAAAAGCAGAGCACCTCTCCTCCTCCAAAGGAACACAGTTCCTCACCAGCAATGGAACAAAGCTGGATGGAGAATGACTTTGACGAGTTGAGAGAAGGCGGCTTCAGACGATCAAACTACAAGCTACAGGAGGAAATTCAAACCAAAGGCAAAGAAGTTAAAAACTTTGAAAAAAATTTACACGAATGTATAACTAGAATAACCAATACAGAGAAGTGCTTAAAGGAGCTGCTGGAGCTGAAAGCCAAGGCTCGAGAACTACGTGAAGAATGCAGAAGCCTCAGGAGCCGATACGATCAACTGGAAGAAAGGGTATCAGCTATGGAAGATGAAATGAATGAAATGAAGCGAGAAGGCAAGTTTAGAGAAAAAAGAATAAAAAGAAATGAGCAAAGCCTCCAAGAAATATGGGACTATGTGAAAAGACCAAATCTACGTCTGATTGGTGTACCTGAAAGTGACGGGGAGAATGGAACCAAGTTGGAAAACACTCTGCAGGATATTATCCAGGAGAACTTCCCCAATCTAGCAAGGCAGGCCAACATTCAGATTCAGGAAATACAGAGAACGCCACAAAGATACTCCTCGAGAAGAGCGACTCCAAGACCCATAATTGTCAGATTCATCAAAGTTAAAATGAAGGAAAAAATGTTAAGGGCAACCAGAGAGAAAGGTCAGGTTACCCACAAAGGGAAGCCCATCAGACTAACAGCAGATATCTCGGCAGAAACTCTACAAGCTAGAAGAGAGTGGGGGCCAATATTCAACATTCTTAAAGAAAAGAATTTTCAACCCAGAATTTCATATCCAGCCAAACTAAGCTTCATAAGTGAAGGAGAAATAAAATACTTTACAGACAAGCAAATGCTGAGAGATTTTGTCACCACCAGGCCTGCCCTAAAAGAGCTCCTGAAGGAAGCACTAAACATGGAAAGGAACAACCGGTAGCAGCCACTGCAAAATCATGCCAAATTGTAAAGACCATCAAGGCTAGGAAGAAACTGCATCAACTAATGAGCAAAATAACCAGCTAACATCATAAGGACAGAATCAAACTCACACATAACAATATTAACTTTAAATGTAAATGGATGAAATGCTCCAATTAAAAGACACAGACTGGCAAATTGGATAAAGAGTCAAGACCCATCCATGTGCTGTATTCAGGAAACCCATCTCACATGCAGAGACACACATAGGCTCAAAATAAAAGAATGGAGGAAGATCTACCAAGCAAATGGAAAACAAAAAAAGGCAAGGGTTGCAATCCTAGTCTCAGATAAAACAGACGTTAAACCAACAAAGATCAAAAGAGACAAAGAAGGCCATTACTTAATGGTAAAGGGATCAATTCAACAAGAAGAGCTAACTATCCTAAATATATATACACCCAATACAGGAGCACCCAGATTCATAAAGCAAGTCCTGAGTGACCTACAAAGAGACTTAGACTCCCACACAATAATAATGGGAGACTTTAACACCCCACTGTCAACATTAGACAGATCAGTGAGACAGAAAGTTAACAAGGATACCCAGGAATTGAACTCAGCTCTGCACCAAGCGGACCTAATAGACATCTACAGAACTCTCCACCCCACATCAACAGAATATACATTTTTTTCAGCACCACACCACACCTATTCCAAAATTGACCACATAGTTGGAAGTAAAGCTCTCCTCAGCAAATGTAAAAGATCAGACATTATAACAAACTGTCTCTCAGACCACAGTGCAATCAAACAAGAACTCAGGATTAAGAAACTCACTCAAAACCGCTCAACTACATGGAAACTGAACAACCTGCTCCTGAATGACTACTGGGTACATAACAAAATGAAGGCAGAAATAAAGATGTTCTTTGAAACCAACGAGAACAAAGACACAACATCCAGAATCTCTGGGACACATTCAAAGCAGTGTGTAGAGGGAAATTTATAGCACTAAATGCCCACAAGAGAAAACAGGAAAGATCCAAACTTGACACCCTGACATCACAATTAAAAGAACTAGAAAAGCAAGAGCAAACACATTCAAAAGCTAGCAAAAGGCAAGAAATAACTAACATCAGAGCAGAACTGAAGGAAATAGAGACACAAAAAACCCTTCAAAAAATTAATTAATCCAGGAGCTGGTTTTTTGAAAGGATCAACAAAATTGACAGACCACTAGCAAGACTAATAAAGAAGAAAAGAGAGAAGAATCAAATACACACAATAAAAAATGATAAAGGGGATATCACCACCGATCCCACAGAAATGCAAACTACCATCAGAGAATACTACAAACACCTCTACGCAAATAAACTAGAAAATCTAGAAGAAATGGATACATTCCTCGACACATACACCCTCCCAAGACTAAACCAGGAAGAAGTTGAATCTCTGAATAGACCAATAACAGGCTCTGAAATTGTGACAATAATTAATAACTTACCAACCAAAAAGAGTCCAGGACCAGATGGATTCACAGCCGAATTCTACCAGAGGTACAAGGAGGAACTGGTACCATTCCTTCTGAAACCATTCCAATCAATAGAAAAAGAGGGAATCCTCCCTAACTCATTTTATGAGGCCAGCATCATCCTGATACCAAAGCCTGGCAGAGACACAACCAAAAAAGAGAATTTTAGACCAATATCCTTGATGAACATTGATGCAAAAATCCTCAATAAAATACTGGGAAACCGAATCCAGCAACACATCAAAAAGCTTATCCGCCATGATCAAGTGGGCTTCATCCCTGGGATGCAAGGCTGGTTCAATATATGCAAATCAATAAATGTAATCCAGCATATAAACAGAACCAAAGATAAAAACCACATGATTATCTCAATAGATGCAGAAAAGGCCTTTGACAAAATTCAACAACGCTTCATGCTAAAAACTCTCAATAAATTAGGTATTGATGGGACGTATCTCAAAATAATAAGAGCTATCTATGACAAACCCACAGCCAATATCATACTGAATGGGCAAAAACTGGAAGCACTCCCTTTGAAAATGGGCACAAGACAGGGATGCCCTCTCTCACCACTCCTATTCAACATAGTGTTGGAAGTTCTGGCCAAGGCAATTAGGCAGGAGAAGGAAATAAAGGGTATTCAATTAGGAAAAGAGGAAGTCAAACTGTCCCTGTTTGCAGATGACATGATTGTATATCTAGAAAAGCCCATTGTCTCAGCCCAAAATCTCCTTAAGCTGATAAGCAACTTCAGCAAAGTCTCAGGATACAAAATCAATGTGCAAAAATCACAAGCATTCTTATACACCAATAACAGACAAACAGAGAGCCAAATCATGAGTGAACTCCCATTCACAATTGCTTCAAAGAGAATAAAATACCTAGGAATCCAACTTACTAGGGACGTGAAGGACCTCTTCAAGGAGAACTACAAACCACTGCTCAATGAAACAAAAGAGGATACAAACAAATGGAAGAACATTCCATGCTCATGGGCAGAAAGAATCAATATCATGAAAATGGCCATACTGCCCAAGGTCATTTATAGATTCAATGCCATCCTCATCAAGCTACCAATGACTTTCTTCACAGAATTGGAAAAAACTACTTTAAAGTTCATATGGCACCAAAAAAGAGCCCGCATCGCCAAGTCAATCCTAAGCCAAAAGAACAAAGCTGGAGGGAGGCATCATGCTACCTGACTTCAAACTATACTACAAGGCTACAGTAACCAAAACAGCATGATTTTGGTTTCAAAACAGAGATATAGATCAATGGAACAGAACAGAGCCTTAAGAAATAACGTTGCATATCTACAACTATCTGATCTTTGACAAACCTGAGAAAAACAAGCAATGGGGAAAGGTTTCCCTGTTTAATAAATGGTGGGAAAACTGGCTAGCCATATGTAGAAAGCTGAAACTGGATCGCTTCCTTACACCTTAAACAAAAATTAATTTGAGATGGATTAAAGACTTACATGTTAGACCTAAAACCATAAAAACCCTAGAAGAAAACCTAGGCATTACCATTCAGGACACAGGCATGGGCAAGGACTTCATGTCTAAAACACCAAAAGCAATGGCAACAAAAGACAAAATTGGCAAATGGGATCTAATTAAACTAAAGAGCTTCTGCACAGCAAAAGAAACTACCATCAGAGTCAACAGGCAACCTACAAAATGGGAGAAAATTTTCGCAACCTACTCATCTGACGAAGCGCTAATATCCAGAATCTACAATGAACTCAAACAAATTTACAAGAAAAAAATCAAACAACCCCATCAAAAAGTGGGCGAAGGACATGAACAGACACTTCTCAAAAGAAGACATTTATGCAGCCAAATAACACATGAAAAAATGCTCATCATCACTGGCCATCAGAGAAATGCAAATCAAAACCTCAATGAGATACCATCTCACACCAGTTAGAATGGCAATCATTAAAGAGTCAGGAAACAACAGGTGCTGGAGAGGATATGGAGAAATAGGAACACTTTTACACTGTTGGTGGGACTGTAAACTAGTTCAACCATTGTGGAAGTCAGTGTGGCGATTCCTCAGGGATCTAGAACTAGAAATACCATTTGACCCAGCCATCCCATTACTGGGTATATACCCAAAGGATTATGAAACAGGCTGCTATAAAGACACATGCACACGTATGTTTATAGCAGCACTATTCACAATAGTAAAGACTTGGAACCAACCCAAATGTCCAACAATGATAGACTGGATTAAGAAAATGTGGCACATATACACCATGGAATACTATGCAGCCATAAAAAAAGATGAGTTCATGTCCTTCGTAGGGACGTGGATGAAGCTGGAAACCATCATTCTCAGCAAACTGTCGCAAGGACAAAAAACCAAACACTGCATGTTCTCACTCATAGGTGGGAATTGAGCAGTGAGAACACATGGACACTGGAAGGGGAACATCACACTCTGGGGTCTGTTGTGGGGTGGGGGGAGTGGGGAGGGATAGCATTAGGAGATATACCTAATGCTGAATGATGAGTTAATGGGTGCACCACACCAACATAGCACATGTATACACATGTAAGAAACCTGCACATTGTGCACATGTACCCTAAAACTTAAAGTATAATAATAATAAAATACATAAATAAACAAATAAATAAATGCTGAATAAATGAATGAATGCATACCAAAAAAAAAGCAATGCAATATACATCCTTCTTTTCATCTACACATGTCACATAGTCTAACATAAACCCCACAATCAGACATAAAACAATTCTCAGCAAATTTAAAAAAAAAATCATACCAACTACACTCTTGGACCACAGAATATTAAAAGTATAAGCCAATATCAAGAATATTGCTCAAAACCAAACAATTACGATATAATTAAACAAACTGCTTTTTAATGACTTCCGGGCAAAAAAATGAAATTAAGGCAGAAAAAAATAATTATTTGAAACTAATGAAAAAAAAATGCAACATCCAGAAACTCTGGGACACAGCTTGAGAGGAAAGTTTATAGTGCTAAATGCCCACATGAAAAAGAATGATTTAATCTAACATAACATCACACCTTGAGGAACTAGAAAAACAAGAGCAAACCAACCACAAAGCTAGCAGAAGACAAGAAATAACCACAGAGATAAACTGAACTGAACAAAACTGACATGCCCAAAAACATACAAAAAATCAACAACACCAAAAGTTTGTTCTTTGAAAAAATAAAATAAAATAGATAGACCACTGACTAATGAAGAAAAAAAAGAAAGCCAGATAAACACAATCTGAAATGACAAAGAGGACAGTATTGCTGACCTCATGGGAATACAAAAGAAAAAAAAAAACATGAGAGACTATTACAAACACTTCCATGCATATACTAGAAAACCCAGAAGAAATGTACAAATTATTGGGAACATACAACTTCCAATGACTGAACCAGAAATAAATTAAATCCCTGAACACACCAAAAATGAGTTCTGAAATTGAATAAGTAATAAAAAGGCTACCAACAAGAAAAATCTCAAGACTAGATGGATTCACAGCTGAGTTTTGTCAGACATATAAATAAGAGCTGGTACCACCATTTCTACTGAAACTACTTCAAAAAATTGAGGAGCAGGGATTCTTTTCTAACTCATGCCATGAGGCCAGCATCATTCTGGTATCAAAACCTGGCAAAGGCACAATAAAAAGATAAAATTTCAGGTCAATATCCTTGATGAACCTTGATGCAAAAATCCTCAACAAATTATCAACAAACTGAATTGAGCAGCCCTTCAAAAAGTGAATCCACCATGATTAAGTAGGCTTTTTCTCTGAGATGTTAGCTTGGTCTAACATACACAAATCAATGAATGTGATTCATCACATAAACAGAGCTAAAAACAAAAACCACATGGTCATCTCAATAGATGCAGAAAAGCTTTCTACAAAATTCAGCATCTCTTCTTGTTAAAAACCCTCAGCAAGCTAGGCATTGAAGGAATATATGTCAAAATAATAAGAGCCATCTAAGACAAACTCATAGCCAACAACCTACTGAATGAACAAAAGCTAGATGCATTCCCGTTGAGAAACAGAACAAGACAAGGATGACATTTTCAACACTCCAATTAAACATAGTGCTGGAAGTCCTAGCCAAGCAGTCAGGCAAGAGAAAGAAATAAAAGGCACCCGAATAGTAAGTCAAGAAGTCAAGCTATCTCTGTTTGTGCAACATGATTTTATACCTAGAAAAGCCCATAGTCTTTGCCCAAAAGCTCCTGTGTTTGATAAGCAATTTCAGCAAAGCTTCTAGATACAAAATCAGAAAAATCAGTACCATTTATATACACCAATAGCACTCAAGCCTAGTGTGAAATCAAGAATACAATCCCATTCACAATAGCAGCAATAACAAAAAATAAAATATCAAATATATAGGAAAACAGGTGACCAGGGAAGTGAAAGATCTCTACAGTAAAAACTAAAAAACATTGCTGAAAGAAATCAGAGATGACACAAACAAATGAAAAAAACGTTTTATGCTCATGGATAGAAAAAAATCACTATTGTTTAAAAGGCCATACTGTCCAAAGAAATTTTCAAATTTAATGCTATTCCTTTGAAACCACCAATGGCATTATTTACAGAATTAGAAAAAAAAAACTATTATAAAATTCATGTAAAACCACAAAAGAGCCCAAAGAGCCTAAGCAATTCAAAGCAGAAAGAGCAGAGGTGGAGATATCATAATACACAACTTCAAACTATACTGAAAGGCTTTAGTCACCAAAATATTATAGCATGGTACTGGTACAAAAATAGACACATAGAACAGTGGAACAGAATAGAGAACCTGGAAAGAAAGCCACACACGTACAACCATCTGATTTTTGACAAAGCCAACAAAAACAAGCAACAGGGAAATGACTCCCTATTCAACTAATGGTGCAGAGATAACTGGCAAGCCATATACAAAAGATTGACACTGGACCTCTTCCTTACATCATATACAAAAATCAACTCAATTTGGGTTACAGATTTACATGTAAAACCTAATTACTGTAAAACCCCATGAACTAAACCTAGAACTATTTTTAGACATAGGCCCTGAGAAAGATTTTATTTAAAAATTAACAAAATTAACTGCAACAAAAACAAAAAATGACAAATAAGATTTGATTAAACTAAACAGTTTCTGCACAGAAAATTAAATTACTCAACAGGGTAAATAGACAGTCCACAGAATGGGAGAAAATATTTACAAACTATGCAACTGACAAAGGTCTAATTTCCAGAATCTATAAGGAACTTCAACAAATTAACAAGCAAAAACAACCTCATTAAAAAGTGGGCAAAGGACAAGAGCCCACACTTTTCAAAAGAAGATATATATGGGCCAAAAAACATGAAAAAATACTCAACATCACTAATATTCAGAGAAATGTAAACCAAAACAGTAATGAGATACTATCTCACACTAGTCAGAATGGCTATTACTAAAAAGTTAAAAAACAATAGCTGCTGGTGAGGCTGCAGAGAGAAAGTAATGCTTATACACTGTTGGTGAGAATGTAAATTAGTTCAGCCACTGTTGAAGGCAGTTTGGCAATTTCTCAAATAACGTAAAGTAGAACTACCATTTAACCCCAAAAACCCATTATTGGGTCTATATCCAAAGAAATATAAGTCATTTTACCATAAGGATGCATGCACATGTGAGCTCACTGCAGTGGTATTCTCAAAAGCAAATACATGAAATGTACATAAATGCCCATGAATGGTAGACTGGGTAAAAAAAAAAAAAAAAAGTGGTATGTATACGTCATAGAATACTACACAGCCATAAAAAGACTGAGATAATGTCCTTTACAGCAACATGGGTGGAGCTGGAGGCCATTATCTTTACACAGAAACAGAAAAACATATACTGCAGGTTCTCACTTATAAGTGGTACCTAAACACTGAGTATACATGAACACGAAGAAGGGGAAAACAGACACTGGGACCTACTTGAGAGTAGGGAGTGGGAGGAGGGTGAGAATCATTAAACCACCTATTGGGTCCTATGCTTACTACTTGGGTAATGAAATAAAATGTATACCAAACTTCCATGATACTCAATTTTTCTATAGAACCATCCTACACGTACTCCTGAAACAAAAGAAGTTAAGGGAAAAAAAAGCGTTTTCTCAGTGTAGTTGGACTTCAGATAGCA
Organism: Homo sapiens; assembly: GCF_000001405.40. NCBI lineage: Eukaryota > Metazoa > Chordata > Mammalia > Primates > Hominidae > Homo > Homo sapiens. Next base: position 63,944,506 of record NC_000004.12, on the reverse strand, counting down.
AGTCTTCCTTGCTTGACTAAATCCTGGTCTGGTTTTCAATAAGTATCAAACTTTTTTCCATATTGATGCACAAAATGAAATTAACACTTGATCACTCATACATTAAATACATGATAGTAAATATTCACTAATTGTATCTGCTGCATCACTCCACCTCTTTTTCTAATTTATTTAATTACTATAAATGAGACTTTAAAGATAGTGAAATACTTAGGAGTCCAATCTTCCAGTTTCTTCACTTTTTTAATATAAATTCAACTTCTCATTAGCTTAATTTGTTCGTAAGTGATATATATGCATATGTTTATATTTGTCTAGTAGAGCACACATTTTTTAGCATAAAAAATTTTAACGTGAATTTCTTGGTACATAGTATGTCATTGCCATTACCATCCTCAGCATTAGCACTATTGACACTTTTTTATTTGCATTATAATTCCTTTTTGTTGCTCTCTAATTCTTAACTTTTTTTTTTTTTACAGAGATTGTAGGTGTAACTATGTACCCTTGTTCTCCATCATGAACTTCATTTTGTAGGCAACAAGTACTCCAAATAATGATTGGATGAAAGGTTTTAGAATTGACAATAATTGATCCTACGTAAGAATTTAAACTTTAAGCCTATTAAAGAATTTAAACTTGTTTTTCCTACTTTCCCATTTAAATATTACATAGCTTTAAATATTACACAGCTTTAAGAAGCAATTCTTTGTTTCACTGAGGAGATTCTACATTATTAAAATACGCTAATACATTAACCTATGCTACTACAGCCATATTTTGCTGTATTTTTCCATGGAGATTGTCATATTGTTTAGTGACTATTACAGTTGGGGCTATTAGGTGCTTGAGATTGTCAACAAAAAGCCATAAAGACACTGAAATGTAAGTCATGCTTCATAAAACTTCTTTAGTTTTATATCATAAAACATTGCATTTTCTAAAGATGATTTTCATTACTGAAAAATAAGAGTCTAATACTAATTTTATCTTAATTACAACATGAATTATAGGTTCTAAAAGTGAAATGCTTAAAATAAGTACCTAGTTTCCTCTTGGTAAAGAAATGAGAGGTGACAGCGTGCTGGCAGTCCTCACAGCCCTCGCTCGCTTTCGGCGCCTCCTCTGCCTGGGCTCCCACTTTGGCGGCACATGAGGAGCCCTTCAGCCCACCACTGCATTGTGGGAGGCCCCTTTCTGGGCTGGCCAAGGCCGGAGCCGGCTCCCTCAGCTTGCAGGGAGGTGTGGAGGGAGAGGCGCCAGCGGGAACCCGGGCTGCGCGCGGCGCTTGCGGGCCAGCTGGAGTTCTGGGTGGGCGTGGGCTTGACGGGCGTCGCACTCGGAGCAGCCAGCCGGCCCTGCCGACCCCGGGCAATGAGGGGCTTAGCACCCGGGCCAGTGGCTGTGGAGGGTGTACCGGGTCCCTCAGCCCCACCGGCGCTGCGCTCGATTTCTCGCCGGGCCTTAGCTGCCTTCCCGCAGGGCAGTGCTCGGGACCTCCAGCCCGCCATGCCTGAGCCTCCCACCCCCTCCACGGGCTCCTGTGCGGCCCGAGCCTCCCCAGCGAGCCCCGGCCCCTGCTCCCCGGCCCCCAGTCCCATCAACCACCCAAGGGCTGAGGAGTTCCGGAGCACCACACGGGACTGGCACACAGCTCCATCTGCAGCCCAGGTGCGGGATCCACTGGGTGAAGCCAGCTGGGCTCCTGAATCTGGCGGGGAGGTGGAGAACCTTTATGTCTAGCTCAGGGATTGTAAATACACCAATCGGCACTCTGTATCTAGCTCAAGGTTTGTAAGTACACCAATCAGCACCCTATGTCTAGCTCAGGGTTTGTGAATTCACCAATTGACACTCTGTATCTAGCTACTCTGGTGGGAAATTGGAGAACCTTTGTGTGGACACTGTATCTACCTAATCTTGTGGGGACGTGGAGAACCTTTGTGTCTAGCTCAGGAATTGTAAAGGCACCAATCAGTGCCCTGTCAAAACAGACCCCTGGGCTCTACCAATCAGCAGGATGTGGGTGGGGTCAGATAAGAGAATAAAAGCAGGCTGCGGGAGCCAGCAGTGGCAACCCACTGGGGTTCCCTTCCACAATGTGGAAGGTTTGTTCGCTTTTTGCAATAAATCTTGCTACTGCTCACTCTTTGGGTACACACTGCCTTTATGATCTGTAACACTCACCGCGAAGGTCTGCAGCATCACTCCTGAAGCCAGGAAGGAACAACACCCACCGCTAAGGTCTGCAGCTTCACTCCTGAGCCAGCAAGACCACGAACCCACCAGAAGGAAAAAACTCCGAACATATCTGAACATCATCAGTAGGAACAAACTCCGGACACGCCGCTTTTGAGAACTGTAACACTCACTGCGAGGGTCCGCGGCTTCATTTTTGAAGTCAGTGAGACCAGTAACCCACCAATTCCGGACACAGAAATAAAATAATTTTCATTTCATTTTAACAAGCAGGGAAAATATCACATTATTAACACCAATAAGTTCTGTCCATATGTAATTGAAATTGTAAAAAATGTACAAATAAAAGTAATACAGTAATGCAGTGTCCCTTATGTTTTGCTTTACTTTATATATAAATACATATATATCATGTATATGCATATATACATGTATGTGTGTATGTATGTGTGTGTATATATACACACACATATATTATATATATATATATATATAGCTATATCTTTTTTTCAAATAGTGACATTTGTGCATGGTTGATGTATGATCATCCTGGCTAAGATAACTGTTTAAAAACAACAAAGAAAAGGAAAGCGCCATCTGTTTTGTTTTTTTTTTTCTGGACTTCTCATGTCATTCTAAAGTTTTAAAATTATTACAAAAGGCAATATAATTAACTTCCACATTTTTAGGTTGTAAGAGAATAAAGTTAAAAGTTACTTTCTTTGGTATCATTATTTATACACCATATAGTGGGCAGCATTTTATTGATACAATCTTTTAAAAATAATTTAATAGAATCAACAATAGTTTAGACAAGGCTGAATGGCAGTGGAATGGGTATATAGGAAATGTGTACTTTCAAAATATATAGTGTTTCATTATGCAGAGTGAAATTTTGAGATAGATATATCAGAAAAGGGAAATTGTGATAAGTTATATTACACTTAATTAGAATCAAATAATGCTGTATTTGTCGAGTAAACATTTTCAATTAAAAAATATACATAAGTGAAATGGAGGGATAATATAGGAGCTTTATGTAAGGCTAATGTGGTATAAAAATAGGTAATGTAATTAAATAAAACACAAAATAGATGGTTGAATTTAGTATTAACAGCAAATCAAATCTAGAATTGACCTCTGAGTTCAACCCAGTTTCAACTCCTAACCCACATAAACATATTTAAAATTATAATTTAATCCAAATTTTTCTAAACATATATCATTGATCTCAGAAAATTGTAGAATTTGAGCAACATTCAAGTTAATAGGTATAAGTATATGAACACTTTCATAAGCTTTAAAGTTTTATTGTAAGTGATAATTTCAGTAACATTGACAAAATAATATAATAAATGTCATATGCAGAGTAAGTGATATGCATTTTCCTTCCCTGCATGCAATGCTTCTGCCAAAACTACCATCCATGAGATTACGGAATGTCTTATATACCATTATAGTACTCCACAGAGCATTGCTTCTGATCAAAGTACTCATTTCACAACAAAATAAGTTTGGCAACGGATGCAAACCCATAGAATGTATAGGTCTTATCATGCTCCCCAGCCTCCTGAAGCAGCTGGCTTGATAGAACAGTGAAATGGCCTTTGAGGACTCAGTTGCAGTTCCAGTTGGGTGGCAATGCATTATAGGACTGGAACAAGATTCTCCAGAAGGTTCTAAATTAGCATACCATATGTGATGTCATTTCTCAGAATGGTGGAAACCTCAGGTCCAGGAATCCGGTACTGTTTTCTTATATACTGTTTTACTACTCAGTAAGCTGGAGGATTTCGGTGACATGCAGGTTTATAGGTGCAAATGTATGAACATGTTTATAATAAACTTTAAAATAGCCTTTAGACTTTATGTGTAGTTTGATCACATTTGTCAAGTAATCATCTGGCTATTATACAATTCCAAGTTATCAGAAAATGTGTAACTTTTATTTAACAACTATTTAATGCCTACTATGTTCCATGCCATCTTCTTAGTACTTTCTTATTGGTATCATTTATTTTAATCTTCAAGAAATGTATCAAGCAGTAACTATTACTAAATCACCACTTTTATAGAATACATTTAGGCAGATAGTCTAAGATCACATTACAAGTAGGTCAGCCTTGAATCAAACTCAAATATTCTACTTTAGAATTCATACTGTTAACTTCTGTCTGATTTCTATTAAAGAACATACTGGAGGTAAAGCCAAGAATCTGCAATAGAAAGTAAGTTATTAAAAATAATGGGATAAAATCATCAACAAAAACTTTAGGATATAAACAGAGAGATGAACAAAGGTCAAGAGAAAGACTTATGGTGATAGCCTGAGGAATGAGTGAGGTTACATGTGAGCAGGAGTTAAATGATGGTGCCAGAGAACACATGGGAAATAATAGATTTAAATCTCAGAGTGCAGGTTTCAACAACTCTTAGTTATTAGACCTAGCAAATCTGATACATTTTCTAACCTTTGCATTGGAAACATAATTATCAGAATGTGTTTCAATACTCCAGAATAAAGGTCCAGATAGCTGATATTTCAATGAACACTTAGCTAATTCTAATAATGTCAAGATATGTGGCCCAGATGTTTTCCTTTGCAAGGAAAAAATTACTCAGGCATCTAATGACTGGCAGAATAGTTCTGACAGTTTTATTGTAATGTGTCATGGTGTGCAGTGGGCAAAATAGTGTCCCCAAAATATGTGCACTTCCATATTCCTGGAATAGTTCATGTTACCTTACATGGAAAAAGCAACTTCACCGATGTGATTAAAATTAAGGACATTGAGATGAGTAGATTATTTTAGATTATCATCAGAATGGGGCCAATCTGACCACATGAGTCCTTAGGAGAGGAAAAAATGACAGAAGTATACGTCAGAGAGATTTGACATAAGAAGAATTTGAACTTCTTTTGCTAGCTTTAAAAGCTACAGGAAAGAAACAAAGAATCAAGGAATGATGATGGCCTCTAGAAGCTGAAAAATGTAAGAACATGAATTATCTCCTGGAGCTTCTAGAAAAAAATTAAGCCGTAAGGAAATCTTTAATGCAGCCCAATGACACTCGTGTACAAATTTTGATCTAGAAAACTTAAAATAATAAATTTCTGTTGTTTTTAAGCCACTAAATTTGTAGTAATTTGTTACAACAGCAAAAAAGATAATACAGATTGGTAAATAAGAGTTATCTTGGAGATAATGAGTCAGTTGTGTATCCGATTTTTAGCAGAGTAACTGGAACATTATACTGGGTACTTAGTATTAATCTTTTAAGTCAATAATTAAGTTGAAAGTACATAGAATCTTTGGGAGGAGACAATGGAGAAGATAAGATTATAAAAATAGATATAAGTGAACATGGGCAAAATCTTTCAGTTAAATTATCTTAAAATTTGCAATAGAATTTGAGCCCAAAGTCAGATATATTGTTAACTCTAGAATTTATAGAGTCATTAGGTAATATTATTGCTCCATTCATCTCTGCCGTTGGCATAACACTGTGTATGCTAAGAAAACTTCATGTTCTTTGGTTATTTTTCTCACAAATTAGAGTATATTGTTACTGGTAGAAATTAAATATAAAATAAACACAAAAGCTCTCTCACAACTTTTATTTATTGCCTGTTGAATCATTCATTCAAAATATGTTTTAACGTGTACCTATCATGCATAAAATATGTTATACCCTAGGAATCTAGGAATAAAATAGTAAATGAAACATTCACTATCTTTACCAGTATGTTAGAAACCTGTTTGGTTAAAAAAACTTTAATCAAATACCTATACAAAGATAAAATTGCAAGAAAAACAAATTGCAAGGAAGACAAACATAGGGAGTTATGAGAGTGAATAAGGGAAGACTTTGTGTATTTTTGAACTTGGGCTTAAGGGTAAACAACAAAATTTCTCCCAGAAAGCACTTATTTTACTTAACCCCAGGCTTCTGGTAAGAAAACATTTTAAATGGTCAATTTTCAAGGCATGATAAATCTAAGCACTGGCAGCCAGCCTGTGGATGTAACAAGCTGACAGCTCATGCTCTTACAAATTCATGATAAGCAAACAGAATGTAGAGGAGGGATCAGCCCATAAAAGAGAAGAAAGTTCTGTTTTTGGGAAATCGAAAGTTAAGCAAGGAATGGGGCCAGGGTGTAACCTTATAAGGGAGATAATGAAACTTAGGCGATGTCTGGGAAGATTGGAGCCCCAGAGTACTCGACCAATGTGGAACTGGGGGAGGGAGTTGCATGCTAGGAGATAAATTATCTGTTTTGACTGCCCTGGATGGGCCTGCCTACCAGACACCGATCTTGCAAGACTGTTATTAGAAGTCTCACTTTATCTGTGCTCCATGCCTCTAAGTCCATTCTTTGGGTTTGGACGAGTAAGTGTGTATCTTACACCACTGTATCACTAACTAACCCAAATTACAAATATTGCTTTTAAGCATAGTTGCTTTCTGGAAGCTGTGGATTCTGTGAAAAATTATTATTTCCTTTGTCCCAGCATCTTTAGAAGGTTTCCTGTATCTAAGAAACATTACCCATCTTGGAACAGGGAGAGAAACATTTCAGCCATGGTTCTGCTTAATAATATTTTTTATTAAGCAACTGTAACTTATCTGGGTTATGGGTTTAACTCATATAATAAGGTACAGATTTCTGAAAGTGTGCTTTGAAATCTGTAAAGTGTTACATACATTTGAAGAGTAATTACTATTAATTTCTCAGTACTCTGTTCCTAGTTAGATATTCAGAGGAAGTTAGAAATGGATATTTCAAATTATTATATAACAAAATGGTCAGGGCTGATCACAAGTTAATCTGTTTTGTATTTGAGATATTCGTATAAAGAAAAGTTCTAAACTAAATACCTATTTCTTCAGTGGAAGAGACGATGAATCAGGTATGTTGAAAGGAATCAGGAAACATCATCCATACTAATAGTTCAATTGATAGAATGTAGTAAACTTTTAAATTCTTTTTCTAGTAAGGTTAATTTGGCTTTTCCCCACAATGGCCACATGAGATTCTGAATTGAATCATACTCTGAGGATATGTGTAGAAACTATTATGCTATGTAAAATGGCCATAGTTAGTCGTTAAAAAAATCTGACATTTTTCTCTTATGATAAGAGTATAGCGTATCCTGATATATAAGGTTAGTAAACCAGAGAAAATGAAGACATATTTCCATTTTAATAGCAGCATTGTTGAGCCAAGATTAAGCTTTATTTCCAACTAAGTAGAAAAAAAAAGCTACATTTCTCTAAAAGCTGTCAGGAATATCTATTTTATCAATTATGAAAAACATTTTAATAATAATCTAAAATCATTAAATAATATCAAATATATTTTTTCACTAATATGATTTCAAAAGTTTAAAGTAGCATAAGTTCATTCAAATGAGTGGCTCATGTCTGTCACAACATATGCCAAGTTTTAGCAAAACCTCTGAAACAGTAATGAAGAAACAACACATAAGTGGAAGAAATAGAACTTTTATTAACCACTATATAAAAATAATGAGTTCACACAGCTTTATATTCTAAAAGATATTCCCTGACAAAAATTGCTAGCTGTTTCTTTATTACATGGTTTACTTTCTTGGGTCATAGTAATTTATAGAAGGTTGTATCTGCTAGTTTTGAAAATAAAGCTAAAATTGATTTATTTCTTCTCTATTTAGTCTGCAGTCTTTATTATTGGCAGCTCCTTTTTCTACATGGAATTGAAAATTACACTGAGACTATGGCTACATTTTAGAAGGTAGAAATTTCAAAAAAGTCTGTATGTAGACAATCAACTAAATACATAAAAAAGAGAAAGCAATAGAAAAATATGTCACATGTATTCACATAATTTCAGTGTGCATATTTTCTGCTTCCTGAATACATTGTTTCTGGTGCAGTTGTTAAATTGTTCTTTATCTATCAAACCCCATGAATTGTTTGAATAGAGAACTAGCAAGAAAAGATAACTTAAAAACAATTTCTTTTGTAAATACCTTGAATTTTTTTAAAACATTATTTTAAAAGATATGAGTGAAAGACACATCATGGTTATGAATGAGACTAAATCTGAAAAATAAAATACTTGTTTACTAAGCAAAATTTAGCAATTTTTTAGCTTAACAAAAATGATTCTAGCATTGAATTAGGGAATAAAAATAGACATGAGTATAGCGTACAAAATCCTGAACAAAGGGAATATTAAAGTCTGACTCACACTACCCTATAGTAAAATGGAATATAGAACTTGAATGCTTAAAATCACATGATGTTGGCAAAGAATTGATGACTTTGAAACAGATTCTAGTATGTAGAAGGGCATATTATATAATAAAGGAAATGTCACAAACCAATGAGAAAGACTTTTCATCCAAAAAATAAAGTTGGGAGCAGTAATAAACTTCAGAGAAAAGTAGAATCCTTAGAGGAGAAGAAACATGAATAGTGAATAAACATAAAAAGATGCCAAATCTTGCTAGAAATGCAGCAAATGGAAATTAAGGACACATTAAATACCCAGTAGATTGGCAAACATTAGCAGTAAAATAGTGAATATTGGAGAAAATGTGCATCAAGGCAAAATCTTATATCTTCCCGGTGAAAATGCACATTGATATAGTCTCATCGAATTTGAATTATCATTTTAATGTGAAGTCTCACATTTCCTACAACCTTGCATTTTCAATGCTAGGTATACTCTCCACAGGAATTCTTGCACACAGGCAACAGCAGACTTCTATGAAAATGTTCTTAGAAGCATTGTTTGTATCAACAAAAAATACTGAAAAAATTCATTGACAATAGAATAAATTGTGACATATTCACACAATGAAATAATATACAGTTGTGAAACAAAACAAGTCACAGACTACAACACATAGCATAATAATATTCTTTTTTCTTTAATTTTTGGTTGACATATAATAATTGCACACGTTTATAAGATAAGGAAGTTTCAATATATGTATACAGTATTATAATGATAAAATCAGGATAATTAGTAAATCCATCATCTCAAATATTTATCACTTCTTTGTGATGGGAACATTCAAAATCCTCTCTTCTAGCTTTTTGAAAATGCATGGTACATTGTTATTAACTACGCTCGAAGTGCTATAAATTTGAACTTATTTATCTTAACTAGTTGTAATTTTGTATTCTCTGGCCAACCTCTTTCTACCTTGCCTCCACCTGACCATTTTCAGCCTTCAATAACTACAATTCTATTCTCTACTTCTATGAGCTCAATTTCCTTCAGCTCTCACATATGAGTGAGAATATGTGGTGTTTATCCTTCTGTTCCTGATTTATTTTGCTTAATAATTTTCAGGCTCATCTATTGTTGTAAATAATAAAATGCCAATATATTTCTAGCTAAATAGCATTCCATTCTGTATACATTTTTCATTTTCAATATCAATTTTTTGCTAATAGATATTAAAATTAATTCCATATCTTTTCTATTGTGGGTAGTGATACAACAAATGTGAAGGTACAGACATCACTTTGACATACTGATTTCCTTTCTTTTGAATAAAATGCCAGTAGTGAGTTGCTGATTTATATAAAGTTCTATTTGTAGTTTTTTGAGAAATCTCCATACTATTTTTCATAATGGCTGTACTAATTTACAATTCCATCAACAGTGTATAACAGTTTCCTTTTATCTGTATTCTCTCCTGCATTTACTGGGTTTTGTCTTTTTGGTAATAATCAGTCTAACTTGGGTGAGACGATGTCTCATTGTGGTTTTATTTGTATTTTTTTGATGATTAATGATGTTCAACATTTTTTTCATATACTTGTTGGCTATTTCAAAATTATTTTAATTATATTTATTTTACAGACAGGGTTCTATGTTGCTCAAGCTGGATTCAAACTCCTGGGCTCAAGTGATCCTCCTGCCTTAGCTTCCTAAATTTCTAGGACTACAGGCATGTGCCCCCACACTCAGCTGCTTGTTAACCATTTTTATATTTTCTTTAGAGCAATTTCTGTTCAGATACTATGCCTTTTTTGAATCTGATTATTTTATTTTTTGGTTGAATTGTTTGAGTTTCTTGTATATTCTGGATATCAATAACTTGTTGAACAAATAGCTTGCAAATATTTTGCTCATTCTACGTTTTGTCTCTACTCTCTGATGATTGTTTTCTTTCGGATGCAGAATATTCTTAGTTTAGTATAGTTCCATTTGTCTATTTTTGGTTTCGTTGCCTTTTCCTTTGAAATATTACTCATAAAATCTTTGCCCAGGTCAATGTTGTGACATGTTTCCCTTATGTTTTCTTTATATAATTAATTTCCAGTTTCAGGTCTTACATAAAAGTCTTTATTCCATTTTGAGTGGATTTTGTATGTAGTGAAAAGGGGACATCTGTTTTTATTCTTCTTCATATGAATATCCGGTTTTCTCAGCACTATTTATTTCAGAGAGTGTCTTTTCTACAGTATAAGTTCTTGGCACCTTGGTCAAAATTCAGTTGGCTATAAATAAATGTATTTGTTTCTATGTTCTTTATACTATTTTATTGGTCCATATGTCTATTTTCATAGCAACACAATGCTGCTTTGGTTATTATCTCTTCAATACATTTTGAAATCGAGCAGTGTGATGCTTCCAGGTTTCTTCTTTTTGCCAAGTATTTCTTTGTCTATTTGGGGTCTTTTGTGGTTCCATATAAATTTTAGGGTTGATTTTCTACTTTGTAAAGAATCTCATTGCTATTCTGATAGCAATTGCATTGATTCTGTAGATTGCTTTGGGTAGTATGGACATTTAAACAATATTAATTTGAATCTAGGTACATGGAATATCTCTCATTTTTTGGTGTACTCTTCAATTTTTTCATCAGTGTTTCATAATTTTATTTGTAGAGGGCTTTCACTTCTTTGTTTCAGTATATTCCTAGGTATTTTATTTTATTTGTAGCTGTTATAAAAAAGATTACTTTCATGGTTTATTTTTTGTATTGTTCATTATAGGCTTATAGAAATTGTATTGATTTTTTATCCTGTAAATTTGAGTTGGTTTTTCAATTCTAATAGGTTTTTTACTGTAATCTTCAGTTTTTGTTACAAATATAAAATTTTATTATTTGCAAAAAGGGACAATTTGAATTGCTCTTTTACAATTTGAGTGCCTTTTATTTCTCTCTTTTGCCTGTTTACTCTGGCTAGGATTTCCAGTTTTATGATGAATGGGAGTGGTGAAAGTGAGCATCCTTGTCTTGGTCTCATTCTTAGAGGAAATTCTTTCAGCTTTTCTCCATTTTCTATGATATTATCTGTGGATTTGTTATGGGTGGCATTTATTATGTTGATGTCTGTTCCTTCTATGCATGGTTATTTTATCATTTTTATCAAGAAGGGATTTTGAATTTTATCAGATTTTTTTTCTGAATCTATTGAAATGATCATACGGCTTTTGTCATTTATTCTTTTGATATGATGTATTACATTTATTTATTTGCATATTTTCAAGTATCTGTGCATCCCTGAGATAAATCTCACTTAGTGTATTACCTTTATGATGTGCTGTTGGATTTGGTTTACTAGAATGTCATTAAGGATTCTTATGTTTAGGTTTGTCAGGGATATTTACCCATAGTTTTCTTTTTTTGTTGTGTCCTTGTCTGGTTTTGATATCAGGGCAATGCTGGCCTTATAGCATAAATTAAGGAGAATTTCTTTCTCTTCAATTTTATGAAATATTTTGAGCAGAATTGGTATCAATAATTTTTTGAAAGTTCGGTAGAATTTGGTGGAAAGACAGGCAGTGAAGCTATCTTATCCTGACTTTTCTTTATTTAATAACTTTTTAGTACTGACTCAATCTCATTACAAATTATTGGTCTTTTCAGGTTTTCTATTTCTTCCTTATTCAAAGTGGGTAGATAGTATATGTCCAGAAATTCATCAATTGTTTCTATGTTTTCTAGTTTGTTAGTGTATACCTGTTCATAAGAGTCTCTATTGGTCTATTGTATTTCTGTAGTATCAGCTATATCTTTTTTATTTCTGATTTTATTTGGGTTTTATCTTTTTTCTCTTGTTTAGTCTAATTAGCAGCTTAAATTTTGTTTTTCTTTTCAACAATCAACTTTTTGCTTCATTGATTTTTTTTGCGTGTGGTTTATATGTGTTTGTGTGTGTGTGTTTGTGTGTCTGCATGTGTGTTTTATATATACACACTAAGTCTCTACTTCATTTAGTTCTGTCCTGATGTTCTAATCTGTATTATTTATATTATTTCTTCTCTTTTATTTATTTGGAGTTTGGTTAGTTCTTGATTTTCTAGTTCCTTGAGTTGGGTCTTTAGATTGTTTATTTGAAACCTTTCTACTTTTCTGATATAGCCATTTATTGTTATAAACTTTCCCCTTAGCACTGTTTTTGCTGTATCCCACAGATTTTCATATGTTGTGACTTTAATTTGCTTTGATGTTTCTTTTCCCCTCTTTTATTTCTTCCTTGATTCAATGGTCATTCAGGAGCATGTTGTTCAAACCCATGTTTAGTATAATTTTTAAAGCCTCCGTTGTTATTGATTTCCAGTTGTATTCCATTGTGGTCTGAGAAGACACTTGATAATTTTGATATTTTAAAATTTGTTGAGACTTTTTTTGTGTCCAATCATATGGTTTATCGCAGAGAATGTTCTATGTTCTAATGAGAAAAAAATGTGTATTCTGTAGCTGCTGAAAAAAAATTCTCTGTAAAAGGTTTTTAAGTCCATTTGGTCTAATGTTCAGTTTATAACCAATGTTTCTTTGTTAGATTCTTGTCTAGATGACCGTTCTAATACTGACAGTAGAGATCCCTTCAGCATTATATGACTGTCTATGTCTCTTTTTATTTACAATTTTTACTTAAAGTCTATTTTTTCTGATATGAGTATAGCTATTCTTGCTTGTTTTTGGTTTCTATTTACATAAAATTTAGTTTTCATCTCTTTACTTTCAGTCCATATGTGACTTTACAGGTAAGACAAATTTGTTCTAGAAAGCATATAGTTGGGTCACTTATTTGTCTATTCAACCAGGCTATATCTTTTAAACTTAATCTATTTAAATTCAAGGTAATTACCAATAAGTAGGGACTTAGTCCTGCCATTTTATTAATTTTTTCTTTTATGTTCTTAATGTTTATAATTATAATTTTATAGTCTTTTGTAGCAGTAATATTAGAGTCTTTTTTTTTCTTATTTGCATGTTTGCTCTACCTATGTGTTTTATACTTTCACATGTTTTCATGATGGCAGATATCATTTTTTTTTTTTTTTTTTTTTTTTTTTTCACTTTCAGTTTTCAAATTCCTTGAGTACTTCTTAGAGTTTGTCTGGTGATGATGAATTTCTTCAGCTTTTGCTTGGCTGAAGTTATCCTTCGTGAATGAAGGGTAAATTTGATGGATATATCCTTAACTCACAGGTGATTTTTTGTTATGTTTCATTGTTTTTTTTGTTTGTTTGTTTGTTTTCCATCAGCACTTTGAGTACATCATCCCATTCTCTTCTGGTCTGTAAGGTTTCTGATGAGAAATTCACTGTTGGTCTGATGCAGATTTCCTTAAAAGTGATTAGACACTTGCTGTTTTCAGAATTCTCTCGTCTTTTATATTTAACAGTCTGTCAATAATGCGCCATGGAGAAGAATTTTTTGAGTTGTATCTATTTAGAAATCTCTAAGCTTCCCTGTTTGAATGTCTAAATCTGTTACTAAATTTAAGATGTTTTTCAGTCTTATTGTTTAAAATAGTTTTTCTATCCCTTTAATTTTCTCTTTACTTTCTGAGACAACAAAAATGTGAATAATTGAGCACTCTATGGTGTACCATATTCCATGAGTGCTTTGTTCATTATTTTTTATTTCTTTATTTTTGTCTATCTAGGTTATTACAAATGACATTTCTTTAAGTTCTAAAATTCTTCTGTTTGATATAGTCAGTTGTTGGAGTTTTCAGATGTAGTTTATATTTTATTCAATGAGTTCTTCAGTTCTAAGATGTCTGTTTGGTTCTTTTTAGATGAAATTTATCTCTTTGTTGAATTCTTCATTCAAATCATGAATTGTTTCTGATTACACCAAATTGTCTACCTGTGTTTGCTTGTAGCTCACTTAGTTTCCTTAAGATTATTATTTTTAATTGCTTTTCAGGCATTTGATAAATTTTCTTCTTTGGAGGGACCTGTTACCAGAGAATTATTATGTTCTTTAGGAGGTCTCAAATTTTCTTGCTGTTTTATCTCTTATTTTTTATATTTCTTCTGTCGTTATATTGATATATATTTATCTGGTATAACAGTTGCTTTTGTAGGAAAATACTATCTCCTATAGACATAACTATATCATTCATTGTGTAGGTTGCTTTGGGTTTACTTCGGAGGGTGCACAATAATGCAGTCTCTACATAATGTATTCTTTAAACTGTTTTCAACCTCAGTGGTGTCTACTAGTTCCTTAATGGATTAAGCTGCAATTGTTTGTAGAGGCTGTAGGTCAGCCTTGTTGGGATAAGAATGCTGGGAGTTTTGGGGACTGGGACTGGCTTCCTTGCTCCTCAGACTGCAGAAGGCCTATTGTGGGACTTCACCTTGTGATCCTGTGCGTCAGTACTCCTTAATAAACTCCCCATTCATATATACATCTATCCTATTAGTTTTGTCTCTTTAGAGAACACTGACTAATACAGAGACTCAGTAAGATTTAAAGATTAAGGCATGCCATCACTACAAATTTTATCAGTGCAATGGAATTTCTTAAATGCTGTTCTAAGTATGCAAAATAAAACCAAGTATCTTAAGGTGGATATTAATAAGGACATGGGAAGCATATCTTATTCTTATACCATAAAAAGGAAGGTCCTAATGTCTTGCAACCATTGTATGTCTTTCTCTCAGATCCGAACTAAATAGAGAGAGAGAGACAGAGAGAGAGAGAGAGAGAGAGCCTCAGCAATTGTGCTTGTTATGAGATTGATTTTGTGAAATTGAATTTGAATCTTCAAATGGTAATATATGGGACTTGGTGTTGGATTAATTCAAAACCTTAAAGTACCTGATGAGGATGCTGAAGGGGGAACATATTCTCTGGGTACTGTTTCTGCTGAAGAGAACCAAGTTTTTTCCCATTTCCTCCTTGCTAAAACTAAGTAAAACAAAGGGAATATTTTGGACTTTAAACTATTGAGTAATTAATGTGAGGAGTTTCACATTGAGGCATAGATATCTTCTCAGTCTTTAATAACAAATGGGAGTATATTTCAATTTAATTTATGCTTACATCATTAGCATTTTGTTTTTTTTGTATATTTAATAATTTTATTTACTTTCATGGGATAATTATCTTTTCTTAGCTATACTGGAGAGTGTACTTGAAAATGAGATGTGGAATATGAAAGAAGTGAGTGTTCAAGGAAAGGTACAATATGACCTGGGAATTACTTAATTAGTATGCAATGTATACGGAAGGGTAGCTAACAGTTAAGAGTGAAAGAATAAACCAATTCAAGAAATACATTTTAGAATATTAATGTGTTACCATTTCACTATAAAAGGCAAGTTGCAAAGGATGCACATATTTTAATATAATTACATAAAGCATATGTAACAATATTACATATAACTTATTAGTGTAATATAGGTAATAAATTTATAATCATCAGAGTACAAAAAAAGTCTATCCAACTCAAGATCCTGGTTACTTCTGAAAACAAGACTGTCGGATAAAATCCAATAAACATGTGTATTCAAGGACCTTAATTCTATTTGTAGAGGTGTCTTTTTCTCTTACAGTGTTCTGGATTTCAGAATCAAAAGCCAGTTAGCTTCCTAATATATACTGCAGGGAACTTATTTTTATTATATCATTTTTATTTTAGATTTAAAAGCATATTTCTGGATGTTTGTTATTTTACCTTGATTTTATTTGACATTATGGCAAATCTATGAAATTTACAGACTGAGCGCTTATAACTCAGATAAGTTCTCATGTATTTAAATAATTTTATATTCTCTATGTCTTGATCTTTTAAATCAGGGATACATTGTTAGTATATTGTTTCTGATTTTTTGTTTCTCAAAGTCTCTCATTCTTCATCTTATCATTTTAATATATTTTTATGTGCATTCTGAGTATTAATGTCAAGTTTCTCCTTCACAGCAAATTAAAGTTTATGCAATGTTAATTTTTATTACAGTTGCTTTAAATAAAGATTTGCATTTTGATATTTATTTTAATACCCCAGTATACTTTCATTTTATTATATGCCCCACATCGCCTGCCTTAAGAAAAGCTTCTTTTGAATAAAAGACTATTGCTTTACACTTTGTCTGTTGCTTTATAAAGTCATTTTTTTCTAAATTTATTATAGTACACATGTATAACACCCTTTATATTTGTTTTCATTTTGTTCATGGTTGGAAGTGGTATGCATTTGTTTCCCCCAAAATTAATATGTTCGAATTCTCACTCCATTACCTCAGAATGCAATTTGGAAATAGCGTTTTTGAAAACAGCTTCTTAGAACATGATCAATTAAGTTGAGGTCATTAGGAGGGTCCTAATGCAATACGACTGTTTCCTCATAAGAAGAGGAAATTTGGACATAGATACAAACACAAACAGCTATAAATGTGAAGATTGGAGTTAGGTTACCAGAGATAAGGAAGTACAACAAGCTAGGAGAGAGGACTGGAAGAAGTCCTTTCTGATCACCTTCCACGAGAGTCTGGTGCTGCTGTCATCTTAGCATTCTAGTCTCCAAACCTGTGAGATAATACATTTCTTTTTTTTTTTTTTTTTAAGTCAAACACCTTCTGCTATATATACATACACACACACATACACACATACATGCAAATATATATGACTTTTTTTCTTCATCTTTGAGTTATTCGGTGAGGACTGCCTGGTTTGCAATGAAGAAATTGTTTGTGTGTGCATGCATGTATGGGTGCACACATATATGTGTTCTAGCAGATATAGTGAGCAGCACAGCTCAGTTGAGGTGGTCTATACACTTTGTTGGAAACGTAGTTAGAATACCTGGACCATGGTCTTTCTCCTGATATTTTGGTGACTATCTAACTCCATACATCACGCCAATTACTTGGAAGTGTGGCAACATACGATTGGCATTGAGTAATGACCTCCTGAATTGATATTTTCCTTCAAATTATTGTCCATCTCTAGTACTTTATTTCCTTCGCAAAGAAAATCAAGCTCAATGCTTATTTGATCTATGTCTTCTTTGAAATTATATGATCATAACAAAAAATAAGGATAGGAAGTTGTTTTCATTTTTGCAAATATTGTAAGGGATTAATGAGAATTTTTGAAATTCCATCCTACTATATCAGTCAAGTGCTTGCAAGAAGAAACTATCTGTACTACCTCTATGGTGTGCTTCAGGATTTTGTGTCTTTCTTGTTCTTGATGCAAATGTCTTCCTTTTTTGGGGGTGGGGCACAGGGATGGGGTGAATGGTGCAATTATTAAGGTCAAAACAATTATTTGGAGAAGTTTTATTTACTATCTTAACTTAGCAGTATGCTTTTAAACTTGTTCAGGCTTTTAGTTTGAGAGGGCTCTTTCACAAAGAGTAATTAATCTGACAGTCCATTATGACATGTGACAACGAGAACTACAAGTAGTCTTAGAGGGGGATTTTCTTTTGTCCAACGCCTCATTCTTTTCTTTTTTTATGTAAGCTGAGAGTCAGGGTTTATTAGAATTTCTATTTAGTCTAGCTCCCAATTATACTTGTGACTGTCCCTTGCCTAAATTTGTGGAAATATTCACATGCATGATGTTATAAGCAAGTTATTGCTGTACCTCCTCTCTGGCTCCCCCCAGAACACACAAACACACACACACACACACACACACACACACACACACACACATCATACTTGACATGGACTGTTTTTCTTATAATCTGTACCCCCAATGTAGAAATATGCTGATGATTTGTGTTATCAACAGCTGTACTTAGCAATTTTCACCATTGCTCATTTTTGTCCATGTATTTGGTCTCTTCAAATTAAAACTTGTTTATTAAGCTCTTCAAACTTACATTCATTGTAAATACTGAAGTAAACCTTCAGTGATGGTAAATGACAAGTTAACCCTGAAGCCAGCAGATAAATTTATTTTGTATGTGGACATAATTAAAGAGAAAGCTCTGAAATTTCTCAAAAGTGAATAGCACTCTTTCTCAGCTGCCAATCCCACTGAAGGACCTACACTATTTGTACATTCTTGGACATTTCTACAATTATGTGTATGAGAGTTCTTTGAAAGGTGTGCACTCATGTTATCTTAGTCATTTTGCCTTGTATCCTTAGAAGTGCAGTGTCTTCAGAAAATATTCCAAATTTACCTCTTAAGATTGATTCTACAGGTATTATTTATTAGAAACCAATTTCTTTTTAAGAACTGTTATTTCTCACCTACATACACTAACTTTAAAACATTATATTTACTCTGCTAACCTTTTGTATATTGTCATATAATTTTGTCTTTCCTGCTCAGCAGCCATATAAATAATATGATGAATTACCTACAATGAGAAATTAGGATATAAAAAAAGACAAACTAATTGCTGCCAATGAGCTCATAACCACTTGCTATCATCAGAATATTTATATAACCCCCAAATACATATGTCGAAATTCTAAACTCCAAATTGATACTATTGGGAGAAGAGGTCTTTGGGAGATTGGGAGTATCTCAGCCTCATGAATAAAATTAGTACCCTTATAAAATAGGTCTGAGAAACATTCCTTGCCTCTCCCACCATGTGGAAGGGAGAAGGCACTGACTGTGAACCAGAAAGTGGGCCTACCCCATGCACCAAATCTGCTGGTGCCTTCATCATGGACTTCCCAGACTCCAGAAATAAATTTCAGTTACTCTTAAACTACCCAGTTTATGGTAGTTTATCATAGCAGCCCAAACGGACTAAGACAGATATGCCAAGGAAGAAAATAGTGATAGAATATGACACATGTGGCTAAAGGTAGGACACATGAACAGATGCAAGAAGCAGACAAAAGTAGATGGTGGTTTTCTATAGAGAATGTTGAGGCATTTAAGAGTGTTATAGGAAGAAATCAAATGGCAGATGTTGAGCAAGACTTCAGTAGGAACATTATTTTAATCATGCCTAATAAATTACTATCCATATTTCCAAATAATTTACCAAAATTTTGAAAAAATAAATACGCAAAACTTTAGTTATATGTCGAGTTACGGATTTTATTCCCTTTATTATGCTTAGAGAGTTTCCTCACTCTAATTAGTATGATTTGATATTACTTGATACCTCCAGCACGGTATATCTGCCTAGCAAGTAGGAAACTCATAACTTAATAAATTTATGAACTATTGAAACTCTATATATTGTTTTTTAATCAAATAATATGGAAACGTATTTACAGTATGCTAATTGTAGAAAAGAATGAATTACAAAACTTAAAACACTTGGATATCTTGAAAAGTAACATACATAGCAATTTAAACTATACATAAATTTTAAAACTGTTGCAATTAAGATAGAGAAGTCAAAAGATTCTTGAGTGACATTTCACATATTAAATAAAAGAGTGCCATTCAGTTTTATATTATATCTCTTTTATTTTTTGTATTTTATCTTAAAAGTAGATAAAGACCAGTATATCTGTAAAGAGGAAACCAAAAGCCCCTTGATACACGGCAAAAATAGCTCATGGTTTTTGATAGCTTATAAAATTATAGGGATTTTTCTAAGTGATTTACAAATGCCTCAAAAATCCCTATGTGTTAAGTTATCAGTTTACATTTGAAGTAACCTTATTTTACAGATTAAGAGACTCAGGCACATTTAACAAGTGCCCAAGCCACAATTTGAAATAGCTCACTGGACTCCAAACCTATGTTCTTAGTAAAGACCTTTTAAAGATTCAATAAGAGATTGGAGCAATTATGCTAAAAGCTCTTATTACAATTTTATACATCAATATTTTAAAAGGAAGCTCTAACCCAAAACACAAAACATAGAAAATAAAATATACATTTAAATACATTTATGATTCTAAAGTAAACATTCAATTATTTGTTCAATAAATTGATTTGTTTTTAAATATATGTCCTCCACAAAGATGGATCACATTTATAGCATATTTTGTTCAAAGTTGATACAAAGCCTATAGAGTTTAAGGAAACATGAACTTTATAAAACCGAATGGAGAGAAAACTTTCTTTCAAAACTGTATTGTGGAAAAAAAATAGATATTTTGGCCATTAATTTTCAATTAAAAAATCCAGGGTTTTTTGTTGGCTTGTTTGTATTTCAATCTTCAGATAAATGAAGACTTTATTCATGTTGGAATAAAAGTCATCACATTGCAATATTGTGCAAACACCAACATGTTATCATAAAAAATTAAGATGAAATATAATATTTTATTAAAATATTACATTTTGTTTTAAAATATTAAATGTTAAAAAATATCAAATTTTGTTTTGTACATTTAAATTTGCATTTAAGGTCACAAATGCTAACTTTATAAAAATACTATATCCCATTATATAAAATTCAATTTAGATAAAATACGGGAACCATACATACACATTATGTATACACATATACATAATGTATAATGTAACCTACACATATACATTTTTAGGATAGCAGAATGGCATCCTAAAAAAAAGAGGGAAAGCAGGGAATACTAAACTATATTTTTGTTCAACTATGTAAGCTTCCAAAATGTTCCTTAAAGTAAAATCTCTAACACTTTAAATAGTTCATCTAGTACTATATATAATTTTTATTATTTATACTTAATATCAACTATGAAATTTATTATTTAAACAAACAACACCAAATGTTCTTATAAGAAGGAGAAACATTGGACTCTTTGGAATTTTAAATCCTTGGAAATTTTAATTTTAATTTTAAATCTTTGGCAAATATTTAATTAAGAATAATTTCTGAATATTCAATGTTAATACAAACTAAAAATCTAATTGTCTCAAAACATAATGTCACAGTATCTCAGGTACCTCTGAAAGTAGCTCATGGTAAGTATATGGATTTTTTATCTTTAATAATAGTATGATCTTTATTCACATATCAGCTTATGTTCTGAGATAAAATATTTTTTCATATATTACATTTATAATGGAGAATGGCGAAGGAGAGCCCATATGTGTAAATTGTGCAAAATTCAAGAATGAGGGTATAGCATGTTTTAAATTCAAATAAAAATTTAGTTTTCTTAAGGAAGAAACCAGATCTTTTTACATAATTTATTTATGTATTACTTGTAGTCCATTAAACTATCATAACTGGCAAATTGTTATCATTGGTATATAATTAGAGAAATAATACCAAATGAATTTATTTTTGTTTTTGCACATTTAAATTTGCATTTAAGGTCACAAATGCTAATGGAGCTAATATATATGAAATATTTAAGGTATTGAAAATAATGACCAAAAAAAAGCAAGTTGATTTCATCTGAAAAAGGAACAAGTAAAGGGAATAATAATAACATTACACATAAAAAGTCATGATACATAGCAAAACCAGTATCTAAAGGAAAGTTTACCTTTGTGTATTTGGAGTACAAACTGAAATTCTCCACATAAAGGGATAAAATAATTATTTTATAGTAAATGAAGAAAGTATTTGCATATATTCCATCATGCTCAGGAAAATACAAACTGATATTGTGATTATCACATATTTGAGAAAAATAAAGCTAAAGTATTGATAGATGCCACAGACAGACAAATTTCAAGGCAGACAGAAACAGGTCCCCAGGGAAACATGACCTTCAAGCCAGAGACAGCCCGAAGCCTGAAAACTGAGGTGCCAGTTCGGATGGAGTCCACAACTAAAGTGAGAAATTCCTCGTTGCCTTTTAGCCAATCAAAAGCTGCTTTTTCCAGGCCCGCCCATGGACTAATCAGCATTCATTCTCCCATTCTGAGCCCATGAAAGCTCCAGAATCAGCCTCACAGACACGACAGCTACGCATTTTCAGGCCCCCTCTCAGACAAAGGGCTATCCACTTCAGGTCCCCTCTCGTTGTCAAGAGCTTCTCTGTCACTGAATATAATTCTTCTCTGCTTTGCTCACTCTCTGGTGTCCGTGTACCTCATTCCTCTTGGTCACAGGGAAAGAAACTGGAACCTGCCAAATGGCAGGTGAGAAAAGGGCTGTCACCCTTTCTCCTGTTTGCTGAGCTATGGAAGTGAAAAAACCGCTAAGCACCACATGCCCCCACTCAGCAAGCTGTGGGCAGCAGGACTGAATGAGAGCTAAAACACTTCCTGGTGGCTTAAACCTTGGGACTCCCTGAGAAAAAGCTGTAACATCCCTTGGGGCTCCATGGTTGCTGGTATCTGAGAGTTTTTGGTCGCTGTCACATCCCCTTCATCCAAACACCGGCACCCAAGACAGAAACTGGTCATGGCACACCCAGATCAGCTGTAGGCTAAGCCCGGAGTCACGGTGGGTGCAGGATCCCGGCTGGTAGCAATAGCCAAGCACAGCTTGCCCGACTGAGTGGACAGAGTGAGCCCAGCAAGCACGAGCAAAGCCCGGGCAGAGACACCACCGACCACAGAGATTTCTGGCTGGCAAAGCAGCACCAAATCCTGTGTCATTTCTATTCCCGTTAGTATTTTTACCAAATGCATTTTCAGTACTAATATTTCATTGTGCAGCCCATTTAATTTGCTATATAGTAAAACTAATGATTTTATTAGGCAAAGCAAATTATGTATTTTATTAGTTTTAGATTTACAAAGTAAATATTTACAAAAAGGATTTTTATGTTATCAATATCACTTATTGCATTATAAATTTCTTAAATCTTAATGATTTCAACCTCAACTAATTTTTTTATTTGGAT